>NC_000015.10:101342762-101981189 GCF_000001405.40 Homo sapiens | reverse complement strand
TAACCCTAACCCTAACCCTAACCCTAAACCCTAACCCTAACCCTAACCCTAACCCTAACCCTAACCCTAACCCTAACCCTAACCCTAACCCTAACCCTACCCTAACCCTAACCCTAACCCTAACCCTAACCCTAACCCTAACCCTAACCCCAACCCTAACCCCTAACCCCTAACCCCTAACCCTAACCCCTAACCCCTAACCCTAACCCTAACCCTAACCCTAACCCTAACAACCCTAACCCTAACCCTAACCCTAACAACCCTAACCCTAACCCTAACCCTAACCCTAACCCTAACCCGTAACCCTAACCCTAACCCTACCCTAACCCTTAACCCCCAACCCTTAACCCCTAACCCTTAACCCTTAACCCCTAACCGTGACCCTGACCCCGACCCCGACCCCGACCCTGACCCTAACCCTAACCACATGAGCAACGTGGGTGTTATATTTTGGGTATCATGTGTGCATTAGGACTGCTGCATTTGCGTTCCGATGCTGCAACTGGACCCTTTAATGCAGCCCCTCGCCTTAGCTTGGGAGAATCTCGCTGCCCAGGATTCAGAGGGGCTTTTGCTTTCCCGTTTTCCGCACTGAACCGCTCTAACTGGTCTCTGACCTTGATTATTCACGGCTGCAACCGGGAAAGATTTTATTCACCGTTGATGCGCCCCGAGTTGTCCCAAAGCCACGCAGTGGCCCCAACGTCTGTGCTTAGGGGAATGCTGCTCCACCTTTACGGTGACCCCCAGGTCTGTGCTGAGCAGAACGCAGCTCCGCCCTCGCGGTACCCTCAGCCCGCCCGCCCGGGTCTGACCTGAGGAGAATTCTGCTCCGCCTTCGCAGTACCACCGAAATCTGTGCAGAGGACAACGCAGCTCCGCCCTCGCGGTGCTCTCCGGGTCTGTGCTGAGGAGAACGGAACTCCGCCGTCGCAAAGGCGCGCCGCGCCGGCGCAGGCGCAGAGAGGCGCGCCGCGCCGGCGCAGGCGCAGAGAGGCGCGCCGCGCCGGCGCAGGCGCAGACACATGCTAGCGCGTCCGGGGTGGAGGCGTGGCGCAGGCGCAGAGAGGCGCGCCGCGCCGGCGCAGGCGCAGAGACACATGCTACCGCGTCCAGGGGTGGAGGCGTGGCGCAGGCGCAGAGAGGCGCACCGCGCCGGCGCAGGCGCAGAGACACATGCTAGCGCGTCCAGGGGTGGAGGCGTGGCGCAGGCGCAGAGACGCAAGCCTACGGGCGGGGGTTGGGGGGGCGTGTGTTGCAGGAGCAAAGTCGCACGGCGCCGGGCTGGGGCGGGGGGAGGGTGGCGCCGTGCACGCGCAGAAACTCACGTCACGGTGGCGCGGCGCAGAGACGGGTAGAACCTCAGTAATCCGAAAAGCCGGGATCGACCGCCCCTTGCTTGCAGCCGGGCACTACAGGACCCGCTTGCTCACGGTGCTGTGCCAGGGCGCCCCCTGCTGGCGACTAGGGCAACTGCAGGGCTCTCTTGCTTAGAGTGGTGGCCAGCGCCCCCTGCTGGCGCCGGGGCACTGCAGGGCCCTCTTGCTTACTGTATAGTGGTGGCACGCCGCCTGCTGGCAGCTAGGGACATTGCAGGGTCCTCTTGCTCAAGGTGTAGTGGCAGCACGCCCACCTGCTGGCAGCTGGGGACACTGCCGGGCCCTCTTGCTCCAACAGTACTGGCGGATTATAGGGAAACACCCGGAGCATATGCTGTTTGGTCTCAGTAGACTCCTAAATATGGGATTCCTGGGTTTAAAAGTAAAAAATAAATATGTTTAATTTGTGAACTGATTACCATCAGAATTGTACTGTTCTGTATCCCACCAGCAATGTCTAGGAATGCCTGTTTCTCCACAAAGTGTTTACTTTTGGATTTTTGCCAGTCTAACAGGTGAAGCCCTGGAGATTCTTATTAGTGATTTGGGCTGGGGCCTGGCCATGTGTATTTTTTTAAATTTCCACTGATGATTTTGCTGCATGGCCGGTGTTGAGAATGACTGCGCAAATTTGCCGGATTTCCTTTGCTGTTCCTGCATGTAGTTTAAACGAGATTGCCAGCACCGGGTATCATTCACCATTTTTCTTTTCGTTAACTTGCCGTCAGCCTTTTCTTTGACCTCTTCTTTCTGTTCATGTGTATTTGCTGTCTCTTAGCCCAGACTTCCCGTGTCCTTTCCACCGGGCCTTTGAGAGGTCACAGGGTCTTGATGCTGTGGTCTTCATCTGCAGGTGTCTGACTTCCAGCAACTGCTGGCCTGTGCCAGGGTGCAAGCTGAGCACTGGAGTGGAGTTTTCCTGTGGAGAGGAGCCATGCCTAGAGTGGGATGGGCCATTGTTCATCTTCTGGCCCCTGTTGTCTGCATGTAACTTAATACCACAACCAGGCATAGGGGAAAGATTGGAGGAAAGATGAGTGAGAGCATCAACTTCTCTCACAACCTAGGCCAGTAAGTAGTGCTTGTGCTCATCTCCTTGGCTGTGATACGTGGCCGGCCCTCGCTCCAGCAGCTGGACCCCTACCTGCCGTCTGCTGCCATCGGAGCCCAAAGCCGGGCTGTGACTGCTCAGACCAGCCGGCTGGAGGGAGGGGCTCAGCAGGTCTGGCTTTGGCCCTGGGAGAGCAGGTGGAAGATCAGGCAGGCCATCGCTGCCACAGAACCCAGTGGATTGGCCTAGGTGGGATCTCTGAGCTCAACAAGCCCTCTCTGGGTGGTAGGTGCAGAGACGGGAGGGGCAGAGCCGCAGGCACAGCCAAGAGGGCTGAAGAAATGGTAGAACGGAGCAGCTGGTGATGTGTGGGCCCACCGGCCCCAGGCTCCTGTCTCCCCCCAGGTGTGTGGTGATGCCAGGCATGCCCTTCCCCAGCATCAGGTCTCCAGAGCTGCAGAAGACGACGGCCGACTTGGATCACACTCTTGTGAGTGTCCCCAGTGTTGCAGAGGTGAGAGGAGAGTAGACAGTGAGTGGGAGTGGCGTCGCCCCTAGGGCTCTACGGGGCCGGCGTCTCCTGTCTCCTGGAGAGGCTTCGATGCCCCTCCACACCCTCTTGATCTTCCCTGTGATGTCATCTGGAGCCCTGCTGCTTGCGGTGGCCTATAAAGCCTCCTAGTCTGGCTCCAAGGCCTGGCAGAGTCTTTCCCAGGGAAAGCTACAAGCAGCAAACAGTCTGCATGGGTCATCCCCTTCACTCCCAGCTCAGAGCCCAGGCCAGGGGCCCCCAAGAAAGGCTCTGGTGGAGAACCTGTGCATGAAGGCTGTCAACCAGTCCATAGGCAAGCCTGGCTGCCTCCAACTGGGTCGACAGACAGGGGCTGGAGAAGGGGAGAAGAGGAAAGTGAGGTTGCCTGCCCTGTCTCCTACCTGAGGCTGAGGAAGGAGAAGGGGATGCACTGTTGGGGAGGCAGCTGTAACTCAAAGCCTTAGCCTCTGTTCCCACGAAGGCAGGGCCATCAGGCACCAAAGGGATTCTGCCAGCATAGTGCTCCTGGACCAGTGATACACCCGGCACCCTGTCCTGGACACGCTGTTGGCCTGGATCTGAGCCCTCGTGGAGGTCAAAGCCACCTTTGGTTCTGCCATTGCTGCTGTGTGGAAGTTCACTCCTGCCTTTTCCTTTCCCTAGAGCCTCCACCACCCCGAGATCACATTTCTCACTGCCTTTTGTCTGCCCAGTTTCACCAGAAGTAGGCCTCTTCCTGACAGGCAGCTGCAGCACTGCCTGGCGCTGTGCCCTTCCTTTGCTCTGCCCGCTGGAGACGGTGTTTGTCATGGGCCTGGTCTGCAGGGATCCTGCTACAAAGGTGAAACCCAGGAGAGTGTGGAGTCCAGAGTGTTGCCAGGACCCAGGCACAGGCATTAGTGCCCGTTGGAGAAAACAGGGGAATCCCGAAGAAATGGTGGGTCCTGGCCATCCGTGAGATCTTCCCAGGGCAGCTCCCCTCTGTGGAATCCAATCTGTCTTCCATCCTGCGTGGCCGAGGGCCAGGCTTCTCACTGGGCCTCTGCAGGAGGCTGCCATTTGTCCTGCCCACCTTCTTAGAAGCGAGACAGAGCAGACCCATCTGCTACTGCCCTTTCTATAATAACTAAAGTTAGCTGCCCTGGACTATTCACCCCCTAGTCTCAATTTAAGAAGATCCCCATGGCCACAGGGCCCCTGCCTGGGGGCTTGTCACCTCCCCCACCTTCTTCCTGAGTCACTCCTGCAGCCTTGCTCCCTAACCTGCCCCACAGCCTTGCCTGGATTTCTATCTCCCTGGCTTGGTGCCAGTTCCTCCAAGTCGATGGCACCTCCCTCCCTCTCAACCACTTGAGCAAACTCCAAGACATCTTCTACCCCAACACCAGCAATTGTGCCAAGGGCCATTAGGCTCTCAGCATGACTATTTTTAGAGACCCCGTGTCTGTCACTGAAACCTTTTTTGTGGGAGACTATTCCTCCCATCTGCAACAGCTGCCCCTGCTGACTGCCCTTCTCTCCTCCCTCTCATCCCAGAGAAACAGGTCAGCTGGGAGCTTCTGCCCCCACTGCCTAGGGACCAACAGGGGCAGGAGGCAGTCACTGACCCCGAGACGTTTGCATCCTGCACAGCTAGAGATCCTTTATTAAAAGCACACTGTTGGTTTCTGCTCAGTTCTTTATTGATTGGTGTGCCGTTTTCTCTGGAAGCCTCTTAAGAGAAGAACACAGTGGCGCAGGCTGGGTGGAGCCGTCCCCCCATGGAGCACAGGCAGACAGAAGTCCCCGCCCCAGCTGTGTGGCCTCAAGCCAGCCTTCCGCTCCTTGAAGCTGGTCTCCACACAGTGCTGGTTCCGTCACCCCCTCCCAAGGAAGTAGGTCTGAGCAGCTTGTCCTGGCTGTGTCCATGTCAGAGCAACGGCCCAAGTCTGGGTCTGGGGGGGAAGGTGTCATGGAGCCCCCTAGGATTCCCAGTCGTCCTCGTCCTCCTCTGCCTGTGGCTGCTGCGGTGGCGGCAGAGGAGGGATGGAGTCTGACACGCGGGCAAAGGCTCCTCCGGGCCCCTCACCAGCCCCAGGTCCTTTCCCAGAGATGCCTGGAGGGAAAAGGCTGAGTGAGGGTGATTGGTGGGAAACCCTGGTTCCCCCAGCCCCCGGAGACTTAAATACAGGAAGAAAAAGGCAGGACAGAATTACAAGGTGCCGGCCCAGGGCGGGCAGCGGCCCTGCCTCCTACCCTTGCGCCTCATGACCAGCTTGTTGAAGAGATCCGACATCAAGTGCCCACCTTGGCTCGTGGCTCTCACTGCAACGGGAAAGCCACAGACTGGGGTGAAGAGTTCAGTCACATGCGACCGGTGACTCCCTGTCCCCACCCCCATGACACTCCCCAGCCCTCCAAGGCCACTGTGTTTCCCAGTTAGCTCAGAGCCTCAGTCGATCCCTGACCCAGCACCGGGCACTGATGAGACAGCGGCTGTTTGAGGAGCCACCTCCCAGCCACCTCGGGGACAGGGCCAGGGTGTGCAGCACCACTGTACGATGGGGAAACTGGCCCAGAGAGGTGAGGCAGCTTGCCTGGGGTCACAGAGCAAGGCAAAAGCAGCGCTGGGTACAAGCTCAAAACCATAGTGCCCAGGGCACTGCCGCTGCAGGCGCAGGCATCACATCACACCAGTGTCTGCGTTCACAGCAGGCATCATCAGTAGCCTCCAGAGGCCTCAGGTCCAGTCTCTAAAAATATCTCAGGAGGCTGCAGTGGCTGACCATTGCCTTGGACCGCTCTTGGCAGTCGAAGAAGATTCTCCTGTCAGTTTGAGCTGGGTGAGCTTAGAGAGGAAAGCTCCACTATGGCTCCCAAACCAGGAAGGAGCCATAGCCCAGGCAGGAGGGCTGAGGACCCTCTGGTGGCGGCCCAGGGCTTCCAGCATGTGCCCTAGGGGAAGCAGGGGCCAGCTGGCAAGAGCAGGGGGTGGGCAGAAAGCACCCGGTGGACTCAGGGCTGGAGGGGAGGAGGCGATCTTGCCCAAGGCCCTCCGACTGCAAGCTCCAGGGCCCGCTCACCTTGCTCCTGCTCCTTCTGCTGCTTCTTCTCCAGCTTTCGCTCCTTCATGCTGCGCAGCTTGGCCTTGCCGATGCCCCCAGCTTGGCGGATGGACTCTAGCAGAGTGGCCCGGCCACCGGAGGGGTCAACCACTTCCCTGGGAGCTCCCTGGACTGGAGCCAGGAGGTGGGGAACAGGGCAAGGAGGAAAGGCTGCTCAGGCAGGGCTGGGGAAGCTTACTGTGTCCAAGAGCCTGCTGGGAGGGAAGTCACCTCCCCTCAAACGAGGAGCCCTGCGCTGGGGAGGCCGGACCTTTGGAGACGGTGTGTGGGGGCCTGGGCACTGACTTCTGCAACCACCTGAGCGCGGGCATCCTGTGTGCAGATACTCCCTGCTTCCTCTCTAGCCCCCACCCTGCAGAGCTGGACCCCTGAGCTAGCCATGCTCTGACAGTCTCAGTTGCACACATGAGCCAGCAGAGGGGTTTTGTGCCACTTCTGGATGCTAGGGTTACACTGGGAGATACAGCAGTGAAGCTGAAATGAAAAATGTGTTGCTGTAGTTTGTTATTAGACCCCTTCTTTCCATTGGTTTAATTAGGAATGGGGAACCCAGAGCCTCACTTGTTCAGGCTCCCTCTGCCCTAGAAGTGAGAAGTCCAGAGCTCTACAGTTTGAAAGCCACTATTTTATGAACCAAGTAGAACAAGATATTTGAAATGGAAACTATTCAAAAAATTGAGAATTTCTGACCACTTAACAAACCCACAGAAAATCCACCCGAGTGCACTGAGCACGCCAGAAATCAGGTGGCCTCAAAGAGCTGCTCCCACCTGAAGGAGACGCGCTGCTGCTGCTGTCGTCCTGCCTGGCGCCTTGGCCTACAGGGGCCGCGGTTGAGGGTGGGAGTGGGGGTGCACTGGCCAGCACCTCAGGAGCTGGGGGTGGTGGTGGGGGCGGTGGGGGTGGTGTTAGTACCCCATCTTGTAGGTCTGAAACACAAAGTGTGGGGTGTCTAGGAAAGAAGGTGTGTGACCAGGGAGGTCCCCGGCCCAGCTCCCATCCCAGAACCCAGCTCACCTACCTTGAGAGGCTCGGCTACCTCAGTGTGGAAGGTGGGCAGTTCTGGAATGGTGCCAGGGGCAGAGGGGGCAATGCCGGGGCCCAGGTCAGCAATGTACATGAGGTCGTTGGTAATGCCGGGCAGGTCAGGCAGGTAGGATGGAACATCAATCTCAGGCACCTGGCCCAGGTCTGGCACATAGAAGTAGTTCTCTGGGACCTGCAAGATTAGGCAGGGACATGTGAGAGGTGACAGGGACCTGCAGGGGCAGCCAACAAGACCTTGTGTGCACCTCCCATGGGTGGAATAAGGGGCCCAACAGCCTTGACTGGAGAGGAGCTCTGGCAAGGCCCTGGGTCACTGCACCTGTCTCCACCTCTGTCCCACCCCTCCCACCTGCTGTTCCAGCTGCTCTCTCTTGCTGATGGACAAGGGGGCATCAAACAGCTTCTCCTCTGTCTCTGCCCCCAGCATCACATGGGTCTTTGTTACAGCACCAGCCAGGGGGTCCAGGAAGACATACTTCTTCTACCTACAGAGGCGACATGGGGGTCAGGCAAGCTGACACCCGCTGTCCTGAGCCCATGTTCCTCTCCCACATCATCAGGGGCACAGCGTGCACTGTGGGGTCCCAGGCCTCCCGAGCCGAGCCACCCCAGTCACCCCCTGGCTCCTGGCCTATGTGCTGTACCTGTGTCTGATGCCCTGGGTCCCCACTAAGCCAGGCCGGGCCTCCCGCCCACACCCCTCGGCCCTGCCCTCTGGCCATACAGGTTCTCGGTGGTGTTGAAGAGCAGCAAGGAGCTGACAGAGCTGATGTTGCTGGGAAGACCCCCAAGTCCCTCTTCTGCATCGTCCTCGGGCTCCGGCTTGGTGCTCACGCACACAGGAAAGTCAGCTTCTCCTGGGAGGGCCAGGATGGCCAACGGATGGTGAATATTTGGTGCTGGGCCTAATCAGCTGCCATCCCATCCCAGTCAGCCTCCTCTGGGGGACAGAACCCTATGGTGGCCCCGGCTCCTCCCCAGTATCCAGTCCTCCTGGTGTGTGACAGGCTATATGCGCGGCCAGCAGACCTGCAGGGCCCGCTCGTCCAGGGGGCGGTGCTTGCTCTGGATCCTGTGGCGGGGGCGTCTCTGCAGGCCAGGGTCCTGGGCGCCCGTGAAGATGGAGCCATATTCCTGCAGGCGCTCTGGAGCAGGGTACTTGGCACTGGAGAACACCTGTGGACACAGGGACAAGTCTGAGGGGGCCCCAAGAGGCTCAGAGGGCTAGGATTGCTTGGCAGGAGAGGGTGGAGTTGGAAGCCTGGGCGAGAAGAAAGCTCAAGGTACAGGTGGGCAGCAGGGCAGAGACTGGGCAGCCTCAGAGGCACGGGGAAATGGAGGGACTGCCCAGTAGCCTCAGGACACAGGGGTATGGGGACTACCTTGATGGCCTTCTTGCTGCCCTTGATCTTCTCAATCTTGGCCTGGGCCAAGGAGACCTTCTCTCCAATGGCCTGCACCTGGCTCCGGCTCTGCTCTACCTGCTGGGAGATCCTGCCATGGAGAAGATCACAGAGGCTGGGCTGCTCCCCACCCCCTGCACACCTCCTGCTTCTAACAGCAGAGCTGCCAGGCCAGGCCCTCAGGCAAGGGCTCTGAAGTCAGGGTCACCTACTTGCCAGGGCCGATCTTGGTGCCATCCAGGGGGCCTCTACAAGGATAATCTGACCTGCAGGGTCGAGGAGTTGACGGTGCTGAGTTCCCTGCACTCTCAGTAGGGACAGGCCCTATGCTGCCACCTGTACATGCTATCTGAAGGACAGCCTCCAGGGCACACAGAGGATGGTATTTACACATGCACACATGGCTACTGATGGGGCAAGCACTTCACAACCCCTCATGATCACGTGCAGCAGACAATGTGGCCTCTGCAGAGGGGGAACGGAGACCGGAGGCTGAGACTGGCAAGGCTGGACCTGAGTGTCGTCACCTAAATTCAGACGGGGAACTGCCCCTGCACATAGTGAACGGCTCACTGAGCAAACCCCGAGTCCCGACCACCGCCTCAGTGTGGTCTAGCTCCTCACCTGCTTCCATCCTCCCTGGTGCGGGGTGGGCCCAGTGATATCAGCTGCCTGCTGTTCCCCAGATGTGCCAAGTGCATTCTTGTGTGCTTGCATCTCATGGAACGCCATTTCCCCAGACATCCCTGTGGCTGGCTCCTGATGCCCGAGGCCCAAGTGTCTGATGCTTTAAGGCACATCACCCCACTCATGCTTTTCCATGTTCTTTGGCCGCAGCAAGGCCGCTCTCACTGCAAAGTTAACTCTGATGCGTGTGTAACACAACATCCTCCTCCCAGTCGCCCCTGTAGCTCCCCTACCTCCAAGAGCCCAGCCCTTGCCCACAGGGCCAACACTCCACGTGCAGAGCAGCCTCAGCACTCACTGGGCACGAGTGAGCCTGTGTGGTGCGCAGGGATGAGAAGGCAGAGGCGCGACTGGGGTTCATGAGGAAGGGCAGGAGGAGGGTGTGGGATGGTGGAGGGGTTTGAGAAGGCAGAGGCGCGACTGGGGTTCACGAGGAAAGGGAGGGGGAGGATGTGGGATGGTGGAGGGGCTGCAGACTCTGGGCTAGGGAAAGCTGGGATGTCTCTAAACGTTAGAATGAATGGCCTAGAATCCGACCCAATAAGCCAAAGCCACTTCCACCAACGTTAGAAGGCCTTGGCCCCCAGAGAGCCAATTTCACAATCCAGAAGTCCCCATGCCCTAAAGGGTCTGCCCTGATTACTCCTGGCTCCTTGTGTGCAGGGGGCTCAGGCATGGCAGGGCTGGGAGTACCAGCAGGCACTCAAGCGGCTTAAGTGTTCCATGACAGACTGGTATGAAGGTGGCCACAATTCAGAAAGAAAAAAGAAGAGCACCATCTCCTTCCAGTGAGGAAGCGGGGCCACCACCCAGCGTGTGCTCCATCTTTTCTGGCTGGGGAGAGGCCTTCATCTGCTGTAAAGGGTCCTCCAGCACAAGCTGTCTTAATTGACCCTAGTTCCCAGGGCAGCCTCATTCTGCTTTGGGTGCTGACACGACCTTCGGTAGGTGCATAAGCTCTGCATTCGAGGTCCACAGGGGCAGTGGGAGGGAACTGAGACTGGGGAGGGACAAAGGCTGCTCTGTCCTGGTGCTCCCACAAAGGAGAAGGGCTGATCACTCAAAGTTGCGAACACCAAGCTCAACAATGAGCCCTGGAAAATTTCTGGAATGGATTATTAAACAGAGAGTCTGTAAGCACTTAGAAAAGGCCGCGGTGAGCCCCAGGGGCCAGCACTGCTCGAAATGTACAGCATTTCTCTTTGTAACAGGATTATTAGCCTGCTGTGCCCGGGGAAAACATGCAGCACAGTGCATCTCAAGTCAGCAGGATTTTGACGGCTTCTAACAAAATCTTGTAGACAAGATGGAGCTATGGGGGTTGGAGGAGAGAACATATAGGAAAAATCAGAGCCAAATGAACCACAGCCCCAAAGGGCACAGTTGAACAATGGACTGATTCCAGCCTTGCACGGAGGGATCTGGCAGAGTCCATCCAGTTCATTCAACACCTGGTTAGAAAACTGGGGCCAGCACACAGGGGAAGGGTAAGCTGGTTTCATGATTGAATCAAGGCTCAGACAATTTTTAAAGGCCAGAGGGTAGACTGCAATCACCAAGATGAAATTTACAAGGAACAAATGTGAAGCCCAACATTTAGGTTTTAAAAATCAAGCATATAAATACAGAAGGTGGAGGGAACTTGCTTTAGACACAGTTCAGGTGAAGAAAGACCCGGAAACTTCTGTTAACTATAAGCTCAGTAGGGGCTAAAAGCATGTTAATCGGCATAAAAAGGCAATGAGATCTTAGGGCACACAGCTCCCCGCCCCTCTTCTGCCCTTCATCCTTCTTTCAATCAGCAGGGACCGTGCACTCTCTTGGAGCCACCACAGAAAACAGAGGTGCATCCAGCACCACAGAAAACAGAGCCACCACAGAAAACAGAGGGTGACTGTCATCCCCTCCAGTCTCTGCACACTCCCAGCTGCAGCAGAGCAGGAGGAGAGAGCACAGCCTGCAATGCTAATTTGCCAGGAGCTCACCTGCCTGCGTCACTGGGCACAGACGCCAGTGAGGCCAGAGGCCGGGCTGTGCTGGGGCCTGAGCTGGGTGGTGGGGAGAGAGTCTCTCCCCTGCCCCTGTCTCTTCCATGCAGGAGGAGCATGTTTAAGGGGACGGGTTCAAAGCTGGTCACATCCCCACCGAAAAAGCCCATGGACAACGAAAAGCCCACTAGCTTGTCCAGTGCCACAGGAGGGGCAAGTGGAGGAGGAGAGGTGGCGGTGCTCCCCACTCCACTGCCAGTCGTCACTGGCTCTCCCTTCCCTTCATCCTCGTTCCCTATCTGTCACCATTTCCTGTTGTCGTTTCCTCTGAATGTCTCACCCTGCCCTCCCTGCTTGCAAGTCCCCTGTCTGTAGCCTCACCCCTGTCGTATCCTGACTACAATAACAGCTTCTGGGTGTCCCTGGCATCCACTCTCTCTCCCTTCTTGTCCCTTCCGTGACGGATGCCTGAGGAACCTTCCCCAAACTCTTCTGTCCCATCCCTGCCCTGCTCAAAATCCAATCACAGCTCCCTAACACGCCTGAATCAACTTGAAGTCCTGTCTTGAGTAATCCGTGGGCCCTAACTCACTCATCCCAACTCTTCACTCACTGCCTTGCCCCACACCCTGCCAGGGAGCCTCCCGTGGCACCGTGGGGACACAAAGGAACCAGGGCAAAGCTCCCTCAGCCCCATTCAAAGAGGCCTGGCCCACAGGCTCACGGAAAGTCAGCCTCTCATGCCCCGAGAGCTGAGTGCAAGGGAGAGGCAGCGCTGTCTGTGCTTCCCATGCAGAAGCACCCCCCTCCCACCCCTGTGCAGGCCGGCCTTCGCGGCAGACCACCATACACCACGTTCCAAGCCACACTGAGGCCTCCCTCCAAGCCTGCAGCCCCCATTTCCAGACCCTGCCAGGGCAACCTGCATATCCACCTCCCTACCCTGCCCCCCTCTTCCAGGAGTCTGCCCTATGTGGAGTAAGCACGTGGTTTTCCTCTTCAGCAACTATTTCCTTTTTACTCAAGCAATGGCCCCATTTCCCTTGGGGAATCCATCTCTCTCGCAGGCTTAGTCCCAGAGCTTCAGGTGGGGCTGCCCACAGAGCTCCTCAGTCTAAGCCAAGTGGTGTGTCATAGTCCCCTGGCCCCATTAATGGATTCTGGGATAGACATGAGGACCAAGCCAGGTGGGATGGGTGAGTGTGGCTTCTGGAGGAAGTGGGGACACAGGACAGCATTCTTTCCTGCTGGACCTGACCCTGTGTCATGTCACCTTGCTACCACGAGAGCATGGCCTGTCTGGGAATGCAGCCAGACCCAAAGAAGCAAACTGACATGGAAGGAAAGCAAAACCAGGCCCTGAGGACATCATTTTAGCCCTTACTCCGAAGGCTGCTCTACTGATTGGTTAATTTATGCTTAGCTTGGTCTGGGGAGTTCTGACAGGCGTGCCACCAATTCTTACCGATTTCTCTCCACTCTAGACCCTGAGAAGCCCACGCGGTTCATGCTAGCAATTAACAATCAATCTCGCCCTATGTGTTCCCATTCCAGCCTCTAGGACACAGTGGCAGCCACATAATTGGTATCTCTTAAGGTCCAGCACGAGGTGGAGCACATGGTGGAGAGACAGATGCAGTGACCTGGAACCCAGGAGTGAGGGAGCCAGGACTCAGGCCCAAGGCTCCTGAGAGGCATCTGGCCCTCCCTGCGCTGTGCCAGCAGCTTGGAGAACCCACACTCAATGAACACAGCACTCCACTACCCAGGAAATGCCTTCCTGCCCTCTCCTCATCCCATCCCTGGGCAGGGGACATGCAACTGTCTACAAGGTGCCAAGTACCAGGACAGGAAAGGAAAGACGCCAAAAATCCAGCGCTGCCCTCAGAGAAGGGCAACCACGCAGTCCCCATCTTGGCAAGGAAACACAATTTCCGAGGGAATGGTTTTGGCCTCCATTCTAAGTGCTGGACATGGGGTGGCCATAATCTGGAGCTGATGGCTCTTAAAGACCTGCATCCTCTTCCCTAGGTGTCCCTCGGGCACATTTAGCACAAAGATAAGCACAAAAGGTGCATCCAGCACTTTGTTACTATTGGTGGCAGGTTCATGAATGGCAACCAAAGGCAGTGTACGGGTCAAGATTATCAACAGGGAAGAGATAGCATTTCCTGAAGGCTTCCTAGGTGCCAAGCACTGTTCCATTCCTTTTCATGTTTTGATTAATTTAATATTTACAATAATTCTACCAGGAAGCTACCATTATTACCACAACTTCACAAATGAGAACACCGAGGCTTAGAGGGGTTGGGTTGCCCAAGGTTACAGAGGAAGAAAACAGGGGAGCTGGATCTGAGCCAAGGCATCAACTCCAAGGTAACCCCTCAGTCACTTCAGTGTGTGTCCCCTGGTTACTGGGACATTCTTGACAAGCTCGGGGCAAGCCGGTGAGTCAGTGGGGGAGGACTTTCAGGAAGAGGTGGGTTCCCAGTTGGTGACAGAAGAGGAGGCTGCAAAGTGAAGGAGCAGGGGCTCCAGGTCTGGCGACAACCAGGGAAGGGACAGGGCAGGGATGGCTTGGACCACGAGAGGCACCTGAGTCAGGCAGTCACATACTTCCCACTGGGGTCTACCATGTGAGGCATGGTGTGGGATCCTGGGAAGGAGACCAAGCCTCATTTCAGTTTGCTTATGGCCAAAGACAGGACCTGTGTACCCGACAACCCCTGGGACCTTTACCAAAAAAACAGCAAACACCATTCACTCACTCATGTTAGATAAACACTGAGTGAAGTCACTGGAGCCCAAGGACTGTGCGAGGTCAGCACTGCCAATACAAGAAGCTGCAGCCCTCCAGCTCGCCTCCCTCAATGGCCACTCCGTGCTCCAGCCATGCTGGCTTCCTTTTAGGTCCTCCACCTCCAGGCTGTAGTTCATGTGCTTCTTTCTGGAATGTTCTTCCCAACCTACCCACTCAACCCTCAGACTTTACCATAAATGTCATTTCCTCACATCTGCCTTCCCTGACCTGAGACCAAGCCAGGCTTCCCATGACGAGCCTCACAGTACCCCATCTCCCCTGAACAGATGCAGTAATAACCTACATAACCCGGGGCCATGATCTATGGCTTTGAATCCTGGCTCTGTCACTAGGCCAGGTCTCTCAGCCTTTCTGTGCCTCAGTTTCCTCATCTATAAAATGAGATGACGGCAGTGCCTGCTCATGAAGTGTGAGTTAATGCACTCAAATCAATGGTTGTGCACGGTTTATATGAATATTAGTGATTACAAAATATTATCAATAGACCTTGTCACAACTGTTATTGAAGAACTAATCATCTATTGCTTATTTAGGTCTTTCTCTCCTGCCAGAATGTGCGCTCCAGGTGGAGAGGTATGTTGCCTTATCCGTGGCTGGATATATAGAGATTCCCACACTGCCTTGCACACGAGCACTGCTGGGTAAATATTTGTTGGCTGCAGGAAAACGTGAAGGAATAGGCCCTCCAATGGGAGGAAAAGCATGAGTTGTGAGAGCAGAGCCACCACAGGAAACCAGGAGGCTAAGTGGGGTGGAAGGGAGTGAGCTCTCGGACTCCCAGGAGTAAAAGCTTCCAAGTTGGGCTCTCACTTCAGCCCCTCCCACACAGGGAAGCCAGATGGGTTCCCCAGGACCGGGATTCCCCAAGGGGGCTGCTCCCAGAGGGTGTGTTGCTGGGATTGCCCAGGACAGGGATGGCCCTCTCATCAGGTGGGGGTGGGTGGCAGCACCCACCTGCTGAAGATGTCTCCAGAGACCTTCTGCAGGTACTGCAGGGCATCCGCCATCTGCTGGACGGCCTCCTCTCGCCGCAGGTCTGGCTGGATGAGGGGCACGGCATAGGTCTGACCTGCCAGGGAGTGCTGCATCCTCACAGGAGTCATGGTGCCTGTGGGTGGGAGCCGGAGCATCACAGCCACCCACGACCACCTGCACCCACCCACCACAGGGCAGGGTGGTGTTGAGACAACACAGCCCTCATCCCAACTATGCACATAGCTTCAGCCTGCACAGATAGGGGAGTAGGGGACAGAGCATTTGGTGAGAGGCCAGGAGCGCATAGATGGGACTCTGCTGATGCCTGCTGAGTGAATGAGGGAAAGGGCAGGGCCCGGGACTGGGGAATCTGTAGGGTCAATGGAGGAGTTCAGAGAAGGTGCAACATTTCTGACCCCCTACAAGGTGCTTGCTACCTGCCAGGCACCCTTTCCATACCTTGTCTCAGTTCAGCTCCCCACCTTGGATAAACAAGAAACCTTGGTTGCAGAGGAAAAAAGAGGCTGGAAACAAAGGGGTAGAAATGGGGTAGCGGGGGAGATTGGGTGATCAACTGCCAAATGGTACCCAGTTCTGGAAAAGCACAAAAAATGTGCACACACGGGTTCTTCCCACTTTAACCCCTGAGGAATCTGAGGCCTGCTCCTGAAACAGACTGGGCAAGTGGCTAGTGACTCTAGGTATAGGAGTAGCCAGCCCTGCTCACCCAGGCTAGAGCTTAGGGGGACAAGAGGAAAGAGGTGCCTGTGGGGGTGGAGGACAGGAAGGAAAAACACTCCTGGAATTGCAAAGTGAGGGCAGAGTCTATTTATATTGGGTTTAATTAACTCCTCTCCCTGGTGCCACTAAAGCAGCAATCACACTGCAGACAGCACTGATTTGATTGGCAAGAGATGCACCAGGCAGAATATTAAGGGACCAGGCCCCTATAAATAGGCCTAATCACAGCCCCTCGCTGGAAAATGGTAAGGAAGACATTAATCAGGCCTGGCACTGTGCCCTAGACCTGCTCCCCTAGGCACTACAGTGGGGCCCTTGGTTGCAACACAAGTAGGTAGGGATGGATGAGTGTGGCATGAAGGGCCTAGGAGATTTCATTTGGGTTTAAAATGCTGTGACCTTGAGTAAGTTGCCGTCTCTGAATCTGATCCTTTCGATTTCCCATTCTCCAAACTGAGAACTAGCACTGCTGAGACGTGGTTATTCCCAATAATAATTTGTATATTTTACATAACGCACCACACCAACATCTTCACCCAGTAGGAGCCTACTCCTTTGCTCCCGCTGCTGGCTTCCCCAGCCCTCCCTTCTGCCCTCCTCAGGCCAGCACTTTTCAGTGAGTTCCTCCTTTGCATACAGGCTTTCCAGATCTGTACTTGCCTTGAATACTCATCAGAGCCCAGGAGTTACTCCTCACCTCCCACTTATTTTTCCTCCCATCAAATAACTAAAGCATGGCCAGCTGATGCCCAGCCAACTGAGAAACCTAACCCTCTGAGACCAGCACACCCCTTTCAAGCATGTTCCTCCCTCCCCTTCTTTGTATTTATACTGATGCAAGTTTGCTGGCTGTCCTAACTTATTTCTGTGCCTCAGTTCTCCCATATGTAAGATCACAAAGGGGGTAAAGATGCAAGATATTTCCTGTGCACATCTTCAGATGAATTTCTTGTTAGTGTGTGTGTGTTTGCTCACACATATGCGTGAAAGAATAGTACATACACAGATCTCCTCAAAAAGGAGGCAGCAAGCCCGTTCAAGAATGGGACTGAATACACCTGATGAGTGGTTTACTTTCTGTCTGCAAACATCTACTGATCATCTGTTAGGTGCAGGCCATGATCACAACAAAGACGAATAAGACACTACACTAGCCAGGGAGAGTCTCAAAAACAACTAAACTCAAATTAAATTCATTCTACTCCAGTCATGAGTACAAAGCTAAGGAGTGACAAATCCCTCTTGGAGTTAGGGGAGTCAGGAAAAAGCTCTTAGCAGAATGTGTGCCTCTCGGCCGGGCGCAGCGGCTCACGCCTGTAATCCCAGCACTTTGGGAGGCGAAGGCAGGCAGATCACCTGAGGTCGGGAGTTCGAGACCAGTCTGACCAACATGGTGAAACTCCATCTCTACTAAAAATACAAAATTAGCCAGGCGTGGTGGTGCATGCCTGTAATCCCCGCTACTCGGGAGGCTGAGGAAGGAGAATCACTTGAACCGGGAAGGTGGAGGTTGCAGTGTGCCAAGATCGCGCCATGGCACTCCAGCCTAGGCAACAAGGGTGAACCAGGTCCAGGAAGAAGGTGCAAAGACAGCATTCCAGGTAAAAGAAACAGCTTGAACAAAAAGTGTGTAAGGGAACCGCAAGCGGTCTTGAGTGCTGAGGGTACAATCATCCTTGGGGAAGTACTAGAAGAAAGAATGATAAACAGAGGCCAGTTTGTTAAAAACACTCAAAATTAAAGCTAGGAGTTTGGACTTGTGGCAGGAATGAAATCCTTAGACCTGTGCTGTCCAATATGGTAGCCACCAGGCACATGCAGCCACTGAGCACTTGAAATGTGGATAGTCTGAATTGAGATGTGCCATAAGTGTAAAATATGCACCAAATTTCAAAGGCTAGAAAAAAAGAATGTAAAATATCTTATTATTTTATATTGATTACATGCTAAAATAACCATATTTGGGATATACTGGATTTTAAAAATATATCACTAATTTCATCTGTTTCTTTTTACTTTTAGAAATCACATATGTGACTTAAATATTTCTTTTCTTTTTCTTTCCTCTCACTCAGCGTCCTGTGATTCCAAAGAAATGAGTCTCTGCTGTTTTTGGGCAGCAGATATCCTAGAATGGACTCTGACCTAAGCATCAAAATTAATCATCATAACGTTATCATTTTATGGCCCCTTCTTCCTATATCTGGTAGCTTTTAAATGATGACCATGTAGATAATCTTTATTGTCCCTCTTTCAGCAGACGGTATTTTCTTATGCTACAGTATGACTGCTAATAATACCTACACATGTTAGAACCATTCTGACTCCTCAAGAATCTCATTTAACTCTTATTATCAGTGAATTTATCATCATCCCCAATTTTACATAAGGAAATGGGGTTAGAAAGACCAAATAACATTTTTTCAACATCAAAACACTAGCTTGAGATCAAGCCCAGACTTGGATCTGTTGTCTGAATTCCAAGCTTTTTGTTATTTATTGATATGTTTTGTTGTTTTCATGCAATAATGCAAATCTTAGCCCAAACATTTTGTTAGTAGTACCAACTGTAAGTCACCTTATCTTCATATTTTGTCTTTATGTAAACCTAAATTAGATCTGTTTTTGATACTGAGGGAAAAACAAGGGAATCTAACACTAACCAGCCCGTAGTGTATGGTCAACACTTTCGTTACTTTAGTATACATCACCCCAATTGTTTGTCTTCACCACACACTTTGGAGTTAGGTAGTAGTATCTATTTTTACAAATAAGAAAACCCAGGCACAAAGGGGTTGATTAGCAATTATCTTTTGAAAAGCCTGTAGTTGCTCATCTGAAGAAGTGACGGACCACCTCTTATTTAGTGGACAGACAGTAACTAGTTGAGAAGACAGGGGATTTTGTTGGCGGAAAAAAAATTTTATCAAAAGTCGTCTTCTATCAGGGAGTTTTATGAGAAACCCTAGCTCCTCAGTTCCACAGTGGGTAGCTGTAATTCATTCTAGGTCTGCGATATTTCCTGCCTATCCATTTTGTTAACTCTTCAATGCATTCCACAAATACCTAAGTATTCTTTAATAATGGTGGGTTTTTTTTTTTTGCATCTATGAAGTTTTTTCAAATTCTTTTTAAGTGACAAAACTTGTACATGTGTATCGCTCAATATTTCTAGTCGACAGCACTACTTTCGAGAATGTAAACCGTGCACTCCCAGGAAAATGCAGACACAGCACGCCTCTTTGGGACCGCGGTTTATACTTTCGAAGTGCTCGGAGCCCTTCCTCCAGACCGTTCTCCCACACCCCGCTCCAGGGTCTCTCCCGGAGTTACAGGCCTCGCTGTAGGCCCCGGGAACCCAACGCGGTGTCAGAGAAGTGGGGTCCCCTACGAGGGACCAGGAGCTCCGGGCGGGCAGCAGCTGCGGAAGAGCCGCGCGAGGCTTCCCAGAACCCGGCCGGGGCGGGAAGACGCAGGAGTGGGGAGGTGGAACCGGGACCCCGCAGAGCCCGGGTCCCTGCGCCCCACAAGCCTTGGCTTCCCTGCTAGGGCCGGGCAAGGCCGGGTGCAGGGCGCGGCTCCAGGGAGGAAGCTCCGGGGCGAGCCCAAGACGCCTCCCGGGCGGTCGGGGCCCAGCGGCGGCGTTCGCAGTGGAGCCGGGCACCGGGCAGCGGCCGCGGAACACCAGCTTGGCGCAGGCTTCTCGGTCAGGAACGGTCCCGGGCCTCCCGCCCGCCTCCCTCCAGCCCCTCCGGGTCCCCTACTTCGCCCCGCCAGGCCCCCACGACCCTACTTCCCGCGGCCCCGGACGCCTCCTCACCTGCGAGCCGCCCTCCCGGAAGCTCCCGCCGCCGCTTCCGCTCTGCCGGAGCCGCTGGGTCCTAGCCCCGCCGCCCACAGTCCGCCCGCGCCTCCGGGTCCTAACGCCGCCGCTCGCCCTCCGCTGCGCCCTCCCCGAGCGCGGCTCCAGGACCCCGTCGACCCGGAGCGCTGTCCTCGTGGACCGAGTCGCGGGCCTGGGCACGGAACTCACGCTCACTCCCAGCTCCCGACGTGCACACGGCTCCCATCCGTTGTCTTCCGAGCGTCAGGCCGCCCCTACCCGTGCTTTCTGCTCTGCAGACCCTCTTCCTAGACCTCCGTCCTTTGTCCCATCGCTGCCTTCCCCTCAAGCTCAGGGCCAAGCTGTCCGCCAACCTCGGCTCCTCCGGGCAGCCCTCGCCCGGGGTGCGCCCCGGGGCAGGACCCCCAGCCCACGCCCAGGGCCCGCCCCTGCCCTCCAGCCCTACGCCTTGACCCGCTTTCCTGCGTCTCTCAGCCTACCTGACCTTGTCTTTACCTCTGTGGGCAGCTCCCTTGTGATCTGCTTAGTTCCCACCCCCCTTTAAGAATTCAATAGAGAAGCCAGACGCAAAACTACAGATATCGTATGAGTCCAGTTTTGTGAAGTGCCTAGAATAGTCAAAATTCACAGAGACAGAAGCAGTGGTCGCCAGGAATGGGGAAGCAAGGCGGAGTTGGGCAGCTCGTGTTCAATGGGTAGAGTTTCAGGCTGGGGTGATGGAAGGGTGCTGGAAATGAGTGGTAGTGATGGCGGCACAACAGTGTGAATCTACTTAATCCCACTGAACTGTATGCTGAAAAATGGTTTAGACGGTGAATTTTAGGTTATGTATGTTTTACCACAATTTTTAAAAAGCTAGTGAAAAGCTGGTAAAAAGAAAGAAAAGAGGCTTTTTTAAAAAGTTAAATATATAAAAAGAGCATCATCAGTCCAAAGTCCAGCAGTTGTCCCTCCTGGAATCCGTTGGCTTGCCTCCGGCATTTTTGGCCCTTGCCTTTTAGGGTTGCCAGATTAAAAGACAGGATGCCCAGCTAGTTTGAATTTTAGATAAACAACGAATAATTTCGTAGCATAAATATGTCCCAAGCTTAGTTTGGGACATACTTATGCTAAAAAACATTATTGGTTGTTTATCTGAGATTCAGAATTAAGCATTTTATATTTTATTTGCTGCCTCTGGCCACCCTACTCTCTTCCTAACACTCTCTCCCTCTCCCAGTTTTGTCCGCCTTCCCTGCCTCCTCTTCTGGGGGAGTTAGATCGAGTTGTAACAAGAACATGCCACTGTCTCGCTGGCTGCAGCGTGTGGTCCCCTTACCAGAGGTAAAGAAGAGATGGATCTCCACTCATGTTGTAGACAGAATGTTTATGTCCTCTCCAAATGCTTATGTTGAAACCCTAACCCCTAATGTGATGGTATGTGGAGATGGGCCTTTGGTAGGTAATTACGGTTAGATGAGGTCATGGGGTGGGGCCCTCATTATAGATCTGGTAAGAAAAGAGAGCATTGTCTCTGTGTCTCCCTCTCTCTCTCTCTCTCTCTCTCTCTCTCATTTCTCTCTATCTCATTTCTCTCTCTCTCTCTATCTCATTTTTCTCTCTCTCTCTTTCTCTCCTCTGTCTTTTCCCACCAAGTGAGGATGCGAAGAGAAGGTGGCTGTCTGCAAACCAGGAAGAGAGCCCTCACCAGGAACCCGTCCAGCTGCCACCTTGAACTTGGACTTCCAAGCCTCCAGAACTGTGAGGGATAAATGTATGATTTTAAAGTCGCCCAGTGTGTGGTATTTTGTTTTGACTAATACAACCTGAAAACATTTTCCCCTCACTCCACCTGAGCAATATCTGAGTGGCTTAAGGTACTCAGGACACAACAAAGGAGAAATGTCCCATGCACAAGGTGCACCCATGCCTGGGTAAAGCAGCCTGGCACAGAGGGAAGCACACAGGCTCAGGGCTCTGCTATTCATTCTTTGTGTGACCCTGGGCAAGCCATGAATGGAGCTTCAGTCACCCCATTTGTAATGGGATTTAATTGTGCTTGCCCTGCCTCCTTTTGAGGGCTGTAGAGAAAAGATGTCAAAGTATTTTGTAATCTGGCTGGGCGTGGTGGCTCATGCCTGTAATCCTAGCACTTTGGTAGGCTGACGCGAGAGGACTGCTTGAGCCCAAGAGTTTGAGATCAGCCTGGGCAATATTGTGAGATTCCATCTCTACAAAAATAAAATAAAATAGCCAGTCATGGTGTCACACACCTGTAGTCCCAGCTACATGGGAGGCTGAGGCGGGAGGATCACTTGAGCTTGGGAGATCGAGGCTGCAGTGAGCTATGATTGTACCACTGCACTCCAGGCTGGGCGACAGAGAGAGACCCTGTCTCAGAAAAAAAAAAAAGTACTTTGTAATCTGTAAGATTTCAACACACACAAAAAAAGTGTATATGCTCCACGATGCCTGTGAATATACACACACACCACATCATATACCAAGCCTGGCTGTGTCTTCTCACAAATGCACTGCTAGGCACCACCCCCAGTTCTAGAATCACACCAGCCAGTTCACCCTCCAGATGGTTCACCCTCAACTTCATAAAAGTTCCCTACCTAATCTACTGACAGGCTCATCCCCGACCTAATTTTAAAGATTTCCTAGGAGCTGCAATGGGAATCCTGGACCTCAGCCTGGACAAAGAACAGCTGCAGGTCATTCTCATGTGTGGACACGGAAGCTCTGCCTGCCTTTGCTGGCCAGCTGGGCTGAGCGGGCCTGGGAAATTAAGGCTGCAGGGTTGGTCCCAGGCAGTCTTGCTGAAGCTTGCCACATCCCCCAGCCTCCTGGATTTGCCAGGATCCAAGAGCATGGATTTTAGGAATTCCTGGTGGAGGAGTGAAGAAAATGTGACAGGGTGTCCTAAGCCCCGATCTACAGGAAGAAAACTGGAAATAAGACTGAGGACTTAGTTTAAGATGTTCCTACTCAGCCTCTAGCTTTTGTGCTACAGTTCTGGGAACAGACTCCTCTCTCCTGAAAACCACTTCCCTCCGCAGCATTAAATTTCACCAAGATGTCTTGCTTGTGGGAAAGACTTCCAAGGATGCCTGGAGAGAGGAGGATGGAAATGTCCTGCTCTCTAAACAGATAGACAGATGCAGCCAGACAGAAAATAGTTTATCTTGCTGAGGTTTCTAATGTATTTGAAAGAGGCCTGGGTCTAGAAGTCTACCCAGAGGGCTCTGTGTTGTGCACGCAAAGATAAGAACCTTCCCTGTGGGAGTTCCAGAGCCAGTTTTCATAAACACCCATCGGTGACTGTGTTCAGAGTGAATTCACACCATCCTGACCTGCCCTGAGTTAGACCTTACATGGTCTTCCTCCTCTAGGAAGCCTCTGCAGCCCAGGAACCTCCCCTTATCTGAAATGAACAGCATTTGAAGCTTCACCAGACAGACCAGACAGCTTAGCCCTCGTGTTGTGCCATGTGGGTTGTTCTCTGAGAGGCAGGAGAGCATAGTGGTTACTAGGAAGGGAAGGACTTTGGGACTAGACTGCCTCGGCTGGAGTCCTCTTTCTGCTTCATAGCCACGTGATCCTAGGCATGTTACCTGTGCCTCAGTTTTCACTCTGTCAATATGTAATAACTGCATCTGTCTTTGTGGTGAGGATTCAGTGAGTTAACATATTTGAAGTGCTTAAAAATGAGGCTTGTGTCCATAGACTAATGAGTGAATACACAAATGGTGATATGGACATACAGTGGAGTATTAGTCATAAAAAGGAAGGCAGAGCTGATCCATGGCACCATGTGACAGAACCTCAAAAGCATTAGGTTAAGTGGAAGAAGCCAGACACAGGTCACCTATTGTGTAATTCCATTTATAGGAAATATACAGAATATGTAAATCCGTGGAGAAAGAAAGCCGATTTCCAGGGGCTAAGGGGAGGGGAGAATGGGAAGTGGCTGCTTCATGGGTACAAGGTTTCATTTTGAGCTCATGAAAATGTTTTGGAACTACATAGAGATAGTGTTGGCACAACATGGTGAATGTACTGAATGCCACTGATTGTTCACTTTAAAATGGTCAAACTTATATGAATTTCACCTCCATTAAAAAAAAAAAAAAGGACCAGATGTGGTTGCTCACACCCATAATCCCAACACTTTGGAAAAAGGTGAAAGTTTTTTTTCTTTTTTTTTTATATACTTAAGTTCTAGGGTACATGTGCATAATGTGCAGGTTGGATACATAGATATGCGTGTGCCATGTTGGTTTGCTGCACCCATCAACTTGTCATTTACATTAGGTATTTCTTCTAATGCTATCCCTCCCCCAGCCCCCCACCCACTGACAGGCCCCAGTGTATGATGTTCTCTGCCCCATGTCCAAGCGTTCTCATTGTTCAATTCCCACCTGTGAGTGAGAACATGCAGTGTTTGGTTTTCTGTCTTTGTGATAGTTTGCTCAGAATGATGGTTTCCAGCTTCATCCATGTCCCTGCAAAGGACATGAACTCATCCTTTTTAATGGCTGCATAGTATCCCATGGTATATATGTGCCACATTCTCTTAATCCAGTCTGTCATTGATGGACATTTGGGTTGGTTCAAAGTCTTTGCTATTGTGAATACTGCCACAATAAACATACATGTGCATGTGTCTTTATAGTAGCACGATTTATAATCCTTTGGGTATATACCCTAAGACCTGGGACGCATTTAAAGCAGTGTGTAAAGAGACATTTATAGCACTAAATGCCCACAAGAGACCTCTGCCTGAGAACGTGGGTTTCAGCCTAAGAGTTGTAATATGTGTGCCCATTCACAGGTGCTGCATCAGAGTCCCAGGTGGGAAGAAGGCAAGCATACACAAAAATGGTAAAAGGCAGAAAGGAGCCCAGTCTCATTCTTTTTAAGAAGTTTTCCTAAGAATCTCCACCCAGCGACTTGCTCTCACATCTTCTTGGCCAGCACTGGACCACACAACTCCTTCTAGATACAGAGGAGTCCTAGGATTCTATGAGAAAGAAGGGGAGGGTGGGCAAAGGGCAGCCAGCTGTGCAGCATCTGCTGGAGACACCTAACCCTTGGTGGAGGGGTTGTGGTGCTGGGAGAAGGCTTTCTGGACGGTGTGACAGCAGAGATAAACTTAAAGGCCAAGTAGGAGTTACCCTGGTGAAGCAGGGCAGGGTTACAAGCATTCCAGCAACATGAAGCAGCAGGAGTGTTTTAATTAAAAGAAGGCAGTTGCTGTAACCAACTATAAACAAATAAAGGCTTAAACACAATGGAAGTTTATTTCTCACTAAGGGAACATCCAAATCCATGATACTTTAAGTCAGGGACCCAGGTTCCTCCCATCTATGGTTCTGCCATCACTAATCTGGGTCTTCCACAATTGCCGTGCTCCTTGGAGGTGGGAAGAGCAGGCGGAGGACACGTGGGAGGTTTTAGGGACAAGCCTGGAGGCAGCATGCGTCACTCCCATGCAGAGTCCATTGGCCAATGCTGGCTCCGATGGCCACATCTCACTGCAGGGGCAGCTGGGAAATACAGTCTGGCTGTCTACCCAGCAGGAAGAGCAGCCAGTTTCTGCTGCTGATGATCAGGAGGTGGAGAAAATGTTCAGTCAGGCAGGGAGTGGGAACAGACAAGACCACAAGCAGCTTGGTGCCTCTGAAAGGGAGAGGGGTGGAGGGGAGACTAGAGAGGTGGGTAGGAATACTGGATTCCACTGACCACGTGCTGGATGTCACGCTTAGCCCTCCTGCTCTGTGCCGGGTTAGGCACCTTGTGTTTTACGTACATAATCTCAATTCTGTGAGGGCATCCGACCTGTGGGAAAAGAGCTGTTTGTTTCAAATGCCAGTCCTGCTTCCTAACAAGTGTTTAGAGCTTAATCGTGTTCAAAATACATATACAATGTTTAATACTTACAAGAATTTGGTGGGGAAAATATTACCATCTTTCCCTTTTGTGATTGGAGAAAAATGAGGCTTTGAAGGGTTTAAGAACTTGCCCAAGGTCGGCCAGGTGCAGTGGCTCATGTCTATAATCCCAACACTTTGGGAGGCTGAGGTGGGAGGATCGCTTGAGGCCAGGAGTTCAAGACCAGCCTGAGCAACATAGTGAGTCTTTGTCTCTATAAAAAATAAATAAATAAATAAAAAGAACTTGTCCAAGGTCAGACAGGCAGCCTCTTAGTAAGCACACATATCCTCTATATTATACTACCTCTCATGGAGGATCTCCTGTGTTCTACAAATAGTCTGGACTTGAGCCAGAATGTGTTATAATCCTGGGATCACGGCCAGTGGGCTTAGAAGAAGCCATCTCTTTCTCATGCCAAGATGAGGCTCCGCCAGATTTGCTCAGACTTACCTATAGTCAGCAGCATCGGGGGTCAGGAAAGACTTCATGAAGCCATAAATGCATCCTTCTCGGGGCAGCACCTGGCTCTCCCAGGTGAGAGAGGACTCCATTTTCACAGGCAGGCGTGGGAGCTTCAGCACCCATCTCTGGGCCCAGAATGACCCACTGGAGACCTTACAGCTCTCCTGTCACCCCCAATTCCTGCCCCCTCTGCAGCCTTGGAGGAGAATGGAGCTGAAGGGCCTGCCCTCTGTAGGGTGAGAAAGGGAGGCTAAAGCCTGGTGCCCACTGCCCTGGCTGCTCCGCATTGCAGGAGCTGCGCCCTTCCTTTCCTGGCACAGGGTCCACAGCCCCGAAACCCCGTTGTGTGGGAGCTGGGCACAGGGCAGCAGGACTAATCCTTGGAACAGCTCAGGGAGGATTATCCCAGCCACTGTCAGCAGCGGTGCAGCTGGCTCATTCCCATATAGGGGGAGGCCAGAGCCAGGGGCCTGCCACAAGTTGGAAGGCTGGGGAAGGGGAGGCCAGCAGAGGTGTCCTGGCTGTGGGTGGCTCTGAGGGGGCTCTCAGGGGTGGGGCTAAATCTCAGGGGCAGGATTATGTAAATCAAACCAATTCTAGCCACAGATTCAAAGTTTGGAAAAAAAAAAAAAACCCAGCCTGGCGGAAAGAATTTAAATTATAAAAACTTAGAAGTATGGAATGTGAAATCATCCTGTAGGTGCTTATTTAACAACGAAATCATCCCGACACAATGAGCCATATGTGAAAAGTCATCCTTCCCCAACACATCCCCCAACAGGCACTCCTCAAGCCTCTCCCACCCAAGTGCTGGCATCCTCCCTGTCCTGCTTCACCTGAGACACCCCTTGTCTCATTAGACATGCAACTACGGGAGGGGTGACAGGAAGACAAGACACTATTTCCTCAGGCCCAGTTTGGTGTGGGGAGAAAGCCTCCTGATCCTGAAAGCAAGAATTTGACCAGAGCAGAAGTAATCAGTATGCAGATTGACTCTGTGGTATGTTAATGTTTATGCATAGATTATGAGGACCAGGTGAAAAGTGGGCCAGGGGAGCCAGATGTGTGTGTGAGTCATGGGTGGCTGAGATGAGGACAGGAGGGAAACTGGTTTGGAGGCTGCTGGCGATGGGGTGGGGGTGCCAGGAGGAAGGGAGGCAGTTGTTTGAATGTCTGCATGAAAAAGCGGACGACAGCGGGGTCTGGGTGAATTCGGGCAACCATTTGGACCGTGGAGAAAACTGCCTGCGTGCGGCTGAGGACCTGCACTATTAATTTGTTTTTTAGCTAAGGCAAAGATAAATATAAAAACTGATACTCCATCCAGTTACCAGAAAACATTTAGGTATGTGTGAGACAACTTGGGTATGTGAACCTACCTTTTCAATGTAAATTCAGTGAAATCTAAGTGCAGATCCCATATTTCCAATAAAAAGGTAACATCCAAACTCAGATGTCCTATGAGTATAAAATACACAAAGATCTTCTGGACTTAGCATGAAAAGGGATTTTTTTTTTGTCAGGTACCTCACTAGTTATTTTTAAAATAGGATTGCATGTTGAAATGATAATCTTTTGGATATATTGGGTTAAATAAATTTATTATTAAAGTTAATTTCACTTAAAAATGTTTAATGTAGCTACTAGAAATTTTAAAATTAAGCATGTTGCTCACCTTATGTTTCTATTGGACGGCTCTCTCTAGATACAAAGGCTGCCAAGAGGGACCTCACTCTAGCTTCAGGGAGAAGAGAGGAATTAGCAAGGCCAAGCAGAGGCTCCTGAGGGCAGGGCCAAGGGCGGCTTGGTGGGGTGGGGATGGGATGCACAGAGATAACTCCAACCCTTAAGAAGGTGTTTCCTAGAGCAGGCTGTGACCTGTCAGTTTATATACTGAGGCTTAGGAGCCTCTTGGATGCCCCCAGATCTGCACCCCTGAATTGCCCTGTGCCCCTGCCGTCTTTGTTCCTGTGCTGGCATAGTGGTCTCACCTCCGGCAGTATCACCACCACTGGGCACAAGCTTCTCCAGCACAGCAACTGTGTCTTATTTCTCCTTGTACTCCCAGTGTTCACACCATGCTGCACTCACAGAAGACTCTTCGTTGATATTTTGTGGACAGAGAGAATGCCTGTGAGAGTGGGCTGAAGTGTGCGTTGGGCTCCAGAGACCTTAAGGAGGGGAGACCAGGTCCTGAGTAAAGTTGAAGGGGAGGGGCTGAGTCCTGCTAGCCAGGAGTCTCATCCCCTGGGGAAGTTCCAGGGACCCCTCAGAAGTGCAAGGGGACGGTGTTAGTGTTAGTCCAGTAACACAGCCCAGAGCCTGCCTTCCACGTGGGTTTGACAGGAGCCTCCTAACTGCTGTTCTGCTTCCATTTTTGCCCCTTCAGTCTATTCTCAACAGGGAAGCCAGAGGCATCCTTAACCATGTCAGATCATGTGGCTCCTCAGCTCAAAGCCTCATCTCAGAGGAAAGCTATGGTCCCTTAGAAATGGCCCAGGTGGTGACAGACAGACTCTAAGGTGAGCAGACTGTTGCTAGATATCTGGGCTCGGAGGACTCGCCACTGCTCAAAGGCAGTGAGGATTTTCGCACTAGAAGCTGGAGGACAGGGATCCTTGTTAGGTAGGAGCAGAAAGCTTAGAAAAGTGGTCTCCTGCAGTTACGTGGCAAACACATCATGTAAGTGATAAATTGGGTATGCAGTTGAGGAGATTTCCAAGTAAAATGTTGAGGATGCTGCCTGGTTTCTTCTTACTGCTTATAATATAGTGTGAGAGAAGAGAGATAAATTGAGAAAGAGACTGGTTTTTAAACTGTTAAAATTGAATCAGGACTTGATGATTTTGAAAATTGTCAGTCTCCCCACATGGAAAAAGATGCTGAAATTAACAAATGGCTTCTGAGCATGTGGCATAGGGTGTAACTGTACAGTCTTTTGTGATTATGCATAAAGATCAAAGGATGGGAGTAGCAATGAGTCACACAGAGGTCTGTTGCAAGAGATTACAAGGGTGTACCATGCAGAACCTCTCCACCAAACCTTAGGGCCCCTGGGAAGCTTCAGTGAGTTACCCTGGGGGCCATCTTGGCAGGAGCTGAAGGTAGAAAGGTAGAGTTTATCTCTAAAAGATTCATGGGTATGGCTCTTGACAAATCGACTATGAGCCCCACTGAAACCCACAGAGGACAGGCAAAGGGTTTGGGAAAGCTGTTTCACCCACAGTGCTGGCAGATTGGTCTGTAGGGGACAGAGTGCAAAATGAAAGAAGACTGTCAGAGACCCCAAACTCTGCTGTCAAGAAGAAGGCTGATAAAACTACTTGGCTGCAAACACGTGGATCTTTCGTGAGAAAAGAAGGATGACCCAGAGGCAGAAGCCCAGAAGGCAGAGCCAAGAGACATGGAATCTTCCCACATCTTAAAACCTGTTTAGGGAACACCAGCATCTGTCCAGCTGGATTTCAGAACCACCATTCCTTCATCCTTCCCCTGCTGCCTCTTTCTGAACAGCAATGTCTCAAGCTTTACCCACCATTGTGTGTTGCATATGTAGAGGGCAGATAGCTTGTATCTTTAGTTTTCCAGATCAGAGGAACATCCAAAGAAATCTGTTCTACACCTAAACCCGATTTAGATGAGATTCGGGACTGTGAGCATGAAGGGATCTCAAGAGGGGTGAATGTGTTTTGCATGCACAAGGGACATGAGTCTTGGGGACAGAGGACAGGCTGTGGTGGCAGATACTAAGGTGACCCCCACAACCCCCACCTCTGCCATTCACACCCTTGAATAATCCCCTTCTCTGGTTGTAAGCAGAACCTGTGGCTTGCTTATGAAGGAGGCGGTATATATGTGATTCATGTACTGATCATATTGTATAAGATCACTGGCTGGACGCAGTGGCTCGTGCCTGTAATCCCAACACTTTGGGAGGCTGAGGTGGGTGGATCACCTGAGGTCAGGAGTTCGAGACCAGGCTGGCCAACATGGCAAAACCCCGCCTCTACTAAAAATACAAAAATTAGCCAGGCATAGTGGTGCACGCCTGTAATCACAGCTACTCAAGAGGCTGAAGCAGGAGAATTGCTTGAACTCAGGAGGTGGAGATGGCAGTGAGCCAAGATCGTGCCACTGCACTCCAGCCTCAGTGACAGAGCGAGACTCTGTCTCAAAAAATAAATAAATAAAATGTTAAGATCATAACCTGTCTTTCTGGGGACTCTCTCTTGACGCCTTTGAAGAAGCAGGCTGCCATGTTGCAAGCTGCCTCATGGAGGGGATCAGCTGCGAGGAGCTAAGAGCCCCCTCCAGTCGATGCTCACCAGGAAGCTGAGGTCTTGTGTCCAGCACCCTGCATAGAACTGAATGCTGCCATGTGAGCTTGGAAGCAGAGCCATCCACACAGCTGAGCCCTAGATGAGAACCCAGTGCTGGCTGACACCCTGATGGCACCTTACAGAGGACCAGTTAGGCTGTGCCAACTCCTGACCTGCAGAAGCTGGGGAACATTGGGTCGTATTTGCAGCTGCTGGATTTGTGGGAATTTGTCACACAGCAATTGGGAGTCACACAGCCTGTGACGCCCCAACAATCCACACCTCCTGCATCTCCCTGCCTTCACTTCCTAGCACACTGCCCTGACTCCCTCTGCCGCAGCCACGCTGGCCCTCTGCTGTTCTTCGAAGCCACCAGGGCTGCATTGGCTCCCAGCCTTTGCTCTCACTGCTTTCTCCTCCTAGAGAGCCCTTCCTGCATGTATATGTTTGACTCACTCCCTTGCCTCCTTCAGACTTGTACTTAAAAATCTCAGTAAGCATTTCCCTGGCTACCCTTTTAAAAATTGCAACCCACTTCCATCCCCATCCCCAACATGCCATATTTCCTTTCTTCTTCTTCCTTCTTCCTTTTTTTTTTTTTTTTTTTTTTGACACAGGTTCTCTGTCACCCAGCCTGGAGTGCAGTGACATGATCTCGGCTCACTGCAACCTCTGCCTCCCCAGGCAAGAAAAGGGGAGGATGCCAATAAAGGATGCATTGATTTGTATTTACTACAGTGGACATCAAGGGCACATTCTTGCTGTGGCCATCAAGAGACTGTATAAATTCTATGACTTGTAGTTGTCCCACTTAAGAAACAAAGAAGCTGTGCATTTCTTTACTGGTCTAGAGCTGCTCTAGGGCATTTTCTCTACAGCAATTCTAGGTTTCCCCACCTTGTGAGTTTAGCTTTTTCTATATTCAAAGAAAAGTCCTCAGCCAGAGATTCTCAGGAGCTTATAGAACAATCCAAACTCTTGGGAATATTAAGTGGAGAGGGGTATGTGCAAGACACCAACAGCACTAGAAACAGTCCACATCTTTCCATGCGTGGAGGAGTTTATGCTCTATGTGAGTTCACTCCATCATTAATTCTTCAAACACAAGAGTGTTAAAGGAACAAGAGTTAATGGGTCCTGTCATTACACTTGTTCCCAGGATGACATTCATCATCTTCCTCTTCTACAACCTGTTCTATATTCCCCTTATGTTTATCCAGTGCTTCTGCTAGTCTAGTTCACTTCCAAAGACCCATGATTACCATGGCCCTGTCAGGCTGTAATTGCTGCAATTTCCAATTTACAATTGTCATCATCTATGGTTGATAAAGGTATAGCAGTATTTCTATTTCCTCATGATAAGGAAGGTCAATTACAACTGCCAGTATAATAACTTATTTCTTTGTCTGCCAACCTACATACACAAGGAAGCCAAAATGACATGGAGCTACTAAAACTTTATGCTTATTGGAATGCTTACTATGTACCCAGAAGAAGCATTCTCCCTACTCCAGCAGAGCTTAATGCTGTAGGTCCAGGAAGCTCAAATTCTCCAAGGGAGTTTTAGTGAGAGGAGCCACTCTCACCCTCTGCCCTTGGTTTACAAACCTGTATATTCTAGGACCCAATATCTTACAATGTCCATTGGTTCAAAGTATAACATGTTAAAGCACAGAGCCCCAACTCTGAAAAGTACCATCCCTAAATTGGCACTTAGTTGCACCTTTATATCCACCTTTAAAAGAAATATCTTTTAATGTTCTATCAGACTGATAGATTCTGTTTAATATAGTGTATTATAGCACCAGTGGATCATTTGGTTGTATGCATATTATTGTACCTTCTCTGCTACAAAATATATTCCTTTGTCCTAAGGTGTGTTACAAAGAACATTAGGCATTCTATGCATCTTTGGATAGTTTAATGGCCAAGGCATTGATGGCAGGAGAGTCAAAGCCACAGGTGGAAAACACATTTATCCCAGTAAGAACAAATTGCTATTCTTCCACTGTAGAGAGGGTAAACAATGTGCCATTACGTTGCCAATTGAATGCCTCAATCATGTCAAGGGCTGAACATCTATGACTGTTTCTGAAAGGTCAAACATTCAACAGAGGCTGTAGCTAGAACTGCCTTAATGATAAGAGATCATGCTGAATTACCCATGCAAAACCTTAATACTTGACACTTATCACTACTTTATTCAAGAGCCTATTGTGCAAGCATAAGTGGCTGAGTCAGGTTCTCAACTCTGCTCATTAATACTATGCTTGGAGTATACAGTAAGATAAGAAACATAAATAAGAAGTGTACATTTGTTTCTTCCTGTTTTCTTCTGGCTATTGGATCAATTACATCCCATCTTAAGCTGACCCCTGTGTAATTAATCAATATCCGTTTTAAGCAGCAATCCATAGTTGTGCAGAAATTAGAAAACTGACCCACACAGAAAAACTAATTGTGAGAACCAATATTACACTAAATTCATTTGACAATTCTCAGCAAAGTGCTGGGTTGATCTCTATTTATGCTTTTCTTAAACACACAAAATACAAAAGTTAACCCATATGGAATGCAATGGAGGAAATCAATGACATATCAGATCTAGAAACTAATCAATTAGCAATCAGGAAGGAGTTGCGGTAGGAACTCTGTGCTGTTGAATGTACACTAATCAATGATTCCTTAAATTATTCACAATAAAAAAAAAGATTAGAATAGTTTTTTTTTAAAAAAAGCCCAGAAACTAATCTAAGTTTTGTCTGGTAATAAAGGTATATTTTCAAAAGAGAGGTAAATAGATCCACATACTGTGGAGGGAATAAAATACTTTTTGAAAAACAAACAACAAGTTGGATTTTTAGACACATAGAAATTGAATATGTACATTTATAAATATTTTTGGATTGAACTATTTCAAAATTATACCATAAAATAACTTGTAAAAATGTAGGCAAAATGTATATAATTATGGCATGAGGTATGCAACTTTAAGCAAGGAAGCAAAAGCAGAAACCATGAAAAAAGTCTAAATTTTACCATATTGAATTTAAATTTTCAAAAACAAAAATAAAGACAAAGTGGGAAAAATATGTATGCTTCATGTGTGACAAGCCACTGATACCTATTAAATATGAAGAATATTATAAATCATATTAATAACCACAACATTCAAGCTGTCAGTTTGAATAGACAATGTAAATGACAAAACTACATACTCAACAAGATAACAGCAAACCAGCTTCGACAGCACGTTAAAGGGGTCATACAACATAATCGAGTAGAATTTATCTCTGAGATGCAAGAATGGTTCAAAATATGGAAATCAATAAATGTGATATGCCACACTACCAGAATAAAAAATAAAAATCATATTATCATCTCAATAGATGCAGAAAAAGCATTAACAAAAGTAAACATTCTTTCATAATAAGACATCAGATAAAACAAATTAGGAATAGAAGGAATGTACCACAACACAATAAAGGCCATATATAACAAGCCCACAGCTAACATCATAATAGTAAAATCATCACAATGGTAAAAAAAATGAAAGCTTTTCCTCTAAGGTCAGAAATAATATAAAGGTTCCCACTCTTGCTATTTCTATTCCATATAGTACTAAAAGTCCTAGCCAGGACAATTAGACAAAATAAAAATAAAAACACCCAAATTGGAAAGATAGAAGCAAACTTTTCTGTTTACAGATAACATAATCTTATATGTAGAAACCCCTTAAAACTTCAGCAAAAAAAAAAAAAAAAAAAAACTACAGAGCTAGTAAATTCAGTGAAGTTGCAGAATACAAAATCAACATACAAAAATCAGTAGTGTCTCTATACACTAATAAGGACTTAACAGAGAAAGAAGTTAAGAAAACAATACCACTAACAATAGAATCCAAAAAATAAAATACTTAGGAATAAATTTTACCAAACATCTGTACACTAAAAACTATAAAACATTGAAAAAAGAAGTTGAATAAGACACATATAAATAGAAAGCTATCTCATGTTAATAGATTAGAAAAAGTAATATTGTTAAGATGTCCTCACTACTTAAAGCAATTTATAGATCTAATGCATTTATTGCAATCTCTTCAAAATCCCAAAGGTATTTTTGACAGAAATAAAAAAAAAATTCTAAAATATGCATGAAACCACAAAAGACTGTGAATAGCTAAAGCAATCTTGAGCAAGATGAACAACACTGGAAGCATCACACTACCTTATTTCAAAATCTACTACAAAGCTATAGTGATCAAAGCAACATGATACTGTCATAAAAACACATAGATAAACCTATGGAATGGAATAAAGAGCACAGAAATAAGTCCACACATTTACATTCAATTGATTTTCAACAACAATGTCAAGAAGACAATGGGGAAAAGACAATCTCTTCAATAAATGATGCTGGAAAAACTATATATTCACATGCAGAAGAATGCAGTTGAATCCTGATTTCATACCATATGCAAAATTCAACTGGAAATGGATTAAATACAAATTTAAAACATGAAATGGTATAACTATTAGAACAAAACATAGAAAATATTCTTCCTGACATTGGTTTGGGCCATCATTTTTCTGATATGACTCTAAAAGCACAGGCAAAAAAAGAAAAAATAGACAAATGAGACTATGTCAAATTAAAAAATTTCTAACAACAAAAGAAACGATCAATAGAGTGAAAAAGATAACCTCTTGAATGGGAGAAATATTTGCAAACTACTCATCCAACTGGGGATTGATATCCAGAATATACAAGTAACACAAATATGTCAAAAGTAAAATAAATAAATAAATAAATAAATAAATAAATAAATAAATAAATAAAATAAATTATTTAAAAATCGGCAGAGGACAGGAATAGACATTTCTCAGGAGACAACATACAAAGGGCCACAGATACATCAAAAAATGCTCAACATCACTATTTGTCAGGGAAGTACTAATTAAAACCAAAATGAGATGTCCCCTCAAACCTGTTAGAATGGCTCTTATCAAAAAGATGAAAGATAGCAACTATCAGAGAGGATGATAGAAAAGGGAACCCTTGTATCATGTACAAATTAAAAATAGAACTATCACATGATCCAAGAATCCTACTTCTGGGTATATAGCCAAAGGAATTGAAATCAATATGTCAAAGGGATATCTGCACTCCTATGTTATTGCAGCATGTTCACAATGGCCAAGATATAGAATCAACCTAACTGTTCATAGACAGATGAATGGATAAATGAAATGTGATATGGAAAATTATTCAGCCTTAAAAACAGTAGGAAATTCTGTCATTTGAGACAACGTGGATGAACCTAGAGGACATTAAGCTAAGTGAAATAAGCTAGACACAGAAAGACAAATATTGCATGATCTCACTTAGAATCTAAAAAATCTGAACTCATAGAAGCAGAGAATAGTATGATGGTTACTAGGGTTATCTGGCAGGGAGAGGATGAGGAAATGGGACATTGTTAATAAAAGGAAAAAAAATTCAATTAGTAGGATTACATTCAGGGGACCCAATATACGACATGTTGACTGTAATTAATAATGTATTGTATGCTTGAAAATTGCTAATACAGTATATTATAAATGTTAATATGAGGTAATATATGTGTTAATTAACTTGATTTATTCATTCAACAACATACACATATATTAAAACATCACACTGTATTCCACAAATATATATAATTTTTGTCAATTAAAAAATAATTTTTAAAAATGAGAAACAAAAAAGCTGACATTTTCAGATTAAAAAAATTATACAGAAGAATTAATTCATTAAAGTAAAAACAAATGTGGGAAAATGGTTTTTAAATATAATTTAAACCAAATTTAAAATAAGCATAAAAAGACTATGGACAAAACAAGAAATCCAAATAAAAAATAAACATATGAAGAATATTCAAACTCACTTTTTATCAAAGAAATGTAAATTTTAAAATATAGCATTGCTATTGTGTTTTCATAAATAATAATATATCATGGATGAGCCTGTGAGGAAACAGACACTCATACTCTGCAAAGCAATGACTAAGATAATTATGTCAGATGATGAATTACGTTAATTAGCTTGATGGTGGTCACTGTTTCACGATAAATATACATATGTATCAAAACATCACATTACACACCATAAAGATATATAACTTGTTATCAAAAAGAAATATAGCAGTTAAAATTTAAAATTTTTAAAAAACGTCTTTTTGAGGTTCGTACCTCACTTAAGTCACACTGTTCAAAATATTCATGCACTCATTTCTCTCATTCATGTGTTAATGTACAGGGTACGGGCCACTATAAATTCCTTCAGCAACTGGAAAGGAAACTTTATGTACTGAGTGCTCAGAGTTGTATTAACTATTTTTTTTTTTTTGAGCAGCAGCAAGATTTATTGTGAAGAGTGAAAGAACAAAGCTTCCACAGTGTGGAAGGGGACCCGAGCGGTTTGCCCAGTTGTATTAACTTCTAATTCAACACTTTAAGATTCTTAGCATTATTGCAGACAACATCAGCTTCACAAGTGTGTGTCCTGTGCAGTTGAACAAGATCCCACACTTAAAAGGATCCTACACTTTTTTTAATGCTCTGCTGTTTCTGCCTTGAAATTCTTAACAATTTTTTTAACCGAAGTCCTCACAAATTCAGTTTACATTAGCCCTGCAATCATGTAGACATCCTGATTCCAGACAATGTGTCTGGAGGCAGGGTTTACAGGACTTCAAGAACCTTACCTTCTCAACTTTCATCTGCATCTTTACTCCCAACTATATATGAAGATGATGAAGATAGATATGGATGGTGCTTCTACCATACCCTCTTCCTCTGCCAAACTTCCTTGATCTAGGATAAGGTCAGTAAACTTCTTCCGTAAAAGGCCAAAAGTAAATATTATAGGCTCTACAGGCCCTAGAGTGTCTGTCATAACTACTCAACTCTTATTGTAGCATAAAAACTGTCAACAGACAATACAGAAACAAATGAGTGTGACTGGGTTCCAGTGAAACTTTATTTACAAAAGATTTGTCCCATGAGTCAAATTTACCACCTCCAGATCTAGAGAAACACTTTTGAGCCCTTTTATTTTGCTCAACAGTTAAGCATGGCTCCATGTCCCTTATATTTAGTCAGAACTCGGTATGTTTTAAGGAAAGAATGGTTACACGAAGACATACATTCATTCATTTATACAACACATTTTCAGTGTTGAATGATAAATTTTGGAATAGTTAACAGATGATAAAAGTGTTGGTTTCAGTCATCCCTATCCAATGAAGTAAAAAAAAAAGTGTTGAATGGGAAGAAATCAAGAATAGTTATACGAATATCACCATTGCATTAAAGCTCTCTTCCTTGTTTCTAAAAGAATATCTTGACACACATTAAGCTCACTGACCCCCACACCATGAATGAGGGCATCTTCAACAATGGTGGATGACGTCTTAGTTTCCCTCAACTCAGTTAATCTAAGTAAGCTCATGGTATCACTTTCCTGTCCTAGAGGGAACATATTTCCTGCATTTTTCTTTTTTTCCTTACTTTCCATCACCAAGTAACTCTTCTGATATTTTTTCTCTTGAGAAAATTAATATGACTCATAGATCTGGTTCCCAAGAGAAATCAATGGAGGCCTGGTTACAAGGATCTAAGAAGCATCAATGGGTCACTAACATCTAGTGGTACTAATTAACTCTGTTAATCATTGGGAAGAAAATGTATATATACTTTTGTCTTGGAGCTGATTCTACTAGAAAGCAGAAATCAAAATGATCAGTTTCCCAGTGTCACTACTGCACACCCTGGAACAGAACAGGTAGGTCAGAAAAACGCTCCCAAAGTTTAGCAATGTCAAGGCAATCTCTCTCTTCTTACATTTCCCTTCAACCTTCTATCTCCTCCACTTTTCTGTTTTCCTCCTATCTCCAATTATTTCAATCCTCAGAGCATTATTCTTACAATCTTAATCACTAAATTATATTACACCCGTTAAAGGAGAGATTTCTAAATGCATTGACATTTGTACTGTCTCTCTTTGGAGAATTAGTATTATAAGGATCTGTTATCTCTTGTCACCTTCCTTATGTCATATGATATGTCACATTTCCCACTGCGGAGACCAAACATGTTCACATCGTGTGCGTTACATTTTCCTAATGGAAAGTGGGGGGAAGTGATTTTCTGTCCTCATATAGAGAATGCTGGGGCCATTCCCTCTGTATGCCATATTTGATAAAGCATTTGATAATCTTAGTCAATGCCTGGGCCAAGAATTAAAGGGGTAATTATCAGAATGAAAATGGTTTAATGAAACTGTGTCTATCAGTTCTGAAAAGGGCCTCTATCACAATGAACTAAGGTAGTTATGAATAGAGCTAAAACTTAGGCAACACCATCCTGGACATAGGAACGGGCAAAGATTTCATGACAAAGACACGGAAACCAATCACAACAAAAGCAAAAATTGAGAAGTGGAACCTAATAAAACAATAGCTTCTGCACAGCAAAAGAAGCTACCAACAAAGTAAACAGACAACCTACAGAATGGGAGAAAATATTTGCCAACTGTAAGTCTGACAAAAATCTAATATCTGGCAGCTATAAGGAACTTAAATTTACAAGACAAAAACAACCCCATTAAAAAGTGGGCAAAGAACATGAATAGACACTCTCAAAAGAAGATATACATATGGTTAACAAGCATATGAAAAAAAAGCTCAATATACTGAGCATTAGAGAAATGCAAATCAAAACCATATTGAGATATCATCTCATACCAGGCAGAATGGCTATTATTAAAAAGTCAAAAATAACAGATATCGGTGAGGTTACAGAGAAAAGGGAACACTTATACACTGTTGGTGGGACTGTAAATTATTTCAACCATTGTGGAAAGCAGCATGGGATGGCGATTCCTCAAAAAGCCAAAAACAGAACTGTCATTCAACCCAGCAATTCCATTACTGGGTATATACCCAGAAGAATATAAATCGTTCTACCATAAAGACGCATGCATGAGAATGTTCATTGCAGCACTACTCACAATAGCAGAGACATGGAATCAACTTAAATGCCCATCAGTAACAGACTGGATAAAGAAAGTGTGGTACTGATACACCGTGGATTACTATGCAGCCATAAAAAAGAACAAGATCATGTCTTTGACAGGAACATGGATGGAGCTGGAGGCTACTATCCTTAGCAAGCTAAGGCAGGAACAGAAATCCAAATACCACATGTTCTCACTTATGAGCGTGAGATAAATGATGAGAACTTGTAAACACAAAGAAGGAAACAACAGGCAGTGGGGTCTACTTGAGGACGACGGGAAGAGGGAGAGGAGCAGAAAAGATAACTACTGACTACCGGGCGCTACCTGGGGGATGAAACAATCTGTACAACGAACCCCCAGGACATGAGTTTACCTATGTAACAAACCTTCACGTGTACCCCCGAACCTAAAATAAAAGTCAAAAAAAAAAAGAAAAAAAGAAAAATCCATGCATATGATACATCAGTTAACAAGGCACTGGTGAAATTAATTTTAAGTATTATTGTCTCTTTGTGTTTTTGGTCTCAGAAAAGTTACGATTTCCCTTAGTTCCTTAGGGCAGAGAGAATCTTCAATCACTGAAGTCAGGAGACACACATTCTATCTGATTTTCTACATTATCTGTTTGAAAAGGTTACCCACTTATTAGTGTTAAAGCCAAGATATCCAGCAAGGATAGCAACCAACTCTTAAGGTACTCTCCCTTAGGAGGATTCCTGATTCTTTAATGTTTTCTAAAAAAGCAAAACAAACAAACAAAACAAAACACTAAATGTTTTCTCTTTCAACTTATTTGAATACACTCTTTTCTCACTGCTCTGAGCATGAATTCAATATTTCAGGGCAAACTAACTGAATGTTAGAACCAACTCCTGATAAGTCTTGAACAAAAGATAGGATCCTCTATAAACAGGTTAATCGCCACGACATAGTAGTATTTAGAGTTACTAGTAAGCCTGATGCCACTACACAATTCTAGCTTTTCTCTTTAGGATGATTGTTTCATTCAGTCTTATCTCTTTTAGAAAACATAGGAAAAAATTATTTAATAATAAAATTTAATTGGCAAAATGAAGGTATGGCTTATAAGAGTGTTTTCCTATTGTTTTCAGTGTAGGACTCACTGTTCTAAATAACTGGGACACCCAAGGATTCTGTAAAATGCCATCCAGTTATCATTTATATTCCCTAACTCAAAATTCATTCCATGTATTCATTTTTTTCTAAACAAATTAGCATGTAGAATTCTGGTTAAAATTTGGCATAGAACACCCGGGTATTTTTTCATAATGCACCCAATAACTGTCATTCACTAATTGAGAATGGTGATTTAACAAAGGATAATAAAGTTATGAAACCAATGCCACAAAACATCTGTCTCTAACTGGTGTGTGTGTGTGTGTGTGTGTGTGTGTGTGTGTGTAAGAGGGAGAGAGAGAAAATTTCACTCCCTCCATAAATCTCACAGTATTCTTTTCTTTTTCCTTTCCTTTCCTTGCTCTTCTTTCTCTCCTATTGCTTTCCTTTCATTTCCTTCTCATAAAAGAAAAATAACAATATAGAAAATAACAAAATATAGATGGTCAACCTTTTTAATATTAAGGTTACCTAAAATGCCATTATCCAAAGTGGTTCTCTAGAGATGCTGATGTATATACTTACATATTTTACAGTGTATTCAAATAAAGAGTATATTACATAAGACATATCCTTTTGTAACCAACTTTTGTCATTAACAATTTACTGGACTTGTCAACAAACCTAAATCTGTATCGTCTATAATGGCTACGTTCATTTTGGTATGAATCTTAATTACCCCTTTCTGCATTATTTAATGATTTTCTCATATGTCACTCTTAAATGTACTTCTAATTTTTCACTTTACATCACATAATGAATGGATCCAAATATGTTATGGATAGATATCTTCAAACTTTCTACTTACAAGTAGTGATAATAACAGATGTTCTCTCTAAAGTGTAGTTGGTATCAATTTTACTGACCTTTAAAAATATCTTAATGGGACAAAGTTCAAATATTTGATGACCAGCTATCGTGACCTTTATCTCTGTGGCTCTGTGGGCCTGTAGTTTTTACGTGCTTTTAGTGTATCATGATTAAATATTTTGTTTTAGTAAAGACACCATTATTTCCCAACTTCATATTCAAATTGTCAAAGGTATTAATCCTAGAGCAGAACTCTCAAAAGCACCAACTCTGATTCCTAACAAAGCATGGAAAAGCCCTCTCTCTGAGTTTCAGATACTCTTTTTTGTGGGGGTTGAGTTTCACTTTATTTAAAGTGAGTCTTATTCCTCCAACAAGTCAACAAGTGATTGGCTGGAATCACACGTATTGGAAAACCAGCGGAAGAGTAAGTCTTTGCATTTTATGCTACTGTACCTCTGAGATTAATTGCTCTTTCCCTCATTGGCCAGTCACTCTTAGTGTGTGATTAATGCCTGAGACTGTGTGAAGTAAGAGATGGATCAGAGGCCGGGCGCGGGGGCTCGCGCCTGTCATCCCAGCACTTTGGGAGGCCGAGGCGGGCGGATCACGAGGTCAGGAGATCGAGACCATCCCGGCTAACACGGGGAAACCCCGTCTCCACTAAAAATACAAAAAGTTAGCCGGGCGCGGTGGCGGGCGCCTGCGGTCCCAGCTGCTGGGGAGGCCGAGGCGGGAGCATGGCGGGAACCGGGAGGCGGAGCCTGCAGTGAGCCGAGATGGCGCCACCGCACTCCAGCCTGGGCGACCCAGCGAGACTCCGCCTCAAAAAAAAAAAAAGAAGATTGATCAGAGAGTACATCCTCTAAGGGTACATGCAGATAAATACAATTAAGGCTATTAGCATTTCAAATACGGTGACTGTTTCTTACGTGGACGACGTTGTGTTGAACATGGGTGAGTAAGACTGAAGCAGCCGTAATTACTGCACGATGCGCATGGTAAAGAAGCACTCCGTTACGGAAATTATATTCTTTGCCCCTCTAATCCTTCACTCCACCTGCCATATTCCCACATGATTTTTTTCTTTGCTGTTCTTGTCTAATAGTTATTAATAATTAATAAATAACTTATGATCTAATTGTTATTAATAATTAATAACTTATCATCACATGATTAATAAATTAATAAATAACTTATGATCACCGCATTTCCCCAATTCATTTATCTTTCTTTCATTTTCTCTCTTTGTGTGTTTTCTGTCTTCATATTTCAGCACTTGCCACATATTTCCCACAAAATCATTTATGGTCAAACAACACTTCAACGTGTAGCATTTGTATTTCTCAATTCTTCCTCACTTTCTTCCTTCAGAATACTAAAGCTTCTTCTCTACTGACTGAGTCAATGGCCAATGGATAGAGTAAATAATTCTGCGGTATCTAAATTTGTATTGATTGGACTTTCAAGCTCTTGGGAGATGCATCCTTTTCTTTTTTGGTTCTTCTCTGTGTTCTACATGGGAATTATCCTGGAAAATCTCTTCATTGTGTTCACAGTAATTATTGACTCTCATTTAAATTCCCCAGGTACTGCCTACTGGCCAACATTTATCTTCTTGATCTGGGTCTTCTCCTACAGTTCTGACTTTTTCACTAACTGCAGCATCATTTCTTTTCCAAGATGCATGATACAGATATTTTTCATTTGTGTCATGCGTAAAAATTGAGATGGTGCTGCTCATAACCATGGCATAGAGCAGGTACACTGCCAATCTGTAAGCCTCCCCATTACCTGACCACAATGAACCCCAAAATGTGTGTTTACTTTGTTGGAGGCATCCTGGATAGTCAGGATAATCCATGCTGTATCTCAGTTTGTTTTTGCCATAAACTTGCCTTTTTGTGGCCCTAATAGAGTAGGTAGTTTTCACTGTGATTTTCCTTATGTCATGAAACTTGCTTGTGTAGACACTTACAAACTAGAGGTTGTAGTCACTGCTAACAGTGGGCTTATATCCATAGCTACCTGTTTCTTATTAATAATATCCTATATTTTCATTTCGGTAACCGTCTAGAATCCTTCTTCAGGAGACTTATCTAAAGCATTTGTGTCATGTTAGATCACATCACAGTAGGGATTTTGTTTTTTATGCCATGTATATTTCTCTATGTGTAGCCTTTGCCTAAAACAACACATGATTAATATTTGTTCATTGTTCCTTTTGCTATCACCCCTGTCTAGGATCTACACATTAAGAAACAAAGACATGAACGTCTCCATGGAAAGACTGGGAAAATGGATTGCAGGTTCTAGCAGGATGTCATAATAAATGGTGCATATCCAGAGTGCAAGATGATTCAGTCTCACCAAGAACACTGAAAGTCACATGGCTACCAGCATTATTGTGATAAGAACTACTATTTTGGGAGATAGTTTAGCAAAGGTGCCATGTAGAAATTGATTAAGTCAGAGGTATCTTTAACTTGCCACCACAGAGAAGAGATTAATTTCATATACTTCCATTGAGAAGAGAGATAAGAATACAAAACCAAGCTGATTTGCAGGAGTAAACTTGATATTCAAATACTATTTCCTGAATGACATTTTCTGAGACATGCTAATTGTAATTACTTTCAGCTTCAAAACATAATAAATTTATCTCATAGTAAGCATATAGATGGAATAAATAAAATGTGAACTTAGGTAAATTATAAATTAATAAAGTATATTTTTAAAATTTCCATTTTAATTTCTGTTTAAATTAGAATAAGAAACAAAAACAACTATGTAATACGTGTGCAAAGCCCTGAACTGAGATTTGACTTTACCTTGAGCTTTGTCAGTTTACGATGCTATTTCAGTTTTGTGCTCAGATTTGAGTGATTGCAGGAAGAGAATAAATTTCTTTAATGCTGTCAAGACTTTAAATAGATACAGACAGAGCATTTTCACTTTTTCCTACATCTCTATTATTCTAAAAATGAGAACATTCCAAAAGTCAATCATCCAAGTTTATTCTAAATAGATGTGTAGAAATAACAGTTGTTTCACAGGAGACTAATCGCCCAAGGATATGTGTTTAGAGGTACTGGTTTCTTAAATAAGGTTTTCTAGTCAGGCAAAAGATTCCCTGGAGCTTATGCATCTGTGGTTGATATTTTGGGATAAGAATAAAGCTAGACATGGTGAGGCATATTCAATTTCATTGAAGATTTCTGCATTCAAAATAAAAACTCTATTGAAGTTACACATACTTTTTTCATGTATTTGTTTCTACTGCTTTGTAAATTATAACAGCTCAATTAAGAGAAACCGTACCTATGCTATTTTGTCCTGTGACTCTCCAAGAACCTTCCTAAGTTATTCTACTTAATTGCTTTATCACTCATATGAATGGGAATTTCTTCTCTTAATTGCTGCTAATCTCCCCCATCTTCATATACTCTACCGGGCTTCTGGAACACCACAGCTTCCTGGCTTTTTCTCCTACCTCCTGGGCAAGTCCTTCCCTGTGTCTTTTGTTGAGTGTTCCTCATCTGCTTAACCACCAATCAACCTATTGCCCCTAATTTGATCTTTGGCCTGTTTTCACTTAGATTCTATCTCTACGTATCACCCATTCCCACAGCTTTAATTACCATCTAAACACTAGGGGCTCTCAAACCTTCTATTTTTTCTTTCTTTCTTTCTTTCTTCCTTCCTCCTTTTCTTTCCTTTTCTTTCTTTCATTCTTTCTTTCTTTTTTAAGGGGCAGGGTCTCACTATGTTGCTGAGGCTGGTCTCAAACTCCTGACCTCAAGCAATCTGTCTGCTTCAGCCTCCCAAGTAGCTGAGAATACAGGGACAAGCCATTGCACCTGACCCTGGTACTATTTCTTGAGTTCCTGATCCACAGATCTAACCTCCTACTTTCCTGGATGCCACACAAGATCTTCCACTCAACAAGTCTGCAACTAAACTAGGCTTCCTCTTTTCAAACCTACTCTTCTTTCAGTGTTCTCAGTCACAATAATTTGTACCAACTAGTTACCTAGTTGCACAACCCAAAATCTGGGGAAAATAATAGATTTCTTTCTCCATAGTACCCCAAAATCAATAAATCATCAAGTCTTATTCTACCTTCCAAAGAGCCTTACATATGTTCCTTTATTTTCATCTGTAACACCACTATTCCTGTCTAAGCCTACCTATGTCATTTTTGGAAGAGAATATAGTCACCTATGCGATCTTCCCACTTAAAATCCTATTATCTACGCTTCAGTAAAAGAAAAAAAATTTTTAATCTAAGTATGTAATTCTTTTGCTAAAGACACTTCACATGCTTCTGTGCCCTTAAACTGGTATGTTATCATGGTATAGTAGGCCATCCAAGACCTGGCTTCCTTCCTTTTTTTCAGTCTCAGAGAATAACATACTCTTTCCCTGCAACTCCAGATCCAATTTGGTTTTCTTTTACTTGCCTGGAAACTTCAAATTCTATCAACTCTGGGGCTTTCCACTAGCTAATCATTTTGTATACAATATTCGTCCTTCATGTTTTGCCTCTTAACATCTCAGCTTTCAGTTTCATCATTTTACCAGGGAGGCCTCCCAGAACCTGAGTCCAGAAGAGTTCCTTCCATTGTATATTCCTCTAGCACTACCTATTACCTCTTTTGTAAGACTAACAGCCCTCAAAATTTTTCATTCAGTGATGTCTTCCTCATTGCATTTTAAGTTCAACATGAGCAGGACTTTGTCATGTTCACCTCTATCACATCATAAATATAGCAAAGAGTAAAACTATTGCAACATGACTAATGTATTGAACGATGCTTCAGCTTTCTTCTTACGTTCAATCACAGGTCATACGACTAAAGAACTTCCTTTTTAATCTCCTTTTCTATTCTCAATTAATTTCCTCTGCCTGCATCACCTCAAATCTCTGGGGTGAAATCCACTAATGAATTCCTTTTGCAGCTTAAGCCAATTCCAATCTTGAGCCAATCTCAGGTGAAGAAGCCTGTAAATTATCACTCTCAGTCCTCTCTTGTACTACTAGGTCTCATGAACTCTTCATTAACAACTCCAGCTTCTCTGTTAGCCCAAAAGCCTTTTGCTGCCTAGAAAACCCATGATTCATGCCTCAGGAAACAGCCTTCAAATCACAACATGTTCTGTATCTGGCTGGCCAACTCCCTGCAACTTATTTCTGCCTAGATGCTCCCTCATTCATTTCAATACGCTGTTCGGCCTGCTACCCCAGTTTCCCACTTAGAACAATGGCACACAGGACAGGAGCACATTGGCACATCAGAATGACTTATGTACTGCTCATTGTGTTGCAGAAGAGACCTCTGTGGGGGCAATAGAACAGATTTTCCTCTCACGTCACTGTAGTTGTGGTTTCCCTAAGCACCTACACTGTTTTACCTCATCTTAGGTAGACAATAATCCATGTAACTGACTGTGTATCCTAATTTTAAAAAATATTTCTGCCCACATTATTCTGCAGTTTTTATCTTGCTTACGTATTTTTGGAATGTTACTATTTTTCAAAAATTAATTTGGGATCAACCAACATTTCTTATTCTGCTGCTGTTCTAGAGAAAATCATTTTCCTCATTTCTGAACAAGAGAAAATGAAATACAGCTCTAAACAAATGCCACTGTAAACCAAGGTGGAGCCTTTGCACTTTCAGGCCACCATGATAACCTGGAGATTAGATTTTTCTGTGTCTTTACATCAATAATAAAGCCAAGCTTCTCCAGGGGTATCCACTAGGCTTGTCTCAATGGCTCAATACAGGTCCTTTTGTGAATGATTACCTCACCCTCATGGAAACACACTCTTGTTACAGAAACTCAGAATGATTCTATTTTTTCTTTTATATTTGTATATGTTTTTCCAATACCTCTGAAAAAAATGATCCAAAAAAAAATACAAATTTTAATTGTAGCCAGTCAATTCAGGAAGGACAAAGGTCAAAAACTTTCAAAGAAACCTTCAACCCCAACACACTAAACTTTGGGAGCACAGGTTGGCATCCAGAGGTAAACATTTGCTATAACTGATAACAGGAGAAGGATCCATTTATTCACCTGTTATCAATTACAGGCATTGTATTTAAAGATCAGATGTTTTATATTTATTTCTTCAAATTTCATTCATGGTGCCATAAGTGAAGGTATGTCTGTCCACCCTGAATATATTTTCACTCCCTCATCTCAGTCATTCCGAACAATTCACACACTAAGATTACCCATGCTAAATGGGGATTCTTTTTTACTAGCCAATGTAGTACCTCAAATCCTTCCTTCCTTCCCCCTATTTCATCAGCAGGCAATTCTTTTGATACTTTTGTCAAGGGGAAATTGTGTGACTCAGAGATCTAGTCCCCAAGAGAAACTAATAATGGGCTGGGTATTGTCTGTCTCAGCAGCATCAGTGGGTCCCTCTCCTGTGCAGCTAATTAGCTTCCTTTCCAATATGAAGAATCTTATATATAGCTTTGTCTTTGGGGTATTACATAAATGAAGATTAAGCTATCTGAATTTCTCCTTCTCCTAAAAATGCACATCCTATGCCTGAAAAGACAGGTAAAAGAGATGCTTTTAATTACAAAACTTTCCCTGTCGTGGTTGCTTCTCTCTATCCTTCTAAACTCCCTTTCAATTTCTTCTCTTCTGTAACATATTTGTGCCCAAAATCTTCTGCTTTCTGAAATATTTTATCTTTTTCTTCCACACTATCTCTTATTTTCAAATTTTAATCATTAAATTATATTATGTCTTATAAAACTAATCCCACATATAAACCCCTATGATAATTTCAGTTTGTCCCTAGTATGAAGTTCTTTAAAGATGTGTAGTTTTCTAACTTTCATGCTCTCCAATTCATTATAAACTTCATTTTCCACTCTGAAAAGGAGATGTCTGATCTCATCTATTTCCATCCTATTTGAAAACCAGATTTAGTTTTAAACCAGAGGAAGGGAATCTCAAGTCTTTACCTCCCACAGTCTGGTGTGATTCTCTCTCTTTTGGTATTACCTTCCTCCACATTGGAACACTCCAGCCAATGCATAGGCTGAGAGGCTATCTCAGATTCAGAAAGATTTGGCCTCATCCCAGGGGAGGGTACAGAGGAGCTGATGGCTATGAATTCTGAAATGGAACTGTTCCAGGTTGAAGAAATAAGAAAGGGAATTGGGAAGAGCAATGCCCAGTGAAAAAGAAGAAATAATATTTTAGGAAGTGAATGCTAATTTTATTTTAAACAAAATAAGAACTCAGGGAATAAGAGGGTTCTTCCAATAGGTTAGAGTGATCCTGTCAAACATATATGCTTCTAGATTTTTTTAAAGACTGTTTCTACCAAGAAAGCATAGACCACTATTGAGAAAGATCATTAAACTGGAATTTAGGAGATCTGCCTTCTGATTCTGACTTCTTGAATGTATTGTTAGCCATTTAACCACACTGTGTTGTTTCTCATTCTACCTGTAGAATCTCAAAGTTCTTTCCCACTTCTATACAAAACTATAATTCTGAACATCCTTTTTGTTTAATATAAGTCTGCATTTCCTGTTTGAAGATATGTGTCCCAGACCCTAAATGACTGACAAATTTTAAATCTCCAATAGGAAAGATGACAAACTCTATGGAAACTTGGCTTCTGAAGAACTCCTAGAAGCTTTCCAAAGTCATCAGTGTTTCCTAAGAAGGCAGAGAAATCAAACACATGGTCTTTTCCTCTAGACAAGCTCCTTTGGGTCATCAGGATTTCTTCAACAATAAAATGTAATAATTCCAAATGTTTGTAACAGAATGGGTAGGACTTTCTTCACTTATTTAAATACTCCCTTTTTTATGCAACTGAGTTTTCATCAACAAGTACAAGCTTGTGAAGGAGTACTTTAAAATGCAATTTCTCTCTATTTTTGTGGGGGCTAATATTTTATTTCTCATATTGACAATTTATTATGCTGTTTTTAGAAAGTTCATTCATCAAGTATTTCTTGAGCTTTTTCTATGAGACAGGCACTGTTTTAGGCAAGTAATTATGCACTGAACAATGCAAAAAGTTTCCCTGCACTCATGGACTTTAATTTTACATTTATGAAAAGCTACAAATATTAGAATAAGTAAAATACTGCCTGGAGGCTAAAGCATATTTTGATCACTTATTCCCTAATTCTTTTCGAAGAGAACTCACCTGTCGGTTAGCTGAACCACTGCCAGTGATATCCAACTATACATTCAATCCCACCATACCTCATTATCACACCTATTCACTCACAAGCTTAAACTCTTAACTTTTCTCCACATATCAGTGACTATTTCCTACAGCTTTTCTTTTACTTTCCATGTTTGCAGTGACAATATACATAAACAGTGTATGAAAACTCAAGTAAAATCTACTCTCTCAGGTGTTCATAATGCATCAATGTATATTGCTTTAAGCCTGAAGGTAACCTAAGTAAAGATGTACCATGTTCCACCAATGCTTCTTTTGATCATCATTTTATCCTGTTTTTTCTTTAGGATTCTTTCTTTTTTTTTTTTTTTTTTTTTTTTGAGACGGAGTCTCGCTCTGTCGCCCAGGCTGGAGTGCAGCGGCGCGATCTCGGCTCACTGCAAGCTCCGCCTCCCGGGTTCACGCCATTCTCCTGCCTCAGCCTCCCAAGTAGCTGGGACTACAGGCGCCCGCCACTACGCCCGGCTAATTTTTTGTATTTTTAGTAGAGACGGGGTTTCACCGTTTTAGCCGGGATGGTCTCGATCTCCTGACTTCGTGATCCTCCCGCCTCGGCCTCCCAAAGTGCTGGGATTACAGGCGTGAGCCACCGCGCCCGGCCGGGATTCTTTCTTATTCCTTCCCCTGACCCTTCTTTTATTCTCCAAATTTCTTTCCAATTCATCTTTGTTCTTCCCTTTCCTTTTTACTCTCTTTAAACATTCTATGGACTCTGCCTCCTTCACACTGATATTGAACGCCCATAGTTTCATATTTTGGATTGCGATTGTTTTATTTTAAAATGGCAAATGTTCATGTTATAAAGAGAATTTTTCAGTCTTTAGACTAATAGGTTCATGTAGTTTGGGATTTTCCTCTTTAAGAAAATTAATTATCACTCACACTCCAAGACAAACACCATTTCAGTAGCAATATGAATTTCAGTAGTAATAGGAATCTCCAAATATGACAAAGTAATTCAGACATTAATTGCTTTTGTTTTGGAATTGCTCTTATAAGATGAAATATCACTTTCATGATGAGAGTCCTAGAGTGCTTGGTTTATATATTGTATCTTAGTTTTAACAGGATAAAACACTTGATCCTAAGCAGTAAACATGATTCTTCAGCTTCAACTTCATTTCTTTATAAATAACTATTTATGAATTGGTGTTGAGCTTAGTAAGTCACCAAACACCTTCTGCTCAGCAGCATAAAGGACATTTCCATGAAACCTCCCAGGGATAATCTTATTTACTCTATAATGTTTCCCGGGTTCAATTCCTCTCCCAAAATCCTTTGTTCTTAAGCCCCTATGATCTGGGTGATCTAAATATGGGTAAGAAGTCCAGGGATAGCACTATGAATGAAGTGAAAATAGTAAAACATAGTTAAAAATGTACAGATGCTCTCTGACTTATAATAGGGTTATGTCCTGATAAATCCATCATAAGTCAAAAATGCATTTAATATTCCTAATGTACCTCACATCATAGTTTGGCCTAGCCTACCTTAAATGTGCTCAGAACACTTTCATTAGCTTATATAAGATCACCTAATACAAAGCCTATTTTATAATAAAATATTGAATAGCTCACGTAATATACTGACTACTATACTCAAGTACAGTTTCTTCTGAATGCATGTCACTTTCTCACCATTGTAAAGTCAAACAATTATAAGTCAAACTATCACAAGCCAGGGACCATCCATATGTATTTCATTCAGAAAATGCTGGAAAGAGCATTTAGGAGAATATCTAGATGAGAGAAGGTAGAAAGCCATGCACAAATTCACTGAGAGTTTAAAAAAATGCATGCATATTGTGGAGATAGAAATCAAATCTATTTGTTTCCATCTGCTGTATTCTTCCCAAAATATTATCTCTTCTTATCCCATTGTACTATATTGCATTTCTTTGACCATTTATTGTGTATCTCTTAATATTTCCCACTTCATCATTACTAACCTCACTCACTCTGAACTTGATGAGAGCACCTGAGCATTAATTTTTCTTATAATTATTTAATGATTACCAGAATTCGTTCAGTATGGCCAGCTCTGGTCAAAGTGAGGCAGGCAAGATGCTTTGTCAACTGCCTGGATGGAATGTCTCAAAAGGTTTCCATTTCATGGTAGCATTATGCAAAGTTCAAGACGTTTAATCAAGACCCTTCACTTACTTAACTATACCTCCTTGAGAATCCCATCTATGAAAAAATTCTAGTCATTATAAAAATGATTGATTAAATGAGGGAAGTAGTAGAGTTCTTCATTTCTTTAGTTGGTTTAGTCTCCTATGAGTCAATCCTAGTTTTCAAAATTCTTAATAAACCATTTATTCCTTCAACTTTCTATGCCATTTGATGTTTTGTAAAAAAAAAATATAATATGTATACAAAAAGATATTTCAAAATCTAGAAAGAGAGCTTTAGAGCTTTGTAAAGCTCTTTTAAAAATCAAAAGCAACTACTGTTAATTAACATGTTGTACTATGCAATTTCTTTACCATTATTACTCTTAGTATTTTTAAGAAAAGTCTTTCCATTGTTATTATAAATGCTTCTATTGATATTTATTTTAATAACTGTTATTACAGTCCGTCATGTACATACACTATACTTAAACCTAATGTTTGGTATTTAAATCGTTTCAAGATTTTATCACTGTCAACAAAGTATGATGAATATTTTTATGCTGAAAACTTCTGTAAAAATAGAATTCCAAGACTATTATTGCACCAAAAGGCATGGACTTAAAATTCTTGATACATGATTTCAAAATATTTTCTTTAAGGTTTGAATCAGTCTATATTCCCTCCAGCAGCGTATAAAAGTGCCAGTTTCTCTGATCCTTAGCCAGTTTGGGTAATAAAAATTGTAAAACTTTTTTTTCTTTTTTTTTGAGACAGAGTCTCCCTCTGTCGCCAGGCTGAAGTGCAGTGGCGCAATCTCGGCTCACTGCAACCTCCGCCTCCCGGGGTCAAGCTATTCTCCTGCCTCAGCCTCCCGAGTAGCTGGGACTACAGGCACCCGCCACCACCATGCCCAGCTAATTTTTGTTATTTTTAGTAGAGATGGAGTTTCCCCATGTTGGACAGGATGGTCTCGATCTCTTGACCTCGTGATCCACCCTCCTCGGCCTCCCAAAGTGCTGGGATAACAGGCGTGAACAACCATGCCCGGCCTGTAAAACTTTTTCCTAATGTAACAGAAACATAATAGTATTACATTTTATCATATTTCTTTGATTTCTAAGACACACATACACACACACACACACATATCTGTATATACAAATACACGTATAGCTTACATTTTAATTCTTCCTTCATTTCATTTGTTCATTTATTAGGTCTTGGAGATTTTGTGAAACTGTTTAAATTCTTTTTTATACTATGAAGATATCAACCTTTTGTCTCTACAGCATTTCAAATTCAAGTATGATTCACGTGTTAGTTTGGGGTAGATCATTATAGGCACATGTAGGAAACAGCTTTCAGAGATGCCTTAACCGTAATTATGCATTTGTATTCTAATTTTTATTTAATGTTATTATTGATTGCATTTTTAAAGATTCTGTAATTTTTAAACCATTTATTTGTATATATTGGTATACAATCTTGCCATTTTCTGGGATTTCATATTTCCTTATTTTTGTTTTTTACCTTTTTTGGCTTGAATTTTTTGAGTTTTTATGCATTCTTTTCCAGTTTCTTAAGATGCTAATAAGTTCATCTATTTGAGCAATTGAGAACATTTAAAGCAATAGACTGCCTCTGAGCACAGCTTTGTCCATATTACATTAACCTTTTATACCCTGGGTTCCCACTAGTTTTTAAATAATCTACTATCAAATAAAAGATTTGTTAATAATAAATTTTAAATCATTAACACTTAACGCATTATTTTCAGTCACACTAAGTTGATTCCTTCGTTTCTTTCAGGTTGCTTCACAGTCTTCCCTTCTATCTGATTCAGTGGACCAAGTAAATGACTCTCTGGTAACAGAATTTGTATTACTTGGACTTGCACAATCCTTGGAAATGCAGTTTTTCCTTTTTCTCTTCTTCTCTTTATTCTATGTGGGAATTATCCTGGGAAACCTCTTCATTGTGTTCACAGTGATCTTTGATCCTCACTTACACTCCCCCATGTATATTCTGCTGGCCAACCTATCGCTCATTGACTTGAGCCTTTCATCTACCACAGTTCCTAGGTTGATCTACGATCTTTTTACTGATTGTAAAGTTATTTCCTTCCATAATTGTATGATACAAAAGTTCTTTATCCATGTTACGGGAGGAGTTGAAATGGTGCTGCTGATAGTCATGGCATATGATAGGTACACTGCGATCTGCAAACCTCTCCACTATCCAACTATTATGAATCCCAAAATGTGCATGTTTTTGGTAGCAGCAGCTTGGGTCATTGGGGTGATTCATGCTATGTCTCAGTTTGTTTTTGTCATAAATTTACCCTTCTGTGGCCCTAATAATGTGGGGAGCTTTTATTGTGATTTTCCTCGGGTTATTAAACTTGCATGCATGGACACTTATGGGCTAGAATTTGTGGTCACTGCCAACAGTGGATTCATATCGATGGGCACCTTCTTTTTCTTAATTGTATCATACATTTTTATTCTGGTCACTGTCCAACGACATTCCTCAAATGATTTATCCAAAGCATTCTTCACTTCGTAGGCTCACATCACCGTAGTGGTTTTGTTTTTTGCTCCATGCATGTTTCTCTACGTGTGGCCTTTCCCTACTAAGTCATTGGATAAATTTTTTGCCATCATGAACTTTGTTGTCACCCCTGTCTTAAATCCTGCCATCTATACTTTAAGGAACAAAGATATGAAGTTTGCAATGAGAAGGCTGAATCAACATATTTTAAATTCTATGGAGATGACATAACACATTTGGTTGATGAGAGCACAGGATAAATGCCATGGACCATCAAGACTCCTGTGATCACCATGATCACTATGGAACGCGCACATTTTTAGTATTGCCTGAAAAAACTGAAAAATCTGCAAAAAGGATGCATTAAATCTAAGAATTGTATTTCAGATAAAGTTGCAACATTTTTTGTTAATCATAAAAAGTATATATTTCTATCTAATGTGTGTATCTAATTAACAGCAATGACTATCTTTAATTTTGATGTAGTTATTTTATATCTGTATATAAGCACATACACATATATATGACCTAGGTTTATTTATCAGTATTTTTATGCTGATAATAAGCATCACTGGAAATTAATTTTCTTATGGAAATTATGTGGATCCAATGGATAAAATATGAGTTTATATAAATTAGTAAATGCCAAAATCAAGGAAGAAACAATTTTTATTTTAATTGTACTTTAAGTTAGATAAATGGTAAGGTCAACAGCTTGTTACAACCCTTAAGTATTATTTTCAGGCTGATTGTCAATATGTTTTGTACAATGTTCTCACTTATAGGTGGGAATTGAACAATGAGAACACATGGACACAGGAAGGGGAACATCACACACCGGGGCCTGTTGTGGGGTGGGGGGAAGGGGGAGGGATAGCATTAGGAGATATAACTAGTGTTAAATGACGAGTTAATGGGTGCAGCACACCCACATGGCACATGTATACATATGTAACAAACCTGCACATTGTGCACATGTACCCTAGAACTTAAAGTATAATAAAAAAAATAGACTCTAGTACTCTGTATTATGCAAAATTTGTCTATGTTACACTTTTTTAACAACACAATCCTATTGCCCTTGAAATCTTCTTCAAAGCATTTCTCGAGTCACTCTTAAAAAGCATCTACAACCTAAAAGTATAGGAAGAGATTTATTTCCTGGAGAAGAGACTCCATTGAGATCTTAAAAGCACATTTAATGTGCCTGTGCTTAACTTAAGGTGCTTAGGACAAAGAAGGCGATTGACATCTTTCAGGTAAAACCTGTTAAGTTTGGTGGTCAAGGAACACAACTGAGACATCACTTGGATGTATTTCTATGACTATTTTAAGAAACATAAATTGTGGTGACTCACTCAGCTCACTTTTAACTACTGCATGGTAATTAAAGATGCAAAATAAAATAAGTTACAAGAAGTGAGGTTTTTTATTGGTTAAAGCAATTTTTCTATATTTTCTCCACAAGTTGGTCATAAAAGTTCTAAGCATTCCTCTTTTTATAAAATCGAAGCATTATTACTTACTCTCTTGTTAACCTATCTGGATTTTAATTTTGTAACTTTATTATATTTGTTTTGCTGTGATTCTTTAAAAAGCACCTTTAGACTCAGTGAGATAGCAAAAATATCCAAATAGGCCAAAAAATTGTGGCAATGTCCTCTCACTCAGGAAAATTCTGTGTGTTTTCTCTAATGGCCAAGGGAAAACTTGTGAGACTATAAAAGTTAGTCTCAGTACACAAAGCTCAGACTGGCTATTCCCAGATCTCTTCAGGTACATCTAGTCCATTCATAAAGGGCTTTTAATTAACCAAGTGGTTTACTAAAAAGGACAATTCACTACATATTATTCTCTTACAGTTTTATGCTACTATGCTTCAAGGGACTACAGCAATTTTCACAGAATTATATATAATTCTAATGGTTGAATTCCATGAATAATCTATGGCATGAAAGATTTTACCTGTCAACAGTGGCTGGCTCTTCATGGTTGCTACAATGAGTGTGTAAGATTCTGAAGAACTCCTTTAATAAGCCTAAACTTAATGTTCAACTTAGAATAAATACAATTCTTCTAAATTTTTTTGAATAATTTTTGAAAAGTCAGAAATGAGCTTTGAAAGAATTATGGTGGTGAAGGATCCCCTCAGCAGCACAAATTCAGGAGAGAGATGTCTTAACTACGTTAGCAAGAAATTCCTTTTGCTAAAGAATAGCATTCCTGAATTCTTACTAACAGCCATGATAGAAAGTCTTTTGCTACAGATGAGAACCCTCGGGTCAACCTCATCCTTGGCATATTTCATGTGAAGATATAACTTCAAGATTGTCCTTGCCTATCAATGAAATGAATTAATTTTATGTCAATGCATATTTAAGGTCTATTCTAAATTGCACACTTTGATTCAAAAGAAACAGTCCAACCAACCAGTCAGGACAGAAATTATCTCACAATAAAAATCCTATCATTTGTACTGTCAATGATTAGTATGATTATATTTATTACCGTGCTAAGCAGAAGAGAACTGAAGTGAATGTTCATGATTTATTCCACTATTAGACTTCTCTTTATTCTTAAAAATATTTAAGATCACTAAATTTTTATAGGACTTTAAAAACAGTAATGTGCTGCTTGAGTGTGTAGGACTAAGAAATGGGATTCAGAGTAGTAAAGAGAAAAGTAGAATTTCCAAGCACTATGAATTACTGTTCTTTAAAAAACAGCAAAAATCAAATAACAGTATTCCTCCAAAAAAGATGGCAAGTGTAAACTCTATACCTTCATGTCTCCCGTGGAATGTTAGTGATCAATTTCCACTTCTCCCTTTTACATCTTACTTGCCCATTAACTCTTATACCTAATCCAAAGATTGTTAATATGGCTATGCCTCACTTTCAGGACACCTTTTATTTGTTACTTCTCTTCACTGCAAAACTTCTTGAAACAGTACTTATTTTCTCTCCTCCATACACAATTGAAATGGCTCTCAACTCATGCCCAGAAGTCAGTGTTCAGTCTCTCACCTGGCAGATAGCAACTTACAAAGATGCCCCAACAATACCTCCTTGTGTCTAGACAGTCATCATTATCCTTTACCTTTTTCTGTATTTATTTCTGCTCCTAAAAGGGATCTCTATGTAAAGTATTGTTATACTAGTGCTTGTTATAATTATTATCAGCTCCCTCCCTTCCAATTCCAAGCTCCCTCCCTTCCAATTCACATTGAGTCCAGAGCTAAATTAAACAATCATTCAAAATTTTTCAGTAGTTCTTGTCTCTATAATAAAACAGAAATGCTTTAGAAAGCATTCCAAAATCTCTTACCAGTTTTATCTCCTATGAAAGTCCTTCACACTTTCTCTCATTTAAACTTTATTGCATTTTCCTCACTTTTTCTCACTTCACTTTTGAATTCCCTATTCTTTTATCCTCTGTTAATTTTTAAGTATTATATTTGTGATACTATTTTTTCTTTTTTTCTATTTTTTATCTTTCATTTCATTTTGGCCTATTTTTTTCTCTTAAGAACTTTAATATCACCAAATAACATGCGTGCTACAAACTGTTTTGTAGTTCAAAGAAAAAGGAGATAAACATAGAGTTATGGCATAGACTTAATCTGGCAGAGAGACAAGCATAAATAATGGTATTTTATATTAGGAATAAACCTAACATTAATGGAGACACTGAGAAGCTGAGATAACTGAATTATAAGGCATAGCCAGGGAAGTAGTGCGAGACAAAATTATGATCTTGTTGAATTCTGAATGTCTTTAAGTAATAGATTATAGAAAGTCACTGTAAGAGTGAGCAGAATGATATAAAATGAGGCTTTGAATTTGAATATAATAATTCTGACTTCCTTCTCCTTCTCTTCTTCAAGGTAACTGCAGAGGCTATTTCCTGGAATGAATCAACGAGTGAAACGAATAACTCTATGGTGACTGAATTCATTTTTCTGGGTCTCTCTGATTCTCAGGAACTCCAGACCTTCCTATTTATGTTGTTTTTTGTATTCTATGGAGGAATCGTGTTTGGAAACCTTCTTATTGTCATAACAGTGGTATCTGACTCCCACCTTCACTCTCCCATGTACTTCCTGCTAGCCAACCTCTCACTCATTGATCTGTCTCTGTCTTCAGTCACAGCCCCCAAGATGATTACTGACTTTTTCAGCCAGCGCAAAGTCATCTCTTTCAAGGGCTGCCTTGTTCAGATATTTCTCCTTCACTTCTTTGGTGGGAGTGAGATGGTGATCCTCATAGCCATGGGCTTTGACAGATATATAGCAATATGCAAACCCCTACACTACACTACAATTATGTGTGGCAACGCATGTGTCGGCATTATGGCTGTCGCATGGGGAATTGGCTTTCTCCATTCGGTGAGCCAGTTGGCCTTTGCCGTGCACTTACCCTTCTGTGGTCCCAATGAGGTCGATAGTTTTTATTGTGACCTTCCTAGGGTAATCAAACTTGCCTGTACAGATACCTACAGGCTAGATATTATGGTCATTGCTAACAGTGGTGTGCTCACTGTGTGTTCTTTTGTTCTTCTAATCATCTCATACACTATCATCCTAATGACCATCCAGCATTGCCCTTTAGATAAGTCGTCCAAAGCTCTGTCCACTTTGACTGCTCACATTACAGTAGTTCTTTTGTTCTTTGGACCATGTGTCTTTATTTATGCCTGGCCATTCCCCATCAAGTCATTAGATAAATTCCTTGCTGTATTTTATTCTGTGATCACCCCTCTCTTGAACCCAATTATATACACACTGAGGAACAAAGACATGAAGACGGCAATAAGACGGCTGAGAAAATGGGATGCACATTCTAGTGTAAAGTTTTAGATCTTATATAACTGTGAGATTAATCTCAGATAATGACACAAAATATAGTGAAGTTGGTAAGTTATTTAGTAAAGCTCATGAAAATTGTGCCCTCCATTCCCATATAATTTAGTAATTGTCTAGGAACTTCCACATACATTGCCTCAATTTATCTTTCAACAACTTGTGTGTTATATTTTGGAATACAGATACAAAGTTATTATGCTTTCAAAATATTCTTTTGCTAATTCTTAGAATGAAGAAAGGCATAAATATATTAGTATTTGTGTACACCTGTTCCTTCCTGTGTGATCCTAAGTTTAGTAGAAGAAAGGAGAGAAAATATAGCCTAGCTTATAAATTTAAAAAAAAATTTATTTGGTCCATTTTGTGAAAAACATAAAAAAAGAACTGTCACATCTTAATTTAAAAAATATATGCTTAGTGGTAAGGAGATATATGTCAACTTTTAAGAGGTTGAAAAACAAACGCCTCCCATTATAAGTTTATACTTCACCTCCCACCACTATAACAACCCAGAATCCATGAGGGCATTATCAGGAGTGAGTGGAAGAGTAAGTTTGCCAATGTGAAATGTGCCTTCTAGGTCCTAGACATCTGTGGTATAACTGCTCATAAGCAGTAGAAAGAATTTAGAGGGATCCAGGCTCTCATCATGTTGGCACAAAGTATATTACTTGGATCCATCTATGTCATTTTCCATGGTTAATGTTTAAAAGCACAGGCTTTAAAGTAAAAAACAAAGAGCTGGATTCAACTCTACTGACTCTTATTAATCATGATTTTGGGCACATTACGTAGCTTTCATGAGCTTTAGTTTCTACATTTATAAACAGGAGATTATACCTATTATGCATGGTTATTATGAAGGAAAATGACAAAATAGATATAAATCAAATAGCCCACTTCGAGACATATTAAGCATGAATAAACATTAGATACTATTAAAATCCTATATATTAACAAAGCCAAAAGTTTCAAACTTTACTTTTTCCCAACATTCTTGTGAAATATGACACATCCCAATCTTAACAGATGCTCATTTGGGATACTGTACTTGTGAGTGGAAGTGTGTATATTTGTGTGCAAGTGTGTACTCATATACTTCCACCTTACCACCCTAGAAAGGCATGATGAAAATTTAAGATAGAAGGAAAATATAAATTGAAAAAAAAAAAAAACCTTAGCAAATGATTCTGACAAATATCTTCTCTTTCCAGGGAGAATCACTGAGCCAGAATAAAATTGAACACTAAATATTCTAAGAAAAAAGGAATCTAGTTTGTCAAAATGTGACTTGAATTAATAGATAAGGAGAGTCAGATGATAAAAGGGTCAAAATTATGTTTATCTTAGGAAAAGTAGAATAGAAAATTTATAAGCAGATTAAAAACACATAATAAAAGTAGTAAATAATAATGACAGTATCTCAAATCAGTGCAGGGGGGAAAGGCCTACTAATGTGATGGTGGGATAATTGGATAGCAATATGGGAAAAGATATATTTAATTTATTTGCTACACCAAATGCCAGGACAATCTCTAAGTGAATTCAAGACATAACTCTTTTTTCAAAAAAACTATGCAAATATTAAAAGAAAACAAGTTAATGTTTTTATAATCTATGAATATGGTAAAGATGGATAACATTGACTATCAAATTAATTTTTAATGCGTAATAAAACTATGAGAAAATTTAAAAGTGGGAAGAAACTACTTGTAACTCACATAATAGACTAGCACTTCTAACACATAGGGAACTTCTAAAACAAAACCCAAAATATTAATAGGAAAATGGGCAAAACAGTTAAACTTACAGTTCATACATAAGGAGAATCAGTCTTTTTTTTTTTTACAGTTGTAGGCAAAAAACTTTTATTTTTCATTTATTTGTAAAATTTACCCCTAATTTATTCATAATTCATTTAACTGCTAAGGGCATTAATGTGTACAACGCCATGGGAGAAACCAGTATATTCAGAATTTCTCCTGAAATTTGACCAGAAGTTATGGGCATCCCTCCCCTGGGAAGGAGGCAGGCAGAAAAGTTTGGAATCTATGTAGTAAAATATGTTACTCTTTTATATATATACATATATGTGTGTATATGTGTATATATATATACACACATATATACATACATACATACATACATACATACATACATACATATTATCTGAATTAGGCCTGGTCTTTTTTAATAGTTTAAGTTCTGGGATACATGTGCAGAATGTACAGGTTTGTTACACAGGTATACACGTGCCATGGTTGTTTGCTGCACCCATCAATTCATCATCTACATTAGGTATTTCTCCTAACGTTATCCCTCTCCTTGCCTCCCACCCCCCGACAGGCCCTGGTGTGTGATATTCCCTTCCCTGTGCCCATATGTTCTCATTGGTCAACTCCCACTTATGAGTGAGAACATGCGGTGTTTGGTTTTCTGTTCTTGTGTTAGTTTGCGGAGAATGATGGTTTCCAGCTTCATCCATGTCCCTGCAAAGGACATGAACTCATTCTTTTTTATGGCTGCAAGAAATGCAAATCAAAACCACAATGAGATGCCATCTCACACCAGTTAGAATGGCAATCATTAAAAAGTCAGGAAACAATAGATGCTGGAGAGGATGTGGAGAAATAGGAATGCTTTTACACTGTTGGTGGGAGCGTACATTAGTTCAACCATTGTGGAAGACAGTGTGGTGATTCCTCAAGGATCTAAAACTAGAAATACCATTTGACCCAGCAATCCCATTACTGGGTATATACCCAAACGATTGTAAGTCATTCTACTATAAAGACACATGCACAGGTATGTTTATTGCAGCACTATTCACAATAGGGAAGACTTGGAACCAACCCAAATGCCCATCAGTGTTAGACTAGATAAAATGTGGCACATAGACCTGGTCTTAAAATCAAGAACAGAGATTGTTACTTTTACATCCATTCCTAATTGATAAACCATTCAGTTATACCACATCTTAGCTTCTGGACTACAATGACCATATTTGGGGTTTTCTTTCTAATTTCATTATAGGTTCAGAGGGTACATGTGCAGGTTTGAGACAAAGGTATATTGCATGATACTAAGGTCTGGAGTACAAATGATTCCACCTCCCAGGTAGCAAGAATAATACCCAATATGTAGTTTTTCAACTCTTTCCCCTCTTCCTCCATCCTCCCTCTGCTACTCTGTGGTGTCTGTTTCTCTCATCTTTATGTCCATGTGTACTCGATGCTTAGCTCCCCCTTGTAGGTGAGAACATGTGGTATTTGGTTTTCTGTTTCAGTGTTAATTCACTTAGGATAATGGCCTCCAACTGCATTCATGCTGCTGCAAAGGATGTGACTTTCTTCTTATTAGCTGCATATATTTTGTGGTGGATTTGTACCACATTTACTTTATCTAGTCCAAAGTTGTTGGGCACCCAGGTGGATTCCATGTCTTTGCTATTGTGAATAGCACTGGGACAACCCATACAAGTTCATGTGTCTTTTTGGTAAAACAATGTATTTTCCTTTGGGCATATATGCGGTGATGGAATTGCTGGATCGAGTGGTAGTTTAACTCTTAGTTCTTTGAGAAATCCCCAGACTGTTCTCCACAGTGGCTGGACTAAGTTGCATTCCCACCAGCAGTGTAGAAGTGTTCCCCATTCTCTGTAGCCTCACCAGCACATGTTAAACTATCTTTAAATATATGAAAAAAATGTTCAAGTCTCTCAGATTAAGATGCATGCAAAGTAAAATGATACTTAAATATCAGTTCTAACCTATAAAATATCAAATATCTGACCTCAATATTTGATAATCCAACCTGTTGATGAAGCTGTAGAGAGAGGCACTCTTTTTTTTTTTTTTTTTAATTATACTTTAAGTTTTAGGGTACATGTGCACCTTGTGCAGGTTAGTTACATATGTATACATGTGCCATGCTGGTGCGCTGAACCCACTAACTCGTCATCTAGCATTAGGTATATCTCCTGATGCTATCCCTCCCCCCTCCCCCCACCCCACAACAGTCCCCAGAGTGTGATATTCCCCTTCCTGTGTCCATGTGATCTCATTGTTCACTTCCCACCTATGAGTGAGAATATGTGGTGTTTGGTTTTTTGTTCTTGCGATAGTTTACTGAGAATGATGATTTCCAATTTCATCCATGTCCCTACAAAGGACATGAACTCATCATTTCTTATGGCTGCATAGTATTCCATGGTGTATATGTGCCACATTTTCTTAATCCAGTCTATCATTGTTGGACATTTGGGTTGGTTCCAAGTCTTTGCTATTGTGAATAATGCCGCAATAAACATACATGTGCATGTGTCTTTATAGCAGCATGATTTATAGTCCTTTGGGTATATACCCAGTAATGGGATGGCTGGGTCAAATGGTATTTCCAGTTCTAGATCCCTGAGGAATCGCCACACTGACTTCCACAATGGTTGAACTAGTTTACAGTCCCACCAACAGTGTAAAAGTGTTCCTATTTCTCCACATCCTCTCCAGTACCTGTTGTTTCCTGACTTTTTAATGATTGCCATTCTAACTGGTGTGAGATGGTATCTCATTGTGGTTTTGATTTGCATTTCTCTGATGGCCAGTGATGATGAGCATTTTTTCATGTGTTTTTTGGCTGCATAGATGTCTTCTTTTGAGAAGTGTCTGTTCATATCCTTCGCCCACTTTTTGATGGGGTTGTTTGTTTTTTTCTTGTAAATTTGTTTGAATTCATTGTAGATTCTGGATATTAGCCCTTTGTCAGATGAGTTGGTTGCGAAAATTTTCTCCCATTTTGTAGGTTGCCTGTTCACTCTGATGGTAGTTTCTTTTGCTGTGCAGAAGCTCTTTAGTTTAATTAGATCCCATTTGTCAATTTTGTCTTTTGTTGTCATTGCTTTTGTCCCATCGATCCCACAGAAATACAAACTACCATCAGAGAATACTACAAACACCTCTATGCAAATAAACTAGAAAATCTAGAAGAAATGGATAAATTCCTGGACACATACACTCTCCCAAGACTAAACCAGGAAGAAGTTGAATCTCTGAATAGACCAATAACAGAAGCTGAAATTGTGGCAATAATCAATAGCTTACCAACCAAAAAGAGTCCAGGACCAGATGGATTCACAGCCGAATTCTACCAGAGGTACAAGGAGGAACTGGTACCATTCCTTCTGAAACTATTCCAATCAATACAAAAAGAGGGAATCCTCCCTAACTCATTTTATGAGGCCAGCATCATTCTGATACCAAAGCCAGGCAGAGACACAACAAAAAAAGAGAATTTTAGACCAATATCCTTGATGAACATTGATGCAAAAATCCTCAATAAAATACTGGCAAAACGAATCCAGCAGCACATCAAAAAGCTTATCCACCAAGATCAAGTGGGCTTCATCCCTGGGATGCAAGGCTGGTTCAATATATGCAAATCAATAAATGTAATCCAGCATATAAACAGAGCCAAAGACAAAAACCACATGATTATCTCAATAGATGCAGAAAAAGCCTTTGACAAAATTCAACAACGCTTCATGCTAAAAACTCTCAATAAATTAGGTATTGATGGGACGTATTTCAAAATAATAAGACCTGTCTATGACAAGCCCACAGCCAATATCATACTGAATGGGCAAAAACTGGAAGCATTCCCTTTGAAAACTGGCACAAGACAGGGATGCCCTCTCTCACCACTCCTATTCAACATAGTGTTGGAAGTTCTGCCCAGGGCAACTAGGCAGGAGAAGGAAATAAAGGGTATTCAATTAGGAAAAGAGGAAGTCAAATTGTCCCTGTTTGCAGACGACATGATTGTATATCTAGAAAACCCCATTGTCTCAGCCCAAAATCTTCTTAAGCTGATAAGCAACTTCAGCAAAGTCTCAGGATACAAAATAAATGTACAAAAATCACAAGCATTCTTATACACCAACAACAGACAAACAGAGAGCCAAATCATGAGTGAACTCCCATTCACAATTGCTTCAAAGAGAATAAAATACCTAGGAATCCAACTTACAAGGGATGTGAAGGACCTCTTCAAGGAGAACTACAAATCACTGCTCAAGGAAATAAAAGAGGATACAAATAAATGGAAGAACATTCCATGCTCATGGGTAGGAAGAATCAATATTGTGAAAATGGCCATACTGCCCAAGGTAATTTACAGATTCAATGCCATCCCCATCAAGCTACCAATGACTTTCTTCACAGAATTGGAAAAAACTACTTTAAAGTTCATATGGAACCAAAAAAGAGCCTGCATCGCCAAGTCAATCCTAAGCCAAAAGAACAAAGCTGGAGGCATCACGCTACCTGACTTCAAACTATACGACAAGGCTACAGTAACCAAAACAGCATGGTACTGGTACCAAAACAGAGATATAGATCAATGGAACAGAACAGAGCCCTCAGAAATAATGCCGCATATCTACAACTATCTGATCTTTGACAAACCTGAGAAAAACAAGCAATGGGGAAAGGATTCCCTATTTAATAAATGGTGCTGGGAAAACTGGCTAGCCATATGTAGAAAGCTGAAACTGGATCCCTTCCTTACACCTTATACAAAAATCAATTCAAGATGGATTAAAGACTTAAACGTTAGACCTAAAACCATAAAAACCCTGGAAGAAAACCTAGGCTTTACCATTCAGGACACAGGCATGGGCAAGGACTTCATGTCTAAAACACCGAGAGAGGCACTCTTATGCATTGTTGGTGAGAATACAAAATGGTACAACTCTTGGCAATATCTTAAAAAATTTACATGGTACTGACTTTTGGTCTAGCAATCCTACTTCTATCCTAAAGATATATTGGCAAAAATACAAAATAATTGATGCACACAAGTCTATTCATTGAAGCATTGTTTTTCATAGTAAAGAACGGAAAGTAGGCCGGGCGTGGTGGCTCATGCCTGTGATCCCAGCATTTTGGGAGGCTGAGGCGGGCAGATCACTTGAGGCCAGGAATTCAAGACCAGCGTGGCTAACATGGCGAAACCCCATCTCTACCAAAAATACAAAAATTAGCCGGGTGTGGTGGTGCACACTTGTAATTCCAGCTACTTGAGAGGCTGAGGTGGGAGGATCGCTTGAACCTGGGAGGCAGAGGTTTCAGTGAGCCCAGAACGTGCCTCTGCACTCCAGCCAGGATGACAGAGCAAGACTCCATCTCAAAAAAAAAAAAAAAAAAGGAAAGTAACCAAATGACAATTAGTGAGTACTACTTGCAAAACTTGTACGCAATAGAGTATGAAGCAACTATAAAATGAGTGAGAAATATCTCCAAATACTACTCTAAAGTAATCTACAAGGTATACCTTAACTGAAAAGAAACAAAAAAGTGACACCAGAATGTTATTTTTATGTTAAAACAGGGATAAATACATTGGATTTACATGCATATATAAGTATATATTTTATAAATATTTAAATAAGCATACTTAAAATGGCAAAAACATAATCCATATATAATTTTCTTATGGCAGGAGGAGGAAACAGGGCAAGGCACAGGGATAAAAGTTATTCTGAATACATCTTATTTTATATTTTTGACTTTGAAATCATGTAGCTGTTTTATGTAACTTAAAAATGTAATTAAATTAACAGAAAAAAATTACAACTGCTAAAAATCAAGATCTGGCATTTTAATTAAGTTATAAAACATCGGAGAAAAGAATTGTTTCATAGGACACTAACATACAGACAAATTCATTTGGAACCCAATGAATTAATGGGCCTAAGATAACAACCAATAGAAGCTAAAATGACGAGTAACTGTTTCAGAAGAAAACATATATGGAATGAATCAGCTGAAAATACCTGAACCTACTGATCAATTTTTATATCACATGAAGTGAATACACATAAAGTATAATATGGAGCACATAGAACCAACTAGAAATGAGCCTAATTGGTAAATATTCTCTATTTTATGATAATATACAGGAAATATGTCAAAGAGAGAAACATGCAAGAACACCGTAGGGTTTAATAAGATAATCACAAGGTATGGAATATTCAACAGGATGAATATCCTGGATTATTCAGCAAATACACAGAGCTAAAAAGCAGGAGAAAGGAATTCATATATATTTTTAAAAACTAAAAAGATATATTAGCCAATGCAACTTTGAAACTTCTTTAGATCCTGATTCAAATAGAGCAAATTTAACAAATATATTTGAAACTATTAAAATAATTTTAAAATGACTAAGTATTTGATTATATCAAATATAGACAATAATAACCTTGAATGTACATGGATTAAATGTCCACTTAGGGGCTGGGTGTGGTGGCTCATGACTATAATTCCAGCACTTTGGGAGGCCAAGGCAGAAGGATTGCTTGAGGTCAGAGGTTCAAGTGCAGCCTGGTCAACACAGTGAGACCCTATCTGTACAAAAAACAAACAAAAATAAAAAATTAACTAATTTTAAAAAATATATATTTCTTCTAAATTCTCCACCTGAAAGATATAGACTGACTGAATGAATTTTAACTATGACCTGACTATGTGCTTCCCTGAACAAATGCACTTTACCTGTAAAACACATATTAACTAAAAGAAAAGAGATGGAAAAAGGTATTCCATGAACAGAAACCAAAATGAGTAGGAGTAGCTATACTTATGTCAGACAAAACAGACTTTAAGTCAAAACTAGCTTTAGAAAAAAGACAAAAATGCTTATTATACAACGATAAAGGAATCAATCCAGAAAGAGGATATAACAATTTTAAATATATATGCAGCCAACACTGGAGCAGCCAGATTCATAAAGCAAATACTACTAGGTCAAAACAGAGAGGTAGACTCAAATATAATAATAGTGAAGGACTTCAACACCCCACTTTCAGCATTAAACAGATCATCTAATAAGAAAACCAATCTCGCAGCCCTCACCCTGGAGAGTCCACAGGGACCAGGGGTTGGTCTGAACCCCCAGCACAGAGCACCTGCCTCACGGAAGAGTGGCTGCATTTTTCTTCCTGCAGTTTTCAGTCCTCACTTCTCCTTACCAAACAGGGCCGCCTGGCCTGGGACTCCTGTACAACTACCCTGCCCCCCACCTGACCACTTCAATAAGAAGTAGCCCAGCATTTCTCCAAGGAGGAAATACCAGAGTCAATTCACAACCACTGCAATTGTAGTGGTACCACCATAACAGCCCTTGGGCTGCAGAAGGAACTAAGAGTCTAATCACTACAGTGGCACCTTCAGCACACCACAGCCACCATACAGAGAGGAATCCAGCCCCCTCCCCTGGGAACCCCCACCACCCACTCCACCAGGCACAGCACCCAGCTCATAACTGCAGATCAGTTGCCCCACCCACAGCTGAGCTTACCTACTGGCAGTGGCCCAGACTTTCCCTAGGGAGAGGCTCCCAGAGGCAAACGACAGCCTCTCTGCCCCTGTCACAGCAGCAGTTCTATCCATGCTGTCCTCAGGCTTGGAAAGAAACAAAGCGCCTGAAGGCTGCACCTGAACTTACAGCATGCCACAGTTCCCATATGGAGAGGAGACCAGTCTCTTCTCCCAGTGAGCCCTAAACCCCCTGATCCCCAACAAGCAGAGCCCTAACCTCACACCAGCAGTACAGCTGCTCCATCCCCCAGGCTGAACATTCCCAGTAATAGCAGCTCCACCTGGAGATGGAGCCCCCAGGGTCAACCAAAAGCCCCTCTGCCACTGCCTCTACAGTGGTACTACCCCTGCTACCCTTGAACTAACAAAGGAGCAAAGACCCCAGTGCTTTATCCACACCTCCAACAAGCTGCAGTCGACCACAAAGAAGAAACAAGTCTGTCTCCCATGGGTCCTACCCACACCCCCTGCTGTTCACCATGAATGATAGAGTCAACAGTGTGAAAACGACCATACTGCCAAAAGCAACCTACAAATTCAATGCAATTCCCATCAAAATACCACCATCATTCTTCACAGAACTAGAAAAAACAAGGCTAAAATTCACATGGAACCAAAAAAGAGCCCACACAGCCAAAGCAAGACTAAGCAAAAAGAATAAATCTAGAGGCATCACATTACTCGACTTCAAACTATACTATAAGGCCATAGTCACCAAAACAGCATGGTACTGGTATAAAAATAGGCATATAGACCAATGGAATAGAATAGAGAACCCAGAAATAAAGCCAAATACTTTCAGCCAACTGATCTTTGACAAAGCAAGCAAAAACATAAAGTGGGGAAAGGACACCCTATTCAACAAATGGTGCTGGTATAATTGGCAAGCCACATGTAGAAGAATGCAACTGGATCCTCATCTCTCACCTTATAAACAAATCAACTCAAGATGGTTCACAGACTTAAATCTAAGACCTGAAACCATAAAAATTCTAGAAGATAAGATTGGAAAAACACTTCTAGACATTGGCTTAGGCAAAGACTTCACAATCAAGAACCCAAAAGCAAACACAACAAAGATAAATAGATGGGACTTAATTAAACTGAAAGCCTTCTGCACATCAAAATAAATAATCAGCAGAGTAAACAGACAACCCACAGAGTGGGAGAAAATCTTCACAAACTATGCATCCAACAGAGGACTAATATCCAGAATCTACAAAGAATTGGAACAAATCAGCAAGAAAAAAAACCAAACACAAGGATGACAGTGGAAATACAAAAACAAGACATAAATATTCTGAATAGTGATAATAAAACAGTGCATACCAGAATACAAACTGTTTCCAAGTTACAATGGTTCAACCATTTTTCAGCTTTATGGTGGTGTGAAAGTGATATCCATTCATTAGAAACCATGCTCCAGGATGGGCGCAGTGGGTCACGCCTGTAATCCTAGCACTTTGGGAGGCCGAGGAGGGCGGATCACAAGGTCAAGAGATCAAGACCATCCTGGCCAACATGGTGAAACCCCGTCTCTCCTAAAAATACAAAAATTAGCTGGGCATTGTGGTGCGTGCCTGTAATCCCAGCTATTCGGGAGGCTGAGGCAGGAGAATCACTTGAACCAGGGAGTCGGAGGTGTTGCAGTGAGCCGAGATCGTGCCACTGCCTCCAGCCTGGCAACAGAGTGAGACTCCAGCTCAAAAAAAAGAAAGAAACCCGACTCCGAATTTTGAATTTTGATATTTTCCTGGACTACCAATATGTGGCACAATGCTCTCTCACAATGTTGTGCAACAGCGGTGAGCTGCAGCTTCCAGTCAGCCAAATGATAATAAAGGTAGATAATCCATCTTGATATCTTCCTGAAGAACATAATGCCTGCCTACCATCAACAGGCATCAATACTTTCTACCAGCTATTCTCAACCCTCATGATCGGAAGAGACAGAGACTGACTGTGTCAAAGTATTAGTCCCATCATTCAGCAATTAACCTTAGCTCAATGCTTCAAAAATTCTTCAGGCCCTGTGTAATTTCAGCTACGTACATTAATGATAAGTACCCATACAACCATTCTGTTTCTTATTTTCAGTACCATATTTAATAAATATCAGTTATTCAATACTTTATTTAGACATTTTGTTAGATTATTTTGACCAACTGAAGCCTAATCTAAATGTTCTGAGCATGTTCAAAGTAAGCTAGGCCAACCTATAATTTTCGGTGTGCTAAATGCATTTTTAACTTATGATATTTTCAGTTTACGGGGGTTTGTTGAGACAAAACTTCATCATACATCAAGGAGCATCTGTATATGGGATATAGTTAAAGCAGTGATCAGAGGAAAATCTATAGCCTTAACACATTTATTAATAAAAGTGTAGGAATTAAATTATCAGCTGAAAAATGTAAAAAGTATCTAAAAGAGTAAGCAGAAAGTACAAGAAAGAACCCAAAGTAGAAAAAAGTGAAAATTAATAAAATAAGAAGCCAAAAAACAGATCAAATCAGTAAACCAAAAATCTTGTTCTTTAAACAAATCAACAAAGTTGACAAAAAAATTAGATCTCTTAATCATGAATAAAAAAAAAGAGAAAGCACAAAAATGAATAAGGAATGGTGAGAGAAATAACTATTGATAATCAGCAAATAAAAAATCATTAAAAACAATGTTGTTCACATCTATGAAAAACATTGAAAGCTAGAGGGAATGGGTAATTTTCTAGAAAAATACAATTCACCACAACTGACTTCAAAAAAAAAAAAAGAAGTACAGCACTTATGTGAGCAATTTCCATAGAGAAATACAGTTGTCATGGAATTATAACACACACACAAACACTAGGTTTAGATGTTTTCACGGAGAATTCCACCAAACCTTTAGAAATCAGATCGTCCAAAGGCAAATTAACAACCCTCAGCCATTTGCGGCAAAATATTACAATTGAGGCAAGATATACTGTACTGAAAACTTGAGGAAAAAGCAGGAGAGAAAGTTCCTTTGGGAAATTCGAATACTCAAAAGTGCTTACATACAATGAAAAATTTGGAAATCCATAAGCATGGCCAAGGTGGGACACATGCTCAGAAAAGGCCTGAGAAGACACTAATAACTCACCTTTAGTAATTCCTAGGCTCACAGCAAGAAAAAATGAAGGCTAAGGCAGAATTATACATGGCTCCGCTAAGTGTTGAGGGAGCCCCAATACAGAGTCAGTAAGCAAAGTCTGGGAGATGTTTTTCATATTTTTTTCTTTTTTGGCTCCTTGCAGTCAAGGAAATCATTTTTAAATCACTAAATGCTAAATGAACACAAGCTAAAGGAACCGAGCCTTCAAACATCAAACATAAAAAAGAATGCAGATATTACAAAACCAGTTTACAAAAGTTACTAAACAAATAAAAACTACATTCCACAGTGGGTAACAAAAATAACCTTGAAGAAGGGAAAAATTTGGTTTCCAGAATAAACACATTATAATATCCAAAATGTCCAGTTTTCAACAAAAATTAAGAAGCATGCAAATAAACACAAAACTATGGCCCATTTACAGAAGAAATAAATGAGACTCTCCCTGAGTAAGCAGATATTAGAAATATTAGACAAAAACTTTATATAACTGTCGTAAATAAACTTAAAGAGCTAAAGAAACCCAAGAGAATGACATATAAATAAATAAGAAATATGAATTTTTTAAAAGGTACAAAAAAATTCTGAGGCTGAAAAGTACAATAACTAAGTAAAAAGTTACTTTTTACTTAGGGTTCCAATAGAAGATTTGAGCAGCTGGAAAAAAGAATCAGTGAACTTGATAGATCAAATGAAATGATTCAGTCTGAAGAGCAGGAAAATGAAAGAATGACAACAAAAAAGAATAGAGCCTAAAGACCTGTGTAACAACATCAAGAATGCCTACATACAGAATCCTGGTGGGGAGTGAGGGGCAGGAAGACTATTTGAAGAAATGTGTTTGAAAGCTTCCCAAATTTCACTAAAAACAAATATATACATTCAAAAAGCTCAGTGAACTTCAAGGAAATATACAAAGATATTCACACCAAGACACACTATGTTTCAAATTGTCAAAAGGCAAAGCGAATGTTTGAAAGCAGCAAGAGAAAGGCAACGCGTCATTTACAAAGGATCCTCAATAAGTTTGACAGCAGATAGTGCATTATAAGCCATGGATGCCAGAAGAGCTTAGGAAAAAGGCAACGCGTCATTTACAAAGGATCCTCAGTAAGTTTGACAGCAGAGAGCTCATTATAAACCATGGGTGCCAGAAGAGCTTAGGATGACATTTTAAAGTTCTGAAAGAAAAAAACACTGTCAACCAAAAATTCTATAACTTGGAAGATGCCCCTTCAAGTATTAAGGATAAATTACACATTCCCAGATTAAAAAAAAAGAAAGAGAGAGAGAGAGAAAGAGAAAGAAAGAAAGAAAGAAAGAAAGAAAGAAAGAAAGAAAGAAGAGAAAGAAGAAAGAGAAAGAAAGGAAGAAAGAGAGAGAAAGAGAGAGAGAGAGAGAGAGAAAAAGAAGGAAAGAAAGAAAGAAAGAAAGAAAGAAAGAAAGAAAGAAAAAAGAAAGAAAGAAAGAGAAAGAAAGAAAGAAAGAAAAGCAAGCAAGCTTTAAAAGTTCATGTTTGGTAGGCTGTACTTCAAGATACACTTTAAAAAAAAAGACTCCTTCACATACAAACTAAAAAACACTAGAAAGTAACTCAAAACCACATAAAGAAATAACTCCAGTAAAGATAACTACATAGGTAAATATAAAAGCAATTATCACATTTTTGTAAGTCTTTTTTAATATTCTATATGTTTTAAAACAAATGTGTAAAATAATGACTATAAATCTATGTTAATGAAGCATGATGTATAAAGATGTGGTTTGTGAAATTACCAACATAAAGAAATTCATAGGAAACTAAATAATAATAGAGATTTTGTATACTATTGAAGTTGTTTCAATTTACTCTAAATTGTTCCAAATTAAGAATGTTAATTGTAAATCCCCATGGTAACCACTAAGTTAATATCTTTTGAAAATACAGAAAAGGAAAGCAGAGGGTAAACACAGTGATATGCTACAAAATAGCAACTAAACACAAAAGAAGGCGATAATTGAGGAAATTAGGAACAAAGGAGGTATAAGACATACAGAAAACAAAAGCAAAATGGTAGGAGTAAGCCCCTCTTTATCAGTAATTACATTAAATACAAATGAATTAAACTCTCCAATCCAAAGAAAGAGATTGACAGAATGGATTTTTTAAAAATGATCCAACTATATTGTCCACAAGATACTCACTTTAGATCAAAATACACAATGAGTTGAAATGAAAAGATGGGAGAAAATATTCCATGTAAGTAATAACCAAAGGAGATCTGAGGCAAATATACTTATATCAGACAAAATAGACTTTAAGTCAAAAACTGTTACAAAATACAAAGAACAGTATATATTGATTTCAAAATTAATTAAGAAGATATAACAATTATAAATATATGTACACCAACTAACAGGGCTCCAAAATATATAATGTAACCATTGAGAGAATTAAAGGGAGAGACAGACAATTCCACGAAAATTGTTGGGCATTTGAAAACCCAACTTTAAATAAAAGATAAAACATCCAGAGCAAATATCAAGGGAGGAATTAGAGGATTTGAATAAAACTATAAGCAATAACTATAGATAACACTTCTCTCAAAAACTGCAGAATACACATTCTTCTCAAGTGAACATGGAACATTCTCCAGCACAGATGATACGTTAGGCCATAAGATAAGCTCAATAAACTTAAAAAGATTGAAATCATGCAAAGTATCTTCACTGGCCACAATGGAATGAAATAAGATATCAATAACAAAAGAAAAACTAGAAAATTTACAAATATTTGGAAATTAAACAACACAGTATTTACCAACCAATGAATCAAAGAACAAATCATGAGGGAAATTAGAAAATGTTTAGAGATGATTGAAAACAAATATATAACAAGATGGGTGTGATATATCAAAAGCAGTGCTCAGAGTTGTAACACCTACATTTTAAAAAAGAAACATGTCAAATCAATAACCAAACTTTACTCAATAAACCGTAAAAGGAAGAGCAAACAAAATCCAGAGCTAGCAGAAGGAAGGAAATGAAGATTAGAGCAGAGATAAATGAAATTGAGAATTAAAAAATTATACAGAGATCAACAAAATTAACAGGTGCTAGTAGAAAATATTAACTTTCTTTGTATTAACAGGTGTTAGTAGAAAGTAGTAGTAGGTGCTAAGATAAAAGCCATAATTAAACCTCCTGGTGAATGAACACACCATCACCTACAATCTTACCAAAAATAGAACCAAGCACGTGTCCTAGTCAAACCTCTGGATTCAACTGTCATTTGGATAAAACGCAAAGGATAGTGAAAATGTCGATCTTCACTGAGAGTCTCACCAGCAAATTTCACAGTGTGGACACCAAGTGACAAAAATCCCAAATTTTTCAACAAATATATTGTATGGGAAAGAAAACTTTGAAAAGAAACCTGTATGTTAGAAGGGATTTTAAAAACACGACAAATGAAAACAAATGGGCAAGACTAAATCATAGTGTCTTGGAATGCATGCAGGAAGGACACAGCCGTGAAAATGCAAGGACACCTCTACTGGAACAGTCATGTTTATCGTTACTTTTCAGGAGAAAGGTGGCTGCAACTGAGGAGAGTCACATGCTTCAGGGCTGGCAAAGTCCTATATCTTGACTTATGTGATGATTACAGGGATGTTTACAAAAATCAAACTATAAGTTTGTTTTGTGCCATGTTTTGTATTGTGTGTGTGTGTGTTTTGTTTTTCAACTTAAAAATAAATAAAATCAAAACCAAGGCTTCATTATCAAGTAGCACAAAGTCTCCAATCTATAACCTCCTTTGTCTGGATATCTGCATTTAACTACCATTGCCAGAGCTAATCCTGACAATGCATTCATATTTTTAACACTGAAACACAGTAAACAGGGAAAATTTTGCTCCTCTAAAACAGGGCATCTTCAGGCAATCAGAACAACTCAGAAAGTTTCTGTCTGTTGCATAAAACTCCCCTGTGCAAAGAGTTACACAAAATGCTGTCATAGTAAAGGTAGTTAACTAACGGCACTAATTGTTCTTGGGCAGTGGCCAAGTGGAACTTCAGAGACCTGGCATTGCCAGCCAGAAATCACTTGTCACGGGAATTGCCTCCTGGAATCACTTTGGTTGTCCCAGGGTAACGTAGGGAAAGTGGTTAATGGGTCACTTGGGGGTGGCATCTTCATCAGTAAATTACATTTACTTTCTCCTACTAAGAATTTTATTTTTGGCCATGAAGCCAGAAGTCAGCTCTTAAATAACAAGGGAAGCAAATAATCATTGAATAAAAATAGCAGAAAGAAAAAGCTGTGCAAAGAAATTTATGTTATTAATTTGTTATATATGTATATTTTTATCATACTTTAAGTTCTAGGGTACATGTGCACAATGTGCAGGAAAAAAAATTTATGTTTTTAAAATTTATTCTACATTATGAATTCTACATTAGAAAAATAAACCATAGCCTCATCACAGGCACTTAAATACACTGAAGCTGCCAAAACAATCTATCGTTTTGCCTACGTACTTATCAACTTCCTCATAGCAAACTGGGAGAAAAAAGCAATGGAATGAATAAAATGATAGCCACAAAAATCGAGGTGGGAGAAATACTTATTATATGTCCATAAAAAATTTTAATTAATGCAAAGTATTAACACCAATGATTGCAGTAATACAGATCTTACAAATGATAGTTTTAGTCTGAACAGGACTATCCAAAAGTTAATTTCTATAGTAACAGTTTTTAAATAAAATTTCAATTCCTGAAACACATAAAATGGTCCATGAGTATACAACGAGTGAAAAAAAACAAATTCAGAGCAAACATAAATTAAGAAGTATCTAATATTCAAACATAGTCAAAGAGAGGGAGATTTCTGGATAATCACTTAAGCCCCTGGTTAAACATAAATGCACATATGTTAATGTTTACTGAATAACTTATCGGTGCCAAGTGGTGTATTAATGATTCATTTTTATTTTTCACTAAATCTTTTCTCTAAAGTTGGCGTAGCCTGCAAGTAAATGCAGGAAATCTGACCTAGAACCTGCACTTCTTACCATTTTGCTCATATTTATTCCCTGTGCATTTTTGTAACATGTATATGTTATATATATAGAAAGAGAGAGAGGCAGAGATGGAAAGTAATTTATGGAGTTTGATGTTATGTCAGGGTAATTACATGATTATATAATTAACAGAGGTTTCTTTTTAAATCAGCTATATCAATAGAAAAATAAATGTAGGAATCAAGAGACTCATTCTGTCCATCTGTGATAGTTCCATCATGATACTGCATTGTCAAGTCATTGCCCCAAAAATATGGTTTAGCTCAACACTGAGTGACTATAGGAAACCAGAAACCAGGCTGGGCGCTAAAGATGCAAAGATGAATGAGACATCATCTCTGCCGTCCAAAAGCTTACTGTCTAGTGGGAGAGTTACACACGTAAGGACAGTAATCTAATAAGAGCTAATAAGTGAAAACTAAGATAAGTTAATAATACAAGATTACAGGGAAGGTTTCCAAAGTCAATGAGGCCTCAAATGAGTCTTGAAAGTGTGCAAGGATTAACCAAATGAAGAAATGTGTAAGCTTTTCAAACAAAAAGGAACAGCATGAGCAAATGCAAGGAGGCCTAAAATAAAGAGATGTGTAAAGAGGTGTAAGCAGCTTTGTACTGCTGCCTGATAATTAGAAGAATATCGGGAGTAACAAGAGCTATAGAAGAGAGTCACAATTACGGAAAAATATTTATTAAATTATAAGAAATTTATAGCATAAGGAATAGTCGGACCATTAAATGTTTTAATAAAGATGATGCTTCTTTTTTTAATATTTATTTTTATTATACTTTAAGTTCTAGGGTACATGTGCACAACATGCAGGTTTGTTACATATGTATACATGTGCCATGTTGGTGTGCTGCACCCATTAACTCATCATTTACATTAGGTATGTCTCCTAACGCTATCCCTCCCCCCTCCCCCCACCCCACAACAGGCCCCGGTGTGTGATATTCCCCTTCCTGTGTCCGTGTTCTCATTGTTCAAGTCCCACCTATGAGTGAAAACATGCGGTGTTTGGTTTTTTGTTCTTGAGATAGATGATGCTTTAAATTGACCACTCTAGCTGCATTGTGGGAGGAAAAAAGATTTTAGAACAAGACTAGAAACAGAATAATTAGAAAAATGCAACTACAATGCAGATGAGTGATGATCAAGGTCTGAACTGAATAGTGGAAATAGAGATAAGGAGGCAAATTCAAGAAATGTGTGTGACAGTAAAATTAACATGACCTGGTGTTTGATTGACTCTGTAAAGTGAAAGGATGAATAATCAACAAATAATATTTATTCTACCAAATGCCTCCATGCCGCTCTGATGACAGGATAATATGTAAGCTTTTCTATATCTCAGAAACTATATGACATGACGAAAAGTAAAAAGGGGATGGGGGTAAGGAGGTATCCTGAATTGACTGAGAAATAAGGAGGTATTCCACAGAGAATATAAAAAAACATATACTTAGTGTTCAAGGAATAATAAAAAAGAGAACATCTATGTGTCCACCATACAGGATATGAAATAGAACATTTGCCGGCCATGGTTGCTCACACCTGTAATCCCAGTACTTTGGGAGGCCGAGGTGGGAGGATCACTTAAGCCCAGGACACAGGTTGCAGTGAGCCAAGATCACACTATCGTACTCCAGCCTGGGCCACCATGTCTCAGAAAAATAAAAAAACTAGATGTCTTGGAGGATTGGAAACAAAATAGAACTTTACTAGTGCCTTAGACACCCATTGGGTGCTCCTTGCCAATTGTGTTCTCCTTTATTTCCTGCTGGATATGACCACTGTCCTTCCATTGCATTGTATGTGTTTTTTAATAGACTTTAATGGTTCTCAAGTGATGCATTATTTAGTTTGGTTCTTTGAAACTTATATAAATGAAATTATTTTGTAGAAGTTCTTTCACCTTTATCAGAAGGTACTTTCACCTTGATTCAATAAGTTTGCATATTACAACCTTGTTGAATGTTGCTGTAATTCATCCATTCATATTGCTATATGATATTCCACTACATGAATATGTCGGACTTCATTCCTCAGATCTATTGTTGATGAACACTTGAAATTTTTCCAGTTTTTAACCATTACAAACAATGCTGCTATGAACATTCTTTTGTAAATCACCTGGTTCATATGTGCAAGATATCCTCTGGGGTATATATTTAAAAGTAAAATTATTGAGTTATTCAACATTACCATGAAATGCTACACTATTTTTTTTAACAATCCTACCAATTCACACTTCTACCACGAACAGATAAGCATTACCATTGGTCTTCATTTGTAGGAACCATATTTGTCTTTTGCTCTGGGGGCTTTGTTTTGTTTTGCTTTGTTTTTTGCTTAGAAGTGCTTTGGCTATTTGGGATCTTTTTTGGCTCCATGTGAACTTTAGGATTTTTTTTTAATTTTGTGAAAAATAACGTTGATAATTTGATGGGAATTGCATTAACTCTATAGATTGTATGGGTGATATGGTCACTTTAGCTATTGATTTTTCTAATCCATGAGCATGGGATGTTTTTCCATTTGTTTATGTCATCTATAATTTCTTTCATTAGTATTTTGTAGTTCTCCTTGTAGAGATCTTTCATTTATATAGTTATGCATTCCTAGGTATTTTTCATGGCTATTGTAAATTCAGTTGAGTTCTTAATTTGGTTCTCAACAAATTAATCTCAACAAACATTCAAACAGCTTGAATGTTTTTGGTGTATAGAAATACAACTGATTTTTGTGGCTTGTTTATCCCAAGACTTTACTGAAGTCGTGTATCAAGTCTAGGAGTCTTCTGAAGACTTTAGGGTTTTCCAGGCCTACAGTCATGTCATCAGTGAGCAGAGATCATTTGACTTCTTTTCTAATTTGTATACCTTTTATTTCTTTCTCCTTTCTGATAGTTCTGGCTAGCACTTCCAGTAATGTATTGAATAGGAATGATGAAGGTGAACATCCTTGCTTTTTTCCAGTTTCTAGAAGCAACACTTCCAACTTTTGCCCATCCAGGATGATGTTGGCTGTGGCTTTGTCATAGATGACTCATTTTTTGAGGTATACTCCATCTATACCTATATTGTTGAGGGTTTTTATCATAAACAGATGTTGGATTTTATCAAATGCTTATTCTGCATCTAATGAGATGATCATAGGGTTTTTGTTCTCAGTTCCATTTATGTGGTGAATCATGTTTATTGATTTGTCTATTTTGAACCATTCAAGCACCCCTGGAATAAAGCCCACTTGATCATGATGAATTATCTTTTTGATGTGCTGTTAGCTTCAGTTTGCTAGAATTTTGTTGAGTATTTTTACATCTGTGTTGATCAGGGATAAGGATTTGTAGTTTTCTTTTGTGTTCTTTTTAAAAATTTTCCTTGTTAATTTTACTGCACAGTATTATTTTAATGATGAATAAAGTGTTGAGCTGGACATGTGTACCTTGTTCCTCGTGTTAGAATGAAACTGTTTAATATGTCATGATTATTTATAATGTTGAGAGTAGTTTTTGTGTATATATTAAGATATTTACATCAGTTCTCTTCTATTCCTAGCTTGTTATTATTACAAATAGTTTCAAATGTGAACAAGTGCTTTACCCGCAGCTATTGAAATAACCATATTTTTTTCTTTTATTCAGTTAATGTGGTTAATTTCATTGTTTGGTTTTCTAATTTTAAACCATACATTCTTGAAATTACTGCACTTAGTCACGATGTATTTTTCTTTGGAGTATATTGTTGGATATTTGCAAACATTTTTGTTTAGAATTATTATGTAGTATATTAGTCTGTAATTTCATTTCTTTTAATATCCTTGTATGGTTTTATTATCATGGAGGTACCACCATATAAAACAAGTTGGAAAGTGTTATGTCTTCCCAATTCTCTAAAAATATTCATGTAACATTGGCATTATTTCTTTATTAAATATTTGGTAATATTTCTTTATTAAATATTGCATCCACCTAGCCCTGGAGTTCTTTCTACAGGAAAAAAAAATTTTCTAAATAAAATTTCTACAATGAAAAAAAAACTACTCAGTTTTTCTAGTTTTTTTCTGATCATTTCATAAAAGTAGGTGTTTTTCATAGGAACTTGACCATTCCTTATGATTGTCAAATTTATTAATATAAAGTTTCATATTTTATATTTATTTTATCAGATAAATAAAATTATATGTTTTGAAATATATATTCATTGTAAAATAGCCATGTTAAGCTAACATATGCATTACCTTACATGCTTATCTTTTTTTATGAGAACACTTAAAAATCTACTCTTAGCAATTTTGAAGAATACAAGTACATCCCCTATGGAGAACAGTTTGAAGGCTCCTCAAAAAAGTAAAAATAGAGCTACCATGTGGTCCAGCAATCCCACTGCTGCATATATACCCCCCAAAAAAGAAATCAGTATATCGAAGAGATATCTGCACTCCCGTATTTGTTGCAGCACTATTTACAATAGCGAAGTTATGGAGTCAACCTAAGTGTCCATCAACAGATGAATGAATAAAGAAAATGTGGTACTTATATACAATGAAGTACTATTCAGCCATAAAAAGGAATGAGACCCTGTCATTTGCAACAACATAGATGAAACTGGAGGTCATTATGTTAAGTGAAATAAGCCAGGCACAAAAAGACAAATACTATGTGTTATCACTTATATGTGGAATCCAAAAAGCAAACAACTGAACTCATGGAGATAGAGAGTAGAAGGAAGTATACCAGAGGCTGTGAAGGGTAGTGGGGGTTGGGAGAGGTGGGGGATGGTTAATGGGTACAAAAAAAGAAAGATTTAATAAGACCTAGTATTTGATAGCACAACAGGGGGATTGCAGTCTAAAATTCAATTATACATTTAAAAATAACTGAAAGAGTATAACTGGATTGTTTATAACACAAATAATAAATGCTTGAGGGGATGAATATCCAATTTTCCATTATGTACTTATTGTACATTGCATGCCTGTACCAAAATATTTCATGTACCCCATAAATGTATACACCTGCTATGTACCCACAAAAATTAAATTTAAAAACAATACATTGTTATCCACTATAGTCACCATATTGCACAATAGATCTGTTGAATTCATTCCTCCTGTACAATGCAATTTTGTACCCTTCGACCAACATCTACCCAATCCTCCTGGTAACCATCATTCTACTCTGTACTTCTATGTGTTCAGCCTTCTTAGACCTCCACATACAAGTGAGACTATGCAGTATCTGGCTTTCTGTGCCTGGATTATTTTACTCAGTATAATGTCCTCCCGGTTCATTCATGTTGTCACAAATGATACTTTTTTTATTTTTTAAGGTTGTATACTATTCTATTGTGTATGTGTACCACGTTTTCTTCATCCACTCATGTGTCGATGGATACTTAAGTTAATTCCACATCTTGGCTGTTGTGAATAATGCTACAATAAATATGGGAGTACAGATAACTCATTGACACACTGATTTGATATCTTTTTAATATATGCCCAGAAATAGCATTACTGGATCATATGGTAATTCTATTTTTACAGAATCATTTATACTGTCTTTTACAATGGCTGAAATAATTTACATTCTCAACAATTACAAGGTTTTCCTTTTCTCCACATCCTCTCCAACACTTGGTATCTTCTGCCTTTTCTGTAACAGCCATTCTAACGGATGTGAAATGGCATTTTATTGTAGTTTTAATATGCATTTCTCTGATGATCAGTGATAATTAGCATTTTTATATATCTGTTGGCCATTTGTATGTCTTCTTTTGAGAAATGTCTATTTAGATCCTTTGTCAATTTTTCATTAGGGTTCCCTGTTTTCTTATTATTGAGTTGTTTGTGTTCCTAAGATATTTTGGACATTAGCCTCTTATCAAATGTATAGTTTGCAGATAATTTCTCCCATTTTGTAGGTTATCACTTCACTCTGTTGACTTTCTTTTGCTGTGCAGAAGCTTTTTAGGTTGATGCTATTCCATTTGTGTTTTGTTGCTTTTCTTGCCTGTGCTTTAGAGTCATATCATAAAATATTATTGCCCAGACCAATGTCTTGGAGTTATTCCCCTGTTTTCTTCTAGGAGTTCTATAGTGCTAGGTCTTACATTTAAGTCTAACTTATTTTGAGTTTATATTTTTATATGGTATGAAATAAGGGCCTAATATCAATCTTGTGGACATTCAGTTTTCTCAACACCATTTTTTTGAAGAGACTGTTCTTTCCCCATGTGTGTTCCTGGCACCTTTGTTGAAAGTCAATTGACTATAATATGTAGATTTATTTATGGGCTCTTTATTCTGTGTAATTGGTCTATGTGTCTGCGTTTATGCCAGTACCATGGTGTTTCGATTGCTATAGCTATGTAGTATAATTTGAAGTCAGGTAATGTGATATCTCCTGCCTTGCTTTTTTTGATCAAGATTCTTTTGGCTTTTCAGAGTTTTTTGTGATTCCATACAGATTTGAGAGTTGTTTTTCTATTTCTGTGGGAAAATGTCATAGGAATTTGGTAGAGATTGCATTCAATATGTACATCACTTTGGATAGTATGAACATTTCAAACATATTACTTTTTCCAATCCATGAACATGAGATATCTTTCCATTTATTTGTGGCTTCTTCAATTGCTTTCATCAATGTTTTGTAGTTTTCAGTGTAAAGATCATTCACCTCTTTGTTTAAATTTACATCTAAGTATTTTTTGTTGCTATTATAAATAGGATTGTTTTCTTGATTTCTTTTTTTGTATAGTTTGTTGTTGATGTGTAGAAATGCTACTGAATTTTGTATGTTCACATTGTATCCTGCAACTTTACTAAATTCATTTATGAATTCTAAATTTTTTGGCAGAGTTATTGGTGTTTTCTATATATAAGATCATGTCAACTGCAAACAGAAACAATTTAACTTCTTCCTTTCCAATTTTCATGCCTTTTATTTCTTTCTTTTGCCTAATTGCTCTGGCTAGGACATCCAGTACTATGTTGAATAGAAGTTCTGAGAGTGGGCACCCTTGTATGAAATTTTCCACAACATCTCTTATCTTTTTATTAGCTATATATTAATACGGATGTTTCTTCTTCATCAGGAGTTTGAAAAATATGTCTTTTCTCTATATTGTTCTTAATCAGTCTTCCTAGAAGTATTTCAATTTCAAAAAGTAGCAACAACTGTGGGAGTTCAGTCAGGCTGGTGGGAAAAATTTTAAAGATAGTTATAAGAAATCGACACAAACCTTCATGGAAGGCTGGGGGTGTTGTATAGCTTCAGTAATAGATCTGAATGAAGGCGGCCTAATCCTTCCTTGAGTAAATAGCTTAAAGTAGGTGCAAAGGAATGTAAGGGAGTTTATCTAAATAACTTGTTTACTCATGTGGTCCTGAAGCCAACCTTTGATCATTCACAGGCAGGATGGCTCTCTCTCGGGGGAGGGTGACCAGGTTAATTACCCTCTATTTGTGTTGACTAAAAGCCCCTGTCATTTAATGTTTTTTCAATAAATGCTGGCAGGGCTAGCTAGTCAGGGCTCGTGGCTGCCAGAACTCTTTCTGTGCACGGCCCAGCCCCCTAGCGGCTCTTTCACTGAATAATTGGTGTCTGAGTACATTATTCATCCCTCGTGCAGCTGGGGTCTGCAGGACAGACCCCCACAAACAACAATTTGCAAAAGCAAACTTCCCTGTTTTGTTTTTTTCCCAAGATGATAAATTAGAGGCTTTTAGTGTGCCTCGGCCACTTAGAAATAGCAAGAGAGTGCACAAAGGTCAACTCTGTGAGCTCTAAGTCAAGAAGGAAAATGGGAATCCACCAGAATCATGAAGGACATCATAGATCCCAAGAAGGAGAATGTGAGCAAACAGTCAACATGACAGCAACCAGCTTATAAAAGTGAGCGAAGTCCTAGTATGTGAGAGAGGCAGAGAGCCTCCCTCTGTAACTGACATTTTCACTGTGAATCTGAGCAACCCCAGCCAAGTTGTTGCATTTTGTTTCTCCCAAGGCCTGGAGTCAACATGGGGAGAGGCTTGGAGATGCTGTGAAGCAAAGACACTGGGAACAGCTGCAGACATTTTCCCAGACCAGGAAGTAAGAGCAAGATGCCATTTTCAATCTGGATGCATGCAAAGTCAGCTTTTTTTTTTCTTTTTGTGACCCAGCAGAATGCCTGCACAGGCATTTTAGTCTCAGGCCAAAGATTGGAACAACTGCTTTGGGTCTTGGTAGGGACCTTCACAGCCATATTGTGGGAAACACCTCAGCAGTATGTGCTGGAATTGTGCTTTCCCCCATCGCAGCCTCGGGGCAACAGAAAAGCTGCTACAGCTGTAATTTCTCCCAGGTGATGAAACTTGCAGCCAGGGCCAGCTTGGAGACCTACAACCAGTCTGCAGGTGTCATTGCTGGGTGCCCCAGCCTGTTCCCCTGACAATGTGATACAGCAGGGCTTTCTCTGCTTCACCCCCAGGCAGAAATTCAGGCATTGGAGCACCTGTCTACCTGGACCAGCATCCTGAGCTACCCCACCGTTTGTAAACATAGGTTGTGGTGCAGTGGGGCCCTCTCCAGTCTATGGCCAGGCAGATTTCCAGGTATGTGGAGCACCCACTTGACTGGATCAGCAGCCTGAGCTTCCCCAACCTTCCTGTGCTGAGATTATAGTGCAGTGAGGCCCTCTCATCTCCACACATAGGCAGACCTCCAAGCAATTAGAGCACCTGCTCCTATGGAGAACTTAAATTTACAAGAAAAAAAACCATCAAAAATTGGCCAAAGGACATGAACAGACAATTCTCAAAAGAAGACATGGATGTGGCCAACAAACATATGAAAAAAAGCTCAAATCACTGATCATTAGAGAAATGCAACTCAAAAGCACAATGAGATACTATCTCAAACCAGTCTTAATGGTGATTATCAAAAACTCCAGAAACAACAGTTGCTGGTAAGGCTGTGGAGAAATAGGAATGCTTTTACACTGTTTGTGGGAATGTAAATTAGTTCATTCACTGTGGAAGACAGTGTGACAATTCCTCAAAGATCTAGAACCAGAAATGCCATTTGCCCCAGCAATCCCTTTACTGGGTATATGCCCAAAGGAATATAAATCACTCTATTATAAAGATACATGCACAGGGCTGGGTGCAGTGGCTCACACCTGTAATCCCAGCACTTTGGGAGGCCAAGGCCGGTGGATCACCTGAGGACAGGAGTTTGAGACCAGCCTAGCCAACATGGGGAAACTCCATCTCTACTAAAAATACAAAAATTAGCCAGGTATAGTGGTGCACACCTGTAATACCAGCTACTTTGGAGGCTGAGGCAGGAGAATCGCTGGAACCCAGGAGGCAGAGGTCAAAGTGAGCCAAGATCATACCATTGCACTCCAGCCTGGGCAACAAGAGCAAAACTCCATCTCAAAAAAATATATATATATACATATACATACATATATATACATATATATACACATATATATACATATATATACACATATATATACATATATACATATATTATATATGTAAATGTATATATATGTGTATATATATACACACATATATATACACATATATATACATATTATAACTACATATATATACACACACACATACATATACATGCACACATATGTTTATTGCAGCACTATTTACGATAGAAAATACATGGAATCAACCCAAATGCCCATCAATGATATATTGGATAAAGAAAATGTGATATATATTCACCATGGAATACTCTGCAGCCATTAAAATAAATGAGATCATGTTCTTTGCAGGGACATGGATGAAGCTGGAAGCCATCACCGTCAGCAAACTAACACAGGAACAGAAAACCAAACACCACATGTTCTCAGTCGTAAGAGGGAGTTGAACAATGAGAGCAAACACATGGATACATGGAGGGGAACAACACATACCAGGGCCTCTCAGGGGGACAGGGGTTAGGAGACCATCAGGACAAACACGTGGATACATGGAGGGGAACAACACACACCAGGGCCTCTCAGCGGGACAGGGGGTAGGAGACCATCAGGACAAACACGTGGGTACATGGAGGGGAACAACACACACCAGGGCCTCTCAGGGGGACGGGGGGTAGGAGACCATCAGGACAAACACGTGGATACATGGAGGGGAACAACACACACCAGGGCCTCTCAGGGGGACAGGGGGTAGGAGACCATCAAGACAAACACGTGGATACATGGAGGGGAACAACACACACCAGGGCCTCTCAGGGGGACGGGGGTAGGAGACCATCAGGACAAACACGTGGGTACATGGAGGGGAAAAACACACACCAGGGCCTCTCAGGGGGACAGGGGGTAGGAGACCATCAGGACACACACGTGGGTACATGGAGGGGAACAACACACACCAGGGCCTCTCAGGGGGACAGGGGGTAGGAGACCATCAAGACAAACACGTGGATACATGGAGGGGAACAACACACACCAGGGCCTCTCAGGGGGACAGGGGGTAGGAGACCATCAGGACAAACACGTGGATACATGGAGGGGAAAAACACACACCAGGGCCTCTCAGGGGGACAGGGGGTAGGAGACCATCAGGACACACACGTGGGTACATGGAGGGGAACAACACACACCAGGGCCTCTCAGGGGGACAGGGGGTAGGAGACCATCAGCACAAACACGTGGGTACATGGAGGGGAACAACACACACCAGGGCCTCTCAGGGGGACAGGGGGTAGGAGACTATCAAGACAAACACGTGGATACATGGAGGGGAACAACACACACCAGGGCCTCTCAGGGGGACGGGGGGTAGGAGACCATCAGGACAAACACGTGGGTACATGGAGGGGAACAACACACACCAGGGCCTCTCAGGGGGACGGGGGGTAGGAGACCATCAAGACAAACACGTGGGTACATGGAGGGGAACAACACACACCAGGGCCTCTCAGGGGGACAGGGGGTAGGAGACCATCAGGACAAACACGTGGGTACATGGAGGGGAACAACACACACCAGGGCCTCTCAGGGGGACAGGGGGTAGGAGACCATCAGGACAAACACGTGGGTACATGGAGGGGAACAACACACACCAGGGCCTCTCAGGGGGACGGGGGGTAGGAGACCATCAGGACAAACACGTGGGTACATGGAGGGGAACAACACACACCAGGACCTCTCAGGGGGACAGGGGGTAGGAGACCATCAAGACAAACACGTGGGTACATGGAGGGGAACAACACACACCAGGGCCTCTCAGGGGGACAGGGGGTAGGAGACCATCAAGACAAACACGTGGGTACATGGAGGGGAACAACACACACCAGGGCCTCTCAGGGGGACAGGGGGTAGGAGACCATCAGGACAAACACGTGGATACATGGAGGGGAACAACACACACCAGGGCCTCTCAGGGGGACGGGGGGTAGGAGACCATCAAGACAAACACGTGGGTACATGGAGGGGAACAACACACACCAGGGCCTCTCAGGGGGACAGGGGTAGGAGACCATCAGGACAAACACGTGGGTACATGGAGGGGAACAACACACACCAGGACCTCTCAGGGGGACAGGGGGTAGGAGACCATCAGGACAAACACGTGGATACATGGAGGGGAACAACACACACCAGGGCCTCTCAGGGGGACGGGGGGTAGGAGACCATCAGGACAAACACGTGGGTACATGGAGGGGAACAACACACACCAGGGCCTCTCAGGGGGACAGGGGGTAGGAGACCATCAAGACAAACACGTGGGTACATGGAGGGGAACAACACACACCAGGGCCTCTCAGGGGGACAGGGGGTAGGAGACCATCAGGACAAACACGTGGGTACATGGAGGGGAACAACACACACCAGGGCCTCTCAGGGGGACGGGGGTAGGAGACCATCAGGACAAATAGCTAATGCATGCAGGGCCTCATACCTAGGTGATGGGTTGATGGGTGCAGGAAACCACCATGGCACACATTTACCTATGTATCAAACCTACACTTTCTGCACGTGTATCCCAGAACATAAAATAAAATTTAAAAAATATATACACTGATTCATGATCTCCTTTCTCTCCTTCTGAAACACTCTTTAAAACTTTTTAGCATTTCCCCCTCTGTCTTCCATGTCTCCTAACTACATGTTTCTTATTTTCCATTTCCTTATTCCTGTGTTCATTTTGGATAGCCCCTTCTGACCTATATTACAGTTTACTAGTTCACTCTTTAACTGCTTCTAACATACTAATATTCTGTTGAAACCATTCATTTGGGTTTAAATTTCAATTATGTTATTCTCTATGGACATTCTATTTGTTTTCTTTTAATCTTCTTGGCCATTCTCTAGAGTTTCCTGTTCCATTATGATATTTTTAATTTTTTGTTTTACTTTAAACATACTAAATATAGTTATTTTATTTTCTGTATCTGATACTTTCAATAACTGCAGTCTTTGCTAGTCTTTTTTCTGTGCTCTTGCTCATAGTTTTTTTCGTTTGTTTTCATGATTAGAAAAACAGAGAGAGAAGAAGGAGAGTAAAGGGAGGAGGAGGAGGAGGAGAAAAGAAGAAAGCAGAGAAGAAGGGACAGAGAAAAAAAGGAAGTTGGTTCTAACGTTTCTCTAACAACTGGCTTCAGTGAAACGCTCCCACCTTGTGGATTTTTAGGTTATTGAAATTAACCAGTCTTCTGGGTGCAGCACACCAACATGGCACATGTATACATATGTAACAAACCTGCACTTTGTGCACATGTACCCTAAAACTTAAAGTATAATAAAAAATAAAATAAAAAGCTACACAAATTAAAAAAAAAAAGAAATCAACCTAATTCCTAGATTACCACCTCTTGATTCAAATGCTTTAAATCTAGGCTTTTCATATGAGTCTTTCTTTTTAGTTATTCTGTTTATCTTCAAAACACTCCTGCTTTGAATCATTCAAAATCTACCTCCCTCCCTCTGTTTGACTACCATCAATTTTTTTGCTCATTCCTAATGCATTAATCTATTAGCTGTGAATATCCAAAAACCCTCATTTCACTGAATCTTTGACAGACCCCTTTGCATCCTCTTGTTCTTCTAATTATTTCCTCAGAAACTTTATGTTCTCTTTTCTTTACAAGCATGTCATAGTTTATATACAATGTGTGTATTGTTTTTATATATACCTATATATAGCCTCTTTTTAAAAGCACTGTACACCATGCTTTGAAATATATTCTAAAATCAGGTAGCATGAAAATGGAAACATAACATACTAAAACATATGGGATGCAACAAAAGCAGTTATAAGAGGGACATTTATAGCAATAAATGCCTACATCAAAAAAGAAAAAAAGATCTCAAATAAGCAACCTAATATTATGCCTAAAGGAGCGAGAAAATTAGAGAACAATACAAGCCCAAAGATAGCAGAAGGAAACAAATAACAAAGATCAGAGCAGAAATAATATAATAGAAACTGAAAATTTCAATAAAAATAAGAATTGTTTTTTGAAAAGATAAACAAAATTAACAAATTCTTACATAGACTAAGAAAAAAGAAAACAAACTCAGAAATGAAAGAAGAGACATTACAACTGATACCACAGAAGTTAAAAAATCATAACATACTACTATAAATAATTATTCACCAGCAAATTAGATAACCTAGAAGAAATTGATAAACTCGTACCAAAACTGAATCATGAAGAATTCAAAATTTAGAACAAATCGTGAATAAGGAAATTAAATCACCAATGAAAGGTCTCTCATAAAAGAAAGACCCAGGATTGAATGGCTCGGTGGCTGGATTCTAACAAACACTTAGATAACTAACACCAATCCTTCTCAAACGCTTCCAGAAACATGAAGAAGAGGAATACTTCCAAATTCATTTTTCAAAACCAGCATTACCCTGATACCAAAACCAGAGAAGGACACTATAATAAAAATAAATTGCAGACCAATACTCCTGATGAACTTAGATGGAAAAACCCTCAGCCAAATATTAGCAAATATTATTTTTAAAAAAACACAGCAAAAGAATTCACCATGCTTAAGTGGGATTCATCCCTGGGAAGCTTATTAGTCTTATTTGATTCGTGTAATCAGAAAATTTCTATGTCTAGTGAAGAGAAATGAGAGCAATAGAGACTCATAGCACCTCAACAAATTTCCAGGCTTGAGCCAGTTAACAAATACGAGTCCTTCAAATACAAAAAAGACTGTGAAAGAAAATAGAACAGATCAATGAAACTAAGAATTTGTTCTTTGAAAAGATAAACAAAACTGACAAACCATTAGCTAGACTAGAAAAACGAGAGAATACTCAAAGCAATAAAATCAGAAATGAAAGAGGAAATATTGCAACTAATACCACAGAAATACAGAGGATCATAAGAGGCCACTATAAACAATTACAAGCCAACAAATTGGATAACCTAGAAAAAGCAGATAAATTTCTAGAAAAATGCAACTTACCTAGAGAAAGTCAAGAAGAAAGATAAAATCTGAACAGAACAATACTGAGTATGGAGAGTATATCAATAATAAAACATCTCCCATCAAAGAACATCCCAGGACCAGAAAACTTCATTGCTGAATTCTAACATTTTAAAAAATAATAATACAATCCTTCTGAAATTCTTCCAAAAACTTGAAGGAGAAAGAGTATTTCCAAACTCATTTTAAAAGATCAGCATTATTGTTTTTTTTTTTAAAGTGATGTTCCCCTTCCTGTGTCCATGTGTTCTCATTGTCCAATTCCCACCTATGAGTGAGAACATGTGGTGTTTGGTTTTTTGTCGTTGCAATAGTTTGCTGAGAATGATGGTTTCCAGCTTCATCCATGTCCCTACAAAGGACATGAACTCATCCTTTTTTATGGCTGCATAGTATTCCATGGTGTATATGTGCCACATTTTCTTAATCCAGTCTATCATTGTTGGACATTTGGATTGGTTCCAAGTCTTTGCTATTGTGAACAGTGCCACAATAAACATATGTGTGCATGTGTCTTTATAGCAGCATGATTTGTAATCCTTTGGGTATATACCCAGTAATGGGATGGCTGGGTCAAATGGTATTTCTAGTTCTAGATCCTTGAGGAATCGCCACACTGTCTTCCACAATGGTTGAACTAGTTTACAGTCCCACCAACAGTGTAAAAATGTTCCTATTTCTCCACATCCTCTCCAGCACCTGTTGTTTCCTGACTTTTTAATGATGGCCATTCTAACTGGTGTTAGATGATATCTCATTGTGGTTTTGATTTGCATTTCTCTGATGGCCAGTGATGATGAGCATTTCTTCATGCGTCTGTTGGCTGCATAAATGTCTTCTTTTGAGAAGTGTCTGTTCATATCCTTTGCCCACTTTTTGATGGGGTTGTTTGTTTTTTTCTTGTAAATTTGTTTGAATTCATTGTAGATTCTGGATATTAGCACTGGGGCCTGTTGTGGGGTGGGGGGAGGGGGGAGGGATAGCATTAGGAGATATACCTAATGTTAAATGATGAGTTAATGGGAGCAGCACACCAGCATGGCACATGTATACATATGTAACTAACCTGCACGTTGTGCACATGTACCCTAAAACTTGAAGTATAATAAAAAAACAAAAACGAAAAAATAAAAACAAAAATAAAAAGGCAAACAAGGACACTATAAGAAAAGTATGGGTCAACCAATATCCCTGATGAACATAGATACAAAAGTCCTCAAAAAAAAGTGCTAGCAAACAGAATTTAGCAACACATTAGGAGAACATTTACCATGATAAAGTGGATTTATCCTCCAGATGGTTCAGCATACACAAATCAAATGTGATAAACCACATTAACAGAATGAAGGATAAAAAAAATAGCTATCTCTATATATGCAGAAAAAGCATTTGACTAAATTCAAAATCCTCTCATGACAAAATCTCTCAACAAATTGGGCGTAGAAGGCATGTACCTTAACACAAAACAGGACATATATAACAAGCTCACAGCTCACATCATACCCAACAATGAAAAAGTGAAATCTTTTCTGCTAAGATCAAGAACAAGACAAGGATATTTATTCTCACTACTTCTATTCAACTTATTTCTGGAAGTCCTAGCCAGAGCAATTAAGCCAAATAAAGAAATAAAAGATATTCAAATTGAAAAGGAAGAAGTAAAATTGTCTCTGTTTGATGACATATTATATATAGGAAACCCTAAAAACTCCACCAAAAAGCTATTAGAAATGATAAATGAATTCAATAAAATTGCAGAATTCAAAATCAATGTATAAAACTCAGTAGTTTCTTTACACTGACAACAAACTATATGACAAAAATAAAGAAATCAATCTCATTCACGGTAGCATCAAAAAAACCGTATTTTTTTTTGTTTAGGAGCACATTTAGGATTGTACTTAGGAGTACATTTAACCAAGGAGGTGAAAGATCTGTATTCTGAACACTATAAAACATTGATGAAAAAATTGTAGATGACATGAATACATGGAAAGATATTTTATGTTCATGGGTAGGAAGAATTAATATTCTTAAAATGTCCTTACTGCCCAAAGTGATTTATAGGTTTAATGCAATATTTATCAAAATTTCAATGTCATTCTTCACAGAAATAGAAAAAACAATTTGAAAATTTATATGGAACCACAAAGGACCCTGAATAACTAAAGGACTCTTGAGCAATAAGAACAAAGCTGAAGGCCTCACAATCTGACTTCAAAACATATTACAGGAAAAGAACAAAAGAAGGAAGAAGAGGGTAGAGGAGAAGTGCAGCAAGGGTGGAGGGAGGTGCCCGCGCTGGGTCGGAGGAGCAGGAGGAGTATGGAGGGAAGACTCCTGGGTGGCATGAAGCTCTTGCACCTCTAGGCACTGCCCAGCCCTGTGTCAGCCAGGGCTGAACCCCCACAGGATAAGGAAGCCTGTGTGTGTACCAACAATCAAAGCTACATCTGTGACACAACAGGACACTGCTATGGGCAGTCTCAGTGTTGTAACTACTACTATAAACATTGATGGTTCTGGTTGGCATGGACCATCACCATCATCCTGAGCTGCTGCTGTGTCTGCCACCACAGCCAAGCCAGCCCTCAAGTCTAGCAGTAGCAACATGAAATCAACCTGACTGCCTATCCAGAAGCCCGCAATTACTCAGTGCTACCATTTTATTTCACCAAACTATTTATTACCTTCTTATGAGGAAGTGGTGAACTAATCTTCACCTGTTTCCCTCCCTGTCTGTCCATTGTAGATGAGCTCTGAGCCGTTTTCCTGTGAAGATTCTTTGAATTGTGGCCATTCTATTCACATGAACTCTCACATCTGGAGCACAGATGGCCCTCTCAAGGTAATTTATTGTATGCATTGACTGTTTACCAAACAAATGTCTTACTATGTACTCAGGTATATTCAGCAGCATTGTCGACTGCAGTCCCCAGTGCTTGCCAGAAGATACTGTATTCAAAGTAGAAGTTTCACAGTGATGAGCAATCACTGCAATTTTCCCATTGCTCCATGGACTCTCGGAGGCCGGTGTTCTGTTCCCTGTAAATAGAAATGTACTCTGAACCTTTCTGCCTCCCTCAGCTGTTCCTAGTCCTTGGTATCAGCCCCTGGAGATGTCCACAACCACTTAGGACAAAAGGCAAAAGTGGAATTTCAGACAAAACTTTGATAGGATCTTCAGTGATAAACTTGGACTAACTGTGGCCCAGGTATCAGCACTCCCAAGAATTGCCAGGAGGAAGCTTTGGCAGACACCACAGGTATAGCAAGGCCTATCTCCCTCCGCTGAATCCAACAGGGGCAAGCAAGCTGGCATGTGGCTTGAGGTGACCCGAATATGTCAGCACCCCTCAGATGTCCTTCTTTGCACTTTTAAAAAAAATCTCAGAATTTGCTGGCAACATGGCCAAATAGGAACAGCTCCAGTCTGCAGCTCCCAGTGAGATCAATGCAGAATGCAGGTGATTTCTGCATTTCCAACTGAGGTACCTGGTTCATCTCACTGGGACTGGTTGGACAGTGGGTGCAGCCCACGGAGGGTGAGCCAAAGCAGAATGGGGCTTCGCCTCACCCGGGAAGTGCAAGGGGTTGGGGGAATTCCCTCCCCTAGCCAAGGGAAGCCCCGAGGGACTGTACCATGAGGAACGGTGCACTCCACCCAGAAACTATGCTTTTCTCACGGTCTTCACAATCCACAGACCAGGAGATTCCCTCCAGTGCCTCTGCCACCAAGGCCCTAGGTTTCAAGCAGAAAACTAGGCAGCTGTTTGGGCAGACACCGAGCTAGCTGCAGGAGTTTTTTTTTTTTCATGCCGCAGTGGCAACTGGAATGCCAACAAGACAGAACCATTCTCTCTCCTGGAAAGGGGGCTGAAGCCAGGGAGCCAAGTGGTCTGGCTCGGCGGGTCCCACCCCTACAGAGCCCAGAAGCTAAGATCCACTGGCTTGAAATTCTTGCACAGCAGTCTGAGGTTGACCTAGGACACTCGAGCTTGGTGGGGGGAGGGGCTTCCACATTGCCAAGGCTTGAGTAGGCAGTTTTACCCCCACAGTGTAAACAAAGCCACCAGAAAGTTTGAACTGGGTGGAGCCCACCACAACTCAGCAAGGCCACAGCAGCCAGACTGCCTCTCTAGATTTCTCCTCTCTGGGCAAGGCATCTCTGAAAAAAGGGCAGCAGCCCCAGTCAGAGACCTATAGATAAAACCCCCATCTCCCCGGAACAGAGCACCTAGGGGAAAGGGCGCCTGTGGGCACAGCTTCAGCAGACTTTGAGCATCCTTGAAAAGCCTGATGGCTCTGAAGAGAGCAGCAGATCTCCCAGCACAGCATTCGAGCTCTGATAAGGGTCAGACTGCCTCCTCAAGTGGGTCCCTGACCCCGTGTATCCTGACTGGGAGACACCTCCCAGTAGGTGCCAACAGGCACCTCATACAGGAGAGCTCTGGCTGGCATCTGGTGGGTGCCCCTCTGGGACAAAACTTCCAGAGGAAGAAACAGGCAGCAATCTTTGCTGTTCTCCAGCCTCCGCTGGTGATACCCAGGCAAACAGGGTCTAGAGTAGACCTACGGCAAACCCCAACAGACCTGCAGCAGAGGGGCCTGACTGTTAGAAGGAAAACTAACAAACAAAAAGGAATAGCATCAACATCAACAAAAAGGACAGCCACTCAGTGACCCCATCAGAAGGTCACCAACATCAGAAACCACAGGTAGATAAATCCACGAAGATGGAGAGAAACCAGAGCAAAAAGGCTGAAAATTCCGAAAACCAGAACGCCTCTTCTCCTCCAAAGGATCACAACTCCTCACCAGCAAGGGAACAAAAGAAAACTGGATGGAGAATGAGTTTGACGAATTAAGAGAAGTAGGTTTCAGAAGGTAGGTAATAACAAACTCCTCCAAGCTAAAGGAGCATGTCCTAACCCAATGTAAGGAAGCTAAGGACCTGGAAAAAAGGCTAGACCAATTGCTAACTAGAATAACCAGTTTAGAGAAGAACATAAATGACCTGATGGAGCTGAAAAACACGCCATGAGAACTTCATGCAGCATGCACAAGGATGAAGCACTGATTCGATCAAGCGGAAGAAAAGATATCAGAGATTGAATATCAGCTTAATGAAATAAATCAAGAAGACAAGATTAGAGAAAAAAGAATGAAAAGAAATGAACAAAGCCTCCAAGAAATATGGGACTATGTGAAACGACCAAATCTACGTTTGATTGCTGTACCTGAAAGTGTTGGGGAGAATGGAACCAAGTTAGAAAACACTCTTCAGGATATTATCCAGGAGAACTTCCCTAACCTAGCAAGGCAGGCCAATATTCAAATTCAGAAATACGAAGAACATCACAAAGACACTCCTCAAGAAAAGCAACCCCAAGACACAAAGTCGTCAGATTGAGCAAGGTTGAAATGAAGGAAAAAATGTTAAGGGCAGCCAGAGAGAAAGGTCAGGTTACCCACAAAGGGAAGCCCATCAGACTAACAGCAGATCTATCAGCAGAAACTCTACAAGCCAGAAGAGAATGGGGGCCAATATTCAACATTCTTAAAGAAAAGAATTTTCCACCCAGGATTTCATATCCAGCCAAACTAAGCTTCATAAGTGAAGGAGAAATAAAATCCTTTACAGACAAGCAAATGCTGACAGATTTTGTCACCACCAGGCCTGCCTTAAAGGAGCTCCTGAAGGAAGCACTAAACATGGAAAGGAACAACTGGTATCAGCCACTGCACAAACATACCAAATCGTAAAGACCATTGACACTATGAAGAAACTGCATTAACTAACAGCAAAATAACCAGCTAGCATCATAATGACAGGATCAAATTCACACATAACAATATCAACCTTAAATGTAAATGGGCTAAATGCTCCAATTAAAAAACACAGACTGGCAAATTGGCTAAAGAGTCAAGACCCATCAGTGTTCTGTATTCAGGAGACCCATCTCACGTGCACAGACACAAATAGGCTCAAAATAAAGGGATGGAGGAATACTTACCAAGCAAATGGAAGGCAAAAAAAAGCAGGGGTTGTAACCCTAGTCTCTGATAAAACAGACTTTAAACCAACAAAGATCAAAAGAGACAAATAAGGGCATTGCATAATGGAAAAGGATCAATGCAACAAGAAGAGCTAATTATCCTAAATATATATGCACCCAATACAGGAGCACCCAGATGCATAAAGTAAGCTCTTAGAGACTTAAAAAGAGACTTAGACCCTCACACAATAATAGTGGGAGACTTTAACATCCCACTGTCAATACTAGACAGATCAACGAAACAGAAAGTTAACAAGGATATCCAGGACTTGAACTCAGCTCTAGACCAAGTGGATCCAATAGACATCTACAGAACTCTCCACCCCAAATCAACAGAATATACATTCTTCTCAGCATCACATTGCACTTATTCTAAAATTGACCACATATTTGGAAGTAAAACACTCCTCAGCAAATGCAAAAAAAAAAATGAGAATTATAACAGTCTCTCAGATCGCAGTGCAATTAAATTAGAACTCAGGATTAAGAAACTGACTCAAACCCACACAACTACATGTAAACTGAACAACCTGCTCCTGAACAACTACTGGGTAAATAAAGATATTAAGGCAGAAATAAATAAGTTATTTGAAACCAATGAGAACAAAGACATAACATACCAGAATCTCTGGTACACAATTATAGCAGTGTGTAGAGGGAAATTTATAGCACTAAATGCCCACAAGAGAAAGCAGGAAAGATCTAAAATTGACACCCTAACATCTCAATTAAAAGAACTCAAGAGGCAGGAGCATACAAAAAGCTAGCAGAAGACAATAAATAACTAAGATCAGAGCAGAACTGAAGGAGATAGAAACACAAAAAAACCTTCAAAAAAAATCAATGAATCCAGGAGCTGGTTTTTGAAAAGATCAATAAAATAAACAGACCACTAGCCAGACTCATAAAGAAGAAAAGAGAGAAGAATCAAACAGATGCAATAAAAAATGATAAAGGAGATACCACCACTGATCCCACAGAAATACAAACTACTATCAGAGAATACTATAAACACCTCTACACAAACTAGAAAATCTAGAAGAAATGGACAAATTCCTGGACACATACACCCTCCCAAGGCTAAACCATGAAGAAGTTGAATCCCTGAATAGACCAATAACAAGGTCTGAAATTGTGGCAGTAATTAATAGCCTACCAACCAAAAAACAGTCCAGGACCAGATGGATTCACAGCTGAACTCTACCAGAGGTACAAAGAGGAACTGGTACCATTCCTTCTGAAACTATTCCAAACAACAGAAAAAGAGGGAATCCTCCCTAACTCATTTTATGAGGCCAGAATCATTCTGGTACCAAAATTTGGCAGAGACACAACAAAAAAAAGAAAATTTCAAGCCAATATCCCTGATGAACATCGATGCAAAAATCCTCAATAAAATACTGGCAAACCAAATCCAGCAGCACATCAAAAGCTTGTCCATCACAATCAAATCGGCTTCATCCCTGGGATGCAAGGCTAGTTCAACATACGCAAATCAATAAACATAATTCATCATATAAATAGAACCAATGGCAAAAACCACATGCTTCTCTCAATAGATGCAGAAAAGGCCTTCGACAAAATTCAACAGCCCTTCATGCTAAAAACTCTCAATAAACTAGGTACTGATGGAACGTATCTCAAAATAATAAGACCTATTTATGAAAAACCCACAGCCAATACTGAATGGTGAAACACTGGAAGCATTCCCTTTGAAAACCAGCACAAGACAAGGATGCCCTATCTCACCACTCCTATTCAATGTAGTATTGGAAGTTCTGGCCAGGGCAATCAAGCAAGAGAAAGAAATTGTCTCTGTTTGCAGATGACATGATTGTGTATTTAGAAAACCCCACGGTCTCAGCCCAAAATCTCCTTAAGCTAATAAGCAACTTCAGAAAAGTCTCAGGATACAAAATCAATGTGCAAAAATCAAGCATTCCTATATGCAAAAAACAGACAAACAGAGAGCCAAATCATGAGTGAACTCTCCCATTCACAATTGCTACTAAGAGAATAAAATACCTAGGAATCCAACTTACAAGGGATGTGAAGGACCTCTTCAAGGAGAACTACAAACCACTGCTCAAGGAAATAAGAGAGGACACAAACAAATGGAAAAACATTCCATGCTCATGGATAGGAAGAATCAATATCATGAAAATGGACATACTGCCCAAAGTTTTTATAGACTCAATGCTATCCCCATCAAGCTACCATTGACCTTGTGCACAGAATTGGAAAAAACTACTTTAAATTTCATATGGAACCAAAAATGAGCCCACAGAGCTAGCACAGTCCTAAGTAAGTAGAACAAATCTGGAGGCATCACGCTGTCTGACTTCGAACTATACTACAAGCCTTCAGTAACCAAAACAGCATGGTACTGGTACCAAAACAGATATGTAGACCAATGGAACAGAACAGAGGCCTCAGAAATAACGCCACACATCTACAACCATCTGATCTTTGACAAACCTGACAAAAACAAGCAATGGGGAAACGATTCCCTATTTAATAAATGGGGTTGGGAAAACTGGCTAGCCATATGCAGAAAACTGAAACTGGATCCCTTTCTTACACTTTACACAAAAATTAACTCACAATGTATTAAAGACTTAAACATAAGATCTAAAACCATAAAAAACCCTAGAAGAAAACCTAGGCAATACCATTCAGTACATAGGCATGGACAAAAACTTCATGACTAAAACACCAAAAGCAATTGCAACAAAAACCAAAATAGACAAATGGGATCTAATTAAACTAAAGAGCTCCTGCACAGCAAAAGAAACTATCATCAGAGTGAACAGGCAACCTACAGAATGGGTGAAAATTTTTGCAATCTATCCATCTGACAAAGGGCTAATATCCAGAATCTACAAAGAACTTAAACAATTTACAAGAAAATAACAAACAAACCCATCAGTGGGTGAAGGATATGAACTGACATTTCTCTAAGGAAGACATTTATGCAGCCAACAAACATATGAAAAAAAGCTCATCATCACTGGTCATCAGAGAAATGCATATCAATACCACAATGAGATACCATCTCACGCCAGATAGAATGGCGATCATTAAAAAGTCAGGAAACAACAGATGCTGGAGAGGATGTGGAGAAATAAGAATGCTTTTACACTGTTGGTGGGAGTGTAAATTAGTTCAACCATTGTGGAAGACAGTGTGGTGATTCCTCAAGGTTCTAGAACTAGAAATATGATATGACCCAGCAATCGCATTACTGGGTATATATCCAAAGGATTATAAATCATTCTACTATAAAGACACATGCACACATATGTTTATTGTGGCACTGTTCACAATAGCAAAGACTTGGAACCAACCAAAATGCCCATTCAATGATAGATTGCATAAAGAAAATGTGGCACATATACACCATGGATACTATGCAGCCATAAAGAAGGGTGAGTTCATATCCTTTTCAGGGACATGGATGAAGCAGGAAACCATCATTCTCAGCAAACTAATCCAAGAACAGAAAACCAAACACCCAATGTTCTCACTCATAAATGGGAGTTGAACAAAGAACACATGGACAGAGGGAGGGGAACACAACACACCGGGGCCTGTCTGGGGGTAGGGGCTGGGGGAAGGTTAGCATTGGGTTAAATACCTAATGCAGATGATGGGTTGATGGGTGCAGCAAACCACCATGGCACGTGTATATCTATGTAACAATCCTGCACGTTCTGCACATGTACCCCAGAACTTAAAGTATAATTTAAAAAAAAATCTCAAACAACTCACTGAAGTGTCTCAAAGCTGAACAAGTTTTACCAAAATGAATCCTTCTCAGTTAACTGATCAAATGGATGAATCCTGACCCTCTGAAGTCTCTTTCCTGAGTTAGAGCAGGGAACTGCTCTGAGTGTTAACTGTTGGATTCACTGCAATGTCCTACCATATTTTACAAGAAGATGAAAAGGCAACCTGCAGACCTAGGCTTGATTCCCAAGTCACAGTGTGACCCCTGCTACAGGAGGTTACCCTCCTCAGGAAGAGATAGAAATAGGGAATTTGAAGGAATAGTGAGGGGACCAGGGAGATTTGATTGAGTCTGGTTTCCAGGTGAATTAAAAGGAAGGGTGTCATCCAGGGTTTGTTGCTACAGTCAAAAGAATAAATAAGTCAACGAAGAAATACCTTCATTGTCTGTGGTTTTCATGCAGATATACTCATGGAGGTTGTATCTTTCCAAAAACAGACAAATCCAAGGCTGTGAACAAGCATCCGCATTTGAATTCCATTAAACCAAAATCTATGTTGAACGAAGTGAAGTCTGTACACAGCATTGCAAATGTGAACACATTCCTGTGTGAGGCACATCACCATTTGTCAGTTATTGTGAATATGTGTATTTTTAAGCAATAAGATGCAGCTGGTCAGTTTTCTGGGCAATCTTGGCGATGCATTTCCTGTGCTGTGGTTGTTCTCTAACCACTGTGAGAAACCCAAATAAAAATCGATCCCCCCCCAAAACAAATACGTATCACAAAACCATAGTAATCAAAACAACATGACACTTGCACAAAAACAGACACATTGACCAGGGGAACAGAATAAGGAGCCCAGAAATAAACTCATGCATTTATGACCAATAAATTTTTGACAAAGGTGCCCAGAAAACGTAATGAAGTATAGACATTTGTTTCAATAAATGGTGTTAAGAAAACTAGATATCCACATGCAGAAGAACACGAATGTGTATGGTGTGTATCCTTATCTCACACCATACACAAAAATCAATTCAAAATGGATTAAAGGTTTAAACATAAAACTGTAAAACTACTAGATGAAAACATAGGGGAAAAGTTCCACAATGTTGGTTTGGTCAAAGATTTCTTGGATATAACCCCCAAAGCACAGGCAACAAAAGCAAAAATATATGGGATTGCATCAAACTAAAAAGCTTCTGCACAGCAAAGGAAACAATATGGTGAAGAGACAACCTACAAGTTGTGAGAAAATATTTGCAGAGCATACATCTGATGAAAGGCTAATCTCCAAATATATAAGGGACTCAACTCAATATCAAGAAAACAAATAACCAAGTCAAAAAATGGGCAAGGTCCTAAATAGACATTTCTCAAAAAAAATACAAATGACTAACATAAAAAAAGTTTGTCATCCTAATTATCAGGGAAATGCAAATTAAAATGACAGTGAGATGCCACTTCATACCTGTTAGAATGGCTACTATCAAAATCATAAAAGATGACAAGTGTTGAAGAGGATACAGAGAAAAGGGAACCCTCGTACACTGTTGGTGGAAATGTAAATTAATACTATTATGAAAAATAGATAAAAGTTACTCAAAAAACTAAAACTAGAATTACTATATGATCCAGCAATCCCACTTCCTTGTATATATCCAAAGGAATTTAAGTCAATATGCTGAAGAGATATCTCCAGGCTCATGTTCATTGCAGCATTATTCACAATACCCAAATATGAAATCAACACAGGTGTCTATCAACTGACAAATGGATGAAGAAAATGTAGTGTATATATACAATGGAATACTACTCAGCCTTAATAGGAAGGAAAACCTGATATATGTGACAACATGAATTAACCCAGAAGATATCATGCTAAGTGAAATAAGCCAGGCATGAAAAGACAAATATCACATGATCTCACTGATATGTGGAATCTAAAAAAGTTGAATTCATAGAAGTAGAGAATGGAATGGTGATTATCAGAGGCTAGGAGTTGGGGATAGACATGGAAAAGGTAGATGTTGATAAAAGGGTTCAAAGTTTCAGTTAGACAAAGTTTCAGTGAACTATTGCACAGAATGGTGACTGTAATAAATAACAAGGTATTGTATGTTTCAAAATGACTAACAGAGTAGATTTTAAATGTTTTCACCACAAAAAAGATATGTATGTCAATAAGATAGACCTAATCTTTCCACAATTTAAACATGTATCAAAACATTACATTGTACCCCATAAATAGATACAATTATTATTTGTCAATTTAAAATTTTTCACTAATTTATATTGTTGTTGCACCAACTCCTTTCCACCAGGCAGATTCTCATAAAGACTATTTTCTCTCTTACATGAAGCATTTCCTACACGCCTCTTAATCACGGTAGCATTGACATCATTCCACCAGATTCTATCTCCAGTGTTAAAATAATCAAGAACCCAGAAATCTCCACCAGGGGGCAACCAATGCGTATCAAAGTTTCCCACTTTCCTTTAGATTTACTTATGGGTAACTTATGGGAGAAAATACTTAAGTACTTCCCTTTTTAAAGAAAAAAATTATATGAATTCTACAAAATTATGGCAGAAAATTTAAGAAGAGCAGATGCTTCCCAACTCATTCTAAAGGGCCAGCATTACCCTGATTCTGAAACGAAAAAGCTTTACAAAATCCAAGATCCATTCCTGACTAAAGATAAAAGAAATTTTCAGCAAACTGTGAATACAGAAAACTTTCTCAGCCTGTTAAAGAGTACCTATGAAAAAAATTATAGCTAACATTATACTTAATGATGAAATATTTAATATATTTCATAACAGGAACAAGTCAAAGATGTCTGCTCTAATTCTACTCAGCATTCAACAAAATGAATATAGTGAATTCATACTAGAATTTTAAAAGCAAATGTCTTTATTCACTGCCAACATAATCATCTATAAAGAAAATCCTACATAACCTATAAAAAACTGATGGAACTAATAAGTTTTGCAAGTTTACAGGATATAATGTCAAACAAAGATCTATTATGTGCCCATAAGCTAAGAATAAACAATTGTAAATTGAAATAAAAATGTCACTTAAAAGGGCATCAGAAATATAAAACTTAGAGATAAATATAAAGTACATATGCATAAAGTACCTGTTCACCAAAAACTACAAAACATTGCTGAAAGAAATTAAATGGGCATAATATAGATGTAGAGATGTGTTGAATTTATGACTCATTTTGAACAAGGAATATATTCATCATATATTCATCAGTTAAGAATTATGTTACAGGTCTAATAACATTCAAATCAATACATAATGTCTCATAGTTCCTGAATCTAAAATATCAAAGAAAGAAACATAAAGCCATATCATGTTTAATGAGAAGGGCTTATTATATCATTTATGAGATCTTCTTGTAAATCACTAGCTGTTTGCATACTCTCTTTAGTGCTGCCTTCATCTCCTTATTCCTGAATGTATAGACAACTGGATTCAGAAAAGGAGTGAGAACTGCATCAAAAATAGCCAGAAACTTGTCCATCTGTGAATTAGGGTGTGGCCGTGTATACACAAACATGGGTGGACCAAAGAACAAAAGGACCACTGTGCTGTGAGCTGAAAGAGTGGAAAGGGCCTTGGATGAACCACCTGAGGAATGTTTCCAAACAGTAAACAGGATGAAGACGTAGGAGATTAGAAGTATGAAGAAAGTACCCACACAGATAAACCCACTGTTAACAGTGACCGTGAACTGCAATCTGTAGGTGTCGGTACAGGCTAGTCTGAGAAGCCGAGGAAGGTCACAGTAGAAGCTGTCCAACACATTAGGGCCACAGAAGGGTAAATTAACAAGAAATGCCAGTTGGAACAGGGAGTGACTGACACCAAGGGTCCAGGCAACAGCCAGAAATGAAAGGCACATTCTTGGGCTCATAATGGTCAGATAGTGGAGGGGCTTAATAGGGCCACATATCTGTCAAAGGCCATGGCTATGAGCAGCACCATCTCCACACCACCAATGACGTGGATGAAGAAGATTTGAGCGATGCAGCCTCCAAAGGAGATGACTTTGCGCTTTCTGAACAGGTCATAAATCGTCTTGGGAGAAGTGACAGAGCAGGCTCCTAAGTCAATGAAGGAGAGACTGGCCAGTAGAAAGTACATGGGGGAGTGTAAGTGAGGGTCAGTGGTCACAGAAAACACAATGAGGATGTTTCCAGTAATGCTTGCCACATAGAGCACAGAGGAAAACACTAGGAGGAGGAGCTGGATCTCCCATGAATGAGTGAGTCCCAGAAACAAAAACTCAGATACCACTGAGTGATTCTCTCCATCCATTGGTCCAGCCAACTGGGCTGTGGCTAAAATTATGAGAACTAAGAAAATGGGGAGGAAATTGTGATTATGAAGATAATAATATGTACTAAAATCATTAATATTGCAATGTCACTATGAATAAATAGTATACAGTTATTCTGTTCCTCACATATTAAAAACAAAAAATCAACATAATATTATCACAACATGTGAGCTGCAACCTGATTTAAACCCATCATCAATACTTTCAGTGTAATGTCTGATCTAAAATTAACAGATTAGGTAAGAACAAGATTCCTGACTATCCATGAAATTCATCAGGTGTTTAAATGACCTGTGATATTAACTATTCCTCATTTCCAACATATTCCATTTGTACTTATACATATTCTTATAATTTCCTTCCCTTCCCAGTTTGCACCCACAATTCTCTGACAGAAAGTAGACATAAGAGGAAAACATGATTAACAGATGGATTATCACTGCAGTAAGAGGTGCCTGGGACGGACTTAGTTGAGGTAGGCTGTGGATTGAGAGAATATAGAGACCGGGGTATGTGAAATCGGAAAGCCCACAACTGTAGCAGAACAGAGTAAGTGGACTTTCACAAGAAATAGAATCACCACCATTATCTACCACATTTTCTCATGCTTACTGCTATTTAAGTGCCTCAGTTTCTATAAATCTTTCACAATTACAAAGCCCTAAATGGCTTCCCATCCTGCAATGATTTCATAAGGAGCCTATGCCACCTGTCATGTAAGGCTTTTTCCATGCCTAATAAATATGTTTTGGAGGGATTTCACCAGTGTTTCTGCTAAGATACATGCATAAAATGGCCACAGAGGTTGTGAGAAATCTCTGCAGTTTCTCTTTGTCTATACACATGAAAGTATTGAAGACCAGCACTTGGATTAGTTAAGATAATGTTTTAATTCATCACTGTCTCCTCCTCCCCTTGGTACCAGCTTTTATGTTCATTGCATTCCCCACCCTTTTAAGTACTCAGTACCTCCTGCATGGTAACCTATTCTGATATTTGATATTATCATGCTTAATTTGACTGAATCCATTTGGATATTTTATCTTTAAGAAATTTGTAGTTTTATACTTTTAATTTATGATAAAATTAGATTAATATCAAACATTAACAAGTGACTTTTAGGAAGGTATATGAGCTTTCTTATTGACTTCAAACTATAAAGTACAAACTGTGACACTAGAAATTTAGTCCTTTAACACATATTGTATTTATATGTGAAGTGGACGGTGAGCAGAAAACAGTGTTATATTTCTCTGTGTCCAGATGGATACTCACCTCAATCATTTTCCTATAGTAGAAAGTAGTTCCTGAAAACACTTAATAGAGATTATTTTAGAAGTTGCTGAGGTACAAATAAAACTGCTATGCTGACATCATACTTTTTTGCACCAACAACTCCAGTTCTTCTGACACAAAGGACCATCTTCCTAGTGCCATAATTTATCTTAGACCCCAAAACTCACAGAGGCACACATCATCTCTCTAATACTTGCTCACCACCACTGGCATGAGTCTCTCTCTATCCTCTTCTACGTGAAGTGATTATACTGTCACCTCTGGAGCTAACTGTCCACAGTCTCAAGATGCACACTTTTTACAACCAGAAGCCTATGGACTGGGTGAGGGAGCAGAAACAGCCACAGGTACTGCCCATCAGGGTAATGTAAGTCAGCGTGCAAACAACTGATCAGATGAACATGAATAGCAAGGTGCCGAGGCACTGGGAAGAGGGACCGGAAAACTCTATAACTGTTGAAAAAGACTCAAGCCCTTGGGAAGGGAAATGCCTACGGAATTATATAAAAACCATTTAATCCAAGTTGGTCATCATTCAGATGAAAAACATGAGGCCCAGAAAAGTAAACTGAGTTTCCAGAATTCACACAATTGATAGAATAGGAACCAGAATTCAGGCCTCTTGCTTCCTATTCCAGAAAGACAAATTGCAATAATAATCAAATAATATGAGCAATCATCCAGTAAAAATAATCTGGTAAAAACAGCAAAACTCAAAAGAGTGATTTTTCCTGGTTAAGACCAAAACTAACCATAGATTGCTATACATAGTATCTATTATAAATACTGAATTATATAGCAGCCTGACAATAAATACATAAAATGTGTACACAAAGATTATTGAACCTGTACAATACAGTAGTAAATAGTAACTTTATATTTGCAAAGTGACTGATCATTACTATCAGAATTTGTACCCATTCTTCATATTTTGTTGGTCATATAACCAGTTACTACAACTGCAAAAACAACCTAAGTTCATGTTTCTGTGAAGTCCATCCTTTTGGTCTTTAAATTTTATTATCCTCAAAGGTCAATTATGATCTCAATCTTTTCTTGTAATTTTACTGACAATTCTCCTTCACACTGATTAGTTCTTTCTCTAATTCCTGTAAATGGAAAGAACCAAAAAAAGTTGAAAAAACATGTATTGTACATATAACAAACAATCATATGTGGTATACAATATATATCAAATGAGTATTAAGATAAACATTCAAAGAGTTTTAAAGAAAAAAGTGTTATAGATATTGGAGGGCAGAAGATACAATTGCCATTAAGAACAGGTGGAGGAGGTTATGCCAAGGACATTGACCTGACCCTTTAGGAATTAGTGAAAATTGAATAGGAGAAGAATGAGGTACACAATGTGTGAAAAATACCTAAATTGATATAACAGGAGGAGACCTTTTCATATCAATTATCATTACTTCTGTGTATATAACCATATTAGATACCCACAAACAAATAGAAAGTGGATAGTTCTTGATTGACAAGTAAGACTAATAATCCCAGATCATAGTAAGGTCTTAACTTCAAGTCAATAATCTTTATTACTTATGGTTCATTCCTCTCCCTCATGTTTTCCAATAATTTTAAAATGCATAATTAAAACAATTCTCATTTAAAAACATAGTAGCCATGACTAATGATCTTCCAGTGGGAAGGTACTAAGACTTTACAACATGTTTCTTGCTGGGGATAAGACAGCCTACAGCCAGCATTCAACTCATTTTTCTAAAGTCTATGGATCAATTTGAAATACAGAAAAAGTAGAAGAGAGATAAAGTTAAAAAAAGATTAAAAATATGGGAAGAATGGGAGAAAGGGGAAATTAGAAGATATAAATAATGATTTAAAAATAAAAGAGCCTCAAAGGAGAAGAGAAACTGCTAAGCAAGACTAAGGTAGGATGAAATACAGTAGTCTCTGTTTCTGAGAACACAGGTTAAAAAGAACATAAATAAAATAAATTTATCACCTTTAATACACTCATTCAAGGATGCTACTGAGTTTGACTCTGGGAATTTCTCACCTTTAACACACTCATTTGGGGATGCTACGGACTTTGACATTGGGTTGCATTTAACGGGGGAGAGAAAGGGCAGTTGCTTCTATTATCTGCCCTGTTGGACTCACAGAGTTTCTTTGAAAAGCACAGATGATAATAAATGGAAATATTGCCTTTTATACTATACAATAATATACACATGCAATTCACTGGAAAAAGTATACTTGTTACTATGATTTGAGGATACTACCATATACTAATCAAGAGAAACACATGTACAGAACAAAGAAGCCACATGAAATTTTTACTAGTGTGTGTTTTCCTTGTGTTCTACCACCCCAGGAGCAGCTTCTGCTACTGAAGGTCACAGTAGAGTTATTTCCAAAAGTTGTGGGTCTGCAGGGTGGACTTATCACATAGCTGTTTGCCAAAATTCAAAAGTCCAGAAACCGTTTCCAAATTTTCACCTCTTTTATCTTCAAATCCTAAAACTATGAAAATTCACAAACTTAGCTCCATACATTATGGTAGAAAGGTTAATAATTTGGACTTTGAGGTTGACCAGGCCTGATTTTTGAATAAATTCACAAACTTACCTCCATACATTATGGTAGAAAGGTCAATAATCTGGACTTTGAGGTCGACCAGGCCTGATTTTTGGATCCAGGCTGCAACACTCACTTGCTGTGTTAACGTAACAAAGTTCCTAGACCATGCTGAGCTTCAGTTTACTTGTTATTGAATTAGGGATATAGCGTTCAAAGGAAGAAGTTCTAGTATTTGATTGCACAGCAGAGAAATTATAGTTATTGAACTGGGGATATGTAGATAGACATAATAAATTCTAGTATTCAATTGTACAATGGAGAAATCATAGGGAACAATAATTTATTATATATTCTAAAATAGCTAGCAGAGAAAAATTATAATGTTCCCAACACAAAGAAAAGATAAATATTCGAGGTGATGAATATCCAAATTACTCTGATTTGATCATTACACATTGTATACATGTATCAAAAATATCACATGTACCCCAAAACATGTACAACTATGATACATCAATAAAAAACAACAAAAAAACCAAAAGAATAGAAATCAAAAATAAATACATAAATACATAAAATAGGGATAATAATACCTCCCTTGCTTGCTTGCTCCCTTGCTCCATTTGTAAGAAATAAGTGATATAATATAGGTAAAAATACTTAACCTCATACCTACCACATAGTATAGCACAATAAACGTTATTTATTATAATCTGAGGGCTACCTACATAAGTGACTTTCAAGTATAGAAAATTATTTCTCAAATTTTAAATACTCCCTGATTCTCAGGTATGGTAATTAGACCTGGCTTTAGGTAAAGCTCTCATGTCTACACTTGGATTTAATCACTTAAGTATATTTCCCAGCACCCCCCGCAAAAAAAAATTGCTCCTAGGTGGACACACTAATCAAAGACTTCCTGAGAAATGCAGGAAGAAGTTTTGTCCTCTGACCACGCTACGCCCTTTCCTTGATGGTAAGCCCCATAATCTAAAGCCATAAGTTTCAATTCCTCACATAAAAAGAAAAAAAAAGTCTTTTATGACCACTTCAGATAACACTGGATATTTCCCTTGTCATTAGGAATGAGAAATGGGAGGAAGGTAAATTTGTAGACAGGAGAATTGGTAGATGCTTGAAAGGATTTCTGAAAACTGTGCCTATTCAGGTGTACAAATGTGTTGACCAGCCAAGGCAAAGCAGTCAAACCATACAATACCTTATCCTCAGGAAAATGGACTTTTCTCCCAAATTGCCTTTTTCATGAAAAATATAAAATTCTCCAGTTTCAACCTCATGTTAAATTTCACATGTGAAGAAAACAGTCATGCACATCAGAAAATTAAATGGCGAGTCAAGACCAAATTCCTAGTCACAGTTATGTTCTGTTTCCAGTATTACCTTCTCACTTATTCATTTTGTTAAAGTGGAGCCAAAATAGAAGTGGGTGTCACACATCAAGAAAGACTGAAGTCGTACAAAGCCGATCCTTATCCAACGTGCATTAAAATATGCATCAGGCATGTGTGATGCATATAGTAGAAGTGGAACAAATCAGGCCAGGTGCAGTGGCTCACGCCTGTCAGCCCAGCACTTTGGGAGGTCAAAGCAAGCAAATCGCTTGAGATCAGCAGTTCAAGAAGTGTAACAAATCCTCTACAATATAAGTAGAGTGAAAAGAGATAGCTACAGTGATGAGGGAAGGCACTATAGTGATGTGGCATTTGAGTATAGCCATAAAAGAGGATAAATATTACAATACATGAATATAGGGTCTAAAGAAGTCTTTTCAAGTAGATTGTAAAATATTTCAAAAATGGTAAGTTTGGTGTATGTTGAAGCATACAGATTGTCTACATCCTAAAAATCATTTTGGTGAAGAAAGGAAAATAAGAAAGGTAGTCAAGATTCATTTGTTGCCTATCATTAGAAACTTCTCAAAGGTATATGAGAATTATTAAATAAATTTAGGGAGCCAGTGAAGGTATGGGTCCCGGGAATTGAGGATGAAGCCAGTAATTAGGGAAGATGCCCCATCTATAAATGCGATGTATCAAATGGAGGAAAAGAAAAACGGAGGGAAGGAGTTCCCTTAAGAGAAGATTGAAATAGAGCAGACTTGGGGGGCTACACAGAGGAACTGGGACTACACAGTTCCAGCTTTAAGGCTATGGAAACAGAAATAGAAATACTGGTAAGTAAAAACCCAAAGGATTGGTGACTTATCACAGCTGGAGTGAATACGAAGGAGCATGAACTCAAAGAAAATATCAAGATTTAAGCACGAATACATAGGACAATGGTAGGTCCATTTTTAGAAATTAGAAAGTTGAACATAAAATATGTCAGGTGGAGAAAATAATCACGTGTATTTTAAGCAAATAAGAGTATTAGATATTGAGATGCTCAGGTGAAAACATATGACAGGATATATGGGGGAAAAGTACAAATTCAACATGTAATTGTATAGTAATCCATATAAAAATAATGGACGGATGTGTAAGACTGCATAAGGTCCCTGAAGGAAATAATATACAGGAAAAAAGATTAAAAAGCAAAGACCCAACTATAGAAACTATCCACATTGATTATGTAAAGTAGGAAAAGGAACCAATAAACTAGACAGAACATCACAGAGGTAGGAGGACAAGTGCTGGCCTAGAGGAGCCAACACAGAAGCAGGTATCAAGAATAAAGGAGGAGAAGAGAGAACAAAGAGAGAGAGAAGAGAACTTCTGTGGCAGAAGATCAAGTGGGATGGTAGAATAAAGGAGAAGAAATACAAGAAAATTGAAATAAAATTTACAGAAATGTTCTACATTGTAAGTGGGCAGTTTTGACCTGGCACATTGTTGGCACACATTATAAATGTCAAATGTATTAATGAATGAATGAATGGATAATATAATGAATGTGATGGAGTTGTCAAAAGCTGAATTAATTAAAAGTCCCCACGAGAGGTTAGATGACAAAATTTTCAGAAACTTTCCATGCCACTCTGTTGTGACATCAACAGTGCTGGACCCTTGAAATCAAACCAAAAGGATTCCACCATGAGAATGAAAAGGGCTGAGAAGGGGAATGCTGGGTGACACAGAAGGTGACAAAGGGCGAAAGGTTTCTAGGCATTTGATAGACTGATGGACGTCCGAGCTGACCATAAGGCACAGGCCACACAGGAAGGAAAATGAGACCCAACGCGAAGAAAAGTAGGGCTAAACAGTCGGGAAAATGTGGGAAGAAGGATGAATAGTCATACTATCAACTCAGATTCCTCCCTGACATTCTTCTACAGCTTTATTCTCGTCCTTTGGGAGCCGAGATGTTCATTTTCCTACATTCTTAGCTGCCTACACACGGCGACTTTTCTCCACGGTGCCTGATCCCTGCTGCATCCTCCTTCTCTAGTGGCAACAGCAAATGGCCACACAGAAGGCAGACATTGCACCCAACTGAGGAGAATGTAATTCACTCATTGCCAGTCACAGACCTTGGCTCACCGATTTACTAAGTATAGATTTTATTTCTATCCCTCACCTACCTGTTTTGCCAAGGGAACTAAGAAAACAGCATCATCAAAAATTCAGATAGGTATAGTTCTCTCAAGATGAACCAGATCCAGTACGGCATCACTGCAGACATACACACAGAGCTGCATAAAACAGGAAGAGAGCTGCTAATCACAGCCCCAGAGGGTAGTGGCCAAAGTGATGCCTTGGAGATCCGAGAATGCCAGACTGAGATCACACGGCCTGGGGAATTACCGCCTATGGTCATTTTGGTTTTCCCGGGATGGCCAAGCCCAGAAACTGTTAATTGGGTGAAATAAAGCATATTTGATTTTCTTATGACAAAAAAGGCCTTTTGCCATTGTCTACAGATGATACTTTAAATCTTTATTTTATGACTAAAAGTGAATTCCAGAGCAACATTAAATGTTGTCCCTTTAAATTTTTAATCATTTACATAACGATTACCATAATATTCAATTTAAACATAAAATGTAATTGAAAGTATGAGATTAATATGTGGACATGAAATCATATAATATTCCATGGAAAAAATAGAATGTATAAGGCAAAGAGGTTTAAAGTAACATCAAAACTAACGCTCACTATACAAATTCTATGAAATCCTCATAATTACACTGTGAAGCAGGTGTTGTTAGAGCCACATAATCTCAAACAAATTATTTATTATCTAAAATTACATAGATATTAAAAGGTTAGGCCATATATGAATTTAGGATTCTCTCAAAAATTTTTTCTCTTTCTCCTACATCAAACTTCCCTAAATTATAGAAAAGTCACAATGTTACCAAACATATTCACAAAACACATATAATCTTGAATCCAAATTTCAGTTACAGCAGAAAAAATAAAACTCTAGATCAATCTCAATCGTGTAAATAAATTCAGATTTCCAATCTAAGAGTCTCAATTTGAGATACTTCTTTCTCTCTCTTCTTTCAAACCAGGAGAAATATAAATATGAGCCACAACCTTACAAAAGCTAGAAAATATTTCCAATTCCACACAACAACAAATGAAGAAAACCTTCTGGACATCAAAAGTTTAAACCAGTCAAGACTGAACACCAAGATAAAGTGCATGCCTCTGAAGAGCTTGAGCTAGTCAAGAAGCCCAGAAATCCCTAAAAGAGGTGTGTATACTGAGGACTGAGGATCAAAACCTGTGATCTTTACTTGGAACAGAAATATTGCAGCATGTGAACCCTCCACAGAGTGACAGAGGGAAAGGAGTTTAAAGGGAAACATGCAAATGTATCACCTTTGGAATAATTAGGACACGTGTGTGGTGTAATGAAAGAAGGCAAAAAGATGGGGAAGAAGCCAGACAGATGGCAATTTTCATTCTATTATGAAAAGAAAAGGATAAGTCACAAGTCACATGACCAAATTAACAACTATGAATCCACTCTAAGCCATAGTCAATCCTATAGCCAAGGAGTCATTCTAACAGATGAGAGTGTTTTGGAGACAAGATTCCAAAACTCGTCTGCCTTCCATCATACTTACTACCCCCAGCTCCTCCTCCACAATATCCTTTCACAAGTATCTAGAATATTCAAAGACTAATAATATTATATAATTATTTATAATAATTGTATTACAAAAATAAAACTTGATGACCTTTATAAAAATACTAGAAGAAAAAGGGAAAATTACATAAGGTACAGAACATACAAATTATACCATGAAGCAGTAAAAAATAGGATCAAATTTTCTGTTTTTTAAAAATATGCCTTCTCTAAAATGTTTTCTCTCTGAAATGATATTTAGAAGACATAATTGAAAATAAATACAAAATAAAGTGATAAAAAATAATCTGGCAAAATTCAGGATGTAATGAGTAAAGACAACCATGAAAGAAATGAAGATCAATAAAAGCAGGAGAAAAAGTGGGAAGTGGAGAGAATAATGCTGCTAAAAACACAGATAAGAATATAAATGACAGGCTTAAATATATCCTGAGCAAAACGAAATAGAAAACACAAGAAGGTGAAATGTAACATTAAAGTCAGGTCCAACAAATGAGAAATTAGTGTGAAAGAGCTCACAATATCTGGTTAAAAAATTCAAAGATAAAAGAAAACTTTTCTGAAATGAAGAAAACATTGAATCTAATGGTTAAAGGGCTTATCTTTATCCAGAAAAAATGTGTTATAGTATGACCACATCAAGGCAGATGCAACTGAATTTACCGGACTTCACAAACACAAAATAAACAACCCACACACACAAAAAAATAGAGTCCCCATGAGGCTTTAATGAAGACAACTATTAGAGGCCAGGCGCAGGGGCTAACACCTACAGTCCCAACACTTTGAAAGGCCAAGGCAGGAGAATCACTTGAGCCCAGGAGTTCAAGATAAGACCAGCCTGGGCAACATAGCAAGACCCCATCTCTATCAGAAAAACTTGAAAAAGAAAACTATCCACTAAAAATGAATAGAGATAACATGATACAAGTGAGCATTCTGAAGCCTAATATCAAAATGTTCTGGGGTTTGCGGTTAAAGAACAGAATGCAGATGTTACAAACCATAACTGTATAAAGACTAATTATATTCATAACAAAAATAAGAAGAGAAAGATAGTAGAAATATATTCTGGTCCATTCAACTTTCACAGTGGGAGAGAATCAACAAATTATGTTATGGGTGATTAAATATTATTTTAAAAGATAAAGGTCATTCTTAGAAAAATTAAAAATAACAAAATCAAATAAAGTTGAATGACGACGGTGGGAGAGGAAAGTGGGTTTAAGGGGTAAAGTGGAACTATATTAAAAGAGTCAATGGAGAGGACCCTTGGAAATAACACAAAAATTAAAGAACTAAATATAATTTATACAGCACATAACTAAAATAAACTATAAATCTTCAAATTAAAAGAAAATATGTACATACAAAATATCACATAGAGAGAAATATTAATACCATGAAAATATTAAAATAAAAGCATAAAATTAATTCATTTATTTACCCTATTAGTATTTTTTGAACACCTATGTGCCAGGTATTGTGCTGAATGCCAGTAAGATATAGTTCCTGCATCTTGGAGTTTTCGTGGAGGAGACAGAGATTAATCAAACAATCACACAAATGTAAAATTGCAACCATAAAAATTACTCTGAAATACAATGAAAATTACTATAAGAGAGGGATTTGATGTGAGTCAGAGAAGTTTCCCCTAAGAAAGCAACACTGAAGCTGAGATCTAAAGGGTAAACAGCAGTTAACTGAGTGGAGAACAAAGGTTTTCCTGCAGGGGGAACAATCTGCTCCCCGAGGCCAGAGTGGGGCCTTGGGAGTTGTGCCTGAAACCACATTGTGAGGAAGTGAGGGGAAGCATTGTGCAGATAATGCTGAAATAAGTAGTGGAAGATGCTTCCTAAGAGAATGAGAAATCCAAGACTACTAAGCAGAAGAATGATTTGACCAGATTTCACATTTGTAAATATCACTAAGGTTACAATGTATAGAATGGATTTTAAGGAATTCAAATTGGATACAGGTGAGTCAATTAGAAAGCAACATGCTTGCCAAGGCAAGAAATTTGCTTACTTAAACTAGATATGGGAGTTTTGGAAATAAGTAGATAAATTTGTCATATATTTGAGATAATAAATCACCAGGACTTGATGGTAGACTTAGTTGGAGATGCCCTCACTAGTGCACCATCTAATGCTTCAAGTCTAATAATTATTCAGTTCCTCCAGAGCCACCAATCCAATGGTTCTACCATATTTATGCTGTCATTCACTTTACTGATATCCTTCTTACCTTACCTCTTTTCCCACTTTATATTCCATGATCAATACCTTGCTCCCTCGTAATGATTGTACTCACTCTTCCAAACAACAATCCTGATAAATCCAACTCTCTGCCTTCTACATCTTGATACCACACAGCTATATGTGGCTAGATAAAACAATCACACTGACAATCATCCTATGCTTTCTGAATCCATCACTCTTCTACTTTTTCAGATCTTTTCTTTCTCCCTCATCCTTACCATGTAATGAACTCATTTTGCATGTCAAGGGCTAAAAGTTGAATATTTTAAAAGTTCTCACTTTCCCACTACTATATAAACCAACAAATATGTTTAGTCTGCATTCACAAATAACATAACAAATGAGCTCTTCATATTTCTATCTGTGGTGAATTAAGATGACTAGAAATTTTGTGGCACCATCCCGTTGAAAACGTGGGGACATATTCTTTCTCCTTGAACCTGGGTGGGCTCTTTGACTGCTTTGACCAATAAAATACAGTGAAAGTAAAACTTCCAGTTTTGATGTCCAGATGTTAAAAGCCTTGAAGCTTCCATTTCTACATCTTGGAACCAACGTGTGTGGGGTGCTGAGTCAGTATCGAAGAATTCTGCTTATTCTGCTTGCATTAGTCCATTTTCATGCTGCTGATAAAGACATATCCAAGACCGGGTAATTTATGAATAAAAAGAGTTTCATGGAATCACAGTTCCATGTGGATGGGGAGGCCTCACAATCATGGCAGAAGGTGAAAAGTATGCATTACATGGGAGCAGACAAGAGACAATGAGAGCTGAGTGAAAGGGGAAGCCCCTTGTAAAGTCATCAGCTCTCATGAGACTTATTCACGACCATAAGAACAGTATGGGGGAGCCACCCCATCATTCAATTATCTCTCACCAGGTCCCTCCACAACACATGGGAATTATGGGAGCTACAATTCAAGATGAGATTTGGGAAAGGACACAGCCAAACCACCTCATTCTGCCTCTGGCACCTCCCAAATCTCATGTCCTCACATTTCAAAACCAATCATGCCTTCCCAATAGTCCCCAAAAGTCTTAACTCACTTCAGCATTAACTCAAAAGTTGGCAGTCCAAAGTCTCACCTGAGACAGGGCAAGTCTCTTCCACATATAAGCCTGTAAAATCAAAAGCAATTTAGTTATTTTCTAGATACGATAGGAGTACAGGCATTGGGTAAATGCAGCTGTTCCAAATGGTAAAATTTACCCAAAACAAAGGGACTAAAGGCTCCAAGCAAGTCCGAAATCCAGTGGGACAGTCAAATCTTAAAGCTCCAAAATGATCTCCTTTGACTCTATGTCTCACATCCAGGTCATACTCATGCAAGTGGTGGGTTCCCATGGTCTCAGGCAGCTCCACCCCTGTGGTTTTGCAGGGGAGAGCCTTCCTCCTGGTTGCTTTCACAGGCTGGCATTGTATGCAGCTTTTCCAGGCACACAGTGCAAGCTGTCGGTGGATCTACCATTCTGGGGTCTGGAGGACAGCAGCCCTCTTCTCACAGCTCCACTAGGCAGTACCCTAGTGGGGACTCTGTGTTGGGGGGCTTCAACCCCACATTTCCATTCCCCACCGCCTTAGCAGAGGTTCTCCATGAGGACCTCACCCCTGCAGCAAACTTCTGTCTGGAGATCCAGGCGTTGCCATACATTCTCTGAAATCTAGGTGGAGGTTCCCATACCTCGATTCTGGACTTCTGTAAATCCACAGGCTCAACACCACATGGAAGCTGCCAAAGCTTGAGGCTTGCACGGCTTGCACCCTCTGAAGCCATGGCCTGAGCTGTACCTTGATCCCTTTTAGCTGTGGCTGGAGCAGCTGGGACACAGAGCACCAAGTCCCTAGGCTGTACACAGGCAAACAGCAGGGAGGCCCTGGGCCCAGCCTATGAAACCGTTTTTTCCTCCTAGGCCTCTGGGTGTGTGATGGAAGGGGCTGCCACAAAGATCTCTGACATGGCCTGAAGACTTAGCGATTAACATTTGGCTCCTTGTTACTTATGCAAATTTCTGCAGCCAGCTTGAATTTCTCCTCAGAAAATGGATTTTTCTTTTCTATCACAGTGTCATGCTGCAAATTTTCTGAACGTTTATGCTGTTTTCCTGTTAAAACTGAGTGCTTTTAACACACCCAGGTCACGCTTGAATGCTTTGCTGCTTAGAAATTTCTTCTGCAAGATACCCTAACTCATCTCCCTCAAGTTCAAAGTTCCACAAATCTCTAGGGCGGGGACAAAATCCTGCCAGTCTCTCTCGATAGCAAGAGACACCTTTACTCCAGTTCCCAGTGAGTTCCTCATCTCCATCTGAGACCATCTCAGCATGGATTTCATTGTCTATATCATTATTTGACATTTTAGTCAAAGCCATTCAACAAGTCTCTAGGAAGTTCCAAACTTTCCCACATTTTCCTGTCGTTTTCTGAGCCCTCCAAACTGTTTCAACCCCTGCCTGTTACCCAGTTCCAAAGTCGCTTCCACATTTTTGGGTTATCTTTACAACAGCACCCCACTCTACCAGTACCAATGTACTGTATTAGTCTGTTTTCATGCTGCTGATAAAGACATACCTGAGACTGAGTGATTTATGAAGAAAAAGACACTTAATGGACTCACATTTCCAGGTGGATGGGGAGGCCTCACAATCATGGTGGAAGGCAAAAGGCACATCTCTACATGATGGCAGACAAGACAGAATGAGAGCTGAGTGAAAGGGGAACCCCCTTATAAAATCATCAGCTCTTGTGAGACTTATTCAAGACCACGAGAACAGTATGGGGGAAATACTCCTGTGATTCAGTTATCTCCCGTTGGATCCCTCCCACAAGACACGGAAATTATGGGAGCTACAATTCAAGATGAGATTTGGGTGGGGACACAGCCAAACCATATTGCTGCTGAATAGATCATGTAGACAGGCTCTCAAACTACACGGAGAGCAAGAGAGGCCCACCTTACCACAACATTTCATCCAATCCACTAATAAAACAGGCACATCACTGAAGCCACCTTCAACTCTCCAGACTACCCAGCTGCCAGCTGAATACCACAGATGGCTACAGTTAATACCACACGGAGCAGAATCACGTAGCTAAGCCCTGCTTGCGCTAATACAAGTCCACAATTTTTTTAAGTTTGTTGTTTTAAGCTGCTAAGTTCTGAGGTGGTTTGTGGTACGTGGAATAAGATGTCACTCTAATATAATATAAACTTAAACTATGTGGCATTGGCTTTGGAATCAGACAATGGATAGAAGCTAGAAGGATTTCACAAAGACTGTTAGTGAAAAGTGAACAGACTTCAAGGAAAATGACAGCAAAACCTGTAAAAGCATTCTGGGAACTGACAGTAAACACTGAATGGTCCTTAAGGAGACTGAAAACTTGAAAGAGCTTAAGAAGTCTACTGGAAAGGGCTTTAAGGATAATGAGAAAAAATCATCAGTGGAGGCTGAGGAAAACGCACCAAAGTCGTATTCTGATGGGAGAGTTAGAAAACCCTTGCCTGGAATGATATAAAATATAGGAAAAATACCGAAAACTTTGTGGATCTGGCTGGGGAGATTTTTGGTGTCAACTAAAGAAAAAAATTAAGCTTTTAAGAAATTAAAGTTAGATTTATTTAGGGGTCTGAGAACAAGAGACTGAGGATTACAGCCTAGGAGAAGTCTTTCAGAGAGGTTCTGTCAGACTGCTCTGGTGCAGGTCTTTAGCCCACAGTTTATATACAAGCTGTGAAGATCCAGTAAGTGCAGAATCATATTGGACTTGCTTAGAAGCTACATTAAAGCAGAATCACATCAATGTGTGGGTGTAGATATGTGGGGAAAAGCAAGAGAGATCAGATTGTCACTGTGTCTGTGTAGAAAGAAATAGACATGGGAGACTCCATTTTGTTATGTACTAAGAAAAATTCTTCTGCCTTGGGATGCTGTTGATCTATAACCTTACCCCCAACCCCGTGCTCTCTGAAACATGTGCTGGGTCAACTCAGAGTTAAATGGATTAAGGGCGGTGCAAGATGTGCTTTGTTAAACAGATGCTTGAAGGCAGCATGCTCCTTAAGAGTCATCACCACTCCCTAATCTCAAGTACCCAGGGACACAAAAACTGCGGAAGGCCGCAGGGACCTCTGCCTAGGAAAGCCAGGTATTGTCCAAGGTTTCTCCCCATGTGATAGTCTGAAATATGGCCTCGTGGGAAGGGAAAGACCTGACCGTCCCCCAGCCCGACACCCGTAAAGGGTCTGTGCTGAGGAGGATTAGTAAAAGAGGAAGGAATGCCTCTTGCAGTTGAGACAAGAGGAAGGCATCTGTCTCCTGCCTGTCCCTGGGCAATGGAATGTCTCGGTATAAAACCCGATTGTATGCTCCATCTACTGAGATAGGGAAAAACCGCCTTAGGGCTGGAGGTGGGACCTGCGGGCAGCAATACTGCTTTGTAAAGCATTGAGATGTTTATGTGTATGCATATCTAAAAGCACAGCACTTAATCCTTTACATTGTCTATGATGCAAAGACCTTTGTTCACGTGTTTGTCTGCTGACCCTCTCCCCACAATTGTCTTGTGACCCTGACACATCCCCCTCTTTGAGAAACACCCACGAATGATCAATAAATACTAAGGGAACTCAGAGGCTGGCGGGATCCTCCATATGCTGAACGCTGGTTCCCCGGGTCCCCTTACTTCTTTCTCTATACTTTGTCTCTGTGTCTTTTTCTTTCCTAAGTCTCTCGTTCCACCTTACGAGAAACACCCACAGGTGTGGAGGGGCAACCCACCCCTACATCGATACATCTGCTTACAGATTACACGGGCATAATCACGAACCCTGTCAGACATTATCTTTTGTGTAGAAAAGGGTCAGGATTAGGATCATTTATATTTTAAGGAATATAGAGGCTCAGACAAGAGACATGGGGAACATATATTCTATCCTGTTTTGTCTTCAAAGCGTTTTTTGGAGAGCTGCACTTCATCACGGAGTCAGGGAATGTGTGACATTATGCTGACAAGTATACACAGCAAACACGATTTCTTACATTTGCTGCTCTGTTTCATAAGTTCCCCCTTTTGGTCATAAATCAGTTGACATAAACCAGGTCTGACTGCATTTACAGGACCAACACTGATTGTCCCATGCAGCTAGGAAGACTCTTTCCTGGAAAAGTTGATATAGTCTTTATTTGTAGTTATGAAGACACGAGCATCAAGCTCAGCATGCACACTTGCCTATTTATTGGAAAACATGCTTTGATCACATCTATTTTTTTATTAGTATAATCTAGAATAACCATTGCTATAATAAGTACAGTAGCCATGATTAAAACTTAATCAAAGTTTTTCGTTGACAAGTAAATTTAGTTATTTTTATTACATCCAACATTTTAAGATAATGAGAATTATGACTGATAGTGCCATTTTGAGACCACAAAGCATTTATAAATTTTATATAATCTTTGGAATACTCAAATTAATAAAATATCTATACAAATATAATTTTAGGAAAAAATCAACAATCAAAATTCTAACTGATAACGTATTCAATTTCACATATATTATATTATATATATATACACACTATATATATATACACACTATATATATACACTATATATATACACACTATATATATATACACACTATATACACACTATATATATACACACTATATATACACACTATATATATACACACTATATATATATACACACACTATATATATATATATACACACACATAGATATATATATATATAGAGAGAGAGAGAGAGAGAGAATGTATATATATTAAAGTCTTGCTGTGTCAACCAGGCTGGACTGCAGTGGCATGATGATAGCTTACTGTAAACTCAAACTCCTGGGCTTAAGGGATCCTCTTGCCTCAGCCTCCCAAGTACCTAGGACTACAGGCACATGCCACCATGCTTAGCTACTTTGTTTTCTGTAGAGACAGAAAACATGTTGCTCAGGCTGGTCTCAAACTTCTGGCCTCGAGTGATTCTCCCACTTTGGCCTCCCAAAGCACTGGTATTATAAGTATGAGCTACTGTCCCCAGCCTTATGTAATTTTTGGAATATTTGTATCAATAACATACACATAAATCTAACTGAAAGAAGATCTATTATCATTTGTCATTTGACAATGCCTCTGATACAATTTACAAAAAAAGTATAATTATTTAGTTCAAAAAGACTTAATTTAGGATTTGAACCGTAAGGGAACTTATCACAGATGTCAAAAGTTTAAAACACTTGGTCTAACCAGAATCAAAGGTTATTGCAAAATAAAAGTTATTCATTTAACCAAGGTGATAATCAAAAGACCTCAAAAGCAGTATAGAAAGTCATATTGATGGGAAAAAAAAGAAAAAAAAAGTGAACATTTTAAAACTCAGTTTTCTAAGAAGTCAAAAATGTAATAAAGACAATGTGAAGGCCAGGTGTGGTGGCTCAAGCCGATAATCCCAGCACTTTGGGAAACTGAAGGGGGTGGATCACTTGAGCCCAGAGTTCAAAACCAGCCTAGGCAACATGGCAAAGCCCCAGCTCTACAAAAAAATACAAAAATTAGCCAGGTGTCCCAGCTATTCAGGAGGCTGAGGTGGGAGGATTGTTGAAGCCCCAGGAGGCAGAGGTTGCAATGAGCTGAGATAACACCACTGTACTCCAGCATGGGTGACTCTGTTTCCAAAAAAAGAAAAAGAAAAAGAAATTATCTTGGTAAAATGTAAAATCTGTGTTTTTTTCAGCCACCTATCAAATAAATAAATAAAAACCTACTGTTGTGTGATTTCTTCTCCTTATGCAAAGTCTATGTAGATAACCAGGAAGTCAACCCTGATAAAAAGAATGCTTATATTTAACCACACACAGGGAGAGTGTTTTCAGGATTATGAGAATACGTATGTTATAAAGGAATATAAACAATAAAACTAGTACCTTGAGCAGGGGAATACATGGCTCTTAGTAAAAACATGAGAAGTTTTCTGATTACATTGAACAATTCAGATACATCAAGAAATGCCTGGAGTACAGAATCAAGTTACACTGGAGGAACACATTGCTTCTTTAGACTTCAAGATAAACACTGCAGCATCAGGCCACAACAGCCATGTCTGAAATGAGGAAAGAAGTTATAAGTCAATGAAAAGGTTGAAGGACAGAGTTATCATCCCAGCCAAGCAAAAAGATATACCTATTCAAGAGAAGAAAGAACAGAAGGTGTATTAGTCCACTTTGCATTGCTGTAAAGGAATACCTGAGACTGGGCAATTTATAAAGAAAAGAGGTTTATTCGGCCCAGGGTTTCTGCAGGCTGTATGAGAAGCATTGCACCAGCATCTGCTTCTAGGGAGGCCTCAGGAAGCTTACAAATATGGCAGAAGGAAAAGGGGGAGCCACCATGTCATATAGTGACAGAGGGAGTAAGAGAGAAGGGAGAGATCCCAGACTCTTTTTAACAACCAGATCTCACAGTAACTCATCACCACAGGAAGAGCACCAACACATTCATGACCCAAACACTTCCCACCAGGTCCCACCTCTAACACTGGGAATTACATTCCAATATGAGATTTGTAGGGACAATCATCCAAACTCTATCAGGAGGTAATCACGTATGACTTACAAATCCCATGCAATAAGGTACAGCAAAAGTCTAACTTCTGATATACAAATCTGAGAAGTTTTAAAAAAATGGATTACAGAATTAAATATCAAAACTTCTTGCAATGTTAACAAGAGCAGATCAAGAGTTTAAAAACCTTGTTGTTTTAATATAGCAAATGAAAATTTCCAGTTTTATGTTAGTGTATTTTAATGTCAAAGTTCAATCTTTAGAAATAATTTTCTTTTAATTATAGCAAACTTAACTATACACAAAAAATTTTTATAACTTTCCTTTTCACAAAACTTATTACACAGAAGTTACACAAACTATTTGCAACATGCTTGAATTTCGACTTTATCCTATACTTTCTGTTCCTGAAATAACCAGTCATTTTACTTTATGACAAAAATTTACCATACAAGATTCCTTCTCATATAAAGTTATTTATATTTTTTAAACTTTCTTACCAGAAATATATCTTCATATCTATACCTTTTTTATATCTCTCTCTTCTACTTCCTATTTTCTATTTTGTTTTATATTTTATTCCTAAATCTATATTTTGAAAGAATCTTTTAAAAAAACTGAATTACACAAAATTATTCAAGCACACTTTATGCCTTTTTGATAATATTTGCACATTTTTTACACTGAGAATTAAAAATTTTAACTCTCAGTAACTTTAAATTTTATTGAAAACCTAGGAATCAAGAAATCTTAAATTGAGGCTAGGAGCAGTGGTTTACACCTTTAATTCCAGTCCATTGGAAGGCTAAGATAGGAGGATTACTCAAGGCCAGAAGTTTGAGAGTGTCCTAGGCATCATTGTGAAATGCTATCTCCACAAAAGTTTTTAAAAACATTATCTGGGCTTGGTGGAGCACACCTGTAGTCTGAGCTACTCAGGAGGTTGAGGCAGGAGGATCACTTGAGGACAGGAGTTCAGGTTACAGTGAGTTATGATCATGCCACTGCACCTCAGCCTTGGTTACTGAGTAAGATCCCATCCCTAAAAATAAGAATAAATTTTGAATTGTCTGTCATATATCACTATTTTATGGATGAAACCATTTTATAATTTTTAGAAACATGTTTTTGTATAACAGTTTAATGATTTTAATTCGAAATCATTCAGATATTTAATTAGTATCATTATGTCATTTAACATAACTTTAAGATTTCAAATTACATAAAATTTTTATTTATAGACATTTATTTTATTTACATTTACCTGGTTTATTTGTTTTTTAACAGTTTGCCTAGATTACTTATGAGAACTAAGATGTTAGAAAATGTTAGTCATTTTATTTCCCTGTAAACCATTTTATAATCTGTGAATAGCAGATGTTCACCTAAGAATCTCAAAATTAAATATATATTGTGCTGATAACTCAGAAGACACAGCTGTTTTTATTAAACCACCAGTATTAAATTTGTTTTGCTTACCAAAAAAAAACACATGAAGAAAGATCATCCTGTTTTAGGATAGGTTTATAATTTTGTAACCTTCATGTCAAACTCTGATATTTAAAAATATTTAGCAGAGAAAACTACAAAGCTGTTTTATCAGAAATTTAAGCAAAAATGAATGCTAACAACTTTGAAGACATTTCCATTTTTACCAATAATTTTAAACCATACTATTTATTAAAGATTTTCTTGTCATGTGAAATTGGAAATTATTTGGGCTTATTAATTTATGCATGCTCATTAATTTATAAGTCAATTTGGTACCCTGCCGCAGCCACAACATGTAACACATGTACATATACATCCATTTAAACACACACACACACACACACACACACACACACACACACACACAAATCTTACATTAATAGCTTTCAGTTTAGAATTTCTGTCATGAGATAGGAATACAGACTCACTGGCTTATAAAAGATGATTGGATACAAATTACATTTCTGACAAAATGAAGACATATTCACATGGCTGAACTTTATTTTCCCTGATGGGCAATCTAATGAAGACTATAGACAAAATTTTGAATAAAGTAGTTTGTGTGGTTTTTTGTTTTTAAAAACATTTTATTCCTCTTTTCACTTCAATTTCAAGTAAGTTTACGGTTAAATTTTCAATGTGTACAGTTTAGCTGGAACTGGCTGAATTGTATAAGAAAAAATCTCCAAGTAACCTTGAATTACTAATACCCAAAATAGTGAATTTTATCACACACCAGTAGAAAAGTCATCACATTCAAATTAGGTAGGGAAAAAACTAGAGAGTTAGAGAACTTAGAAGACTTTATGTGTTAACTCTATAGTTGCAGCAATATTGGCCATTTGAGTTCTGAATTTTAAGTAATTTGCTCACCAGTTTAAAAATTTGTACAAGAACAAGATACAATATGTAGCTTCCTAGAGTCCCAGAAAACCTGGCATGCCTTAATGTTTGAGAATAATAATTTTGGCCATTTTAGTATGAAATCTCCCTTAGTAACCCCTCCCATTTATGGAGATACTTGTAAGTATAGGCTACATACATAGGTAGGTATAACATACACCTACCTAAGTATGTATAGGTATAACATATATAAGTATAGTACATATGTTATACATGAAGCCTGCCAGAGTACCAACTAGAAGTTGGTGTGCAGTGCCTTTCTTGTTTCAGCTTTTGATAATTTATTTCTCACTGTGTGATCTCAGAAAAGCAGGAAACTATTTATTATCTTCAGCCAATTTCAGAAAAGATTCTGCAAAAAAAAATGTATATATGGTTTGAAGGTACAGATCTAGTCTAAATTTAGTAAATAAAGCATGAGTTCAAGGTAAAGGTCTCTAAAATATGACCATAAGATAATAGTAGGAGACTTAAGTACCCCACCTTCAACAATGGACAGATCATTTAGACAGAAAATAAATAAACTGTAGACTTGAACAACACTCCAGACTAAATGGATACAACAGACATATAGAGAATATTCCACCCAACAGCAGCACAATACACACTCTTTTCAAGTGCACATGAAACATTCTCTAGGATGGATCATATATTAGGCTATAAAACAAGCCTTCACAGATTTTTTAATTACAATCATGTGAAGTATCTTTTACAACCACTACAGTATGAATCTACTACTCAATGGGAGAAAAACCGGAAAATTCACAAATATGTAGAAATTACACATACCCCTGAGTAACTAATGGGTAAATGAAGAAATCAAAAGGTAAATTTAAAAATATTTTGAGACAATTAAACTGGAAACACAACATACCAAAACATATGGAAAGCAGCAAAAGCAGTTCTAAGAGTGAAATTTGTAGCAATAAATGCCTACATGAAAAAAGAGGAAAGATGTCAACTCAACAATCTAACATTACATATCAAGGAACCAGACAAAGAAGAACAAACTAGGTCTAAAGTTAGTAGAAAGAAGAAAGTAATAAAGATCAGAGCAGAAATAAAATAAAGATAAGAAAAACAGAAGAGATCTACAAAAACTTAAGAGATGGTGTTTTAAAAAGATAAACAAAACCGACTACTACGAACAATTATACACCAGCCAATTGGATAATCAAAAAGAACGAAATAAATTCCTAGGTATGTACATCCTGTCAAGATTAAATCACAAAGAAACAGAAAATCTAAACAGAATAAAAACCATTTAGAACATTGAATCAGTAATAAACAAAAAATGTCTCCCATCAGAGAAAATCTCAGGGCAAGACAAAATAGCTCCTCTAGTAAATTCTACCAAACATTTAAGAAAGAATTAATGGGCCGGGATCAGTGGCTCACGCCTGTAATTCCAGCACTTTGGGAGGCCGAGATGGATGGCTCACTTGAGGTCAGGATTTCAAGACCAGCCTGGCCAACATGGTGAAACCCCATCTCTACTTAAAATTAAAAAATCAGCCGGGCATGGTAGGCCCAGCTACTCAGGAGGCTGAGGCAGGAGAATTACTTGAACCTGGGAGGCAGAGGTTGCAGTGAGCTGAGATCGCACCATCACACTCCAGCCTGGGTGACAGAGCAAGCCTCTGTCTCAAAAAAATAATAATAAATAAAAAGAATTAATGCCAATCCCTCTCAGACTCTTCCAAAAAATTCAAGAGGAAAGAATGCTTCTAAACTCATTTCGTAAACCCAACATTACCCCGATACCAAATCCAAACAAGAGCATTACAAGAAAGGAAAATTACAAGTCAATATCCCTAATGAACATAGATGTGAAAATCCTCAAAAACAATACCAGCAAACCTAATTCAACACCACATTAAGAAAATTATTCACCACGATCAAGTTGGACTTGGTGACTTGGTGATCCAAGGATGGTCAACATACTCAAATCAAAAAATGTGATATGCCACATTAACAGAATATAATACAAAAACCATATGATCATCTAAATAGATGCAGAAAAAGCATTTGACAACATTCACATACTTTCATGACAAAAACTCACAACAATCTAGGTATAGAAATGTACTTCAACACAATAAAGGCAATATATGACAAACCAACTGCTGCCATCGTTCTTAAGGGTGAAAAGCTGAAAGCTTTTTCTCTGAGATCAGGAACAAGACTGATCTCATCTCTCTGTTCAATATAATACTGGAATTTCTAGCCAGAGCAATTATGCAATAAAATGAAATGGAAGGCATCCAAATTGGAAAAGGAGAAGTTATATTATTTGTTTGCAGATGGCATGATGTTATACATAGTAAATTCTAAAGACTCCACTGAAAAACTATTAGAACTGATTAACAAATTCAATTAAGTCTCAAAATATAATATTAACATACAAAATTCAGTAATGTTTCTATATACTACTGAACTGTGTGAAAAAGAAGTCAAGAAAAGAATCCCTTTTACAATTGATACAAAAACCAAAATACCTAGGAATAAATTTAACTAAGGAACTGAAAAATCTGCACACTGAAAACTATAAAACATTAATAAAAGAAATTGAAGAAGACATAAATAAGTGACAAAACATCCTGTGTCAATGGATTGAAGAATTCACTGTTGTTAAGATGTTCATACTACCCAAAGTGATCAACAGATTCAGTGTAATCCCTATCATAATTCCAATGACATTTTTAACAGAAATAGAGAACACAATTCTAAAATTCATGTGGAACAACAAAAGACCCCAGACAGCCAAAACAATCTTGAGCAAAAAGAACAAATCTAAAGGCATCATACTGTTTAACTTCAAAATATACTACAAAGCTATAGTAATCACAACAGCACAAAACTGGCATAAAAAACAGACACATAGACTGTAACGCAAAAAATATAATGCAAAAATAAAATGTATAGGCAAGTATGAGATGATAGTAAAAACCACCTATATTCTTCCCCTGGAGAAATACCACTATTAACATTTTGGTGTACATACACAAATTAATTTTAAAATAAACAAAATTTCAAATCTTGTTTTATTACCTCCCTTTTTACTTAATAATCTATCTTTAGCAACTCTGTTATTAAATATTATTATATAATAGCTAAACTGTATGTACATAATTCCACAGTGGTTTCATAAAATAATTCATTTAATTTAAAATTATTTTACCATCCACATGGAATTGATATAAATACAGGCAACAGAGAAAGGTATAGAATAATTGGCCTTACATGAAGAAATATCAGCTAAAATTCACCAGAGATCCATATTAAACCAATTTTATGAGAAGAAAAATCACACAACATTTAAGAAATTAGCCTCTGGAGCCATACTGTCTGTTTAAACCTAACTCTACCACTTACTAACATTAAACAAGTTACTTGACCCCTCTGTTTCTCCATCTCATCTCTCAAATTGTACAATGAGGCTGATAAAAGTGTCTATCTCAAGGACTACTGTGAGGATTAAATGAGTTAATTATGAGTGCCTAACATATAGTATGTACTCTGTAAATGTTAGCCTTTTTTTAACCAATGACCTAAAGAAGAAAGTAGTAAACTATTAAATCTTCAGTTCTACAGGTGACACAAAGCAATGAAAGTACACACCAGAATGCAATGAAAAGACAAGATCATGGAGATACATCACAAGATATTTTTGTGAGTGTATAGGACAGAAAGAATATAATATGGAAGGTAACTTTAATATGTGATGGATAAATTAGAAGATAAAATGGATTTTATTTGTAAGTTGATAGTCTGCAAGCAAATGGTTATAGTCCAGGAAAGAAAACCAGGCTAGCTTTTAAATTGATAAAGCCTTTTCAAATATCTGATTTAATCATCATCATAAACCTGTGAGTTCTATTTGCCACCTCTGAATTTTGGAAGTGTTAAATGATTTAAGTAAGATTACACAGTAAGTGAGTTGATGTTATTGAGATGAGAATTTATATATTTTAGCCACAAATTTTGTTCTGTACTATATTGTCTTTCATTTTATACTCTTGTTATAAGACAAACACTGTGATATTTGAGGAAATAGGCAAATCTGTATATTGGACAAAATTTACTTCTGGAGTTGGCAAACTATAGCCATTGGGTCAAATCCGGCCTGCCTCCTGTTTTTGTGAAGTTTTACTGGAACTCGGTGGACAAAATTTACTTCTGGAATTGGCAAACTATAGCCATTGGATCAAATCTGGCCTGCCTCTTGTTTTTGTAAAGTTTTATTGGAACTTGGCCATGCCTATTCATTTATGTGTTGTTTATGGCTATTTCCATCTTACAACAGAATTAAGTGGTTACAACAGAGGCCACATAGCCCACAGAGCAAAAACCATTTCTAATCTGGCCCTTTACAGAAAAGTTTGCCAACACCTGATCTACTTGACTGAAAATAAAGTAAAAAACATTCTTCAACATATGGAACAAAAAAACACAAAAGCAAGCTCTGTGGATTAAAATGTGTACATGACCACAAATCCTAAAGATGTTTACTACTGTTTACTCATAACCAAAAAACTGAGATAACAAGGCGGAACAAATAACCAAAAGACTGAGATAACAAGGCAGAACAAATAAAAATGGAGATATGAGATGTACACAGATAATAAAGCATGATGTTAACAAATATTCCAATTAGAGGGCAGGACAGCTTGAAAACAGCAATACAGTTATTCTGAGAAACAAACTTATTTACACCATTATTTAATCCATGTGAATATTATTAATGACATGATTCTTTGGGAACTAAAAAATAAGAATGAATATAATCTTTGATTTCTATATATTACATATAAAGTCTCTTTCTCTTCGAGGACAAATGTCATTCATTCTTCAGTGGGAACAAAATAGACCCTCCATATGGGCAATGAAGGTCTGTGAGAACTCAAAGTGATGCACAGTATAAAGTCTCTTCATATATATATATAAAATACTGTAAGTTCTAGGGTACATGTGCACAATGTGCAGCTTTGTTACATATGTACACATGTGCCATGTGGGTGTGCTGCACCCATTAACTCGTCATTTAACATTGGGTATATCTCCTAATGCTATCCCTCCCCCAACCCCATGACAGGCCTCAGTGTGTGATGTTCCCCTTCCTGTGTCCAAGTGTTCTCATTGCTATGAGGACTGCCTACTGTGGACTTTCAATAGTCACTTGGAAATTCTGTGTTTTAATAAAGCCACTTAAGTAGTTTTTCTAAAACCCATAAATTGACCGAACACTCTCCTTATTGCAATCTTCATTTCCCTGTTCCTGAATGTGTAGATGACTGGATTCAGAAAAGGAGTGAAAATGGCATCAAATATGGCTAGAAATTTATTCAGATGTGTTGGAGGAGAGGGCCATACATAGAAAAAAATCAGTGGACCAAAGAATAAAACCACAACAGTAATATGAGCTGACAGAGTAGAGACAGCCTTGGATGAGCCTCCTGAGGAGTGTTTCTGAAGAGTGGCCAGAATGAAGATGTAAGAGAGGATGAGCAAGAAGAAAGCACTCAAGGAAATGAACCCACTATTAGCAGTAACCATGAACTGCAGTTTATAGGTATTTGTGCAAGCAAGTTTGATGAGCTGAGGTATGTCACAGTAAAAGCTGTCCAACACATTAGGGCCACAGAAGGGCAAGTTTACTACAAAAGACAATTGGACCAATGAGTGAATGAGACCAATGGCCCAGGAAGCCACTAGAATCAAAATGCACATTCTTGGATGCATGATGGTCAGGTAGTGAAGGGGCTTACATACGGCAACATATCTGTCAAAGGCCATGGCTATGAGCAGCACCATCTCAGTGCCCCCAACAGCATGGCTAAAGAAGATCTGAGCTACACAGCCCCAAAAGGAAATGACTTTCTGTTTCCTGAAAATATCACAAATCATCTTGCGTGCTGCAATGGAGCAAAATGTGAGATCAATGACAGAGAGGTTGGCCAGCAAAATATACAAGGAGGAGTGCAAGTAAGGGTCAGAGGTTACAGTGACCACTACAATGAGGTTTGCCATCACACCGGACACATAGAAAAGACAAGAAAAGCAAAAAAGAAAAATCTTGAGTCTCCCAAGAATTTGAGAGTCCCAGCAACACGAATTCAGACACCACAGACTGGTTGTCCCTATTCATTTGATAAGTTCACTTTCACGTTACCTAAAGAGAAAAAAAAATGAGAAATTTCTAATTAATAGTATTATATTAATAGCCTCTATGAAAAAGTATATAACCATGAAAGTCAAATATTACCTGAGCACCTCATGAATAACAAATGACATTCTTTTGGCCACTACTGCTGCAGTTACATGTGACAGTAACGAAGCTGCCACATGAGCTTGCTAATTTAAGGGATGGTGAAATAGTCTGGTAGATTGGTACCTGTGTTTACCTGTGGAAATCACAAAGAAAGTGCATTTGATGTCAAATTGCTGTATCAGTAAAATCAATATTCACCACCCTCTCCCTGGAGGAGTAATAACTAATGATGATACGAGACAGACAAAGAGGGCTATTCTGTGACATAGACTTTTAAGATCTTGTGACTCAGATTTCTTTGTTCAAGCCACAAATTTTCTTTCCCTATTTTACACTTCTCAAAATATAATTTGTTCTTTAATATCCAGATCAAATAGCACCTCATTTATCAAACCTTCCTTAGGACCCACCAATATACCCAAATGCTTGTTGGTCACATGTCTATTCCCCTATAGAATTATAAACTGCTCAAGGTTATAAATCATCACTCCTTTAATTTTTTATTTCAATAGTTTGCCCATACAATGTGTTGCAAATACTAGGTGACAAAAAAAAGGTTTTTGAGTAAATAAATGATTAGGCTGAAGTAGTTCTTACCTAATAATTTCTTGTATTATGAGCCAGGAACTAAGCACTAGGAATATAGCCAAGAACAAAATAGGTAAAAGTCCCTGTCCTCACAGATTTACATTTTGACAGAAAGAGTCAGACAATTAAATAAATAAATAAAGATATACACAGTGTCAGACAATTATTTCACTGTGGATAACAATTAAGCAAGGAAGAAGAATAGGGCACTAAGGGGAGTGCTATTATAAAACAGGATTAACAATAACATTCTTGCTGATGAGTTGACTGAGCAGAAATCTAAGAAGATGGATGAACAAGTCATGAGGGTGTTTGGGGAAAGAGTACTTCAGGCAGAAATAACAGCAAGAGCAAAAGCTCTGAAATGTAAACTCACTTGACATCTGCAAAGAACTACAAGGAGGTCCAAAAGGCTGAACCTGAGTGTGCAAGGAGGGTAGAGTAGATGAGGTTTGAGAGGTAACAGGTGCACAGATCATGTAGGTCCTTATAAGCCATTGTAAGTACTTTTATCATTACTCTGAATGAGATAACAAGCAACTAGGTTTTGAACAGAGAAACAACAAAATATAGCTTACATTGTTAAAGGGTTACTCTGTCTGTTGCATTGTGAATATGCTTCAGAGTCTCAAGGATAGAAGCAGAGAGATTGGCTAGAAACACATTTTTATCACTAGCAAAAATCCAAGAGATAATGTTGGCTTAGATCAGGGTGGTAGAAGTCGAGCCAATGAGAGGTACTAGATTCTGGAGACACTGAAATGATACATGGTGAAATTTTCAGGCTATAGATAACCCTGACCTTTTGGAGACTATAAAACACTGCATCTTATTAGAGAGTTTTCATACGAAAATACATGAGATCTCAAATCTGTAAAAACACAAACAGTTCTGGTAAACATATATTTGGTCACCAAATCTAATAAGGACTCTAGAATAAGGAAACATTTGGAGTTTTGAGAAGGGAGTCTGAGGCAAACAAAAGGTATAATTCCTTCATATCCACAGGTTCTGCACCTGCAGATTTAATCAGCTTCAGATCAACAATATTTGGGAAAAATAAAGTAAAATGAAAAATAACAAAAAGTAGAAATATGTACCTACTATGTAGCCACAATTTTTTTATTTAAAAAATAAGAAAACAATACAGTATAACAACTACATGCATAGCATTTACATTGTATTAGATATTATAAGTAACCTAGAGATTAAAGTATAAAGAAGAATATGTTCAGGTTATATGTAAACACTATGCCATTTTATGTAGGGAACTTGTGCATCCAAGGATTTTGTTATCCAAGGGCGGCGGGTGGGAGGTCCTGGAATAAATTCCCCACAGATACTGAGGGTCAACTGTAATCTCTTTCAAAGCAAGTAGAAAGCTACGAAACTCAATACCACAAGCAATTATATAGGCTGAAAATGTTGTTATAACCAAGTAGGAATTTTTAAGTGAAAAAAACAAAATATTCTCTATTTACTCTGCCATATTCTCTAAATGAGAATTTAAATGCGCCATTTCTCCTTTTAAATAACTGTTTTGGTTTTCAGACCAATTACACTGAACTCTTTGAACTTGTTTTCCTAAGTAAGGCTGTTTCTGAAACCAAGAAAGCAAGAATAATCTTTCCTTTTGTCACTTAAGCTCCACATTATCAGGACTTTTTTAAGGGCTATCACATCGACTTCTCTATAAGACAGGATGAAATCATCAGCGCAAAAAAACATCTAAGATGCAAATAAACAGAAAAATACTAGATTAATAGAAAGATGAGGTTCTACTTCTAGCCAGGAAAATCTGTTCAGGATAATAATGTCATATCCAGTTAGATTTCATGTAATATCATTTAACTATTGTCAACCATTTTTGTGTGAGACATATACCATTAAAAGTCTGTGCTTAAAACACTACTAATACAGAAGTAATCAACTTCAATTAAATGTGATAAAATATATGTTTTAAAAAACAGAAATATGGGCAAACAGAAAAGAAAAATTCATTTTACTGAGTTGATCACAAATTCCAGTTCTCATCCTGTTCTATATAGTGGCACATTTTCAATAATTTGGCATTTAATGAAAACTTTTTATGAAGAGCATTTCTATTAAATATCCTCTGAAAGTTACTTCAACAGAGACTGCATGGAAGAAAAAACAGTGATAAAGTTTGTTTAGCTATTTAGATGAATTTACATGAAAGCTATCACGTAGAATAACTAAAGTTGCTGCAGAGCAAAACAATTAAACTGTGAATAATTTCCTCAAACATAAGTTCTTCTTTCATGATTAAACTAAGAACTACTTTACAGAAGTATGTTAGTAACGATCAGAGGTGGGGAGTACAGATATAATATATCCAGAATATATCTCCAATGTGCATATTTATTGTAGGAAATACCACAATACAGAGAAATTATGTCAGTCTTATTAATCCAGTGGTTCTCATCCAGGGCATTTTACCTCCCAGGGGACATTTAGCAATGTCTGAAAACGTTTTTAGTTTCCCCAATGAGGGATAATGGGGGGAAGAATACTACTGGCATCTGGTGTGTATAAACCAGGGATACTACTAAATATCCTACACTGCACAGGATAGACCCCACAGCAAAAACTGACCAGCCCCAAATGTCAATGGCGCCAAAGTAGAAAACCCCTGCATTAAACTATGAGCTTCTCTATGTAAAATTCAGTTTTTATATCAATTTATTCCTCACCATCATTCCCGTCACATGGTGTGCTCTAATGAGTGTTTGGTGCGGCAGTGAATGAGTAAGTGGATGAGTAGCTGGATGGGAGAATGGATGCATTGAGGGAAGGAAGGATGATGAAAGATGAATAGATGAATAGACAGTCAAAAGGGAAGCTTAAATGCAACTCAAAAGAAGAAAGGTCTCTAAACAACGCAGACTAGTTATTGCTAGGGACACCGGAAGTCTATAATGACAACACTTTACAAAAAATGAAAGAATGCATCATCGTTAAACAAAAAAACTTGGCTATATACCTAATGTATCCCACGATTTGATAGATAAAATCAGAATTTTTCTAGATGCACAAGCAATAAATCTGAGAAATATGTACTAATGTCCCAAAGGTTCAGATAATAAGAAATAACAAGTCTTTCATAGTTTTGTGTAGATTATTTTTTCTGATCTCCTTCTGGAAGCAGCAGCAGGTATTTAAGCAAATGGAGTTTGGAGAGAAAAAACACAAGTTTAGAATATCTGATATTATCCAAATGTAATGAGCCTGAATGTGATACAAATGATGGAGAAATTGGACAAGGAAACAGGAAAAAATGAATTTTAGAAATGGGCCAGATAGCCTAAAACTGGAAAAGAAGCAAAGCAAATAATTGTATATCACAAGATATTTACAGTGTATTTAACTTGTGTCTTCAGAGTCTCAAAGGCAAAAGTTGCTCCTGGTGGAATACACAAGGCTAGAGAAAGGTATCCCACTGCCCCCTGAAGGGTGTTCAGTGCTCTCTGAGCCATTCTTTGCTCTCAGTAAACTGAGCTTGTTCTAAAAGAATACTTTCAATCTTTGGTTCTCCAGGACTTTCCTCCACCATGCTTTTTTTTTCTTTTTTATTAATTCAAGACTATAAAAGTTACAAATCATAACTTTTTAATATTTGCTCTCCAAACAACATCATTTGATTTGCATATTTATATGAATTTGGTCAGTCTCCCAGAAGAAATTCTTAGCCATGTTAAAATTTATAGTTGAAGAAAATAGATAAAATTAGTATCCTACTAATAAAGGCATAGAAATAAAGCATTGAGGGAGAATTTCTGTCCAGTCCAGTCCACATCAGTGGCATTTCTAAATTATCTAAGTCATACTACTTAAGAATTCAATATTTCTCTTTTTTGGCCATTCCTGTGCTTTATCATTTCAACAGCCCAAAACTTCTTCCCTGCTCCCAGCTGAACTTTCTGGTTATTTGTTTTAAGCCTATGTTCACTTGTCTGTTTCTTTTTAAAAGTAAAAATACAGGTGTCCTTATATCCTCTCATATAAATCATTACCATGCTTGAATTAAGTAATCAAACTAAATTACTCCTTCCTTTCATCTTTCCTCTTACGGTCAATTTTCATGTCCCTGGATTCCTGGATTCCAAAAATTTGTTATTTTACCTGAAATGTATCTACCTCTATTTTACATTGTAATGGCCAAAACTAGAGAGGAAGAAGAAAAAAACAACTAAACGTCCAACGAACTATCATAGCAGAATAATTTATTCCTCCATTAGTACCATTATAACAGTTTTTCTTCTTCACAGTTGAAAATGATATTAAGTGTGTAGTAAGGCATGCAGGTAAGGGCAGGTGGGCTCTCAGAAAGACAGTTTACCGGTCAATTCTTCTCCAAATTCTGTTTATTTCATTTAATTTGGTCCCAAGAAGTGCCACAGAACATGAGTCTCTAGCAGACTTCCTTTTTAAACTTTTCTGCAAAGACAGAGATAGAGCAAGTGGTCTTCACTTTTAACTTCTATAGGTTATTAATTTCCCTTCACGCCTATCAAACAGGTTAAGAAGATTTTTAAATAATAAATCATTTTCTAAGTCACCATTTGAACTCCCAAATCTCTTGCCTCTGCTAAAGACACTGCATTGTGCTGAGTCCAACTCTCCTTCATAGCCTTCCTTTTACTGTGGATACCCATGATACATTTCTACTACCAGGTAAAAGTGAAAGTCAGTTATTTGCCTTTCTTCATGATCTGTAGCCCCTTATGTATGCCCTAATGTGATCTGTTCCTTCTTCCCTACGTTATAACCTACTTGACCACACCAAAATCTTATTTGATAAATGCAAAGAGAGATTCTGCCACTACACTATTTTGCTGAAACTAAATTTCATAAATCAATTTAAATTTTTTTCCTGCTGTTATCTTGACTTTCCATCTTTCCACTTACCTGTTCCCAGACCACATGATCTTCAGGTAATTAGAATACAGGTAACTGAGCTTCTGCTTGTGCCACTTCTATTATATAAAAAGCTAAGAGAATCACAAAAAGTAGTGAATTAACAGCACTGAAGAATACTGACTAGCTGCTTTTGCAGAAACCTGGATTTGCCAGCTTTGTTCATGTGGCCAGGGGAATTGTCCCTGGAACCTGATTGGCTTGGTAAGAACCACCAAAAGAAAAGTCTTGTAATGAGTCCTGGAGAGGAAACAAAACTGAGACTGGATATTTTAAGACCCTCACCCTTGGAGATTTTATCTGCTAAGTCCAACTTGCTCATTGGTGGTTTAAAATTAGGAAGAGGGGGAGGGGCAGAATGGCTGAATAGAAGTCTCCACCGATCACCACCCCTGCCACACACACACACACAAGAACACCACGTCTGACAACTATCTACACAAAAGGAGTAGCTTCATAGGAACCAAAGATCAGGTAAGCACTCGTAGTGCCTGTTTTTGACTTAATATCACTAAAAGAGGCACTGAAGAGGATAGAAGATGTCTTTTCTATCCTCTTGAAATATTGAATTCAGTCTTGAGTTGTGACGCCACCGCTCCCCCCGACCACCCACAGCACTGGGTGGTGGAGATAGGCATAGCACAGCAACTGTGAGGCTTTGCATGGAACTCAGTGCTGCCCTGTCCCACAGAAAGCAGAACAGAGCTGAACTCAGCTGACACTCACCACGGAGGGTGCGTTTAAAAACTGAACCATGAGAACACTTGGACACAGGAAGGGGAACATCACACACTGGGGCCTGTTGTGGGGCTGGGGTTGGGGGCAGGGATAGCATTAGAAGATATACCTAATGTAAATGACGAGTTAATGGGTGCAGCACACCAGCATGGCACAGGTACCCTAGAACTTAAAGTATAATATATATATATACATAAAATTAAAAAAAAAAACAACCAGCACTAACTAGCCAGAGGACATCACCCATCCCTTCAGTGGGAGGATGAGTTCCAGCCAGCCTCACCACCCAGGGCTGGAGGGCTGTGGGGCCCCATATTAACTTGAAAGGCAGTATAGGACGCAAAGACTGCAATTCCTAGGCAAGTCCTAGTCCTGAGCTGGGCTCAGAGCCAGCCGACTGAGGAGGTGGGGGGCACGTGACCTTTGAGACACCAGCTGGGGCAGCTGAGGGAGTGCTTACATTATCCCTTCCCCAACCACAGGCAGAACAATGCACCTCTCCAAAAGAGACCTTTTCCTTATGTTTGATGAGAGGAGAGAAGGGTGAAGAGGACTTTTCTCTTGCATCTTAAATACCAGCTCAGCCATAGTAGGATAGGACACAACGGTCAGCGTCATCTGGCCCTAACTCTCGAACAACATTTCTAGACATACCTTGGGCCAGAAAGGAACCCACTGCCTTGAAGGGAAGAACCCAGTCCCAGCAGGATCCACAACCTACTGCTTAAAAAGCCCTTCGGCCCGGAAGCAGCAGCAGCCATATCCAGGTAGTATGCTGCAGGCCTTGGGTGAGACTCAGAGATGTGCTGGCTTCAGGTGTGAACTGGCACATTCCCAGCTGTGGTGGCTATGGAGAGAGATTCTTCTGCTTGAGAAAAGTACAGGAAAAAGTAAAGGGGACTTTGTCTTGCACCTCAGCTATCAGCTCAGCCACAGAGGGGTAAAACACCAAGCGGACTTTTGGGGTCCTCAGTTCCAGGCCTTGGCTCTGGGATGGCATTTCCGGACTTACTCTGGGCCAGAGGGGAGCCCACTGTCCTGAAGGGTGAGTCCCAGGCCTCATTCACCACAGGCTGACTGAAGAGCCCTGGGACCCTTAAGGAACATGGGCCATAGCCAGGAAGTGGGTATAGCAGACCTTGAGTGAGACCCAGTGCTGTACTAGCTTCACGTCTGACTACTTCAAGGCATTTAATAAGCAAACTCCCAGAGGTAAAGGATAAAGAAAGGATCCTAAAATCAGCAAGAGAAATGAGAAAATAAACAATGGAGATCCAATATGTTTGGCAGCAGACTTTTCAGTGGAGACCTTACAGGCCAGGAGAAAGTGGCATGACATATTTAAAGTGCTGAAAGAAAAACTTGTACCCTAGAATAGTACATCTGGTGAAATTATCCTTCAAACATGAAGGAGAAATAAAGGCTTTCCCAGACAAACAAAAGGTGAGACCTGTCCCACAAGAAATGACAAAGGGAGCACTCAATCAGAAAGAAAAGGATGTTAATAAGCAATAAAAAATCCTCTGAAGGTACAAAATTCACCGATAATAGTATTACTTTAAAATTATTTAAAATATTTCTGAAACACAGAATATTATAACACTATGTAGTGTGTAAACTACTCTTAAGTAGGAAAACTAAAAGATGAACCAATCAAAAATAACAACTACAACAACTCTTCAAGACATAGACTGTACAATAAGACATAAATAGAAACAGGCCAGGTGCCGTGGCTCACACCTGTAATCCCAGCACTTTCAGAGGTCAAAGCAGATGGATCACTTGAGGTCAGGAGTTCAAGTCCAACCTGGCCAACATGGCAAAACCCTGTATTTACTTTAAAGAGAGAGATATATATAAATAGCAACAACAAAAAGTTAAAAACTGGGAGGATGATGTTCAGAGCTTTTATTAGTTTTCTTTTTGCGTGTTAGTTTGTGTGTTTGTTTATACAAGCAGTTTTAAGTTGTTATCAACTTAAAACAATGGATTATTATAAGATAGGGTTTACTGTCTGATGGAAATCTCAAATCAAAAAACATACAACAGATACATAAAAAATAAAAAGCAATAAATTAAATCATACCACCAGAGAAAATGACCTTCACCAAAAGGAAGATGGAAAGAAGAAAGGATGGAAGGATGGAAGGAAGGCCACAAAACAACCAGAACACAAATTTTAAAAGGGCAGCGGTAAATCCTTACTTATCAATAATAACATTAAATTTAAATGGACTAAAAAAGCCTGGGACCCAATGGCTTCATTTCCAAATTCTACCAAACATTTAAAGAATAACTAATACCAATCCTACTCAAACTACAAACTATTGCAAGGACAAAAAACCAAATACCGCATGTTCTCACTCATAGGTCGGAATTGAACAATGAGAACACTTGGACACAGGAAGGGGAACATCACACTCTGGGGACTGCTGTGGGGTGGGGGGAGGGGGGAGGGATAGCATTGGGAGACATACCTAATGCTAGATGACGAGTTAGTGGGTGCAGCACACCAGCATGGCACATGTATACGTATGTAACTAACCTGCACAATGTGCACATGTACCCTAAAACTTAAAGTATAATAATAAAAAAATAAATAAATAAATAGAATAACCAGTACCAATCCTACTCAAACTACAAACTGTCGCAAGGCAAAAAACCAGACACCGCATGTTCTCACTTATAGGTGGGAATTGAACAATGAGAACACATGGACACAGGAAGGGAAACAACATACTCTGGGGACTGTTGTGGGGTGGGGGGAGGGGGAGGGATAGCGTTAGGAGATATACCTAATGTAAATGACAAGTTAATGGGTGCAGCACACCAACATGGCACATGTATACATATGTAACAAACCTGCACATTGTGCACATGTACCCTAGAACTTAAAGTATAATAAAAAAATAATAAATTTAAAAAATGGAGAAAGAGGGAATACTTCCAAACTCCTTCTACAAGGCCAGTATTACCCTGATAACAAAGCCAGAGAAAGACACAGCAAGAACAGAAAACTAGAGCCCAATATTGCTGATGAATATTGATGAAAAATCCTTTAAAAATACTAGCAATTGAAAGAATTAATATTGTTAAAATGTTTATACTACCAAAAGCAATCTACAGATTCAGTGCAATCCAGGTCAAAATATCAATGACATTCTTCACAGAAATAGAAACAAAAATCTTAAAATGTATATGGAACTATAAAAGACCCAGAAAAGTCAAAGTTATCCTAAGCAAAAAGAACAAAACTGGAGGAATTACATTACCTGACTTCAAATTATACTGCAGAGCTATAGTAAACCAAACTGTACAGTACTGGCATAAAAACAGACACATAGACCAGTGGAACAGAATAGAGAACCCAAAAATAAATCTATACATCTACAGTGAACTCATTTTTGACAAAGGTGCCAAGAACATACATTGGGAAAAGGACAGTTTCTTCAATAAGTGGTGCTGCGATAATTGGATATTCATATGCAGAAAAGTGAGTGTAAACCCCTATCTCTCACCACATACAAAAATCAAATCAAAATGAACTAAAAACTTAAATCTAAGACCTCAAACTATGAAACTGCTGAAAAAAAAAAAAACATTGGGTAAGCTCTCCAGGACATTGAAGTAGGCAAAGATTTCTTGAGCTAGACCTCAAAAGCACAGACAGCCAAAGCAAAAATGGACAAATGGGAACATATCAAGCTAAAAAGCTTCTGTGCAGTGAAGGAAAGAGTCAACAAAGAGACAACTCACAGAATGGGAGAAAATACTTGCAAACTACCCATCTGACGAGAGATTAATAACCAGAACATATAAAGAGCTCAAAAACAATAGGAAAAAAAAACTAAATCTAATAATTCAATTAAAAAATGGCTAAAACTTCTGCACAGTACAGGAAAAAGTCAACAAAGTGCAGAGACAATCCACAGAATCAGAGAAAATATTTGCAAACTACCCATCTGACAAGTGATTAATAACCAGAATATGTAGGGAGCTCAAATAATTCAATAGCAAAAAAAAAACTGATTAAAAAATGGGTAAAAGATTTCAATAGACATTTCTCAGAAGACACAAATGGGAAACAAGTATATGAAAAATGCTCAACGTTACTAATTATCAGAGAAATGTAAAATAAAACTACAATGAGACATACTCTCACCCCAGTTAAAATGGCTCTTATCCAAAAGACGGGCAATAATGGATGCTGGTGAGGATATGGAGAAAGGGGAACCCGCATACACTGTTGGAGGGAATGTAAATTAATACAATCACTATGGATAACAATATAGAGGCTTCTCAAAAACCTAAAAGTAAAATTACCATATGATCCAGCAGTCCCACTGCTGGACGTATATTTAAAAGAAAAGAAAAAGCCGCATATTGAAGATAGTCTGCATTCTCATGTTTATTGCAGCACTACTCACAATAGCCAGGATGTAGAATCAACCTAAGTGCCCATCAATGGATAAATAAAGAAAATGTGTTACATATACACAATGGAATATTATTTGGCCACAAAAAAGTAAAATCCTGTCCTTTGAAACAACATGGATGGACCTGGAGGACATTAAGTGAAATAAGCCAGGTGAAAAAAGACAAAGATCACAGGTTCTCATTCATCGATGGAAGCTAAAATTGTAGATCTCATGGAGCTAGAGAGTGGAATCATGATTACTGTAGGCTGAGAATGGTAGTGGTATGCAGGAGAGAAAGTGAGGATGGTTAATGAGTACAAAAATACGGTTACATGGAGGATTAAGATCTAGTTTTGGTAGCACAATAGGGTGACTATAATTAATAATTTGTTATAAATTTCAAAATAACTAGAAGAGTGGAATTAGAATGTTCCTACCACAAAGAAATGATAAATATTGAAGGAGATGGATTGACTACTCTGATTTGATCATTACACACTGTATGCTTGTATCGCAATACCACATGAACCCCACAAATATGTTCAATTATGTATCTATAATTTAAAAAAATTAAAAATTAAAAAAATTAATTCTTTACATTTTTAAAAAAAACACAGAAGAAAACTAGAAAGGAAAATAGAGTCTTAATTGTAAAATAATAATAGGAATAATGTATCCAACCAAACCAATTGAATCAAACTCTCTGGGAGGTCAGCCAAGAGTCTCATTATTTTTTAAAAGTGTCTCAGGTAATTCTGATGTACAACTGTTGTTGAAAACACTGCTGCACCCTCTGCTCCTCTTTGTACTCCCATACCATCTTATGCATAACTCTATCACTGTACTTACCTGGTGACATTGAAACTATTTCTCTATGTCCTGCAGAATGGAAGCTAGCCAGGATGTCTAGCTTATTTTTCTCTGTCTCTATAATGCCTTTTACATTTTCTGGCACATATTAGGAACTCTATAAATATTGGTTTAACTGAACAAAACTAAAATCTAAAGAATAAAATTAGGCCAAATCAAAAATGTAAAAAAAAAAAAAAGAGAAAAAATAGTTTCAAAATAGAATTATAGGCAATGACTAAAAGGGAACATAAATAAGGGTAGAATGGCTCAATGATCATGAATTTCAGAGCTAAGAAGTTAAAAATTAGTTTGAAATACAGGCAAATAACTGAATTCTTAAGACTAACTTCTAGGTTGAAACTGCCTCCCAAGACAGACTCTCTTCAGAGCAGCAAAGCCAGGAAAAAGCAAACCACTTGAACATTTCTCTGACAGTCATTCATATCTATGGCCCACAGACTCCCTTGCAAGTGCCCATAAAGTCCAAAAGAATATGTTTTATAGAACAGGCCTATAATCAGGCGGCTCAGGGGTACATTATCCTTAACCCCCAGAGTAGTCTGAAATGGAAATTTCAAACAATGTAATTATCTGTTTTGTTTTAGTTGGAAAAATATATATCTAATATATTAGAGTTCATTAAATCTTAATTTAATTATAAGCAAATGATACTCTGAAAATTTGAAATCCAGTTTAAAGTATCACAGAACGACTTGATATCAGCAAAGATCTTCAACTGATACTTTAAATTTTTAATAATTTGTAATTGCATACAGAGTACATGAATTTGTTCTCATTTTAAAAACTAGACCATCACAAATAAAGACAAAGACCTTTTAATGACCCTTAATCCAAGGCTCCTGCCCTCCTCTCTAGAGTAACTATCATGTAGTATGTATTCTTCCAGACCCTTTTTATGCTTGACAGTTACGTGCATTTACTTCTGTAAATCCATATTGCTCTACTTTCTTTCTCAGTTTTACAGATATTGTAGAAAATAATCAAGGTCAAGATAAGAAAATATATCACACTAAAATGCGTGATTGAAAATAATCGATTGAAGGAATTATATACAAGAATTTGGGCAAGGGTTATAAGAACCAGGAAGAAATGGAAAGGAACCCAGGGCTGGCAAGGGCAGTGAGCTCTTATAATCCCTAGGGCTATGGGGGTCTAATGAGGGAGGGGTTTCAAGAATCACAAATAAAAGCCAAGGCTGCAGAAGAGCATGAGGAACAGGAGCTGTGACCAGTAGTACAGCCTGCTTTAGTAGCTCATCATAGGCTTCTCCTGCATCCTGTAGGAGAGCACCTCGTCATCACAAAATGTGGTTCCCAACTGGCATTGTAACTACACCTTAGCAGAAGCAGGCATTCCACCAATTTATCAAATCAGATGCTTGTAAGTGATGGCGCATGTCAGTAGACTAGTGAGTTCCATGTGTGTGAGCTTATCATTATACTTCATTTGCTGTAAAATATATCATTTGCTGTAAAATATATTCATTTGCTGTAAAATATACCTGGTCAGATGCAATATTGTGTCAATATCATGGTGATCAATAAGGTATTCTATAGGCCCATAAATGATTGGGTTGTTGTGATCTGTTGAGAGTGTATCACTCAGGGGTTGATCAGAGAAGTAGAACCACTATAACTGATATAGAGTAAGAAATTTCTTATAGGCATTAGACCTTACGCAATTGTGGAAGCCATTAAGCGATCTATGTATGTCTGTTTCCATTGAATCTCATGCTGGGCCTAAAGCCAGTAGAGCCAGTACTATGGAAGGGAAAATGGACACGAAGTAGAGGAGGCCAAGGACAAATTAGAACAGTGTCTCCTTGAGTGCTTCCAACTCTGATGTACTTGCACCTGGTTCAGGACTCGGAGGATCTAAGGGAGAGACATCAGCAAGGTGAGCCAGCATACCAGTGACAGTATGTGTGAGCTGCAGCAGTACCTTCTCTCCACCAACTTCACATCAAAAGTAACTACTGCTTCACTTCCACCTTCCAAATCTTACACAAACTTTTCTTATGGTAAGCCCTAACATGGAAACATACATGGAGGGGAATTCTGGGAATCATAGTTCTGGTTTAGCTATGTTGAAAAAGTATACAGATAAGAGTCCAATTTAATTATTTTGCATGTAGAGTTCCAGTTTTCCTGTGCCATCTATTGAAAAGACTTTCATTTCCCCATTGGGTCTTCTCAGTGTCCATGTTAAAAATTAGATAATCATATATGCTTGGGTTTATCTTTTGGATTTCTATTCTATTCCATTGGTCTATATATCTGTTTTCATGTCAATACCATACAGTTTTGATTAATATAACTTTGCACTATAATTTGAAATCAGGTAGTGTGATGCCTCCAACTTTATTTTTTTTTTCTTAAGATTGCTTTGGCTATTTGGGGTCTTTTGTGGTTCCATACAAAATTGAGAATTTTAAATTTCTGTTTAAAATGCCATGGGAATGTTGACAGAGATTGCATTGAATCTGCTGTTAGTGTGTAGAAATGCTATCAATTTTTGTATGTTGATTTTATACATGCAACTTTACTGAATTGGTTTATTAGTCATTCTGTCTTTTTATTGCCAAACTTTGACTATTAACATCTAAAGTAATTACCAATAAATAAGAATTTACTATTTACAGTTACTTAATGGTTTTATGGCTGTTTGTGGAGCCTTTGTTCCTTTATTTGTCCCTTGCTGCCTTCCTTTGTGATCTGATGCTTTTCTGTAGTGGTATGTTTTGATTCCTTTTTTTTTTTTCTTTTTTTAGATGGAGTCTGGCTCTGTTGCCCAGGCTGGAGTGCATTGGCACGATCTCTGCTCTCTGCAAGCTCTGCCTCCCAGGTTCACGCCATTCTCCTGCCTCAGCCTCCCGAGTAGGTGGGACTACAGGCACCTGCCACCATGCTCGGCTAATTTTTTGTATTTTTTTAGTAGAGAAGGGGTTTCTCCGTGTGAGTCAGGATGGTCTCGATCTCCTGACCTCGTGATCCACCCGCCTCGGCCTCCCAAAGTGCTGGGATTGCAGGCGTGAGCCACCACACCCAGCCCCTCCTTTCTCTTTATCTTTTGCAAATCAACTATAGGTTCTGCTTTGTGTTTATCATAAAGTTATACTAGTCTATTTTAAGCTGATAACTTAACTTTAATCACATGCCTCAGGTTTGCTGGATGATTTCTAATCCATATGACATTTAAGTGCCTCCTCCAAAATGGATGACCTTTGATGGACATTTATACTGGAACATCTTCACTGAGTACAGGATTGCATTAACCAACCTAGCAGGCTGTTAGCACTTATCCAGGTGCTCAAATCAATTATTAATGCCTAAATCTCAGGTGATATACCATATTGATTTCTGTCTGATTTTTGTCTCATTAGTCTTTTTCAGCCTAACCATTGACTTCACTCATATGTCTTTTCCTCAGACCCCAGCAAATATTTAGAAAATCCTATAACTCTTTTAAACTATATTTTTCAGAGCAGGCTTTGTACTTCTCTATATAAGTTGTAGTGGGACCTAATTCTTGTTGTAGTCCTATGGGCAACTGGTCCAGATAAAGCCAATCAAAAATAAATTTTTTTAATGCAAGGAAAGGCTGGTTTATTCAGACTTGGATGAAAGAGTAGCTCTACCAGCAAAAAGGGTAAGGGATTGGGAGATCAAGTGGCTGTGACATTTAGTTGTAATGGAGATTATAGTGCCTTGCCTTGACCTGCATTTCATTCTATACAAACACAAGTGAAAACTTGAATAATAAGTCTATCTTTATTCTACATACAAGGAGGACTTCCAAAAGTATGTGGAAAAAATGGAATTAAAAGATAAAAATATAAATATAAACTTTTATTTCTCACCATAAGCTCCATCAAGTTCAAGACACTTTTGTGAGCAATGATATCAGCCATTTAGTGTATGTCTACAGAACTGAGGGTCCTAGGAAATTGAACCATGTCAATGCAGATTTTTACACTATTAAATGAAGAAGAAGTCTCATTTAGGGATTTTTTTTTAAGATTAGGAAACAAAAAGAAGTCAGAAGAAGCCAAATGAGGACTTCAGTGTAGATGCCTAATGATTTCCCATCAAAACTCTCACAAAATTGCCCTTGTTTGATGAGAGAAATAAGCAGGAGGAGCTTTGCTTTGGTGGAGAAGAACTCTCTGGTAAAGCTTTCCTGGATGTTTTTCTGCTAAAGCTTTGGCTAACTTTCTCAAAACACTCTCATAATAAGCAAATGTTATTGTCCTTTGGCCCTTTAGAAAGTCAAAAAGCAAAATTCCTTGAGAATCCTCAAAGAAATTGTGGTCATTATCTTTGCTCTTACTGGCCCACTTTTGCTTTGACTGGACCACTTCCACTTCTTGGTAGCCATTGCTTTGATTGTGCTTTGTTTTCAGGATCATACTGGTAAAGCCATGCTTCATGTCCTATTACAATTCTTCAAAGAAATGTTTGAGGATAGCTCCCACTTGTTTTAAATTTCCACGGAAAGCTCTGCTCTTCTCTGCTGTTGATCTAGATGCAACAGTTTTGGCACCTGTCGAGTAAAAAGTTTGCTCACCTTTTTCAGTAAGAATTGTGTAAGCTAAACCAATTAAAATGTATATGGAGTTGGCTATTGTTTGTGCTGTTAATCAGTGGTCCTCTTCAATTAGGGTATAAACAAGATTAATTTTTTTCCTCAAAAATTTATGTGAATGCCCTGCTGTTGCAAGCTTTATCTTCAACATAGAACATAGTCTTATCCCTTTTTAAAATGAGTTATACAATTTTAAACTGATAATTTCTTTGGAGAATTGTCTCCACAAACTTTCTGTAAAGCATCAATGATTTCACCACTTTTCTGCCCAAGCTTCACCATAAATTTGATGTTTGTTCTTGCTTCAATTTTAGAAGAAATCATGTTGCTCTGATATGAGCTCTTTTCAAACTGATGTCCTGTCCTTCCTAGTGCCTCAAACTAGATTCCTTTTAGACATGTTATCACAAGTTAGTATGAGTTTATTTTGGTGCAAAAAGAGTTTGAAACCCATGCATAGTTTTTTTCATAATAAGCACTTTCCATGAACTTGTAGAAGAACCCCTGTGTGATCAAAGTCTAGTACTCCTGAGATAAGGAAGTTATACAGGTACTCCTTAAATATGTGAGCCAGCTAATCCCAGAAATCATTTTGAGGTGCTCTTTCCTGGGGCTTTTCTGTGCACAAATACGTATATCAGGGTCACACCAAGAAAAAGTACAATATTCAAATGGAGTAAACGAGGAAATTTAATTTCCGACAGTGCAAGCGATATTAAAGAAAACCAACAAGGAATGGTTAAGTATCCAGGACTAGCTACAGCAGGAAGCCATTACTGTTTCTAATGCTAAGGGGCAGTGGTCATGGAGAATGTTGTGTGTGTGTGTGTGTGTGTGTGTGTGATGCGTTTGTGTCACTTTATTCATACCTTTATAGAGTGTTCAAATCATCTTAGTAAATGTTTTCTTTTTTCCTACTTTAAGAAAAACATTTACTTCCTTTAAGAAGATGTAAATAGAATAATTGTGGTGGTAAATGGTTATATTTTGAGTGCTCATGAGCTTTACTGGTTACTAAAGTAATTGTGTATGTCAGACAATACTCAATTTTCCATCTTTGAGTTGACAAAGACTCTCCCCTTGACCAAAATTTAGTCAGACTCTTCTTATCCCACTTCCCGAATAAGCCTCAACCTTGGCCCGCTTCTCTACTGAACCTGCATAGCCCAGTTTTAGCAAGAATTCTGCTAAGACAGTTTAGAGAGAATCTTCCAGCCTTGATATCTGGTTATACCTTGATATCTGATCTAATTCCTCCTCTCCATCCTTGATATGTTCTTGCCTCCCTGCAGCCAGAATCCTATTAGGTCAGTTTAGCAAGAATTCTCCCTACCTTTGATGTCACTTTTTAAAATTTTCCACCCACAGAAACTACAACCTGCTCCATAGCCATAAATTCCCACTTGTTTTTGTTGTACTAGGAACTGAGCCCAAACTTTTACCAAGGTCTCTTTTCTACTATTATAATAATTCCTCAATACATGGTTCCTCAAAAATCAATTAATGTTTTTACCACATTAAATATTATCAGGTTTTAGTTTCCTTTAGCAAATACTCTCTATGAAATAAAAGTCAGTTTCTTTGGTTAAAGTCATAATTACTATGAGTGATTGAAACTAGAAGTAATAATAACCAAAAAATACGACAGGCTATGCAATGTAATAGGATCTGGTTTTGTTTATCAAGAGGGACAAAGGGGTAGATTCATTCTAAGATAAAATGTCTAGTTATTTCAATATGTGAAGAACAATAGTGAAAGACAAAACCCAAAGGATACAGAAAGCTGTAGAAGTGTGAGGAAGTAAATTCTGTTTTGTTACATATATGTAACTACAAATAATGCTGCTGAATAGAAGCAATGATACATGTTAAAATTTTGGCAAAGTTTTTCACAGCTCAGCTTTCATGGATCTATTTTTTTTAATCTCAAGAATGCTTTATTGCCAAATATTACATTAAAGTAAGACTAGAATTTGGCTTTCGCTCTGTTTGACATAACAAATGTATTCTTTCTTCTTTTTTTAAAAAAAAACAGTAAATGTTATTCTTTGCCTTCTTTGTAAACGTCCTTGCCAGTAGATAAAAATTCTGTAGTACATAGGAATCACTTTTTGTGCTTTTTGCTGACTTTACCTGCTCCGTTGTTTTAAAAAACATAGTTGATTGCCTATGAAAGAGCAAAAGTTACTTCTACTAACTTTGTTTTAAAAATAGCTTTACTCTGATACATAGGTAACTATATTCTAATCATTTCTATTCACATGTATCTGTACTACCTATACTACGGTTGTGGTTTGATTTGTGTTCACCAAATAGACATGTTAAAGTTCTAACACTGAGTACTGTCAATGTGCCCTTCTTTGCAAATGTTTGTCTTTGCAGATATAGTCAATTTAAGGTCATACTGAATTACAGTGGATGAAGGAGATATTTCTCCCTTTTCAGAAGGCCTTCAGATAGCCTTCCGATTTACATATGTCTAATAATTACCCTTAGGAATTAAGCTCAAAAGTATAATATTTGGTTTCTAAATAATTTATATGTAACTCTTTTCTCTTTTCAGAAGCAAATTTCCCTCCCTCCTAAATGACAAACAAAATAGACCCAATATCCATGTGGATGATCAAATTAAGGTAGGACAAAGAGAAGCTTCAGCAATAAACTTCAATAGTTAATGAAGACACTCACAAAACAAGCCATGACTTAGGAGATCTTCCTGTGATTTACTAGTTGTCGGCATACTTTTCTCATTGCCACCTTCATTTCTCAATTCCTGAATGTGTAGATGATAGGATTTAAAACAGGAGTGAGAACTGCATCAAAGATGGCCAGAAACTTATCCAGGTGTGTGGAGGGAGATGGCCACGTATAGACAAAAATCAAAGGACCAAAGAACAAAACTACCACACTGACGTGAGCTGAAAGGGTGGACAGAGCCTTGGATAAACCAGCTGAAGAGTGTTTCAGAACAGTGAGAATGATGACCACATAGGAAATGATCAGTATGAAGAAGGAGCCCAGAGAGATGAATCCACTGTTGGCTGTAACCATGAACTCCAGTCGGTAGCTGTCTGTGCAGGCAAGTTTGATGAACCGAGGAAGGTCACAGTAAAAGCTGTCCGATACATTAGGACCACAGAAGGGCAAGTTTACTACAAAAACCAATTGAACTACAGAGTGGATAAGGCCGGTCACCCAGGCAGCCACTAAGAAGAACATGCACATTCTTGGGCTCATAATGGTCAGGTACTGGAGGGGCTTACATATGGCCACATATCTGTCAAAGGCCATGGCTATGAGCAGCACCATCTCCACACCGCCAATGACGTGGATGAAGAAGATTTGAGCGATGCAGCCTCCAAAGGAGATGACTTCGTGCTTTCTGAACAGGTCATAAATCATTTTGGGAGAAGTGACAGAGGAAACACCCAGGTCAATGAAGGAGAGGTTGGCTAACAGAAAATACATGGGGGAGTGCAAGTGAGGGTCAGAAGTCACAGTGAGCAAAATGAGAGAGTTTCCCATCATACTGGCCATGTAAAACATGGAGGAGAACACAAGGAGGAGAAGTCGGATCTCCCAGGAATTGGTGAGTCCCAGGAACACAAACTCTGACACCACGGAGTGATTTGCCCCAACCATTGGCTTTGTTAGCAGTGATAGCTAGAGAACAACAGCCAAAAATGTAAATTATAATCATATTAATGAACGAGAAGGAAAGAAGTCAAAGTTATAAAAGTCTATTTCCACTTTAGCGTTAAAACTAACCTAATGACCAACAGGTATATAAAAATCTTATCACTAATCATTAAGGATATAGATTAAAATGACAATGAGACCTTATCTCAGGCCTGTCAGAATAGCTATTACCAAAAAGACAACAGGTAACAAGTCTTGACAAGGCTGTGAAGTGAAGGAACTCTTGTACACTGTTGTTGGGAATGTAATTTGTTTAGCCATTATGAAACACACTATGGAGTTTCCAAAAAAAAAGAACTACCATATAATCTAGAAATCTTATTCTAGGTGTATATTCAAAGGAATTGAAATACATACCTCAAGGAAATATCTGTACACCTATGTTCATCACAGCATTATTCACAATAGCTAAGATGCAGTGTTCATTGAGACATAAGTGGATGGAGAAAATGTGTGTTTGTGTGTGTGTGTGTGTACCTATACAATCGAATACTCTTCCGCCTTACCAAAAAAAAAAGGGAAATTCTGTCATTTGCAACAACATGGATGAACCTGGAGGACATTATGCTAATTGAAGTAAGACAGACACAGAATTACAAATACTGTAAAATCTCACTTATATGTGGAATCTACATAAGTCAAACTCATAGAACTAGAGATTAGAATTAGCAGCTGACAAGGGTTGATGAAGCGGGTAGAGAATGACATGTTACGCACCAGTACCGTGTTTCAGTTAAACAAGACAAATAAATTCTGGAGGCTTCTTGTGAAGCGTGGTAACTACAGTTGATAATAATGTACTTCATACTTACAATTTCTAGGAGAATAGATCTTCAATGTTTTTACCACAAAGAAATAAGTGTAGGAGATGAATGTTAATTAGCTTGATTTATTTCATACATATACATGTATCAAAGTATCACATTGTTCACCATATATATAATTTTTATTTGTTAACTACACTTTAATAAAACTTGCAGAGAGTTGAGAGAAGAATCTAATATCCTGATAGGTTCTGAAATTGTGTTAACACGGTGTGACAACCAAGTGTGAAGGAGAAAACCTTCTCTGCTTTAATATCCCTCTGCTTCTCCCAGAGTAGTGGCCGTGATGTTCCTCGTGAAATACAAGACTGGTCAACATGGGTAACAGGAATTTGACTCCAAATTCTTTTAATTTTTGCTTCAAGACTAATATAGCCTGGCTCTAGTCACACAGAACTATTTACGTTTTCTCAACCATTACATCCATTTCCAAGACCACAGCCATATTCTGGCAGAAACGTTCCTCACTCGCCACATCTGGAAAGTATTTCAAGGTTTAAGAAATGTTTACCATAGCTGTGAGGTCTTGCTTTATATCACAAGTACTCATTTTACTATCCCTTATGTTGTAGTAAACTGGGTACAAGTCTAACTCACCAAGTTGACATGTCTGAAAGGCAGGGATTAGTACTTATTCACATTGGGATTCTCTGAAGCAACAAAAAAGTGGTCTACAGAGAAGAGCAGGTCCACAAACGGTTACTGGTTTGTATTATGTTAGATACTGAAATTCAGAGTGTTTAGAAATGTCTCTAATAATTTAACATTACAGCAAAATCCAAGTGTTTGATTTTGTATTCTACCAAAGTAGAAGTCCAAGAAGCACTGCGGGAAAAAATATGTAACTAAAATAATTTGAGAAGATAATTGGAGAATCACTGCCCTAGTAGCACATGATCTAAAAAGCTTAAACTACAAAGAGCATTTTGGTACAGTGGGAAGCATTTTGTTCAAACCTCTATACAAAGATTTATCACATTTTATTGTAATTTCAGTTTTATTTAGAGAAGCAACCTAGCATGTTGGAAAGAATATGGGCTTCAGAAACAAAGATTTATATAATTTTTCAGCTTCTTACAAGTTGGTATTGGGCAAGTTGTTTAAATTTCTGAGTCTCGGTCTACCAAATTGCAATTAATGATACTAACTTTACAAGGTAAATTGTGAGGATCAAATAAAGTTTTATAACCATGTGTCCAGTCAAATTAACTTTCATATACATAAATGCAACAAAGTTAGCCCCTATCTTTCTGTTTCCAAGATTCAACAAACTCAATACCTTTTATATTTACACTTAGAATGTTTTCTCACAGTGATTCCTAAAAAATTTTTATTTATAAGCATTCTCTAAATCCTTCTTCATTCTACCTACAGTTCAAAGACATAAGTAATACAAACACTGTAATTCTAAATCATATAAGAGACCAGTAAAACAAAATCAAGCTCCTGGTGGTTTATGTATTATTTTATTTTTAAACTTTTCACATCACATTTTTAAATGACATTACATTGGAAATTATTTACTAAGCTTTGGGTCTTTTGGTCTCCATGTCTTTCATTTCTAATAAAGTGTCTATGAGACTCTTCCATCTTGCAAACTTGACAAATTCTCAAGAAATTTGCTTCCCTTGTTATGGAAGAGGATCAGTTTATACCCATCTCTTTTGAAAAGAAAATTGAGAGAAAAATATAATAACCTATGTTTTTCTATCTTCATGTGTCAATTTTTCTTGCCTATTTATCACATGACAAAGGATGAGAATCATTCCTATAATCACAGAGAGTGATTAATTGCAACCTATGCTGAATTTAAAATATTGCAAAATCAGACTTTTTCTAATGTCTTTCACCTTTCCTTAGGCACAGTGTAATCCTAGCTCAAAAGCCAATGCCAATTAACTTCTAAAATGTCAATAAACTTTTCACAATTATTCTCTCATTTTAGTCAATTCCTTATCCTGGACCCTATCTACTTTGCTTTAGAATATGACTTGTGTGCATAGCAATTCCCACAACAGAACCTTATCTAAAACTAAAGCCAATATCCCATTGTTAAATTTATTTGCATCCTTCCACTTTACCTGTATAGAGAGAACAACATGTTCAGGTACTCTGGGAGTTTCCTGTGTTCTCTAACGTGAAGTGCCATATAATACCCTACCACAGGAAACAGAAGGCTAATTACATATACCTCAAGAGGACAGTGACCAAGTGATACTGCAAAAACATGATAGTTTAAAGGAGCTTATGGGTCATGGGCTTTGCCACTAGAGAACTATTTGCTTTGATCAGTGCAACCAAAAGATACAAAAGTTCATAATAAGACACTAGAGAAAAAGAGGGAAACAAAAGTGGAATATTTTTGTTTAGTATATTTGTGCTGTTTTGTTGGCAATAGTGATAACTACTCATTATAACTAATCCCTGAAAATAAGTAAATGTTAACTCAAAAATTAACTCTAATCATTTTATCATCTCTAGAAAAGCCACTGTGCCAAATTTTTATTACAGTTTAAATGGTAGAAGAATGTATACAACACTTCATTTTTACATAGTCATATGCTGTGTAGTTATGGATATGTACCAAGATTTAGCTGTACAGAAATTCATTCCGGTGTTTAGAGCTTAATAGAAAATGAAACAACTAAAACATCCAGCAGTTGATGATAAATTTAAAAGAGTATTCTACATCCATACAATCGAATTCTCTAAAGCCACTGTAAAGCAAGTTTGATATCTATACAGTTAAAGACAACCACGACACACCATTGAGTGAAACAGTGGATACCAATGCAGCACACACTATGCCGCTGTGCATACAAATCGGAACAAGTAGACAATAAACTTTTTGCAATAAGCACTTTTGACAGTGAGATTGTTGTGCAAGAAAACAAGGTATTTTTACTTTCAATTTTGTACACTTGTGTCAGTCAGGATCCTGCCAGGACAAGAGACGCGACACTCAAGTTAGGTAACTGAAGAAGAGCTTAATAAAGGCACAAAACTGGGTGGAGAAGGGTCAAGAGTGACACTGGAGAGACAAATGGAAACTGGGCTATTGTTGTCTGAACCCACTCATTTTTTATCCGGGGGACAAACAGGGCAGGACAAATAACATCAGGGCAGAAGAAAGTTGGCAACATAGAAGAAATAAGCTGTTATATCTTTGCAGAGTAATCTAAACCCAAAATGGCAGCCTCCGCCAGTGTATTTCACATGAATCACTTAGCGGGAATGGAGGGGAAGAAAAAGGTGATTAACATGAAACATGGCTGTTGAAATCCTCTTTCCTGTAGCTCACCATGAGGACTATTTTGATAACAGCCATTTCATTGCTTCATTAGATGAGCAGATTCTGGGTGGTGCAGTATGTGAAGAGGCCAGTAGATCTAATGGTCATGTCCTAACTCTCATACCTCCATATCTTTAATGTGGTATAATATGACATCTTGTGGAACTACATGTCATGTGTTAATTACTCTGTAATCTTTAGAAAAATGATTGCTTAAGCCCCTGAAGCTTTGTGTTGTAATTATCCAACTGGTGCTTGCTATGAAACTCATTTTTTCTCTTTTCACCACCAATTTTTCTAATACCTGGGTATGCCAGGTAGTATGGCCAAAGAAGTAAGGCTATCTGCACAAAGTCTAGATCTTTTACAGCAAAATCTTTTTCATATTTGCGCCCTGCTCAAAGCTGACAGACTTTCATGGCTTTCAGCATATGGGTTGTGGTAGTATTCCTGATTATAGCCTATGCTTCCTCCAGAAATGGAAGAAATCTACCAGGTATAGTTCTTTCTTATTAGTGACAGAAGGTGCAAGATGCAATAATTTTCCTTTGATTAAAAGAACAAACCTGGAGGCATCACATTACCAGACTTCAAATTATACTACAAGGCGATAGTTACCAAAACAGTATGGTGCTTATATACAAGTAGGCATGTCGACCAATGGAACTGAATAAAGAACCCAGAAATAAAGTCAAATATGTACAGCCAACTGATCTTTGACAAAGCATACAAAAACATAAATTAGGGAATGGACAACCTATTCAATAAATGGTTCTGAGAAAACTGGTAAGCCATGTGTAGATGAATGAAACTGGATCTGTGTCTCTCACCTTATAAAAAATCAACTCAAGGTAAATCAAAGACTAAAATATAAGACCTGAAACTATAAAAATTCTAGAAGACAACATCAGAAAAACTTTTCTAGACATCAGCCTAGACAAAGAATTCATGACTCAGACTTCAAAATCTAATGCGACAAGAACAAAAATAAATAGGACCTAGTTAAACTAAAAAGCTTCTACACAGCAAAAGAAATAATAATCAGAGTAAATAGACAACCTACAGAATGGGAGAAAATATTTGCAACCTATGCATCTGACAAAGGACTAGTATCCACAATCTACAAGAAACTCAAGTCAGCAGAAACTAAAATAATCCCATCAAAAAATGGGCAAAGCACATGAATAGATATTTCTCAAAAAAAGATATACAAATGGCCAACAAATACATGAAAAATGCTCAACATTACTAATCATCAGGGAAATGAAAATCAAAACCACGAGACACCACCTTACTCTTGCAAGAATGGCCATTATTAAAAAGTCAAAAAACAATAGATGTTGGCACGGTTGTGGGGGAAAGGGAAGACTTATACACTGCTGGTGAGAATGTAAATCAGTACAACCTCTATGGAAAACAGTAAGGAAATTCCTTAAAATGCTAAAAGTAGATCTAACATTTGATCCAGCAATCGCATTACTGGGTATCTACCCAAAGGAAAATAAGTCATTATATGAAAAAGATACTTGCACATGTATATTGATAGCAGCAGAATTCGTAATTGCAAAGATGTGGAAAACCAACCTAAGCCCCCATCGACTCATGAGTGGATAAAAAATATATATACCACGGAATACTACTCCGCCATTAAAAGGAATGAAGTAATGTCTTTTGCGGCAACTTGGATGAAGCTAGAGGCCATTATTCTAAGTGAAGTAACACAGGAGTGGAAAACCAAATCTTTATGTTCTCACTTATAAGTTGTAGCTAAGCTATGAGTAAACAAAGTCAGACAGGGTGATATAATAGACTTTAGAAAATCAGAAGTGGGAGTGTGGGAGGGAGGCTAGGGGTAAAAATCTACACGTCAGGTACAATGCACACTACTCAGGTGATGGGTGCACAAAGATATCAGAATTCACCACTATATAATTCATCCATATAACAAAAAAAAACCCCTTGTACCCCAAAACTTACTTGAAATAAAAAAAATTTTAAAGAAGGAAAAAACATTTTCCTTTGCTTTGAAAAGGACCTCCTAGCATGGACTGGGCCATCAAACTCAAAATTTTAATGATGTGACAATTTCACAGTTCTCTATAGAGTTTATTCCTTCTCTTGAGAGCATATGTGTACTACTAAAGTATCTAATACTTGCCACTCCTTCATCTGGTTTGACAGCATAGTGTTATTAATATAATCGACCATTAAGACAATCTATAAAATATCCAAATGGTTCAAGTCTCTTCAGGCTATTTTATGGTACAGTAAGACAGCAAACGTATATGTTGTCCATTCCAAGTGAATGCTGTTTCTAATTCTACTTTGTGAAAGAGATGGAAGAGAAAATTTACCAGATCAATGATCACATATTATATACCCAGGTCTATGTTAATCTGCTCTAGCAAAGGTACCACCTTTGGCACAGTAGCTGCAATTTAGATTACTACTGGGATAAGTTTACAATAGTCCATTGGCATTCTCCAGGAAGTGACTAGCTTTCATAGGTGACACACTGGTGAATTAAATGGAGATAGAATGGGAACTATTTCTGTATCTCTGGGATATTTTTACCCCTTCATAATGAAGTATAATTTTTGAAATACTATTTTAGGCTGGGCATGGCAGCTCACACCTGTAATCCCAGCATGTTGGGAGGCCAAGGCATGTGGATGACTTGAGGTCAGGGGTTCAAGACCAGCCTCATCAGCATGGCGAAAACCTGTCTCTAATAAGAATACAAAAATTAGTTGGGTGTGGCGGCATGCGCCTGTAATTCCAGCTACTTGGGAGGCTGAGCCAGGAGAATCGCTTGAACCCAGGAGGTGGAGGCTGCAGGTCGTGCCCCTGCACTCCAGCCTAGGCAACAGAGCGAGACCCTGTCTCAAAAAAAGAAAAAAAAGAAAAATACTATTTTATACTGGGGGATAGGACAGTTTTGGTGACTTCCCTACCATAATAACTGTAACCCACAGGACAAGGAAGAAGTGTGGAGTTGTACAAACTACCAAGTATATCTTTTCCAATTATACATTGAGGAAATGATGTAAGGATCACTGGGAGGTTGTCATTTGGTGAACCCAACATGCACCTGATCTGAACTAGGACTCTACATACTACCAAATGTGTCCACTCAAAACAGCAGTGATGACCCTTCAGGAATCTGGGAGTAAATGTCAACTCTGAGTCCAACAGTCCTTTAAATATTGTGATATTCCTTATTTTTCCTGGTGTTTAATTCTACAAATAAATGGTCATAGGTAAGTTTGAGCAAAGTACTGGTAGATCATTACTATGTGTATGTGTACTTAGAGTTGTTGCACAGTCCTTCCTTCTACCATTTATTAAATCAGCCATGGTGATGCTATGTCCTCCCACCCCCTCCAAGAAAGGTAGAGTTAGGAATTATTTAATATCTTCTGGAGACTTTAGACATTTTCCTCTATATCGGAGAAATTCTGGCATTTCAACTTCCCTGATTGTAGTGACAGCCTACAACAAAACGGCTGAATGGGTATACATATACAAAAAATTTTTGTAAATTAATTGACCCCATAAATGCTGGGTTTGGTGGTAATGACGTCACCCAGTAGAGGGCCCACAAATAGGGACTGCTTTTAAGTAAAGGAGCTATCCTGATACGTTTTATTGCCAGAGATGCACTGTAGTGCACGGGTTTTGAGAACCAACTCTGAATTCAAACTAGCAGACTTTGCGTCCACACTTACTACTTCATAACCTTGATGATATTTAGCAACTCTGTGCCCCAGACACCTCCTCTCTAAAATGGGGATAGTGAGATAATGAATCTGCATCATAAGATTCAAATAAAGCACCTAGAACAGTACCTAGACAATTAGAAGCACTGGATGGGTAACATCAATTATTATCTCCCCTAGGACACAAACGATGAGAGATGATCAGAGCTTCATTACCTCACGATGGAAACCTCAATTAATAGGTTTGTTTCTATATTTTAGTAACCATGTTAGATTAAAAGCCACAGAATTTTGGGAAACAGAATTTTCACACATCTTTTATAAATCTTTCAATTTTTTGCTAAAATATTTGAAATTTATCCTTCTGAGAAAGAGGCATAAATATCTTAGTGTAACTTATGTAATTCACCAATCACATTTTTGTTTCCCAAGAGAAGAAACATCATCCGCTGTAAGTAATGGAATGAACTTCAAACCTATAAAATAGAATTGAATCAAGGGTCTCTGTGAATACTACCATAGACAAAAGAACACTGTTTAATAATAAAGTTCAAGAATTGTTTTCATAATTAAAGGAATGATTTAAAATTCAGCTTTGGTAGGACTTGAACAAGAAATATGTGGTGGTGGTAGAAGTAGGGAAGGATTCAGAAATGATAAAGATGGAAGAGTGGAATATGAACATCAAATCAAAAACAAAATTGATCTGAAAGTGAAAGGGCACTGACCTAGCAATCAGAGTCATGGTTTCTGGTGCCTGGCTCTCTTTGATGGTTTCCAGCTATGTGCCTTTGGGCAAACTAGTCACTGCTCAATTCTTGGATTTTAGTACGTGTAATTTGAGGGGATTGGAACAGATGGTGTTGGTAATCCACTCTAACTTTAAATTTGAATATTCTAAATATAGGACTAACAATTTTGTAGATGGCCAAAGAAGCCTGATAAGGTGGCAAAAATATGTAGAGACTGGAGCAATAGAAAGCAAACACTTTAGGAACAAAAAGAATTAAAATCAAGAGAGCTAGATACTAAACAGGCCAGGCGCGGTGGCTCATGCCTATAATCCCAGCACTTTGGGAGGCCGAGGCAGGTGGATCACTAGAGGTCAGGGGTTCCAGACCAGCCTGGCCAACATGGTGAAACTCCATCTCTACTAAAAATACAAAAATTAGCCAGGGGTTGTGATGGGCGCCTGTAATCCCAGCCCTCAGGAGGCTGAGGCAGGAGAATTACTCGAACCCTTGAACCGGAGAGGCAGAGGTTGCAGTGAGCTGAAATCATGCCATTGCACTCTAGCCTGGGTGACAGAGCGAGACTCCAACTCAAATAAGTAACTAACTAACTAAATAAATAAATAAATAGGAGTTAGGTGGTAAACAGATTGAATGTGTAGTTTGTCTATCAATAGAATAATCTGTCCAGTAGAAAAAATAAAAGACATAGTATTGTTATTTGTTCAATTACATGGCACTCACCTAGAACAAGGTCTTTCAAAGTGGTAGGTTACAAAAGACATTAAGATTTAATATTTAGCACTTTGATGCACACTGTGCCAAAGGATAACATCACTTCTAATTTAATGGTGAAATTGTTACCATGATTTCATAAATTTTCAGGCATATAGTATGGCCTGAGTCTTCAGTATTTCTCTGAAATTGCAGTTTCTTTTATGCAATCAGCATGAGGAGTAATCCATAGTTACACATCTTGACAGCCAAGCCATTTACAAAATCTTTGTAAAATGCGCAAGACGACTGCACAGTCTCCTCATTGCCACTTTCATGTCTTTGTTCCTGAATGTGTAGATAACTGGATTCAGAAAAGGAGTAATAAATGCATCAAAAATAGCAAGATATTTATCCAGGTGTGATGTGGGAGAAGGCCATGTGTAGAAAAACATCAGTGGCCCAAAGAACAAGATGACCACAGTGACATGAGCTGACAGGGTAGAGAGGGCCTTGGCTAGACCACCAGAAGAATGTTTCCAAACAGTGAACAGAATGAAGATGTAGGAAATTACCAGCAAGACAAAGGAGCCCACAGAAATGAGTCCACTATTGACAGTGACCATGAACTCCAGTTCTTGGGTGTTGGTACAGGCAAGTCTGAGGAGCCGAGGGAGATCACAGTAAAAACTGTCAAAGATATTAGGACCACAAAAAGGTAAATCTACCACAAAAACTAATTGGACCAATGAGTGGATAAGGCCAATGATAGAGGAAGTGGCTAAAAAGTATAGACACATTCTTGGGCTCATGATGGTCAGGTAGTGGAGAGGTTTACATATGGCCATGTATCTGTCAAAGGCCATGGCTATGAGCAGCACCATCTCAGTGCCCCCAAGAGCATGGCTAAAGAAGATCTGAGTAATACATCCCCGAAAGGAGATGGCCTTGTGCTTCTTGAAAATATCACAAATCATCTTAGGGGCTGTAATTGAGCAAAATGCCATATCAATGATTGAGAGGTTAGCCAGGAGGAAATACATGGGGGAGTGCAGATGAGCATCCATGGTTACAGTGAATACAATGACAAGGTTTCCCATCATGCTCGCAAAGTAGAACAACAAAGAGAAAACAAAAAGTAGAAGCTGAATCTCCCGTGAGTTGGTGAGTCCCATGAATACAAATTCTGATACCACAGAGTGATTCATTCCATTCATTGCCTCAGACTCCAAGATCAGTTTTCATGTTACTTACCTGAAGGAAGAAAGAAAATGAGAAAGAATTACCTAGGCAAGTATTCATGTTCAAGAAAGAAAGCCTCCAGCCATGAAAATAACTATCATATTAACATCTTACACAGCCAAATAACCCTCATCACATGCACCCTGGACTTCCACTTAGAGGGGTCAGCTGGCTGCTATTTGGCATTATGGTTTTCAAAACTACTACTACTAAATTAATTCCATCCTTAGACCTAGCTCTCCTCTGCTTTTGTGTTACATGAATATTTCCTATTTGATCCTTCCCAGGATGTTCTATTTGGGTGAGATATAAGGTCATCTTTAAATACTTTTCACTATGATTTCTTATCAATGGATATGATTTCAGCCAGTCACATGAGCCACCTAACAATTACTCATGCACAGCATACAGCTTTCAAAGTCTCTATTCTATTATTTATATTGCTTGATTAGACTTTAGAAGTTTCCCTTCCTTTTTTAAATTTCAAAATTTCTTTTATTCTATTCTCCAGTTCACAAAATCTAATTCTCAAAATCCCAGCCAAATTCTCGCTTATGTGTGAAATCTTCCCAATGTGCCCCAGACTCTGTATTCTCATCGCACCATTAGCATTTATTTTACTCTGCTTCTCACAGTTATATAAATGTCCATTTCTCCAATTAAAATGTAGACTCTTGGGTATAGAAGCCGTAACTGATCCACAACGGTAGCTCCCACCATCATCACAATCACCACTTGTGACCAACACAATCAGTCACATAATAAGTGTTTCACACTTGTTGAATGAAGGCGTAAATTAATGAGACTGAAGAATGACACTGGAGTCAAGAGAGTACCTCATAATTCAGTAAGGTTTATATTAATAGTATATTAACAGCATGCCAGTCAGGAATTATCACAGTATCCCTATTTCAATCCTGTACTTATTTAACCACTCAAAGAAACATTTGCATAAGATGTCATAAAAATAAATATGGGGTCTTATTATTCATTTTAAATAGTCAATAAAAGGCTTCTAATATGGTTCAAAATGGAAGAAACCACTTCATTTTATAAATGATTTTCAATCTCAATTTTTATATAAAATATGTAATGAGCTGAAACAAATAATCTCCTCTAATGTAGATAATACACCCCTAGAGGATACCATAAGATAAAAACCATGTCACATAAAGGCAGTCTCTCTTTTTTATCAAAATACATTTGGAGCGAATAAAAGGGACAGAAATAAAATATGGACCGAAAAGAACCAGACAGTGTCTGTATCTGCACTCTGGAAGAAGATGATGATTGAGTAATGGAGATTAAGTCCAGAAAATAAACTAAAGAATGGTGGCCAGGTCCCAGCATGGGGAGGTGTGACAATATTATGATTCTTTAAGGATGAAGAACAACTGCCCGAAATAAACCATTAGAGTTTCATTGTTCAATGAAGTGTTCCTGATTTAGTCCAACATTTATGTTTTATAAATAATTCATAAAGAAAGAAATATAGGAAGCAATCTACTCAGCCTCACAAAGGTAATTGGTGGGAAAATTTATACTGGGACCAAGAACTTTTTACTCCCATTCAAAGTTCTTTACAGTAAATACTTGTTACATTAGTTTACTATTGCTGTTGTAACAAGCTACTACAAATCTAGTGGCTTACCACACACACACACACACACACACGTTATATTCTTACTGTTCTAAAGTAAAGAAGCCTAAGATGAGTTTTCAGAGCTAAAATCAATAAAATGAGTTTTCAGAGCTAAAATCAAGGTGTCAACAGAGCTGCATTCCTCCTGGAGCTTCTAGAAAAGAATCCGTTTCTTGCCTTTTCCAGCTTCTAGAGGATGCCTCCATCCCTTGCTTGGCTCATGACATTCTGCCTCTTAAAAGTTCATCACTCCAACCTCAACTTCTGTCATCGCATCTCCTCTGACTCTTCCTCTTATAAGGACCCTTGTAATTCATTGGGAAGTTCCAGATAATCCAAGTAAATCAAGATTCTTAAATTATTCATATCTGTACCTTTTTGCCAGATCCAGGAATTAGGACATGAACATTTTTGAAGGCCATTATTCTATACAGCACAGCTTTCTTACTGTGAACAGGTGTTTTAGGGGGAAAAGGAAAATCTTAAAGTAATGAATCTGACAGAGGGATTTCAAGTAGCCTGTCAGGAAGGTGGAAGAGATATTGAGGGAATGGGGACAGATGGTGCATCCTGACTTTTGCTCTGTAACTACACATTAGTGACTTCTGACTCCAGTTACATGTAGGACCAAGCATGGCCACTAATGACTATCAATAAGGAAACAATGATCATTAGTCAACCAACATGTTCTTTAAAAAATAGTTATTCTAGGTATATAATTATCTCCTGAGTGGTTCTCCGAATGATTTTTGTTCATTAATTCAAAAAATATCTTCAGTGCCCAGGATTCCAGATACAATTCCAGAGGTTGGGCATATAGCATTGACAAGAATTCTTGCTTTTGTGGAATCCATATTCACCACAGCAAATGCAATTTTTGTGTCACATACAGATTTTCATTCTACAGAAAGGGTAAGAACATTTGAAGAAAGTCTATAATTTATCAACTACCTGGGGAGTCTCACTCTAATTTCTACTTTCAGGAGATCTGTTTTCTGACTTCTTCCTTTATCTGAATTCTTACCACTATAACTTCTATTACACTATTTTCCAGTGGGTTTTATCCAATAAATACGATTGGTTTTATCTCCCCACATATATATATATATAAAACTGGTGGGGTCATGTTTCACATACCATGATTCTTTGTATTGACTGTAAAGCAACTCAAAAACAATGCTGGGGAGATTTGTTGGCTTATTCACTCATTCATTCGACAAGTATTTATGCTGTATCTATCAAGTGCCTAACAATGCACTAAACCTTAGAGATGATATAAAGGTGAAAATATATACATTATGTTTAATAAGAAATTGAACATAGATAAAATGAGAATCTAAGGTTATCAGAGCAATTTTAAGTAAGAGTTGTGCAAACCATTCTGTGATTTACATCTAAATCCTCATGACCTGAACTATAAACTGACAAACACTTGTCTAGAAATGGGTAACAAAGACAAAAATAAATCCTTCTGATCACTAAGAGAAAAAACAGCCTTCTAGCAAAGATGCTATTAAGGCTTCCATGAAGTAGGAATAATAAAAATATGCTGTGAAGTAGAAATATATGTGGTGCTTCCTCCAAACTGAAATTTGAATAGCAAAAACTGACAACTCAGAATAACAAAAGAAATAGTGGTAAACTTCACTTTTAATGAATTTACAAGGAAAAGACAAAACTAAAAGAGGGTTATTAGGTCATTCAAAAAATATGAGATTCTGTGTAAAGTTTACTCAAAGACAGAGCCTACACAGAGGGCAAGGTGGATTTTTTTAAGTTAAATACATTTTTTAAATCAGAAAGGAAAGAGATGAGAAAAAAAGAAAAGGGGAAATTGAATTATTGAATTCAACAGGAGACTAAGATGGTTCATTAAGTGGAAAATTGTGATAAAGGGGAAGAAATAGCAAAGTAGGAGTTTGTGTAGATGTGCAATATTAAAAGCTCCAGTGCCCCAAAATATTTCCTTTAACATTAGAGCTGCTTTCTTTTAGGTTAAAAAACTGCAGCATTAGAGTTGTTTTCCTTTAGGTTAAGATACTAAAGTCCCTTGTTTTGCTTACATTGCTACAGGAAGGATACTCCATTGAGCATTGCAGACAAAAAAAATAACAGCTGGCTTTCCTTAGTGGAGATCGCATGCATGCAAGACATGAGACTCTTAATGATGAAGAAATAAGTGATCCATTTTTAAGCTGAGTCATTACCCAAGAAGGATTATCAAGGGCTGGTTGCTTCAGGAGACAGAGTAATAGCTGAAGGGCTGGGTAGGAGAATAAGAGTCGCAGGAATGAAGCCAGAACTGAGTAAAAGAATAAATTGAGCTAAACACAAAATTTACCTACTTCACAATCCCTCATAAAGCAAAGATGAGAAAATAATACAAAGAGCAAATGGCAGCAGATCTAAAAATTTACTCAGCTTTTGTCCTCTTGTCTTCACATTTCTTAAGTATTAAGTATTCATCTTTGGGTCGCTGAATGGCTTCCAGGATGACACATTGGGTTATAAGTGTTTGATTATTTTGATGCATCCCAAACCCTCCATGGAAAGAATGTGTTCTCTCCTAAGGCCATTGCCATTAGGAGATATCCTGCTTTGAGTTCCCTAGTTCTGGCCTGGCTATTGCTCTCAATAATTACAATGACATGAATTATAGTTATCATCTATTTACACTAAACAATTGTGATAGTGTGACAAATACAGATAGTCTAGCATTTGATGGAATCATTTAAATTTAAATTCACCTAACTGGAATTGCATGGGATCGGAATTGGGCAACTTCTTAGAATAGATTTATGATCACTACATTTTAAAATTTTCTTAAAAAGATGTTCATTATTCTCAATCAATAAACTCAATGAGCTGGAAAAGATCTGAGACTACGTTCTGAACCAGTTCCTTTATTTACCCATCCAGGAAATGTCAGTTTTTCCCTCAGTTTTCAAGGTTCAAAAATATATTTCTTAGCTATTATGAACAGGTATCATGCATTTTTTTTTTTTTTTTTTGAGACAGATTCTCACTCTGTCACCCAGGCTGGATTGCCATGGCACAATCTCGGTTCACTGCAACCTCCACCTCCTAGGTTTAAGCGATTCTGTAGCCTCAGCCTCCCGAGTAGCTGGATTTACATTCATGCACCACCACATCTGGCTAATTTTTGTATTTTTAATAGAGATGAGGTTTCACCATGTTGGCCAGGCTGGTCTCGAACTCCTGCACTCAACTGATCTGTCCACCTCGGCCTCCCAAAGTGCTGGGATTACAGGTGATGAGCCACCGTGCCCGGCTGTGTCCTGCTTCTCATTAACATAAAAGTCCAAATGTTCTCTTACAAAAAGGAAATCTCCATCCTTTCAACTAAGCTGATATCCACTTAATTCATCCCCTGTGGATATAAAGAAGTTGTCAGGTACTCTGTCAGATAAGTGCTTAATATCCTTGATGTTGGTAAAAGCAAATAAAGATCACTCATCTGTACCCTCTAGTTTTATTCACCTCAATTTGCTTTAGCCTTCCTCAAAGGATCCATCTTCTACCTCTTTATCTTGTCACTTTTGTCTAATCACTCCATTTCACTACCTAAACTTCTCATTATATAGACCTAAAAATTTATCATAAATGTTTTGAAAACATGAACAAGTATAGGAGGATTTATTGCAGGTTGTTAAACATTACACATTTAGTTTCCTACTTTTTTTTCCTCCATTCTTCAATCAACTAATTTTAACAGACACTACATTTTTTTAGTTCAGGGTGAGTTAAAAACCCAGATGTTTTTCTTCCAAATGTTTTCAATTATTCCTTCTCCATCTTGAGTCCATGAAACTGGAATTTCATCTTTTAAAGCTTCACTTATGACTAGTATCTGATGAACTTTCTCCTTTTTATATCTTGGGTCTTCTCTAGAAATAGAAGTAAACAACAAGCTTGTTAGGAAGACAACAAGCATGTTTGTCTTCATTTTCAGGGCTAATAGATTTCCCCAAAAGTCTCTGGATACCACAAACAACTTTACATGCATCCTAGTCCTGCCCTGAACCAAGCCACAGTGCAGACTCCAGACTCTGTAGTGTACTCCTTTGCACCTTTGGATCTCCAAGTCATTTCTAAGTTTTAGTTAAAAACTAAGGTTAATTCTTGTTCTCCCTTTCCAGGTAATTCATATTTATGCCTTTCCTGTGATCACCATTTCCCCACCACAACCACCTGTTTCTTTCTGCCCCAGGCTAACAAACTGTTACCTGAGTCTTTCTTGCAGCTGAAGTTTATCTAGTTTATCATGCTCCCATTGTGAACTTCATGCCATCCTTACCTTGTAGCTATTTACAGACTATCATCTCAAGCACACAGAGGTATTTAAAATCTTTATATAAATGGAAAAATAGCTAATTAACTGCACTGGAGGATAGTGACCTAATAAAGCTATAATGACCTGGGACTGCAACTCTAAAGTCAATGAGCCAAGAAATTGTCTCCTAGAAATACATGCAAAGCAACAAAGAAGAAATGTTGATAATGAGTCACAGGAGAAAGGAATGACTCTAGAATCTCTAAGAAAAATCAATCTCCACCACTTTATATTTTTCTGGATTATTTTTCTTTTTCACTTTTATTTTAAGGTCAGGGGTACATGTGCAGGTTTGTTACATAGGTAAAGGTGTGTCATGTGGGTTTATTGTGCAGATTAATCACTCAGGTATTAGGCTTAGTACCCATTAGTTATTTTTCCTGATCCTCTCCCTCCTCCCAACCTCCAATAGGCCCTAGTTTGTGTTGCTTCCCTCTATGTGTCCATGTGTTCTCATCATTTAGCTCCCACTTATAAGTGAGAACATGTGGTTTTTGGTTTTCTATTCCTGAGTTAGTATGCTAAAGATAATGGCCTCCAGCGCCATCCATGTCCCTGCAAAGGACACAATCTTTAACAATTTAAATCCTATCATGATAAATGAAAGTGTCTCTAGATAATCTAATAATATCCACTTCCCAAGATATTCATAAAAATCATATGGAATCCTTTTAAATTTTATCTATAATGAATAAAGTAGGCAAGTAAAAGAGTAAGCTATAAAAAATTTTAGTATCTTATAATGTGACTTTTATAAGTTATAAATGTAGCATATTGTACCAAGCACTTTGAAGATATAGGCTTTATCTAATTCACATTCATTTTTTCCAAAGCAACTTGCAGTTTCCTGTAATCAAAGAAGACTATATTCATTGAATTTAATAAAAGAATCCAGCTGTTGAAGTAATTCCATTATCTTTTACTGTGTCTGTCATCAGGAAGCAGGAATAATATGAATAAGGATTGATTTCAAAATATTAAGAGGAAGCAACGGGACTTGTGTGGTTTTCTAACCTTAGGTGTAATCATGTGTCTCTGTCCATGGTGCTTAATGATCATTGGTTTACAACAAGCATTGATCAATTGATCAACAAGCAATGATCACTGGGTTACAACAAGCACTCTTGTTTTTCTTGTTTATCCCCTTTAATTTCCGTTCTCAATCCCTTTCTCTCAAAGACAGTCATTCTGGTGTTTTTAAGTGTGTCTTGCTTTTGTGTTATCGTGAAACATGTAGTATTGTTTGTATGCATATACATAGAAAATGGTATTCTATATCTCATTCTGATTCTTTTTTTCCACTTGTCTCATGTTGCTATATGTACATCTAGTATATCACTTCTAAATACTGCAGAGCACTCCATGGTGGGTATGCACCACATTCTGCCTTTCTGAGTACTCAGATCACCCCCAAGTTTTTCAGGGTCACTGATTGGATTAAGCAAGTATTGGACCTTGCTTCTAACTTCAACCCTCACATACCAACAATGTTAATATTTAGCTAGAAGACACCAATGTAATAATACCAGTTGTAAAAAATTAAAATACTTGCACACTGGTTAGAATATAGCCACTGTCACAAGCCTCTTAAGGTTCCAACCGCTTCCAAGTTGCTTCCTCAGAACTCCTTATGAATCAGCTACTAAAAGTTAATGCCTGGAACAGCAGGAGTCTCCAGGATCTTGCTCCAACTCTGGGACCAGCATCTGTTCTGATCAATGCAGTTGTTTAATATTTTGAAGATCATATCTTCCCTATACCAAAACCAACACTGCCGTGGACACCTTCGACATTGTCTCCCTAGAGATCAGCAATGACAAGGATCATGTCTTTTAAAGCATTATGAGGCATTGATCTTTTGAAGTAGTGAGAATTATTTTATTAACCACTGTTTTGTGGTATGGGAAAAACTGCAAATAAAGCCAATGACTGATCTAAATTAATGAATAGTTCCAACCCCAGAAATTATATCAAAGTGGGGGCACAAATATCATGTTCTTCTCCATAGTCCTGACCCTAGACTTAGGGTTTTAAAGAGCAGTCATTAATTCATCCATGTTGCTGTGCTAGCAATTACACATCAGAAATTCATGACAAAATATTCAAATGCCCACTCATACAGAATTAGGCCAGAGGGTGAAATATAGAGGCACTAGGAACCGGCTAAGATGGTTATACTGCCAAAGATTCTCCAGTGAGAACTCCTAGGGAAAACTAAGCATAAATAGACAAAGATTTGAAATACAAACATCAGTTCTGAAGTCATAAGACTAGGAAACTCAAAAAGAGAGAGGCCAAGAGTTCCATCTGTATAGAAGCAAAACGTAACTGAATCAAAGAAGGAGCAAGAGAAGAGGACGTAGAACAATCATGTACACAGCTTGCCTTTACAATCCTACCGTGGTGGGATGGAGTTGAAATGAACCCCAAGAAAAATCTATATGCCAAGAAAATCTCTACCCCAGTCATACCCCCAAGAAAAATCTGTTACATACTCAAATTACAACAAACCATCATCTATCCCATAGATAACTTGGGGGAGCTTAATTAGGAAGAAAGAATGCAGATGCCATATGTAACATCTAAGAAGTCACTTCTCTTGTATCAAGATCAAATAATAAACCAATTAAGCAAATTTAACATCACCAGCGATGCTGTGTGGATATTATGTACTCCCTGTTATCACGTGATTAGAAGATCTTTTCATCTTTTGGGTATTCTTTTAAAAAATCCAGAACCCATGTATAACTATAATAAAAAATGTCAGACAAACTCAAATTGAGGGACATTCTACAAAATATCTGACCAATATTCCTCTAAGATGTGACACCATGAAAAGCAAGGTAAGACTGAGAAATTGTCACAAACCTCAGAGGAGATTAAAGAGACCTAATAGCTAAATGTAATGTGATATTCAGATTGGATTCTGAAACATAAAAAGACATTAATGGAAAAAATTGGTGAAATTTGAATAAAGTCTAGAGTTTAGTTTACAGTAATGTATTATACCAGTGATGATTTCTCAGTTTTGGAAAATGTACCATGGAAATATAAGGTGATAACATTAGGGGAACCTGAAACTTGGTAAGGGGCATATGGGCACCCTCTGGACTATCTCTGTAACTTTTCTGTACATCTAAAATTATTCCAAAATAAAAGCTTCATTTTAAAACTATCCAAAGAATCAGAAAAAGAAATGTAAAATAGGACTGAATAGATTAAGTGAAAATCATGCTTGAACATCTGTTGAAACTCTGCTATTTGACAGTCACTCAAGATACAAGGTGAATCATATCTTATGTAAGTAAAAAAATTAACAGTCCAGTGGGAACACCAGATTTATCAACTATGCAAATATGTTCTAAAATGATAGAAGACAGCAGAAGACCAGGAGTCTGTCAGTCTGGGTTCTAGGATCTGGATTTGGATCTTCCATACACTACTTTTATCATCTTGAACTAATTACTTTCTTTTCTAGTAGTCGAGAGTTTCCAAAATGAGGAAGGACTGAAATTATTTATAATTTACTTTAAAATTCAAAAACTCTATGATCCTACTAAGTAACCACATGTACTTTCAGTGCCAACATGTCTGTCTACACTCTGTATGATGCAGGAGCTGGGGCTCTGCCAACTTTCTCTTTTTTCTTTTCAGCTTCTCCTTGCTTGGATTCACCATTAGGGATACTAGAGGGAAGTTGCAAGGCTGGAGATAGAAAAAGGGACTTTCTTCTTCCTGTTTGCCTCCTCTCTGCCTGCTGTGCCTGTCAGCATCACCCAACCACACTCATCACCTCAGCAACCTTGGTTGTTTTCCAAAGCAGCAGCTGAATCCAGTTAGTTTTTCCGATGCTAGAGGAGCTCTGCTCTTCACACCCTCCTCAGGAACACCTGCACCAGCCAGCGGTGCCTCTTCCTCAGGGGTGTTATGACACAGAGGGCCTCCTCTAAGCTCAGAGACACTAGCACCAGCCAGGCAGCAACCGCCTCTGCTGAGATATTTGAGTTTCACCTCCACAGGTTCTTCCTCCAAGCTTTAAGAGTTTGGGGTGTTTTATTTATTTAAGTCCTAGTAGTTCTAACCTCTTTCCTTTATCTCCCCCTTTCTAGGGGTGAAAGCTACTTCCTACAAATGCTACATTTTTATATTAAAGTTCACTTTTTTCAAATAACTAGTTAACAACTGTCAAAATTATGAAGTTACAATTTTAAAGATCAATTGGCTTTTATTAGTGATTCTAGAATTGGGCAATACCTCGTTCTATCAAATAGAATAAACGTTCTCAATGAGCTGAGCAGAAGAGCTTGGCTTTGTAGGCAGAAAAAGGCTGAAGACAGCAGAATCAGAGACAAAAAATGGATTGGCCTTTTCAAAGATACTTTAAACAGAAGGGACTTTTGTATTATAGTGACTCAGCCTGACTGTAATGTGGGTTTTTTTTGGGGGGGGGGGGTTGGGGGGTGGTTGAAAATGGCTAATTTTGAAGTTCAGTCTGATTACGTGGCACCTAGCACAAATGACTCTGTTCTGGTTTGCCTGCTGTATTAGTTCATTCTACACTGCTATAAAGAAATACCCATGACTTGGTAATTTATAACGGAAAGAGATTTAATTGACTCACAGTTCTGCATGGCTGGAGAGGCCTCAGGAAACTTATAAACACGGTAGAAGGCAAAGAGGAGCAGGCATCTTCTTCATAAGGCGGCGGGAAGGAGTGAGTGCAAGCAGGGGAAATGCCAGTAGCTTATAAAACCATCAGATCTCGTGAGACTCACTCACTATCACGAGAACAACGGGGGGAAACCATGTTGTTCCCATAACCCAATCACCTCCCCTCAGGTTCTTCCCTTGACACATGAGTATTATAATTCAAGATGAGATTTGGGTGGGGACACAGAGCCAAACTATATCACCTGGTTGGCTGGGGCCTAATACAGGAGGCTAGCCCAAAACAGTAGCTCCCACAAAATTTATTTAACACAATTTAATACTTAGTTAATTCTTTATACCAAAATTCCTCTTTAAAAAAAAAAGTGTAGTTTCTCTTTATGGACTTTGAAAAAAGATAAACAAATAAATAGCTAACAGATAATGAGCTGAAAAAATAAAAAAAAAACTTAGCTACATAGTAAGACAAATCAGTAAGTCTAGTAAAAATTAACCTTTATCTTTAAAGCAAGATAATCTACCTTAAATGGAAAAAATAGAAAATGGGCAATAAACCACACACCGACATTCAAAATGGATTGTTTAACATTTAGAGTAATTCTATTTGACATTATATATAGGTAATAATGTTGGTGAAATAAAGTAGCCACACTGTTTAATCTTTAAATCTCCTATATAAGCAAGAGATTGATACCACAATTCAATTTGGGAAGAAAAAAAAGACAACACAATACATACTAGTAGAAAGTGATATTCTGGTTAAATTTAACATAGCTTACTTAACACATATCTGTCTGAAATTCTAGTATAATTTGCCTTTTTGTATATTCTCAATATATTTAAAAGATTTTACTGTAATTCACAAACTGAGAGCATCGTCTTCTCATTGCCACCATCATCTCTTTATTTCTAAAAGTATAGATGACTGGATTCAAAACGGGAGTGATAACTGCATCAAAGATGGCAAGGAATTTATCAAGATGTGATGTGGGAAATGGAAAAATATAGAAAAAGATTAATGGCCCAAAGACCAAAACCACCACAATGACATGAGCTGACAGCATAGAGAAAGCCTTGAATATACCACCTGAAGATTTTTTCTGAACAGTCACCAAAATAAAGATGTAAGAGATTATGAGAATTAAAAAAGAAGCCAGAGAAATAAATCCACTATTGGCAGTAACCATGAATCCCAATGTGTAGGTCTCTATGCAAGCCAGTTTGATAAATCGAGGAAGATCACAAAAGAAACTATCTAATTCATTAGGGCCACAGAACAGCAGGTCTACAACAAAAGCCAACTGAATCACTGAGTGAATAATACCTATAATCCAGGAAATGACTAAAAACAAAATGCACCTTTGTGGGTTCATGATGGTCAGGTAGTGGAGAGGCTTACATATGGCCACATATCGGTCAAAAGCCATGGCTATGAGCAGCACCATCTCAGTTCCCCCAACTGCATGGATAAAGAAGATCTGAACTACACAGCCCCCAAAAGAGATGGTCTTGTGCTTCCTGAAAAGGTCATAAATCATCTTGGGAGCTGTGGAGGAACAAAATACCAAATTGATGATGGAAAGGTTGGCCAGCAGGAAGTACATGGGGGACTGTAAACGAGGGTCAGAGGTCACAGTTAGCACAATGAGGAGATTTCCCATCAGGCTTGACACATAGAACACTGAGAAAAAGAGGAAGAGGAGGAGCTGGATCTTCCGCGAGTCAGAGAGTCCCAGGAACACAAACTCAGAGACCACAGAGTGATTGGCTTCATCCATTGCCTCTGTCGGCTGTGACAACTCTCATGCTAACTGAAAGAGGAGAGTAAGGAGAAACTTTGATTTAGGACAAAAAGCATTGATGTTGGCAAAATCATGAGCAATTCATATGTTGTCAGAAAACTAGACAAGGGCTAATATATGCCTTTAGAGACAATTTCAGTCACAAAGCAACTCATATTCCTCTATTGTAAATTTTGTCACCAGAAAATACGTTGCACAGAATAAGAACTCCTTTACTTACTTGAATGGATACCTTTGTTTTATACACACACACAGACACACACACACACTTCAGCTCATGTCTTCACTCCACATTCTTCACTCAGCCTACATGCCTTTGTCATCATTACATCTCTCTAATTCTTCCCATTTTCTTCAGTACCCACTCTGTCTAATTCCTTTCTCCATGAAGTCCTCTTTGATACCCTTACCTTTATATACACTAAGTGGAAATAAATCTTGTTTATACTGTGGTAACCAAACCAAAAACCTTTATACTAATAGTGTTAATAGTGTTCTAAGAGTGATCTAACAAAGAACACTATTGAATTTCTGGTCATTGTAAATCATGTTTCTTCAACATGTCTTCAAATTATCCTTTTTAGACTTTTGCATGATAATAGTATAAATGGCATTTACATTCATAAAGGGCAACTCAGCTTGGAATAACTTAAGTTCCTTTCACACTGATTATCATCAGCAACCTTCCTACTGAAGCAATTTATTTAAGTGAATGATTAAATTCTAAATTGCTCCCTAGAAGCTGAAAGTTACTCTATCAATGTCTCCAATTTCCACTTACTCCTAAAACTGTTTTAATTTTTACACAAGACTTTTGTTTTATCTTTAAAATAACACTTTATTTTTATATATAAGGTTAGCAAAGATTTATATTAGATTATTCCTAGTGTTGCTAAAAATTTGGAAAACAGGTTTGTCCACTCATTGTTGGTACTACTGCCTTCCAGCCAGTCTTTCATGTTCTATCTCTATTTAAAACTTAAGGTCTTTATGTACCACACTTTGTATTAGTCCCCACTGAACACTTTTTTAAGCAGGGCAGAATAGTTGTTTAAATCTGATCTTTTCCATGAAGACAGAATTAAGCTCTCCACTTAGCTCACTCTTACAAAAGGAAAAAAGATTATCAGTGGTGATAAGCAACTCAATCCCAGTGTGCCTTTGCAGTGTTCTGAAGCTCATGATTGTGTTTAACACAGAGCACAGACCTCTCCCACACTCCTACTATTAAGCCTAGAATGTAACAAAAAAAGATACTCCAGAGATCATCTACTGATCAACTCACTCTGTCCTCTGCTCAGGTTGCTCAGCCCTGTGCTGCCCAACAGAAATGGGAAATGAATTAAAGTCATGTGAGCTTATCACCAATCCAAATGAGGATGATAATTCTAAGGTTTTTTAAATGTAGATCATTGTTTGAAGTCACTCCGATAAAGATGGGTAGAAAGGGCTCAGGACACCACTTAAAATATGAAAAAGAGGGACAGGAATGGACACTGGAGTTGCATGCTCCCCAAATTACTGTTCCTACTGCCATCAACAATACAGCAAGCCTTATAGAAGTCTGTTGTTATGACCTGAATGAAACTTTGCTAACGATTGTAAAATTCTTTCATTTTAGGGTTAAGAAAACCAAGGTACAAAGAGGGTAAATGACTCGGCTAAAGCTCCAGAACAAGTTGGTGGCAAATCCAGAATATGTTTGACTTTTGGTTTCCTCTGTACAGGTTATTTCCACTACATCATGTTTCTTCTTTTGTGATGATCTTTGTGTGCTGTCTGTGGCCCAGGAAACCGTAACATACCAAAACTAGTTTGTTTAGCATTGTCTAAAATTCCTCACATTTTACTTGCACTGGACTCAAATTTTCCACTCCGACTTTATTCTCTGCCTGGAGACCCACACGCAACACGTCTGTGCAAATGTCACTGGAATAACCTTTCCAATATTGAACATGAAATCATGACTTGACTCTACTCATTCTGCTGCCTTCTATATTTCAGTTGTTAGTTAATCTGCTGCAATTTTCGTGTTGAATAGCAGATAATTCATGACTCCTGGTTGATTAAATTCTCCCTCTCACTGTCCTGTGTGTTTCCATTTAAAGTTCTGATCTCCATCAAAGACAGTTTCTTTCCATTTAACCTACCTGGACCAGTGTTGAAATAGAGGATCACAAAATGCAGAGCTCCCTGATGTTATGATCATCACTTGGCATAAAAAGTCATGTGTAATACCTCCACAGGGGGAAAGGGAGCTAATTAGCAGCACAGAACAGTTACTGAAATGTTGCTATAGAGACCTGGGATTGCCATCCTGAGTACATTTGGCCAAGGGAATTCATTCTGTGCCATCCACGGAACCTTGGCCACAGCAATTAAAGGGGAAAGCTGGCAATGGGTCACTTGAAGGGAAGGAAGAGGAGAAACTAGGGACCTTTTGTGTATAAAAATTACAGAATTTTTTTTTTTTTTTTTTGACACGGAGTCTGCCCTTTCGCTCAGGCTGGAGTGCGGTGGCACGATCTCGGCTCACTGCAAGCTCCGCCTCCCAGGTTCACACCATTCTCCTGCCTCAGCCTCCTGAGCAGGTGGGACTACAGGTGCCTGCCACGCCCGGCTAATTTTTTGTGTTTTTAGTAGAGACGGGGTTTCACCGTGTTAGCCAGGATGGTCTCGATCTCCTGACCTCGTGATCCACCCGCTTCCGCCTCCCAAAGTGCTGGGATTACAGGCGTGAGCCATCGCGCCCTCCTGTTTTATCTTTTTACCTGCTTGTTTTCCTTATTTATGAGGGAAGAAACTCCGTAAGAAGGAAAATATATACTTTACAAAGGGTGAAATCAAGTTTACCATTGCGGAAGGAGGGAAGGAAGGAAGGAAGGAAGGAAGGAAGGAAGGAAGGAAGGAAGTGGGGGGAGGGAGGGAGGGAGAGAGGAAGGGAAAGAGGCCTCCAATGTGGCATCTAAAATGTGATCCATGCCCCACTAGGAAGGATAACTAAATTACAGGTAATAATAGGTACAGTTGTGTAGTCAACATTTGGTTAGTTCTTAATTGTGTGTGTGATATGGGGAGATGAATAAGGTGTTATAAAAGCAGCACACGAGGATGGACTCAAAATGCTAGTGCAGCTGAAATAGAGAAAATCAGTAATGGATTTAACCTCTCATAGATTAAGTTTTTTTTATTTATAAAACAAAATCAACAAAACAGAAAACCTCTGGTTATGTTTTATTTCTTTACATCAAAAATATGCAGAGAGTCAGTGAAAGGGCCACTGATAAATTCTAATTATACAGAGTATACTATATCACTTATCTATTGCTGCACAACAAAGTAGCTTAAATCAATAACATTTTACTTGCTCATGTGTCTGCAATTCAGGCTAAGCTCAGCTGGGCAGTTCTTCTGCTGGTCTCGCCTGGGCTTTCTCATGAGACGTTAGTTATCTGGCAGCTTGACTGGGGTTGGAGGGTCTATGATGGCCTTACTCACCTGTCTGAAGCCTAATGCGGGCTATAGACTGGGCCTCTCTCTCACAGGGTCTTTTATCATTCATTAGTCTTGCCCAAGCTTCCTTACATGGTGGTGGAGGATGCTATGAGTGGGTGGGCAAAGAGAGAAGCTACAAAGCAACTTATGCCTAAGTTCTGGAACTCATGCAACATACATTTTGTCATATTTCCTTCATCAAAGCAAGCATAACGCCAGGCCAGATTGAAGGTGGGGAAATAGACTCCACCTCTTCGCAGGAGGAGCTACAAAATATTGTAGCCATGATTTTCAATCAGCTAAATACTCCATAGCTAACAATTCTCAGTTGTATCGATTGACTAAGTTTCATTTAGAAATATTTTTTATATAGGCACGTGATACACATCCTATCCAGGGCTCTAAGGTGCTGTTACTCCAACTTTCACTAACTCAAAGGAACATCAGCTCTCTCCCACTCCTGCTTTTGTCTTAGATTCAACAGATTTGTAATAAGTAATTTTTATAGTTATTTTCTTAATGAGTTTATATCCCGATACAAAACTTCAGTTAAGTCACATGACCTTCTAGAGTCTTCACCACCAAGGACAGTCCAGCCTCCTACTTGTCAAAGAAGGTTCAAGAACACTGAGGTAGAGGCACAGTCACATTACTTGAAAGAAGTCTAGAGGCCCTGTGGAAAGAAACTTTTCACCATCAACAAATGAGATCAAACATATACAGAATGATTTGATGAACTTGAGTTGTCCAAAGGAGGGCAGTCCGATGCATCTCAAATAAAATCATTACAAAAGCAAAAGATATCTAGCAGAATAGACCAGACAAAGCAGCAAGTCCTGGTGACTGCATGGGCAGCAACTGAGCAGGGATGTACATGAACACACTCTAACACAGCCTCTCTACCCCTCCCCACACAGTCCCCAGATTCCTACAGTTTCAGGCAGTGGCATGCAGGCTATGCAGAGATAAGCAATTCAGGAGAGATGAACAGTGGCTCAAGCAGATAGCTGTGTGCCACAGAGTGGCTCCCATCCTAATACTCTAGAGAGAACAGTTGGGAAGAAGAATCCCAGAAAAGATTAAAATTCTGCTTATCAAGCAGGGCAGAGAAATGAGACTGGGAAGAATATTGTGTAAGTGTGACACATTTGTATTCAGCAGGTCTTGCAGCCTGGTGTTTTGATTGTCTTAATTTTATTATTTTAACTTGATTCCAGTGTGCGTCTGTTGATTGGCGTGTGATGTTATTATTCCAGTGTGCATCTGTTGATTAGCATGTGATGTCATTTATTAAAATATTGAATGCCAAGATAAATATTTTACTTACTCCAAATACTATTATCTTTACTAGCCAAGGGTTACATCTACAAAATGAATTTGCCAATATGAGGAAGGTTTTACTTACAAATCTCTTAATTTGAATGCCCATGAAGAAAGCATACCAATATCTGCTGATTTTAGATCTTGCGTATTCCACCTACTGGTGCCTTATACAGCACAGATGCATGGTTAGTGTCTGCTATTACATATGGCATCTATGTTTATTAATTGCGGCCATAAGAAGTCATTAGGGTTTCAGAAAAAGCTTATTTCCCAATTAGTTCACTTGCCAATTGGCTCACTTAATAAGAGAGGATTCTATTGTAACCAAAGCAAATTCACAGAAAGCTTGTCTATTCTTCCAAAATGTATGCTGAATTCATCAACTTTTGTTTTCTTTTTTATGGTTTGCTGATATCCTTTTTTTGTTGCTGTTTACAAATAGTAACTAAAATTTCATATACATTTTTCCATATGTTGCCTGACTATATTATCTTCTGTGCTGCTTTTTTCAACTTTTACTTTAAAATAAGGGGGTACATGTGCAGTTTGTTACACAGGTATATTGCATGGTGCTGAGGTTTGGAGTATAAAGGAATCCATCACCCAGGAGGTAAGCATCTACCCAATAGTTTTTTTCAGCCCTCACCCTGTTCTCTCCATCCCCACTCTTGCATTCTTCAGTGGCTATTGTGTGTGTGTGTGTGTGTGTGTGTGTGTGTGTGTGACAGAGACTCACTCTGTCACCCAGGCTGTAGTGCAATGGTGCAATCTCGGGTTACTGAACCTCTGCCTCCCGGGTTCAAGCAATTTTCCTGCCTCTGCCTCCTGAGTAGCTGGGGTTACAGGTGTGTACCACTAGGCCTGGCTAATTTTTGTATTTTTAGTAAAGAAGGGTTTCACCATGTTGGCCAGGCTGGTCTCGAATTCTTGACCTCCCCCTGCCTTGGCCTCTGAAAGTGCCAGGATTACAGTCATGAGCTACCTCACCCAACTTTATTGTTCCCATTTTTATAACCATGTGTACACAATGTTTAGCTCCCACTCACAAGTGAGAACATGTGGTATTTGGTTTTCTGTTTCTGCAGTCATTCACTTAGGATAATGGCTTCCAGCTGCATCCATGTTGCTGCAAAGAACATGATTTTGTCCTTCATGGCTTCATAGTATCCCACAGTGTACATGTACCACATTTTCTTTAGCCAATCCACTGCTGATGGCACTGGGCATCGACATATTTTTAAGTCATCACATTCGTACTAATTTGATATGACAGCCTTTGGAAACTAATACAGAGATTAATCTGTCGTTAGAAGTAAAGTGGATTCAAGAAAGAGATTATATTTATTTGTTTTATGTTTTCAAGCTTAGAAGAGATGTGGCCATGTTTGAATACTGATATAAACAAACCAAAAGAAAGGATGGTTTAAAAATATAGCAGGGGGAGGGAGTAACTGAAAGAGCAAAAGTCCTGAAGAGGTGGCAGAGGATGAGATCTATAACTCAACCACAGAAAGGGCCCTGCATCCTGGGGATCCTGCCTTCACCTAACCAATCATATTCTCCCTCCTGGAAATTTGAAATTTGGGGTTCATAAATGCTGGTCAGATTCTGCTGGTCCCTTAAACTAAAGTGATGTAGCTACAGGGATGGGACACAGAAAGAAATACAAATGAGAGGCCCGCGACCTCGAGCATTGGAAGAAATAGTGGGTTTAGTTCCTTCTCCTTCTCCCATTCATGGTGCAGTTCCTGGTGGTTCTGCTCTAGAATTCCACCAAATACTTCTGTGTGAAGATGTCTCCTCTTCTCATATCTGTTACTTGCAACAAGAAGCTGTGACTAAGAAACTGACAGAATTTGGTTTGAACCCCAAATCAATCACTTTCTAGGTGTGTGACTTCTAGGCTGAGGCTTTCTCATTTATGAAGCAGGGATAGCAAAACCTACCTCATAGGTTTTATGTGTTTTTAATGAGAATACATATGAAGGCCCTGAAGTATAGTAGATATTTGGTTACTGTTAGTTCCCCTGGCCATTCCCTAGGGGTAACTTGAGGAAAGCAGAAAGCTCTGCCCAAATAGTTTATTTGATAGTTAATTGTGATAAGCACTTCACTTGGAAATGGATACTAAAGAAAATCTCACCATCAAAAATGGTTGTAGAGGAGTATAGAGAAGTTTTAAGCTCCTTTGGAAATCTGGGAATACATAAGGCATAACAAAAACTGAGGCATAATACAAGAGGACGTTTCCATACAAGGCTGCCAAATCACTGTCTCTTCCCCAAGGTCCCTGCCAATCATCCCTATCTCTGTTTCTGTTCCCTACCCCATCTCCAGACAGTTAAAAAATAAAAGCTCACCCAGTAACCTATCATAGATAGTCTATAAAGGTATCCTAGATTCTGTTTATTTAACCTAAGACACAGTTCTTAAATTGTACTTTCCATAAGAAGCAACATTATGATTCTAGCACTGGAGTTGGAACAGAATAACTTCATCCTCACATTAGGAGTAGTACGCAAGGTCTTCGAAGTTACACAAGGTCTTTAAAATTACCCAATGGCAGGATTCATGCAGTTGACATCACCACAGATCTGGGTTTTGCTGCTGCAAACAGGCTGACCTTAGCACAAGGATGACTGTGTCTCGGATCATACTCTACACAGCACCTAAAAGATGCAACAGGGAAACTTTAGGCAAAATGATAGGAAATCGTTTTACCTCTCCAGATTTTCTTTTCTAAATGAGGGCATAACAATGCCTGCTCCATATAATTTTTATGTATACATTAGATAGTGCCTGGCACACAGCACTTAATAAATGGTAGCCGAAAGGAGGAGAGAAGCCCTACTGGTTAAATATACTAGCTAAGGAGGAAGCGTTTTATATACACCAGAAAGAGCTGTGCTTGAAGCTTAGTGTTTTTTTCTTTAAGCTTTTGTTGGAGTACTTCGGACATGTCTAATGGTATAGAATCAAGAAGCAGTGTATCAAGTTTTGTATGAACTGGTTTAGGCAAGTTTGTCAGGCTGCCACAAGTTCAGCTTATGATTTCTTTTTTTTTTTTCCAGATGTTATTGGGGTACAGGTGGTATCTGGTTACATGAGTAAGTTCTTTAGTGGTGATTTGTGAGATTTTGGTGCACCCATCACCCGGGCAGTATACACTGCACCCTATTTGTAGATTTTTATCCCTCGCCCCTCTCCCATCCTTTCCCCCAAGTTCCCGAGTTCACTGTATTATTCTTACGCCTTTGCATCCTCATAGCGTAGCTCCCACATATCAGTGAGAACATATGATGTTTGGTTTTCCATTCCCGAGTTTACTTCACTTAAAATAATAGTTCCCAGTCTCATCCAGGTCACTGCAAATGCCATTAATTCAATACTTTTTATAGCTGAGTAGTATTCCATCACATATATATACCACAGTTTCTTTATCCACTTGTTGTTGATGGGCATTTGGGTTGATTCCATGATTTTGCCATTACGAATTATGCTGCTATAAACATGCATGTACAAGTATCTTTCTCATATAATGACACCTTTATCTCTATGTGCCCAGTAGTGGAATTGCTGGATCAAATGGTAGTTCTACATTTAGCTCTTTAAGGAATCTCCACACTGATTTTCATAGTGGCTGTACTAGTTTACATGCCCACCAGCAGTGTATAAGTGCTCCCTGATCAACACATCCACACCAACATCTGGTTTTTTTAATGTTTTGATTATGGCCATTCTTGCAGGAATAAGGAGGTATCACATTTATTTGCTTGGTCCACATGGTTTTGATTTGCATTTCTAGGTTTGGGGTATATTTTCTGTTTCAGTTATGCCCTTTGCAGTGTCTAATTAATTCTCTTGACAAAATTTTTTAATGTTATACGTTATTGAGTAAGATGGTAGGGAAAAGGAGGAGATGACCAGGGTTCAAATCACTTCTACAAACACTAATTGGAATTGTAATATACCAAGTTCTATTATATAGAAGATGATCATAAAAAAGAAGAAGGAAGACGAGGAAGAAGAGTCATGGACTATCCCTCAAAGAATTCACAGTGCAGATGAGAGAAAGGTAAAGAAATATTTTTAAATAGAGTGATAAGTATAGTATTGAAAGGTCCACATAAAAGACAAAGTAATAAAATATGACTGGAAAATGTAAAGAGGCTTTACCAAAGAGGTGACAGCTGAATGATAGCTTGGCTTTGAGCTGTGGTAGACAAAGCTGCATATGCAGAAATGCAAAAATCTGAAGTAGCATAGCATGCTCAGGTGTTTACTAGCAGTTTGTGCATGGGAGGGCTGTGGTTTGCAAAGGGAGATGAGGTTTCCTGGATAACCATGTGTGCCTTGGACTAATGAGAGAAGATATGCTCAAAAATCACAGACCAGCTTGTTATCAAAGAGCACAGAGGGAGGCTGGGGTTTCCCACCCCCAATCCGGGCACAGTGGCTCACGTCTGTAATCCCAGCACTTTGGGAATCCAAGGCAGGTGGATTATTTGAGGTCAGGAGTTCAAGATCAGTCTGGCAAACATGGCGAAACCCCGCTTCTACTAAAAATACAAAAATTAACCAGACATTGGTGGCTTGCACCTGTAGTCCCAACTACATGGGAGGCTGAGGCACAAAAATCACTTGAACCTGGGAGGCGGAGGTATTGCCTAGTATATGAGACCATTCATGTCATTTTGATAACATTAATTCTATAATTCTTGCTTGGTATATTTACTTTTAATATTTTATTTTCTTTAATTAAAAATGACTATTATTCCCAATAAACCAACCACATTTTTTATCTTCATCAATTTTTGTGTTCTTTGCCTGAACGTAGAAGTTTACAGGCTGATCTCAACTTTTATGTTCAACTTGAAAAGAATAGTAGCCATAATAATAATTTTTCTTTTTAATTTTTGATTTTTTAACTAAAAATAATTTCCCATTACCAACAAAGAATTCTGAGTAGAATACAAAGACTTTTCACAGTTGGTTGTATGCCCTTTTGCTTGGAGGCAGGTTCAAATGTTAAATTACTATATTGATTATAGAGAAGAATAGATCTTGAAAGGCTGGCTCTCTGGGGCTATCCTATCAGAGCGTAATTAATTTATCCAGTCTGAGTTTGACAGATGCACAATGTCTAAGCAGAGAATTCCTTTAAAATTATGCTGTTTTATTCCTGGCAACTCATTTTGAGTTTCTCTGATGAGTCACTGAAGGAGACTTCCTTCACACATCTGCCTCCAGTGACTAAGTCAGCTGAAAATAAACATATGCAATACAATACCTCAAGCATCTGCATCAACTTCAGGACCCTATGTGGGGTCACAAATTATATTTTTAAATATATAAAATACATCATATTTAAGTTATGCTAAACAAATAACAATAATGTTTCCAGCTAATGAGAGTTAACCATGGTGCCCTAATGTCTGGCTTCAGTTGTCGGCTGCAGAGTGGAGATGGTCCTAGAGAGAAGGAACAAAGAAAATGCACATGTTTTGGGTGGGATGAAAGAAGAGTGGGAATAATTTCAATTATAAATATTCTTTTTTTTTAACTTCAGGTGACTATCCAGCAGGCAGTCAGGTATACATACCTGGGATTCATGGGTATTGTCAGAGCTGGAGATACAGATTTGAGAGTTGTAGGTGAGAGAAAAGATCACCTAATTAAAGTGTGAAGAGAGAGTTTAGATAAGATGAAAATCTGGGAACACTTTGCATTTAAGGGTTAAGCACAGTAGATTTAGAAAGGGAGACAGACAGAGAATGTTGAGTATGACTTGATCTAAGGGGAAAGCATCATTAGAACGAGAGACATTAAAGACTCAGGAGAGACAAATGACTGACAAAGTGCAAGAGGATTTGTGGGGGTGGGAAGGATTAAAAATATAATGGAGGCCAGGCAAGGTGGCTCATGCCTGTAATCCCAGTACTTTGGGAAGCCAAGGTGGGAGGATCACTTGAGGTCAGGAGTTTGAGACCAGCCTGGCCAACATGATGTCTCTACAAAAAAATACAAAAAATAGCTGGGCGTGATGGTGCACACCTGTAATCTCAGTTACCCAGGAAGCTGAAGCAGGAGAGTTGCTTGAAAAGGGAGGCAAAGGTTTCAGTGAGCTATAGATGATAGATAGATAGATAGATAGATAGATAGATAGATAGATAGATAGCATATATATATATATATATATGAGTTTGGAGGAGCTGATGGCTTTCGTGTCCAGTAACCTCACATTCCTGAAAGCATTAGTACAGGCGGCCATCTGTTGAACAAGAAAGGCAGGGGAGGGATGTGCAAAAAGGTAGCATAATGTCTCAGTTTCTGAGTAAAATGAACAGCTGACCAACTGCAAAGAAAACTATTCAGGTTCTCCCCTGGAACATCCAGATGATTTCACTCACCGCTATCATTTTCTCATTGCCAATATCCTGAAAACCCTACATTCTGCTCAGTTAACTTCATAAGCCCATGAATAGTCTTTCTCACTCCACATTATTCTGCTTCCATGGTCACCCCTCCCTATCTGAATCTCCTGGCTCACTCGACTCTTATGATTCCATTGAACTCACCCAGATAAGACAGGTTAATCCCTTCATGTCGAGCTCCTGAATTTAATCACATCTGCGGAGTACATCTGCAATGTAAGGCAACACAGTCACAGGTCTGGGAATGAGGGCTTGGGAGTCATCTCTGGGGAGGGGCATTTCCTACTCACCACAGTGGTTTTTAGTCTTCGAATGTAAACGTGAGGCCTGGGATAATCTGTCATCTTGTGACCAAGAGACAACAAACGGGAGAGAAAAACCGTTCCAAAATGCAAATACTAGCATGTACCTGGCCATGGAGCTATTACTAGTGGATGTATAACTGGGACTTCTTATATGACATAGGTAAACTCTCTATTGGTGAGCCTTCTTAAACTTGGGTTTTCTTTTTCTTGGAGCCATCCACAATAAGAAATGTATTTTATGTTATGACCAAATAGTGAGCCATAATCCTTATTTGAAAAACATTGTCCTAAGAATAAAGATTATTTAAGCTTTTTACTGTTTTTTTTTGTTTTCTGCACATTATACTGCATTTTATTTGAGCTATGTAAACAAGGCAATATTCCCATTTAAATCACTTGTTAAAAAGACTTCTCAGCACTGAACTCCATACAAATCTTAGCACCATCTAAGTCAGCTACTCTTTGCTAAAATCCCCCTACTGTTTGTATTGAAGATTCTGTTTCACTCTGCTTTTTCTACTCTGTAGTCTTTTTTTAATTATTATTTTTGTAGAGATGGGGGTCTGGGTTGCCCAGGCTGGTCTCAAACTCCTGATCTCAGGTGATCCTCCCAACAACACCTCCTAAAGCTCTGGGTTTACAGGCATGAACCACCATGCCTGGCCCACTTTGTATTCTTTCTGATGATTATCCTTCATCCTGCTGTCCTCTAACTGTAGCTCCCTCAAGGTATTTTACTTTTAAAATTTATGACCAGGACCTTTATTGAGAAATGCATTTTACATCACAAGTTACCACACACATAGGGGTAATGTTTGGTTTTCAGCTATATTTTCACAATTCGATTTTTCTCTGAAAAAATAACTGTTATGTGGATAAAACAACTAAATTCCTATCAGATGTCAGCCCCTTTGTGTGCTAGAGCCCACTGCCTTGCATCATCTGAGAACTTATTTATTTTGGACAATTATCCAATCTCTTTCCTGCATCGTTAATTTCTTACCTTCTACAGGATTATGCCCTAAATTTCATTCTGTTACACTCATGGAAAGAAGAAGAAACTGGAGATGGAGGAGAGGGAGGAGGGGGAACTATGTCTGCAGCTCTACTCTAGTTCTCTGCTACCCTTAAAAGTAAAACTTCTAGAGAGAGCCATCTATAGTCGCATTCTCTACGTCATCACCTGGATTCTCTCCTAAGACCACCCTAACCGAGCTTCCGTTTTCACTGCCTTTATGAACGTTTGTTAAGCTACGTGCAGTGAAATCCAAAGGTCGCTCTTCTATTCTTGTCCGAAATGTCTTAGAAGTGTTCAGTGAAGTTTATCACTTGCTTCTATGATGAAGGCTTTCTTCTCCTGGTTTCAGAAACCCCATCGTCTCCTTGCATCTCCTTTGTCACTGAAACTCTCTTACTGTCTCCTCGGCTCAATCATGGTATGCCCCTGGGCCCTTTCCTGGTCCTGTACTCCTTTCTATATAGAGGTAAAGCATTTTTTTTTTTTTTTTTTTTTTTTTTGAGACGGAGTCTTGCTCTTTCGCCCAGGCTGGAGTGCAGTGGCGCGATCTCGGCTCACTGCAAGCTCCGCCTCCCGGGTTCACGCCATTCTCCTGCCTCAGCCTCCCAAGTAGCTGGGACTACAGGCGCCCGCCACTACGCCCGGCTAATTTTTTGTATTTTTAGTAGAGACGGGGTTTCACCGTTTTAGCCGGGATGGTCTCGATCTCCTGACCTCGTGATCCGCCCGCCTCGGCCTCCCAAAGTGCTGGGATTACAGGCGTGAGCCACCGCGCCCGGCCGGTAAAGCATTTTAAACCCATCTAATCCCTGGGCTTTAACCAGTATCTGTATAAATAGGACTTTCAATTCTATATGTCTCATTCTGAACTCTTTTGGACTATGATTTGTGTAATCACATACGGACTTGATATCTCCACATAATACAGAATATTGGAGGTACATATTGCCTAATGATGATCTTCTTTGTCCACTTCATTTCCTGAAACTGAAATGTAGAGAGGTTGAATAACTTAACCGGTTTCCTATTGCTAGTCAGAGGCACAGTAGATATGCCTTCAAAACAGCGCTATCAGCTACTCCTTAGTAGGACCAAAAAATTAAAAAGCACATAATGCATGTATTAAATACTAACAAGCAAGAGTGTAAGATTTCTTTCTGTTTGTTAGGAAGCTTCAGTGTCGGATAAAGCTGTGCTGGACAGACTCCTGTAAATTCAAGCCCTGTGGTGGGGCTCTTTATGTCCCATGCTGAGTATGGCAGCCGAGGCATAACTGCATTTCTTTTAAGCTTTCCCCCAAAATTCAATCTGATTTTTACATTTTTATCTTTTCTCTCCCTGCTGGTAGGTTTCACTGGACTGATATAGATTTACATATTCCCCAATCTGATTATATTCCAGTTTATTGATTAAAAATTCCCACTGTGATATTGTTATTACAAAGTGAGGCATAAGTTTTTAGTGAATTATCACTTTTGCAGATAGTGATCACTTGATGGGAGGCTCTCTTTCAATTACCCCATCAAATAGTTATTGTTTATTTAGAGCTTGCTGAGAGTCAGATCATTTACGTAAATTTCTAAATCCCCAAGACTCAAAGCTGATTTCCAAAAATATTTGACTTTAACAGTATAGTTTCTTCAACTGAACTGTCTTTATTTACAAGCCTTTTAAGGATCAAGAGGAATTGCAGGTTTTGACACTCAGCATGTGAAGGCTTATATTAACTATTAAAGAATGAATTTCCTACAGAATATTTTTTCTCAACTGGGTCTTCATGCAATAATGTTAATTATCAAGATAAACGATCCAAAATGAGATGAAAGCTAAACATCAAAATACTGAACAATTTCTCCATGATCATGGGGATGACTCCATTAAAGCAAATTGCAGCTAAATGCAGGGCAGCAAGAAGGGAAACAGGGCAACAAGGAGATACATTATCTGTATCAACAACAAAGCTCTAAAGCCAAAATATTTAAGAGAAGTACGAATGGTCCGGCTTTGGGAAATAAACCAAATGTCAACAGTTTGCTATCACAATGATCATGAATGCCAGGTACTTTGAATACTTAGCATTTTGCATGCCAGATAGTTTACTGGGCAACACCGGTTACAGCAGTGTAGGCTGTACAGTGAATGGCTGCTGGTTTTCTTTTCCCCTGTAACAACATACCGCTACAGTAACTCTGCATGCTTTCATTTCAGTAACCTCTAGAGGTCCTTTATTACAAGGTATCAGAGCACTAAAAAGATTTCTGGGACTTCACTGAGTTCAAAAAACAGATGCATATGACAATTTCTGTAATTGTTAGCAGATACTTTTTTACATGGGGCAGGTTTTGGCTACAGCTACTTTTATTATAAAAACAGAAGATTTTCAAGGAAGAAACCTAATGCCCTCATTTTATGTTATCAATTTTAGAAAGAAATAACAATTAAGCATCAGTCAATTACCTTCACTTGGGAGAGGGAAGAAGAAAGCATAGCCCTCAGACAGACTGGGGAGGCAGGAGAGAATTATGCAAAACAGGAGGTTTACTAAGGTCCTACAGATACATGCCTGGGTTCTTCCAAAAATGCCTTCACCACTCTCAGATATTGGGCTTAGGATTCTAAAGTATTGAGCTCAGTTCTTGTGGCAACAGGACGTAAGATTCTAAACAGTCTTGGTTTGAAATGGAATAAGATTATGTGGAATTGCTTTAACAAGGCATGTGTACAAGTTGTTCTTCACTGCCAACCCTTTCCCTCCACTTTTGCTTCCTAAGATGTAAAGCCGTGGTTTCCTGAAGTGATTTTTTGCATAGGTGTGCCTAAATATTGTGGAACACAACAGCATTTGCTCATTATTAAATGTGTCAGATTCACTATCTTCTACTGTTTATTTTCAATGCTACATTTGTTCCTGTGTCCTTGCTCCACAGTTTGTGAGTATACTTCCTGGTTACAATTTACTAGTTAAAAGTAAAGTTGGCCTGGCATGGTGGCTCACACCTGTAATCCTAGCACTTTGGGAGGCTGAGGCGGGCAGATCACGAGGTCAGGAGATTGAGACCATCCTGGCTAACACAGTGAAACCCCGTCTTTACTAAAAACACAAAAAATTAGCCGGGCGCAGTGGCAGGCACCTGTAGTCCCAGCTACTCGGGAGGCTGAGGCAGGAGAAAGGCATGAACTCAGGAGGCAGAGCTTGCAGTGAGCCGAGATCGTGACACTGCACTCCAGCCTGGGTGACAGAGCGAGACTCCATCTCAAAAAAAAAAAAAGTTAGAGGAAGCACTAATGGTACTATTTTTACTACAATTAGAAAGACAGGTACTCATTTCCTTCACACTCAAAAAGAAAATTGGTTTTATGATTTTGTGGCAAGGCTTGATCTACGGATGGAGTATAACTTTTCTGTAATCACTGTATATTAGTTTTCCAACCTCAGCAGATATTTTTTCTGAATATATTTGAATAATTTCTCATACTCTTCCTGTCTTCTTCACTTTGTTGAAACAGATCAAGCCCAAGTATTTTTGGGTTGTCTACCAATTCCAATAGAGAGCCTTGATTTGGGATTAGGTTACTCTGAAATATTTTCCAAAGTAACTCAATTTTACAGAATCAAAGTGTACTTGTGGCTCATTTTATAGCTATGGAGAATATGTATTTCTAATTTCTACTTTAGAGGGTTTTTTTTTTAACCATCACAACTAGGAATTTTAATTCTTTGTCTGAAAAATTATACTGTACGTATTTCCCTCAAAACCATTTGGTACAAAGTACTGCCCATTAGAAGCAAGCTGAACATTTTGAATATATATTATTCATCTCATACAGGATGACCTTGCTCAGTAGGTCATAATTTGAAGATCTATTATGACTGTGATTAATAGGACTTCTCCCGACCAGTATCTGAAATAAATGCAAATGGCCACTGTAACACAATTACTTGGTTTCCATTTTAAAGTCTTTCCACTTAGAAACTAAGTTATACATAGAGGTTACACATCTCAGTCTGGCTGACAGACTCTCAGGTGGGTGGGCCTATTACAATCTATGCAAACAGGAAGACCAGGTCACTCATTAAACCATGGTCAATATAAATGGTGCAACGGGTTTTGTCCCAAGGACCGATGGCTAGATAATTTGACAAAAGGACAGAGAAGGATGGTGAAAAAAAAAAAAAAAAAAAAAAAACACAGATCAATGGCTATTAATTTGAAAGCAACACATATCCTAGAAAGAAACAGTTTATGCTGTTATTTAGAATAATTACCATTTTCAATTAGCTGACATTTCACATAGCTTTGGGACTATAGCAAGGCAATAACCCTCAACATCTAATCTCAGCCCTGCCTTTTGTCAATGATCTCCTGATACCGCTTCAAAGGCAAACCCAATACTTTGTGAGCAATGGCTTTCTTTGTCATAAATAGCAAGTAGTGCACAGAGTTCAAAGGAAGTTCAAGTGATATACACACTAAGGCAAAATATCTCATGTTAAAATTTCCCTGAGTACGTGAATATTTTTTTCCTGGCCATTTCCTTAATGAGCATATACTTCCAATGCAATAGAGCAGTAATTTTATTGTATTATGATGACACTATAAAAACATAAAGGAATTAAAAGTTCCAATGTAGATTTCTATCCCATCAGTGTCAATATAAAATTTACATAGCTTTTTAAAGCTAAATTATAAACTTAATTATTCATATCATTTTAAGATACTGTTTGGAATTTGAAAGTATAATATGATACATAGTTTAAAATAAATTAGCCATTTCCTATTTGAAAAATAAAATTCTCAATCTGTTAAGAGAACACATCATGATACTGATGAGAATCACTTGTGTTGAAATGCTTATTTGGTCAGCACACCAGACCATTAGTCCAAAAGCACAGGACTAAGTCTTGTCTATTCTGCGGCCCATGCCATACATACTTAGTCACCTAGTCCTCTGCCTGGTAGAAGGCTTCAATCACTACACTGGAGCTGAAGAGAAACAGTGTCACCGAGTATAAATAAAAACACTGCAACCCATAACTCCTGAAACACAAAACTCAAAGTCTGTATCTTATTGGTTACTGGTTAGTTGTATCATCTGTATTGGGCATTGAGGTACTAGCAATAATTAAAAATATAAGCTTGCAAAAATATTATAAATGCATTAGACCTAATAAAGATCTAGACAATGGATGAAAATATGTGGTTTGTGCTGTCCAGACCACAATCCTTGGAATCTAGTTGTGAAATGCTGCTCTATTCCCCTTAATAATTTTTAGAAATATCATCAATATCTGTTTTTGACAATTTTTATTAAAGTGGCAAATGGTCGTTAATCATTTTTAGATCAGTTTTTCCATTAGATACCAGACAGAATTATCTAGGTATGAAAAGCCAATCATAAATAAGGTACTATTCAGTTAAACCGCTTTGTTCACACAGAGAATCATGCTATTAGTTTGCATACTTCTTAAGATTTTAATTTCACACTCTTCAGTGTCACAATTATATTGTCAATTAAGTGTGTCATTAGCAAAACTGGGAACCCTCAGACATAACATTTCCATTCAAGTCAAAATTTATACTGAGTTGATGTCTAAAATGCTTACACTTACAAGATCTATCTTATTATAGCTCGGATAGTGTATTCCACTTTTTTGTCACTCTATATAGTCATCTACAAATAAGCAACAAAATAAAGTCATTTAAAGACCAGAATTAAGTGTCTGTTAAACTTCTTAGGTGTTGTAAAGTATTCATCTATTGACCCTGCTCTCCTAGGCTCTGAACAAGTTGTTCTATTTGGGCAACTGGCAAGAGGTATTTGGATCTTCTGAATAGAATGCCCTAAGAGATTCATAAACCTTTCAGAAGAAGAAAGGGTCTCAATACTTATTGAAACACTGCACATGAACTAACTTACTTATGTTATCTTATTTAATCTTCATAACAACCTTACTAGCCTGAAATTCCCAGCAGACCAGGAGTAGCACTGGTTTTACTCAACTTGTATCTTAAAGCAGCCAGCCAAGTGGAAAGAGAACAAACTTCCAATAAATATTCCTAGAAAGAGAAGCGGATAGAAGTGAAAGGAAAGATTAAGATGATATTATTGTACTCATTTTAAGGTTGAAAAATCTAAAATAAATACAGAAGGAGTAATATGTCCAAGATCACACTGGAGGAAGTTATGGGCCTAGCATTTCATTCCTGATCTTTCAGAATCCCAAACCGATGGTTTCTGGGCAAAATACGCTTCCATTCATATATGTACCTTCGTTCGCATTTTTACAACAATACTTCATTCATGCTAGCCACCAGCTAAGAGGGTCCCAATTATCTGGAATCTAAGTCCAAAGGAACACAATGATTGAACAAATGAGCTGTCAAAATATTTCTGCATCACTCACTTTCTGTAAAAACAGAACCACCTATTGTGGCAAGTCTGGGAACAGGTGAGCCCTTATTTCACCCTCCAGCTCCACATTTCGAGTCTCCTTATGAGTCAAGCATGCAAATGCCTGAGCTTCTTCACTTTGATGTTCACATAGTGAATATCTAACACATAGACATTCACAGAAATCTTCACAAAAGTAAGTTTTTGAAGAAATAAATTTTTTTATGAAGTGTTATTTGAGCACTCTGGAGCATCATACAAATGTAGGACAGACCGAAGGGCTACATGCAGCTTAATTTGAGTTAACATTTTTTGAAATTTTATATTGCAAAAGTATACGTATTTACCGTTGTGAAATTAGAAAGGATAGGCAAAGAGGGCGGTCTACAAAGCACTCCCTAGATCCACCATACTGAGACAATGCTTAATGCTTTGATGAATTTATTTATTTTATACTTTCTATGCGTATGCATGTATTGTATACATACATGTTCATGGTTAAATATAAACAGTTCTCCTTGGTGTTCTGTTTATCCATTTATTGTTATGAAGTAAATCCCCAAAGAGTACATTTCCTTTGCCCGAGGGAGTCTTTTGCTACATACTGCTGTACATAATGAAAACTAAAAAAGGGGCTAACTTTTCAGCCTTGTGACGTTATGGTGATTCAAACAGAGGCTTCATCAAAGGCAGATTCAGCAATGAACTTGGTGTGTGTAGGTGGTTATGCTTGGCATTATTGCCTGTAATAGTATGATAGGGATGATTTCAGTGTCTGCCAAAAGGGAATTGGTTAAGTAAACTGAGGTACATCCAAATGATGCATACTGTGTAGCTGAAAAGAAGAATGAGAAAGACTCTGTACTCACCTAGAACTTGGATGTATTCTGTGTGTTTTTTTAAAAGGGAGAAGGAATGGTATCGTATGTGTGGTATGCTACTTTTTGTGTTGAGAGAGAAGGGTAGAATAAGAATATACATGTGTATTTGCAAAGATAAATTCTGAAATGATATACAAGAAATGAATTAAAAGTGGCTGTGGAAGGAGAATAAGACTGTGAATGGGATTTTGTCACATACTTTTATAGATAGTTATATTTAAAATTTTTCTGGACTATATATTTGTACATATGACCCTTTTAAAAATAAGTGAATGAAGGAATGAAGTAGGATTATGAGAAAGAGATAAGAAAAAAGGATCTAAGGGGTTGCCCATCTTCTTAGTACCCAGTGAATATTAATACATAATAATAGCAGCAAAAATTGGAAGAGTAGCCCCAAGAGGGTGGTAGGGAGTCAGCCTTTCCTTTCTCTTTTCCTCAATTTCATATATTAAAAACATATATATACTGAGAACAATAAAACAATTTGAAACAAAAATGTCTCCAGATCTCTTCAAAGGAAGATGGGCAGCTTTATGTAGGGCACTTTCCAAAAATGGGCTGGTTTCCCTCAAGAGGCGGGGATTCTAGCCTACATGGGATACATATGGGAGAAAAAATAAGAAAAAGAAAAGAGATTTAAATATAAATAAATGAAAACACTTCTCCCTGATTATAATAATTTGGATGACAAATATTAGAAAAATCTCTGCCGCTCAAAACATTCTGGTTTGTTGCTTTTTATACTTTTTTATGCATGTAAACATTTTAAAAAGTAGAATCTTAATAGATAGCCTTTTGTCACTTACTATATTTTGGGCATATTTCTGTGGCAGTATTTTCTGGCGTCATCATTTTTAATGGTTGGATGTATATTAATTCATTTCCTTTCCTTTCCTTTTTTTCCTTTCCTTTCCTTTTTTTCCTTTCCTTTCTTTTCTTTTTTCTTTGTTTCCTTCCTTTCCTTCGTTTCCTTCCTTTCTTTCCTTTTCCTTCCTTCCTTCTTCCTTTCCTTTTTCCTTTTCCTTTTGTCCTTCCTTCCTTCTTTCTTTCCCTCCCTCCCTCCCTTCCCTCCCTTCTTCCTTCCTTCCTTCTTTCTTTCCCTCCCTCCCTCCTTCCCTCCCTCCTTCCCTCCCTCCCTCCCTTCCTTCCTTCCTTTCTTCCTTCCTTCCTTCCTTCTTTCTTTCTCTCTCCAAACTCCAGAGTCACATTTCACTTAATTTTTATCCTGTCAAATTTCAAAGCATTTTAACTTGGTGATTTTAATGTAAACAGGAGCAGGAGATAATGTAATTATCTAGGTCTTGCTCTGTCACCCAGGCTGGAGTGCAGTGCCATAGTCTTAGCTACTGCAGCCTCAAATTCCTGGGCAGAAGCAATTTTCCCACCTCAGCCTGCCGAGTAGCTAGGACTACAGATGTGCGCCACCACACCTAGCTATTTTTTAAAATTTTCTGTGGATATGTGAATTCGCTATGCTGCCTAGGCTTGTCTTGAACTCCTGACTTCAAGTAATCCTCCCACCTTGGCTTGTCAAAGTGCTGGGATTACAGGTGCGAACTACTGCTCCCAGCCGAGAGTTTAGTTTTGTTCACTAGTGGTGTTCTTGGTATCTTTTCTTATTTGAGGCTTTGGTGCTAGTGCTGAAGTATTACACTCAACACCCAAGGTTTACAGGACTTTTGTTTTAATATGGAAGAGATGGAACTGTTTAGTTCTGCATCTTTGCAGGTATACAAAATGTGCCTACCAGGACTCTGCTTTATATCCATTGAAAGTAAGAAGTAATACAGTAAAACTTTGCCAGGCTAGAGGCTTTGAAGGAATGGAGTGTTCTGGTTGAATTCTATTAACTTGGAAGTATGAAGGTGAACAAATTCAGAACTTAAATTTCCTTTGAATGCAATTTGAAAATACAGCCAATGATTCCACTTTTCTTCTCTAGTAAGTTTGGACATTCCATTCTACTTGGTGTTTTATTACAGAACTCCTAGTGTGCCTGAGTCTTACATTGTGAAGATACTTTTTTAAAGCTTTAGCAGTAAGAGGATGTAAATGGTTTTGTATGAGATCAGGCTGGATGAGAACTGATACTTGTAAACATACTTTTTAGAGTAAACCTCTGATTGCCACTTGTTTTCTTATGGAACTCATAAAAATAAAACACATTGGATGGAGGGTGGGAGTAGGAAGGAGAGTTATGTGTTATATGTTTTAATTGGATGTCATTGTTTCGTATCAAGACAGAACATATGGTATCCCTGGCTTTGGACCTACAGAAGGAAACACATTTTTCTACCTGCTGTATGGCAGAGGTTCTTAAACAGCTGGAGGGATTACTGCAGCAAAGATTGCTGATCCCTACTCCAGAGTTTCTGATTCACCAGGTCCAGGGTAGGGCCTGGGAATTTGCACTTATAAAGAGTTCTCAGGTGCTGCTGGTGCTGCTAGTCCAGAGACTACATTACTCTTCTCTACTAACTATAAATTGCAGAACTCTAGACAAAAACTTGGTTTGGTCTGGGATAAGAAGCACACAGGTTATGGAGCAAATCTGAAAGATTCAACCCTTGATCCCAGCCTAGTGTGGATTTCAGGTAACAAGCAGTACACAGTGACATAACACAATTCTTGGTTTTCATGATTGCAAGTCACAGGCAAGTATCAAGTGAGAAATTCAGTTTCATTTGCAAGGCTTAGAAAGGCCAGGTGATTCTAGAAAAATGGGCCTTGTATTTGTTTTAAACCGGTAAAGAGCTTTGAGTGCTTATTAAATTGAAAGCTCTTTAAATTTATTTTGTATTTTATTTTATTTTATTTCTTTTGAGATGAAGTTTCACTCTGTCACCCAGGCTGGACTGCAGTGGTGTGAGCTTGGCTCACTGCAAACTCCGTCTCCCAGGTTCAAGTGATTCTCCTGCCTCAGCTCCTGAACAGCTGGGATTACAGGCACCCACTACCATGCCTGGCTAGTTTTTGTATTTTTAGTAGAGATGGGGTTTCACCATGTTGGCCAGGCTGGTCTCGAACTCCTGACCTCAGGTGATCCACCCGCCTCAGGCTCCCAAAGTGCTGGGATTACAGGCGCAAGCCACCGCATCTGGCCCAAAATCTTTATGTTGTTACAGATATTAGACATGTTTCTTGTTTAAGAAAAAACTTTTTAACAGTAACATAGGAGAATAAGAGAAACGTTTTTCCAAAAAAGAGAAACTATTGTGATTATTTTATCTTACTGGAATGTTGGATAATATAGTCTGCTTCATTAATCATCAAGCGTGCTATGAATTTTTCATTTTTATAGGATCTTTATCTCATTTATGGTAATACTGGTAATTTTTGTACTGTGTTTGAAGGTGAAAAATATAGGCCAAAATCATAGACCTTGCATAGAAGCTGGATAATGAAGACAGCTCTGGAGGAACACATAGATACACACACACAGACACACATATATATAAAGTATGCACACATACATTTTTTAAAGTTTTAAAACTTTTAAAGCAAAAGCCAGCCCCTCCCCTGTCCCAGAGTGGGTGGTCCCTCCACTCTCTTAGAGTGGGCGGGGACAGCAGTTGCATGGGCAGCTTTCCTTGTGAGCCACAGGGCCCTCTGGACATACTGCTGCCTGGCCAAGCCCCCTTTCCCTTTCATCTTTGTCACTGACCAATGGGCTTGGAGCATTAAGGCCACGCCCCTGTTCTGCATTCTATTGGGGCCCTGGTTACACCTCCTCTGGCTCAGTCACACAGCTGCCTGGTAGGCAAGTGGAGGTGTTCATCAGTGCTCCCTGGGATTTCGCTCACGTGGCCCCAACCCCGCCTCCCTCCCCACCCCACCTCCCTCCCCACCCCGCGATGGCAGAAGAAACTCAACAGAGCAAATTGGCCGCAGCAAAGAAAAAGGTAAAAACGCACCAGATCACGGCCCGCCAACCCAACCACAGATCCCCTCTGACGACAAGACCACTGCCAGAGTCCATACCACTCCTGAGGCACACTGGACTGGGCCCCCCAACTGTGGCACCTCTGGGGTTCCCCCAACAAAGTCTTGTCAGTCAGCCCCACTCCTTCAGCAAGCAGCCCAGTCCCTGCCCTCACCAATTGCCCCAGGTTGACTTTGGGCGGGTGAGTCCTGGGGATCCCCACTCCATTACTGGGCCCTCACCTCCAGACGCCCCAAGCTCAACCTCCCTGGGCTCTTTGGGCTTGCATCTCCAAGGACCTGGGTCCCCCAGCCCCTGGCCCCACCCTCGTCAGTCATCCCTGGGTGACTTTGGGCTGGTGACTCCTGGGGCTCCCTGCTGCAGACTGTGCCCTCCCCTCCTGCTGCCTCAAGGTCGACCTCCCTGGGCTCTTTGCGCTGGTGTCTCCAAAGACCTGGGTCCCAACCCTGTGTTTCCCTCCCCTGTTGTAGAGCGGCAACTCAGACATCGTGCTGATGTGGTCCCTCCACCCCACCAGGAGGAGTGGAATGTAGTGATGTCACAGTCTGCCTAGGAACTGTCATTACTGCAAGACCAGCATTTGATCTTATGACCCAGCCCCTAAGCATTCTTTCCCCATTTCTGGTTCCTCTGGTCACAGCACAAATTTCCAGCTGGAAGGGGAATGGACTATGGGACCTAGGAGCAAGAGGTTTCAGGCTGCCTTACTCTCTTAACATAGACATTGACAGTGGGAAAAGCCTACACTTTCCCCATGAGCATAAAATGTTCACAGTATCTCTGGTTGGCAGTGGGGGAATGGGTTGGGTTTGGTTTTTCTCCCAGGCTTCTACTTTCCAGAGAGATTTTAACATTTTTTTCCTGAATTCTCCACCTCATATTCTAATTCTCCATGGTTCTGGGACCAGACTGCCCTTCATTCAGTGGTCTCCGAAGTGAGATTGGCTCATCTTCTGTGGAATAGATCTTGGTAAAATGAACATGACAGCTTGAATCTTCCTCATATTATCTCAACCTGGGGTACTTTGAGTGCCACAGGATAATTGTGGGACATCTTCCTGAAGCATCAGTTTCCCTTGATTCTCCTGAGATCATGAGAAAAAGCATTAATGTACTTATGGATGACAGTCACATAGGTTTCTAAGAATATACCAGATTTCTCTCTTAAATGAGGGTTGGGCTGTCCTCTTTCTGATAAATTCCCAGATTTAACAGAAAGGCTGCCTTCTGCCATGAGGACACATTGATATAAAAGTTTGAGAGGTACTGGTGCACTTCTTCACACTAACAGACGTGTGAGGATGTATGACTCTAAACCACATGGCATACAGTTCCTGCCTACTTAATGTTTACTTTTCTACCTCTGCCTCTGGTTTTGGTCTCTGGCAGCTGCTAATTCTTGGCAAAACCCCAGAGCATGGAGTCAGAAGGCTGAGTTTCAAAGTTCCAGTATTGCCTTTTTCTTTCTTTCTTTCTTTTTCTCTTTCTTTCTTTCTATCTTTCTTTCTTTTCTTTATTCTTTCTTTCCTTCCTTCCTTCTTTCTTTTCTTTTCTTCTTTCTTTTTTTCTTTTTCTTTCTTTTTCTTTCTCTGTCTCTTCCTTCCTTTCTTCTTTTTTTTCTAGCCATGATATCAATCCCTCTCAGTCACTAAATGATTGTGACAACACCTTGTACAGTTGTTGGTGTCATTAAATCAGATGGTGTATAAGAGTATTTTGTAAAAATTATAAAGGAGGATGTGGCTGATAGTTCTCATGAGTATTACTGCTCTTCTTTCCCACAGTTAAAAGAATATTGGCAGAGAAACAGCCCTGGTGTTCCAGCAGGAGCAGAGAGGAACAGGAAAACAAATGGCAGTGGCCCTGAGACAGCCACCTCTGGTGGTGGCCACTCACCTGGGGATGTGAGTCTTGGCTGGCCAGGCTCCTGGGGACAGGGGACCCAAGGGGCAGTAGAGGATAATTGTTAGGATTGTGGATGGACTGTTAGGTACTGGTTAAGAATTCTGGGTTTGAATCCTGCCTCTCCATCTGCTAGGGCAAGTTGCTTGAGCTCTTTGGGCCTCTCTTTTCACATCTGTATGATAGAGGTGGTATTGTTTGACTTCCTTTTGTGAAGTTTAAATGAGATTTGTTATTGTTGTTTTTATGTTAATCCCTAGTACATGGCCTGCTGTAAACACTGAGGACACCCAGGATATGGTCATTGCTGTTTGATTTTCCTCATCCCCAGTCTCAAGGGGAAGCCAGGACAATGAGAACAGCCACTTGCCATCAGGAGTCACTGAAAGGGCCCCAGGGTGGGATGGTGGGGAGATAAGAACCATGAGAGAAGTTGGCACAAAGGAGTTTTGGGAGAAAGGGTCCAAGATAGGCAGAAAAGAAAATGTTGCCAGTTGATGGGGAAGAAAGGAAGTCAGAGGGCTTAGACACTAAGGGGGAAAGAACATCTCCACGTGCACTCTCATCTCTTGTAGTCAGCACCAGGTGTCCATGGGGAGGGCCCTACATCATCTGCTACCCTGAAGGATCTGGAGGTAAGAGGCTCTGGGCGGAGGTGCAGTGACCCTGCAGGCCAGCCCTCCAACCTCCTCCCACAGCGGGGACTAGGTGCCCCTCTGCCTCCTGAGACAGTCCACACACACCTCAGCCCTAATGATTGTTCTCTCTACCTCTTCCCCTACTCCACTCCTCCTGCACCTCCTCCTCGCTGCATGTGCCTCAGAGCCCATGCCAAGAACCAGCAGTAGTCCCAGACTCCAGGTCTGTAAAAATCAGTCAACTGAAGAACACCATCAAATCTTTGGTAAGAGTCCAGTGGGGTCCCCCAATTCCACGCTGCCAATCCTGGGCTCGTTTCCCCTTGGGGCCCTGAAGAAAGGGGCTGGGGGCCCCTGGTGCCAAGGGCAAATAGGGAGCTGGGGCATCCAGGCCTCACCTGGAGGGACCCCAGAACATGCAGCATGGCTCTTCTTTTGCTGCCCTCTTTGCCGACTCTCTCCTCTCCAGACACCCCTGCTCGAGTCCTTGCTACACACGCCCTGGGGTTGTTGCCTCTCGGGGAAGTGCTAGCCTGACTGGTTTTCAGCGGCCCCGTATTTCTGCCATGACTCAGTCCCTAATTTGCTCTTTGATTCTGGACAAGCCACCTTTCCTTTTTGGGCTTGTGTTTTGAGAGGAGGTAGTGAGTATCAAAGGTCTCTGTCAGCTCTGAAAGTCCGAGATTTAAAGGCCCCCTAGAATGGAAACCTCAGGGCCAAGGGCTCCTGTCAGTCCTTTTCCACCCTATATCTGCTGTGAAGAACCGTACCTGGCCCGTACGGGCTCAGTAAATATTTATTGAATGAACGCACTTTTCTAAATCACAAGCTGGCAGAAGGAGGGGCCTTTCTCAAACTCCATCTCTAGAGGTTTATGTTACTCTCCTCTCAAGAGATTCCAGATTCCGACTTTGAGTTTTGTGGCTGTAGGTGAAAGCCAACAAAGACCCAAATCCTCTGTCCTTGGGAGCTTGAAGAGAGTTTACCAGTTCATGTTCCCATTGGGTCTGAGAACTTTGCCTTTAAAATCCATTCCTGGTCCCTGCCTACCACTTCCTGGTCTGGGGAATAGAGCTGAGGGGGCCACCCTCCATCACCTTAATTTGACTCTCCCCACAGGAGCAACAGAAGAAACAAGTGGAACATCAGCTGGAAGAAGTAACGTGATTTCTGTGTTTGCTCATGACATGACTGCTGGGTTTGGGGGGCACTCAGATGTAGAGGCCCCAGTCTCATCTTGTCCACTCCCAGCCTGGGAAAGAAGGCTCACCCCTCAGATTCCACCCCATCTCTACAGGGTCCCTGATAACCTGGTCCCACAGATGGGCCTGTCCTGGGGCATTGGTGGCATTCTGGGGGCATGTCTCTTGCTGTGCCATCTCTGCCTCCCCCTGGTAAGAGCTCTGTCTTCCTCTTTCTATAGGAAAAGAAAGCAAACAATGAGAAACAGAAAGCCGAAAGGGAGCTAGAGGTGAGTGGAGGGTGTGCAGTTCCCTCCTGTCCTCCAGAGAATGTTTCTTTCCTTCTCTTTCAGCACTTGCTTGGCTTTTCTCCCAAAGGTTCAAATCCAGAGATTGAACACACAGAAAGGGAAACTAAATATGGACCTATATCATACGAAACGTTCTCTCAAGTATTTTGAAGGTAGGAATCTGGGCACCCTGTCACCTTTCCGCCTGGCACTTTGACATGTCTTTAGGGAGAGTCCTTTGGGTCCCATCTCAAATCTCTCATTACAGATGAGTCCAAGGGTCTGGCCATTCGCCTGCAACATTCATTGCAGCGTATAGCAGAGTTAGAGCGGGCTCTCTTTGCTGTCACCACCACACAGGAGAAGAAGGAGGACAGTGTGAGTTCAGCCACTTGCCCCATCCCCTGGCAGCTTGGCTTCCTAGATGGAGGAGTGAGCCTAAAGTTCCCTTCTGCAGGATGGACTGTCCTGCCCAGAATGCAGCATGGCCATTTCCCGCTGCTTTTGTGTATGGTTGTTAGAGCAGCCTGGGGCTGAGTCAGCTGCTGTGGGTGAGTTGGGGGCCACTGTGGGGAGCAAGCACTGGACGCAGAGCTTGGAGGCCAAGTGCCTGCCCTGCCCTTACCTGGCTGTGGTGTTGGCCAAGTCCTACATAGGGTATTAGGTACTTCTACTGTGAAGGTACAGAAGAGTACCTTTAATATGTTACCATTTCTGTAGAGAGAGGAAACATGAGTGTGTGTGTGTGCACGTACTATGATAATATACATAAAACATGTGTGCAAGGGTTCATAAAAAACTCAGGAGAGAGCAACAGGGTGGCTGGGAGATACTTCCCTTCTGTACCTTCTGAGTTTTGGACTATGCGAATGTATCATCCATTCAAAAAGTGAACAAAAGATTAATTTTCCCCTTCCAATCTATGCCCCTACCCCCAGCAAGAAAAATGGGCTTAGAGAATTGCATAGACCTGGGTGTTCAAATCCCAGCTCTGCCTAAGTGATCTTAGGCAAGCACTTAACCTCGAATACTCCATGTGTTTTCATCTACACAATAGAGGTAATCATAGTAACTGTCTCCTATGGTGGTTGCAAGGATTAAATGGGATTGCCAGCATGGTATCTGGTGAAGCACTCCATAAATGTTCAAACAGTGGTAGCAATAACAGTAATTACAAAGCAATATTATCTGATCTCTCTGGGCCTCTGTTAGCCAGCTGTAAATTCAATCTCTTTCCCTGTCCCTTCCAACTTGACTGAGTTCTTTTAAAAAACCATACCACGAGCTTGGAAAGGCCTTGATCTTTACTGACAAAGTTGTATACTGAGCCTAGCCCAGGCCTTTTAAGGGGCACTGTGTGGAATGGCCTGGGCTCTCCAGATCGAAACTTCTCACTCTTCACCTTCAGACCTTGAGCCGCAGTAAAGCAGTTATCGAGTGGTAGTTAGAGTGGTCCATACAGGAGCAGGCACTGCTGAATGCACACACTACATGGGTGAGGTTTTGCAGTGGGAGGGATGTGGAAGGAAGATGAGCCAGGTGGCCAGGAGCAGCTGAGGACCAGTGACAGCCCTTCCTAACTTCTGTGCCCATTCTTGCAGTTGAAGGAGTTGCTTAAACAAATCCGGCTAGAGAGAGATGAATATGCTCAACATATAAAAGAAGAGAGGGCCCAGTGGCAGCAGAGCAGCAGAGGATGAGGAAAATGTCGCAGGAGGTGAGATCTGACCCTTCAACCCCCCACCTTAGATAAGTCACTGGATCTTTCTGGGCATCTGTAAAATGGGAATAGTACAGCCAGAGGTGGTCCTGGGTCTGGGCTTTGTGGAGGTGGGGGCAGAGAGGGAGATGGCAGCCTGTCCAGCCACCAGCCCCTCTCTCCAGGGCTCTTTACCCCTGTGGTTTGGGCAGGTTCACACATTGAAGAAGGAGAAGTATGAAACACATCGGGGAGAGAAGCTGGAGAGGAGCTTGTCCAAACTCAAAAACCAGATGGGTAAGATGGGGCTGGCATGACCTGGGAGCAGGACTGGCATCAGAGGGCTGTGGGAGTGGCTTAGAATGCCCCAGAGAGGTGGGTCAATGGAAGGGCTTTGAGGCAGAAGGAAAGAGGTCTGTGCCAGAGACAGCAAGTCTTGTCATCTCCATGATCCTCAGTGTCCCCATCAGCAAAGAGGGCCCGTTGTCAGCCACCCACAGTGCTCTCTATCTGAAAGTGGCTTGGAAGATTGGCTACCATCTGGGTGTGAGGAATCAGTAGCAGTGAGGCCAAGTTCGGGGAGCCTGAGAGGAGCTGTGCACCAAGAGGAGGGTTTTTCTTTTGTTTGTTTTTTTGAGAATCCAGAGGCCTTTATTGTCTGCTTCCTTTCTCAGCTGAACCCCTGCTCCCGGAGCCTCCAGGAGTGCCCTCTGAGGTGGAGCTGCAGCACCTGAGGAAGGAGGTTGAGAGAGTGGCAGCAGAACTCCAAGCCCAGGTGGACAACAATAAGCGCATGAGTGTCCTGATATTGGGGCAAAAGGAGAGGCTTCAGGAGCAGGATGAGAGGCTTCGGGAGCAGGACGCGAGGCCTCAGCAGCTGGCCGAGCCACAGAGTAGCTTCGAGGAGCTGGTGCGTTGCCCCACCTAGGGAGCCTGCCCTCCTCCCTAGCCCTCCAGGCCTTTGTTTCCCCACCTGTAAAATGGGGCAGTGTAGCCCTCAAGTGAAACGTTACTTCTAAAGGCACCTGTGAGCCAGAGCCGTGCTCTGGTGGCTGTGGGAGACGGGATGATTTTTCTAACCTGCCTCCACCCTTCCCGGTGCCATGGGAGGCAGACACCAAGTTCTGGGGTCTCCAGCTGCAATGGGTGGCTGCTGATTGCTTCTCTCTGTCCAGAACAAGAACAAAAGTGCACTGCAGTTGGAGCAGCAAGTAGAGGAGCTGCAGGAGAAGCTTGGCGAGGTGAAGGAGACAGTAACCTCTGCCCCATCCAAGAAGGGCTGGGAGGCGGGCACCAGCCTGTTGGGAGGGGAGGTGCCAGGCCAGAGGCAGCACTAGCCTGTGGGCAGGTGACCTCAGCACCCTCCAGGGCAGTCCTGTGACTATTTCTTGCTTCCTGCCTTCTGACTTTTAGAGGTGGGTAGCCCTGGGCTCCTCCCAGGTCTAGACATCATCATCTCAGCTAGCGGCATGGAGGCCCCAGTCACAGGGGAAGAGACAGTGGTATAAGAGGCTCCTTATGCCAGGTGCAGTGGCTCACGCCTATAATCCCAGCACTTTGGGAGGCTAAGGCAGGAGAATTACTTGAGGTCGGGAGTTTGAGATCAGCCTGACCAACATGGTAAAACCTCATCTTTACTAAAATTACCAAAAAAAAAAAAATTAGCCGGGCATGATGGCACATACCTGTAATCCCACCTACTCAGGAGGCTGAGGCATGAGAATCACTTGAGGCCAGGAGGTGGAGATTGCAGTGAGCTGAGATTGCACCACTGCACTCCAGCCTGGGCCACAGAGTGACATTCTGTCTCCAAACAAAACAAAAAGGCTTCTTAGGTTAAAACTGGATTCCAGCCTCGGTTCCACTGGTCACCATTCAAGTACTTTGCATCTCTAAGTCTCTGTTCACTTAACTTCAGAAGGAAGTTAACATTTTCCTTACAGACGTGCTGAGGATTAACTGAGATAATACTTGGAAAGCATTAGCAGATGGTGGTTGGCTCCCAGTGCTTTTCCACCAGTCTGTGGCCTACAGTTTAAATGGTGAGAAGAGGATATGAGATTTGAGGCTGGGGAAGGAGGCATGGGGTTCTAGGAAAAGGAGGCAGTCACTTAGGCCTGGAGCAAGGGGCCAGGGGCCTGGGCAGGCGACAGAGCCCCACAATGCCCTCACTACCCTATTAATGGGCCCAGAATCTGGAAGCCAGCAACCACAAGCCCTCACACCCAGGGTCTTCCTGCAGGTGGAGCTGAAGAGCCGAGAGGCTCAGAGTCTGCAGCAGCACCCAGATTATTACCTGGGTCACCTGCAGCAGTATGTGGCCACCTGTCAGGAGCAGGTGGCCGCCTATCAGCAGCTGACCTCTGAGGAGGCACTGCACAGCCAGTTACTGCAGCAGACCCAGCTAATGAACCAGCTGCATCAGCAGGAAGCTCGAGGCAAAGCGATAGCCGACCTGGCCCGCCAAAAGTTGCAGGAGACCCAGGGGAGGGAGCTGCTGAGGCTGGGGCCCTAAGGGGGACAACCTGGCAAACTCTGTGCCTTCTCACCCTTTCCTGGCCCCTTAGGAGTGCCTGGAAGCTGCCAGCCAGCAAAACCAGCCCCTACAGGCCCAGTTGAGCCTCATGGCTCTCCCTGGGGAAGGTAAGGGAGACTGCCCAGAGGAAGAGGAGAGAGCTCCAGGAGGAAGTGGGGACTGTTAGCAGCATAGGATTGAGGAGATGGAAGAGACCTTTAGAACAGCTGGTCCTTATGCCGACCGGGTGCCCGCACTAAGTTCAGCATCAATATGGTGACCTCCTGGGAGCAGGGGGCCACCAAGTTGCCTAAGGATGGCTGAACTGGCCCAGGTCAGAAAGGGAGCAGGTCAGAACTCCCGCACTGACCGTAGTGGGATTATGCCTGATCTTGGTTCTTAAAAGTAAAAATAAAGAACAGCAGCTCATTTCTCTCTGGGTAGTGGCTGGCTCAGGGTTACACAGTGAGGGTGGAGGCAGCGGTGGGCCCACAGTACCCCCCTTGTTGGGTTGTCTGAGGACCCTTCTGGCCACCCCCCACAGGAGATGGAGGAGGACATCTGGACAGTGAGGAGGAGGAGGCACCTCGGCCCATGCCGAGCAACCCGGAGCACCTGGAGAGCTGGGAGGCCACGGTGAGCCTGACTCCCCCTGTACCCATTTTGCCACCTCCCTCTGTGGTCCCTCCAAGACCCCTTTATGCTCTTGGTTTCCCTGCCTTCTGATTTCTCTGGACACTCACCCTTTCCGGGAGCCAGTGGTCAGACACCATTTCACCTGTGACCAACAGATGCACTCTCTGAGACCCCAAGGGAAGGGGCTGCACTCCACCTCTCTGCCCTGTTTGTTCTGTGTATGCCTCTACAATAATGCTCACCTCTTGCCCTCAGGTTGCATTTTTCAACTCCGCTGGAGCCAATGCCCAGGAGGAGCAGGCACGGTTACGAGAGCAGGTGAAAGAGCAGAGGGTGTGCTGCCAGCGCATGGCTCACCTGGTGGCCTCAGTCCAGAAGAAGCCAGAGGCAGCGGTCCCAGCCCCAGTGACTGGGGGTGACTCTGTGAGTGGGGAGACCCACCAGGCTATGCAGGAGGTCATGGAGAAGCTGGAGGTGAGTGAGTCCTGGCATGGACCAAGAAGGGCAGGGGTGGGGCAGGTCACTGCCGAGATGTGAACCCATTATTTTGGCTCCAGAGTGGCCTTATGGACCTCCTGGAGGAGAAGGCGGACCTGAGGGAGCGAGTGGAGAAGCTAGAACTTTGATTCATCCAGTACTGGAAAGACAGAAGCCATCAGTGAGCGGGAGGCCAGGGCACGGCAGCGGGAGCTGCAGGGCTGTTGGAGGGGCCTCAGCGTCAGAGTCCTGTCCTCCCACAGGAAAGTTCATCACCTTTGAACAGAGCCAGGGGGCAGTACCAAAGATGCGGCAACTGGAGGAGGACATCATCAGGCTGGTCCAGGACAAGGAAGAGATGAAGGTAGGGTGTGCAACATCTCTGCAGGGGTGGGGGTGGGCGTGAGGGTGGGCGCCGGTAGATGCATAACAGCTGAGCACCCCTCCCTTCCAGGTGAAGCTGCTGGAGCTGCTGGAGACGATGTTGTGGCTTGTGGTGACTACAACGAGGGACACAGCAAATTTCCCGGCCACTGCCCTGAAGCTTGCTGATGAGCCTGGTCCAGGAGCCCCAGCCCCCCAGGAGCTTGTGGGTGCTGACAAGCATGGTGGTGAGTAGAGTCCTCAGGCAGGGTGGGCAGGCAGGGGCAGGGGAGGCTCTCACTGCACTCGGATCCCCACCTCCTTCTCTCCAAAGATCTTTGTGAGGTGAGCCTCACTGACAGCGTGGAGCACCCAGGCTTGTGCAGCAACTCCCGTATGCCATTCTTTCGCTGGGCTTGGCTGCTGAGAAGAAGGAGATAAACATCACCATCATCAAAGAGCTGCTCAAGAAATTTTAAAAAAGGAAAAAAAGTTATGGGGTTCATCTCCTACCCAATTCATTTACTTCACTTGAATGTTAGAGCCACTCATGATTATTTGTGTTTGTAATTTATAGTTTAAGTTTATTTGTAAAAAGTTAAAGGAGAGTGGGTCTCTGTGGCTTTCACTGATGTTCACTCTGGCATCCTTCAGCATTTTTCTTTTTTAGTTTCATAGTTGTAGGTCATTAGCATGCATATCGAGTTTGCCCTTATGTGGTGGGAGTTCAAATACACAAAGACCCACTATTTGCACAAAATTATTCTTGCTGGTTTGGAATAGGCTGCCATGCTTTTTTAATGTTATTGCAGCATGTATATTCATTACGGAATTCAGATAAAATTTGCTTATGTTCTGCTATTGTTTGATCTAATCTTAATCACAGTGACCTCTTCATTAGCTCAATATGTGGTTTGCCCCCAAGTGTGCACTTTTTATTACTTTGTAATATGGCACTATGAGTACTGACATTTAGAGTTGTTTAAAGGCTGAGAACTGGAAACAGCCTTTCCCCTATTTTCTGTGTATTGGCGATGGGAGTAATAACATTTTGGGGGAGCTTTTAAAATCTCACAGAAGAGGAAAGTGGCCTGCCGTGGCAGGTATGTGCAGGATAGAGTGTGTTTCATTTGTTCCGGTGCCAACAGTTAGCGCTGTACTATGGTAGTTCCCTTCGGATTTGTATGTGCTCTGGGCTCATGAAGATATTGCATCATGAGCTGCAGCAGTTGTACTCTTTCTCGATGACCTAAAAACCGATCATTTCTGAGGAACGAAAGGCTCCCTTCGTTGACTGTAGATGTGGAAAACATTTCCTAGCTTAGAGCATTTGTGTCTATAATACATTTTAAAGTCAGAGTTGATGTTACCTGTTTTAATCACATGACCACATGTCCCAGTACACAAAAGAGTGCTGGCTGGCATTCTTCTTATTTAGTAAAGATCATAAGAAATCCTTTAGGAGTTTAAATGTCCCTGGAACAGGCATACAGGCTCTAGTCAAGAATGAATTAGAGTGAAGGAAAGCTTGTGACACCTGGCATTCCTCTCTGTTCATGGAGCTTCTTTGAGGCTTGAAGATTGATTTTTACCATCTAGACCTCTGTGGCTAATACCTATTCTTCAACCACCTTGCTTACTCTGACATAGGAATTTACTTCTTTTCCTTGAATGGAAAACACTTTAAAAAATAATAACAAACATTATTATAAACTAATATAAGTGAGAGTACTTAGTTGAAATAAAAAGGAGTTTTAGTAGACAGTATTTTATAGACAGCATATTATATTTGAAAATCAAGGAGAAGTTTATGCAATTTAAAATGTTTATAAACTGCAGTGCAATCTACTGTTTGTGAATGTCAATGTATTATCAGGAAATGTGTCTATACAATCACAGAGTTATATTTCCTGACAAACTTGTTTACTAAGAGTGAAATATGTTTTTGTACCTCTCGGTTTCAGTTAGGGACATATTTTGTGCAATATTTATGTGATTGTGCCTATGCATGATGAACAAATGATTTCAGTCATACATTGCCTAAATCATAACTTGATGATGCTTGGGAAAGACTCAACAGTTCAAACTTCATGAAGTTCTAATGTCTGTGTTCCAAAACACATCACATTATTAGGATGTAGGGAGATGTGTATGTGCGCTCCCTGGGGTGGGGATTTCTAGTTACTAGACCATCTCCATTTTTAGCATTTGGCGTCCTCATGATACTTTTCTAAATATGACATTAACAGGAGAGCAACAATATGATTTTACCGATGGAATAACAGATTTGCCTGCATTCACTGCAAGAGCGCAAATATTGGGTCCTTGTGACTTCAACTGACTCTTCCAAATTGTATGAATGTATCAATGTATTAGATAAACCCAGTTTCAGAATGACAAAGAAAAAATGTTAGACCAAATAATGCAGCTAATTAACAATGGTACGATTTCTAGCCCATGGGTTTAAAATGGACCTAAAGTTCTGTTCTTGCCTTTTATTTTCTGAACTTGCTGCTTTTGCATTCTTTGAGTTCAGTTTAAAGACAGTTACTTTAAGTCCATTTTAAACCCTCAGGCTAGAAATCATACCACTGTTAATTAGCCACATCTATTTGGCCTAACGTTTTTTCTTTATCATTCTGAAACTGGGTTTATCTAATACATTGGTAAATTATTTCAAAGGTACTTTTATTGTTGAAATCACTTCACTTTTACCCTGATAAATATCAATGACTACGAATGACCTTCAGATAGCGTTTAGCATCTGTAACCAATCTGACAATAATGTGTTCATCAGGTGCCTATGGATTAAATCACATACTGGCATATTTAAGCTGAACGTCAGTCTGGAAATAAATTTACTACATTAACTGAAATACCACTCTTTGTGTAAGTATTTGTCATATATTTAAGAGAAAGCTAAAAAGAATGGAAATCATATGACTAACTTGTCTTTCTTCAAAGTGCATACAGTCTTTTGCGATACCTCATTGAGCCAAGTATTTGTGCTCTTCCTCATTCAGTACAATGCAGCTTTTGATTTGCTTAGAAGGAAGGTTAGAGTTCATCAGAAACATAGAATTTTAAAATGCTAGTTCAACTGAATCAATTTGAATTTCTGCAGGAATAATCAAAACACCTATTTAAAGATTGCAATATATAATAATTATTTTTAAAGTATTTGATTAAACCTGATAGGTTTTCCAGAAATGAAAAAAAGAAATCAGTTCTAAAACCAAAGCTGATTTTTAGAAAATTTGAAAATGTAAATCAGCCCTATCCATAATACAGTTTCTCTAAAACTTTATCTTAAAGAGTCATTTAAAAATAATGTAACTATTAAAAAATGTAACTGCTATCTTAAAGTTCTGAAATAAAACATTTTAAAATATGAATGCTATAGTTTAAAAGAAAGAAATGGTGGAAAGGAAAAGTAGAGAAAGAAATGCCAATTCCAGTCCAAAGCTTTATTTGCCAAGTTTTCTTAGAATGAATTTTACCAATTTATGAATTCTTGTAAACAGAAGGTATAATGGAAATACTGAAAAACTTTTGCCTAAAGTGGCATTATTGACTGCTAGTGTGATGCTACTGTAATGTAATAAATTATTAAATGTTGCAAAGCGCTGTTTTTGACTTAAAATTTTGTTTTGCATGTCTTGAAAAACTATAGTATTAAAGGTGTTGATAGTGTGCAAATGCTGGGCACGCTTGGCATGAGATAATCTGTTTCATTTTTACAAAATTGTAATATAGCTATGCAAGTGTTTGTTAAAAGAACACAAAATAAAAAAGTTACGGGATTAAAAAATGTTACAGAGTGAAAAAGTTATGGGATAAAAAATGTAAAAAAGTTGTGGCAAAAAAGTAGAAAAAAATTTTATGAAAAGTTACAAAAAAAGTTATGAAAAAGAAGTTACGGGATTTTAAAAAAAGTCATGGGATAAAAACAAAAATTAAAAGCAGGCCTCTGTCAGCAAAGCCTGGAGAAGTAGGGCTGGAGTCTCCACTGCCACCATGACCCTACCACCCCTTCCCAGTCACCCCTTTACAATTAGGGTAGCCACACAAGACCTCTGTCTAATGGGGAAAGACAGACCCTTTGCCGCCTTGACCAGGGCTGAGTCCTCAAATTTCTGGATGATGATGATTGTTATTTAAGAGCCAGAGGCTGGCAGAGGTGGTTTGTTTGGAGGAGGTCTGATGGCCTCCTTACTCTCACCATAGTAACTTTTCCCTCGGGGGGGCTCCCATCTTCTTATTCAGAGAGGCAGCTGAGGCGGGACAGTGGGGCTAACTGTGGACCAGGTGAGGGCACGGGCTGCTGGGGTGGCCCCCCTTCCCGGTTTACATATTGTATCTATGTAACGTTTTGTATATTCCAGAGGGTAGGGCCGCCCCTGTATCATACCTAGAGGAGGTTGGAGCTGGCACATGGGGAGGAGGGTCTGATCATTATTTGTGGCTGGGAAACTTATGTATTGCTAGCACAGGACAGAGAAAGGAGGCGGGGATGGGGTCATGGCTCCTGGTGATGCGACTCCTGTTTATTTTGCTTTTTATTTTGGAATAAACGGATTTAGCCATACTGCTCAGCCTGGTGTGTTCCCATTTCCCTCACTGGGTCCTGGTGTTTGTGCCACTGAACGAGAAGCCCTGGAGTGTCTGAGTGTGTCCAGCTGGGCTGTTGGGGACCTTCCAGGCCTGTTACCTGTATGCTGCCTGGTGACGCCTGGGGGATTCCACGGGGACTGCCATGGCACCTATGGGGCGCAGCCCGGCCCTGACAGCCAACAGGCTCAGAAGCGTGATCTAGCCATGGCTGGGAAGACAGGTACCAGCACCTAAGGGCACTGCCTTCCACCCACCCCAGGTGTCTTCCGTTCCATCCCCTTGCCTCCCTCTCCTGTCTGCACCTGGTGGCCTGTTATGTCTGTGTCCCTCCAGAGTGCCGGCTGCCCCTCAGGCTCCCTCCAGGCTGAGTTCACGGCCCTGCCCCCTGGTGGCCAGAGCCGGCTTCACAGGATAAGAGCCAGCTAAGCTCCAGGGGCTTTCCAGGAAAAGTGTCCCTTGGAAAGGGTGTGACCTTTTCACAGCTCCCAACAGCACCCTAGAAATGGCTTGGCCTTTCCCGTCCTCTGAGCTCCACACAGAACACAGCCAGCAGAGGACACACTTCCCTGCCATCCAGAAATGGGTTTGATTCTCAGCCAAGGGACAGCAGGACTGGTAGAGACTGTCAGGCCACACAGAGGCCTGCACAGCACCCCCATGCTTGGTGGGGGGTGGGAGGGATGGAGGGGCTGGCTGTCCACAGGCTGGGCATGACAGGGAGGCTCACTGGAGGTGGCGCACTTTGGAGGAGCAATGTCAGGGGACAGCTTTCTCTTGTTGGGCCACAAGACTCCAAAAGGACAGCAGGGTGACTGATTCCCAGCGCTAGAGACGAGGCGGTCGGCCAGGTGTTGCTGCATGTGTGTGTGTATATGTATATATATATATATATATATATATATATGTATTTATAGATATTTATAGAGCAGGACGGGACATATCACAAAGGGGGCACAAGTTTTCAGCAGTGGTCACACCTGGATGTGTCAGCTCACCACTACAACAGACTAAGTCGCAGATGTAGGGGGCTGGCTTTGGGGCTGGGGGAGCCACTGTCAAGTCACAGAACAGCCGCTCAGGCAGGCTTGGAAAGGGAGGTCACTGAGAAGAGGAGGGATCTGTTTAGACGTTGAAGGAGGGGCTGGGGCTCTGAGGATGGGATGGTCTTGCCGGACCCAATCAGCTGGCAGTTGGAGAGAAAGCAGAGAGAAGCAGGAGAGAGAAAAGCAAGCAGAGAGAAGCAGGAGAGAGAAAAGTGAGCAGAGAGCTGATGAGGCAAGTGCAGAGCACAGGCATGCCACAGCAGCTGTGGGAGGGCAGGGGTGGGGAGGGCACAGGTGCGGGTATGGCGAGGCTCCTGGGAAAGTGGGGCTGGAAAGGAAAGGAGAGGAAGAAGGAGGGAGGCAGAGCTTCACAGTTAGTGCCTGGGGGTTGCAGCGGCCCTCCCCACCCCACACACGCTGGCATCTTTCAGGGCACCCAGGGCGGTGCAGCCACCGTTCAGAGCAATGCTCCACAGTTAGTGCCTGGGGGCTCCGGCGGCCCTCCCCACCCCACACACGCTGGCCTCTTTCAGGGCACCCAGGGCGGTGCACCCACCGTTCAGAGCAATGCTCAGCCCCCTCCAGTGTCCCTCTTCTCTGGTCACCCTGTCTTTGAACCCACTGGCCCGGGGCCATCTCTTGCTTTTGGGAACCCAAAACAACAGCCACCAGTCCTGATAGAGAAGGAACACTGCTTGAACCAGGATGATGAAGCTAAAAGGGATGGATGGCTGGAGTGATCGCCGGAGCCCCTTTTGGGCAGTCAGAAAGCCCAGGACCCTCTGAAGGGACCCTGGGGGAGGTAGGGAGGACAGGCAGCTGGATGCCACTGGCTATAGACTTATAAGTCTAAGAGGGGAGCCTCAGCTTGTTGGGGGTTGCAGGTCACAAAGGTGAGGGCTGGGAAAAGCAGAAGAGGGAGAGTCCATGGCAAGGGAGGTGGGTGGGCTTGCTGGGTGGAGCTCAGCCGGGCCAGCATGCACTATGGTCCCCTCGGCTGAATAGCAGAAGCAACCTCTAGAAGCAACAGACCAAGGTGCGTGAGCCTGCTGGCTGGCGGTAGTGCTTCAGCGGGGGCCAGGGACCCTGCCTTCAGCCACACGCTAGCAGCTATGATGGTACCTGGGAGGGAGGGAAGGGGACTGTGTGTCCCTGCCTGGCCTGTGAGGTGTGTTGTGGGTTGACCGTGTGTATGGGAGTCTCAAGGTTTTATCTTAGATCACCACTGGATTGTCAACAGATAGAGGAGGTGGGACCCTGACTATCACCCCTGCTCTGCAGTAGATTTGGCTCTAAGCACTCCCAGGCTGGGAGCTGGATGCCCTCCCTGGCAGCATGACTCAGACTTCACAACAGCTACAGCGTGCCCAGGATGACATTCCTAGGCCTCTGGCCGCCTCAGAGTACAGCCCTGCACACAACCCCCTCCAAGCTCTCAGCCCTTACACCATAAACCACGAGCTCTCTGACAGCTCCAGAGAGAGCCCATGTCTGCCAGCTTGGGCACAGAGCCTGTTCCAAGAGCCCACAAGCTCAGCCATGGAGGCTGGGGGGCTTTGGGGCTAGTGGGGGCCAGCCCTGGTACCTGGGTCCAGCCGGGACGCTCTGTACCTGCAACTAGGAGTCGTCCACGGGCCCCCGTAGCTGTGCTGATGGTGTTCATGTTGATGTCGCCGATGATGCTGAGAGCCTCTTTCAGCACGTGGTGCATGCACAGCATCTCGTCGCGCCGCTATGCCTGCTCCGCCGACTCCTCCAGGAGTGTCTTCTTGTCCCTACGCGAGTGCAGGTTGGACAGCAGCTCTGAGAAGATGAACTCCTTGGTCTGCCTGCTCTGCCGACTCCTCCAGGAGTGTCTTCTCGTTCCCACGCGAGTACAGGTTGGACAGCAGCTCCGAGAAGATGAACTCCTTGTTCTGCCTACTCTGCCGACTCCTCCAGGAGTGTCTTCTTCTTCCCACGCGAGTCTCGTCACGCCGCTGTGCCTGCTCTGCCGACTCCTCCACGAGTGTCTTCTCGTTCCCACGCGAGTGCAGGTTGGACAGCAGCTCTGAGAAGCAGCATCTCGTCGCACCGCTGTGCCTGCTCTGCCGACCCCTCCACAAGTGTCTGCAGGTTCCGACGCGAGTACAGGTTGGACAGCAGCTCCGAGAAGATGAACTCCTTCGTCTGCCTGCTCTGCCGACTCCTCCAGGAGTGTCTTCTTCTTCCCACGCGAGTCTCGTCACACCGCTGTGCCTGCTCTGCCGACTCCTCCATGAGTGTCTTCTCGTTCCCACGCAAGTGCAGTTTGGACAGCAGCTCTGAGAAGATGAACTCCTTGGTCTGCCTGCTCTGCCGACGCCTCCACGAGTGTCTTCTCGTTCCCACGCGAGTGCAGGTTGGACAGCAGCTCTGAGAAGATGAACTCCTTGGTCTGCCTGCTCTGCCGACGCCTCCACGAGTGTCTTCTCGTTCCCACGCGAGTACAGGTTGGACAGCAGCTCTGAGAAGATGAACTCCTTGGTCTGCCTGCTCTGCCGACGCCTCCACGAGTGTCTTCTCGTTCCCACGCCAGTGCAGGTTGGACAGCAGCTCTGAGAAGCAGCATCTCGTCGCACCGCTGTGCCTGCTCTGCCGACTCCTCCACAAGTGTCTGCAGGTTCCGACGCGAGTACAGGTTGGACAGCAGCTCCGAGAAGATGAACTCCTTGGTCTGCCTGCTCTGCCGACTCCTCCAGGAGTGTCTTCTTCTTCCCACGCGAGTCTCGTCACGCCGCTGTGCCTGCTCGGCCGACTCCTCCATGAGTGTCTTCTCGTTCCCACGCGAGTGCAGGTTGGACAGCAGCTCTGAGAAGATGAACTCCTTGGTCTGCCTACTCTGCCGACGCCTCCACGAGTGTCTTCTCGTTCCCACGCGAGTACAGGTTGGACAGCAGCTCTGAGAAGATGAACTCCTTGGTCTGCCTGCTCTGCCGACGCCTCCACGAGTGTCTTCTGGTTCCCACGCGAGGGCTGGTTGGACAGCAGCTCTGAGAAGCAGCATCTCGTCGCACCGCTGTGCCTGCTCTGCCGACTCCTCCACAAGTGTCTGCAGGTTCCGACGCGAGTACAGGTTGGACAGCAGCTCCGAGAAGATGAACTCCTTGGTCTGCCTGCTCTGCCGACTCCTCCAGGAGTGTCTTCTTCTTCCCACGCGAGTCTCGTCACACCGCTGTGCCTGCTCTGCCGACTCCTCCATGAGTGTCTTCTCGTTCCCACGCAAGTGCAGGTTGGACAGCAGCTCTGAGAAGATGAACTCCTTGGTCTGCCTGCTCTGCCGACGCCTCCACGAGTGTCTTCTTGTTCCCACGCGAGTGCAGGTTGGGCAGCAGCTCTGAGAAGATGAACTCCTTGGTCTGCCTTCTCTGCTGACGCCTCCACGAGTGTCTTCTCGTTCCCACGCGAGTGCAGGTTGGACAGCAGCTCTGAGAAGATGAACTCCTTGGTCTGCCTGCTCTGCCGACGCCTCCACGAGTGTCTTCTCGTTCCCACGCGAGTGCAGGTTGGACAGCAGCTCTGAGAAGATGAACTCCTTGGTCTGCCTGCTCTGCCGACGCCTCCACGAGTGTCTTCTCGTTCCCACGCTAGTGCAGGTTGGACAGCAGCTCTGAGAAGCAGCATCTCGTCGCACCGGTGTGCCTGCTCTGCCGACTCCTCCACAAGTGTCTGCAGGTTCCGATGCGAGTACAGGTTGGACAGCAGCTCCGAGAAGATGAACTCCTTGGTCTGCCTGCTCTGCCGACTCCTCCAGGAGTGTCTTCTTCTTCCCACGCGAGTCTCGTCACGCCGCTGTGCCTGCTCGGCCGACTCCTCCATGAGTGTCTTCTCGTTCCCACGCGAGTGCAGGTTGGACAGCAGCTCTGAGAAGATGAACTCCTTGGTCTGCCTGCTCTGCCGACGCCTCCACGAGTGTCTTCTCGTTCCCACGCGAGTACAGGTTGGACAGCAGCTCTGAGAAGATGAACTCCTTGGTCTGCCTGCTCTGCCAACGCCTCCACGAGTGTCTTCTCGTTCCCACGCGAGTGCAGGTTGGACAGCAGCTCTGAGAAGCAGCATCTCGTCGCACCGCTGTGCCTGCTCTGCCGACTCCTCCACAAGTGTCTGCAGGTTCCGACGCGAGTACAGTTTGGACAGCAGCTCCGAGAAGATGAACTCCTTGGTCTGCCTGCTCTGCCGACGCCTCCACGAGTGTCTTCTCGTTCCCACGCGAGTGCAGGTTGGACAGCAGCTCTGAGAAGATGAACTCCTTGGTCTGCCTTCTCTGCCGACGCCTTCACGAGTGTCTTCTCATTCCCACGCGAGTGCAGGTTGGACAGCAGCTCTGAGAAGATGAATTCCTTGGTCTGCCTGCTCTGCCAACGCCTCCACGAGTGTCTGCTCGTTCCCACGCGAGTACAGGTTGGACAGCAGCTCTGAGAAGATGAACTCCTTGGTCTGCCTGCTCTGCCGATGCCTCCACGAGTGTCTTCTCGTTCCCACGCCAGTGCAGGTTGGACAGCAGCTCTGAGAAGCAGCATCTCGTCGCACCGCTGTGCCTGCTCTGCCGACTCCTCCACAAGTGTCTGCAGGTTCCGACGCGAGTACAGGTTGGACAGCAGCTCCGAGAAGATGAACTCCTTGGTCTGCCTGCTCTGCCGACTCCTCCAGGAGTGTCTTCTTCTTCCCACGCGAGTCTCGTCACGCCGCTGTGCCTGCTCGGCCGACTCCTCCATGAGTGTCTTCTCGTTCCCACGCGAGTGCAGGTTGGACAGCAGCTCTGAGAAGATGAACTCCTTGGTCTGCCTGCTCTGCCGACGCCTCCACGAGTGTCTTCTCGTTCCCACGCGAGTACAGGTTGGACAGCAGCTCTGAGAAGATGAACTCCTTGGTCTGCCTGCTCTGCCGACGCCTCCACGAGTGTCTTCTGGTTCCCACGCGAGTGCAGGTTGGACAGCAGCTCTGAGAAGCAGCATCTCGTCGCACCGCTGTGCCTGCTCTGCCGACTCCTCCACAAGTGTCTGCAGGTTCCGACGCGAGTACAGGTTGGACAGCAGCTCCGAGAAGATGAACTCCTTGCTCTGCCTGCTCTGCCGACTCCTCCAGGAATGTCTTCTTCTTCCCACGCGAGTCTCGTCACGCCGCTGTGCCTGCTCTGCCGACTCCTACATGAGTGTCTTCTCGTTCCCACGCGAGTGCAGGTTGGACAGCAGCTCTGAGAAGATGAACTCCTTGGTCTGCCTGCTCTGCCGACGCCTCCACGAGTGTCTTCTCGTTCCCACGCGAGTACAGGTTGGACAGCAGCTCTGAGAAGATGAACTCCTTGGTCTGCCTGCTCTGCCAACGCCTCCACGAGTGTCTTCTTGTTCCCACGCGAGTGCAGGTTGGACAGCAGCTCTGAGAAGCAGCATCTCGTCGCACCGCTGTGCCTGCTCTGCCGACTCCTCCACAAGTGTCTGCAGGTTCCGACGCGAGTACAGGTTGGACAGCAGCTCCGAGAAGATGAACTCCTTGGTCTGCCTGCTCTGCCGACTCCTCCAGGAGTGTCTTCTTCTTCCCACGCGAGTCTCGTCACACCTCTGTGCCTGCTCTGCCGACTCCTCCATGAGTGTCTTCTCGTTCCCACGCGAGTGCAGTTTGGACAGCAGCTCTGAGAAGATGAACTCCTTGGTCTGCCTGCTCTGCCGACGCCTCCACGAGTGTCTTCTCGTTCCCACGCGAGTGCAGGTTGGACAGCAGCTCTGAGAAGATGAACTCCTTGGTCTGCCTTCTCTGCCGACGCCTTCACGAGTGTCTTCTCATTCCCACGCGAGTGCAGGTTGGACAGCAGCTCTGAGAAGATGAACTCCTTGGTCTGCCTGCTCTGCCGACGCCTCCACGAGTGTCTGCTCGTTCCCACGTGAGTACAGGTTGGACAGCAGCTCTGAGAAGATGAACTCCTTGGTCTGCCTGCTCTGCCGACGCCTCCACGAGTGTCTTCTCGTTCCCACGCCAGTGCAGGTTGGACAGCAGCTCTGAGAAGCAGCATCTCGTCGCACCGCTGTGCCTGCTCTGCCGACTCCTCCACAAGTGTCTGCAGGTTCCGATGCGAGTACAGGTTGGACAGCAGCTCCGAGAAGATGAACTCCTTGGTCTGCCTGCTCTGCCGACTCCTCCAGGAGTGTCTTCTTCTTCCCACGCGAGTCTCGTCACGCCGCTGTGCCTGCTCGGCCGACTCCTCCATGAGTGTCTTCTCGTTCCCACGCGAGTGCAGGTTGGACAGCAGCTCTGAGAAGATGAACTCCTTGGTCTGCCTGCTCTGCCGACGCCTCCACGAGTGTCTTCTCGTTCCCACGCGAGTACAGGTTGGACAGCAGCTCTGAGAAGATGAACTCCTTGGTCTGCCTGCTCTGCCAACGCCTCCACGAGTGTCTTCTCGTTCCCACGCGAGTGCAGGTTGGACAGCAGCTCTGAGAAGCAGCATCTCGTCGCACCGCTGTGCCTGCTCTGCCGACTCCTCCACAAGTGTCTGCAGGTTCCGACGCGAGTACAGGTTGGACAGCAGCTCCGAGAAGATGAACTCCTTGGTCTGCCTGCTCTACCGACTAGTCCAGGAGTGTCTTCTTCTTCCCACGCGAGTCTCGTCACACCGCTGTGCCTGCTCTGCCGACTCCTCCATGAGTGTCTTCTCGTTCCCACGCGAGTGCAGGTTGGACAGCAGCTCTGAGAAGATGAACTCCTTGGTCTGCCTGCTCTGCCGACGCCTCCACGAGTGTCTTCTCGTTCCCACGCGAGTACAGGTTGGACAGCAGCTCTGAGAAGATGAACTCCTTGGTCTGCCTGCTCTGCCGACGCCTCCACGAGTGTCTGCAGGTTCCGACGCGAGTACAGGTTGGACAGCAGCTCCGAGAAGATGAACTCCTTGGTCTGCCTGCTCTGCCGACTCCTCCAGGAGTGTCTTCTTCTTCCCACGCGAGTCTCGTCACACCTCTGTGCCTGCTCTGCCGACTCCTCCATGAGTGTCTTCTCGTTCCCACGCGAGTGCAGTTTGGACAGCAGCTCTGAGAAGATGAACTCCTTGGTCTGCCTGCTCTGCCGACGCCTCCACGAGTGTCTTCTCGTTCCCACGCGAGTGCAGGTTGGACAGCAGCTCTGAGAAGATGAACTCCTTGGTCTGCCTTCTCTGCCGACGCCTTCACGAGTGTCTTCTCATTCCCACGCGAGTGCAGGTTGGACAGCAGCTCTGAGAAGATGAATTCCTTGGTCTGCCTGCTCTGCCAACGCCTCCACGAGTGTCTGCTCGTTCCCACGCGAGTACAGGTTGGACAGCAGCTCTGAGAAGATGAACTCCTTGGTCTGCCTGCTCTGCCGATGCCTCCACGAGTGTCTTCTCGTTCCCACGCCAGTGCAGGTTGGACAGCAGCTCTGAGAAGCAGCATCTCGTCGCACCGCTGTGCCTGCTCTGCCGACTCCTCCACAAGTGTCTGCAGGTTCCGACGCGAGTACAGGTTGGACAGCAGCTCCGAGAAGATGAACTCCTTGGTCTGCCTGCTCTGCCGACTCCTCCAGGAGTGTCTTCTTCTTCCCACGCGAGTCTCGTCACGCCGCTGTGCCTGCTCGGCCGACTCCTCCATGAGTGTCTTCTCGTTCCCACGCGAGTGCAGGTTGGACAGCAGCTCTGAGAAGATGAACTCCTTGGTCTGCCTGCTCTGCCGACGCCTCCACGAGTGTCTTCTCGTTCCCACGCGAGTACAGGTTGGACAGCAGCTCTGAGAAGATGAACTCCTTGGTCTGCCTGCTCTGCCGACGCCTCCACGAGTGTCTTCTGGTTCCCACGCGAGTGCAGGTTGGACAGCAGCTCTGAGAAGCAGCATCTCGTCGCACCGCTGTGCCTGCTCTGCCGACTCCTCCACAAGTGTCTGCAGGTTCCGACGCGAGTACAGGTTGGACAGCAGCTCCGAGAAGATGAACTCCTTGCTCTGCCTGCTCTGCCGACTCCTCCAGGAATGTCTTCTTCTTCCCACGCGAGTCTCGTCACGCCGCTGTGCCTGCTCTGCCGACTCCTACATGAGTGTCTTCTCGTTCCCACGCGAGTGCAGGTTGGACAGCAGCTCTGAGAAGATGAACTCCTTGGTCTGCCTGCTCTGCCGACGCCTCCACGAGTGTCTTCTCGTTCCCACGCGAGTACAGGTTGGACAGCAGCTCTGAGAAGATGAACTCCTTTGGTCTGCCTGCTCTGCCAACGCCTCCACGAGTGTCTTCTTGTTCCCACGCGAGTGCAGGTTGGACAGCAGCTCTGAGAAGCAGCATCTCGTCGCACCGCTGTGCCTGCTCTGCCGACTCCTCCACAAGTGTCTGCAGGTTCCGACGCGAGTACAGGTTGGACAGCAGCTCCGAGAAGATGAACTCCTTGGTCTGCCTGCTCTGCCGACTCCTCCAGGAGTGTCTTCTTCTTCCCACGCGAGTCTCGTCACGCCGCTGTGCCTGCTCGGCCGACTCCTCCATGAGTGTCTTCTCGTTCCCACGCGAGTGCAGGTTGGACAGCAGCTCTGAGAAGATGAACTCCTTGGTCTGCCTGCTCTGCCGACGCCTCCACGAGTGTCTTCTCGTTCCCACGCGAGTGCAGGTTGGACAGCAGCTCTGAGAAGATGAACTCCTTGGTCTGCCTGCTCTGCCGACGCCTCCACGAGTGTCTTCTCGTTCCCACGCCAGTGCAGGTTGGACAGCATCTCTGAGAAGCAGCATCTCGTCGCACCGCTGTGCCTGCTCTGCCGACTCCTCCACAAGTGTCTGCAGGTTCCGACGCGAGTATAGGTTGGACAGCAGCTCCGAGAAGATGAACTCCTTGATCTGCCTGCTCTGCCGACTCCTCCAGGAGTGTCTTCTTCTTCCCATGCGAGTCTCGTCACGCCGCTGTGCCTGCTCGGCCGACTCCTCCATGAGTGTCTTCTCGTTCCCACGCGAGTGCAGGTTGGACAGCAGCTCTGAGAAGATGAACTCCTTGGTCTGCCTGCTCTGCCGACGCCTCCACGAGTGTCTTCTCGTTCCCACGCGAGTACAGGTTGGACAGCAGCTCTGAGAAGATGAACTCCTTGGTCTGCCTGCTCTGCCGACGCCTCCACGAGTGTCTTCTCGTTCCCACGCGAGTACAGGTTGGACAGAAGCTCTGAGAAGATGAACTCCTTGGTCTGCCTGCTCTGCCGACGCCTCCACGAGTGTCTGCAGGTTCCGACGCGAGTACAGGTTGGACAGCAGCTCCGAGAAGATGAACTCCTTGGTCTGCCTGCTCTGCCGACTCCTCCAGGAGTGTCTTCTTCTTCCCACGCGAGTCTCGTCACACCTCTGTGCCTGCTCTGCCGACTCCTCCATGAGTGTCTTCTCGTTCCCACGCGAGTGCAGTTTGGACAGCAGCTCTGAGAAGATGAACTCCTTGGTCTGCCTGCTCTGCCGACGCCTCCACGAGTGTCTTCTCGTTCCCACGCGAGTGCAGGTTGGACAGCAGCTCTGAGAAGATGAACTCCTTGGTCTGCCTGCTCTGCCAACGCCTCCACGAGTGTCTGCTCGTTCCCACGCGAGTACAGGTTGGACAGCAGCTCTGAGAAGATGAACTCCTTGGTCTGCCTGCTCTGCCGACGCCTCCACGAGTGTCTTCTCGTTGCCACGCCAGTGCAGGTTGGACAGCAGCTCTGAGAAGCAGCATCTCGTCGCACCGCTGTGCCTGCTCTGCCGACTCCTCCACAAGTGTCTGCAGGTTCCGACGCGAGTACAGGTTGGACAGCAGCTCCGAGAAGATGAACTCCTTGGTCTGCCTGCTCTGCCGACTCCTCCAGGAGTGTCTTCTTCTTCCCACGCGAGTCTCGTCACACCTCTGTGCCTGCTCTGCCGACTCCTCCATGAGTGTCTTCTCGTTCCCACGCGAGTGCAGTTTGGACAGCAGCTCTGAGAAGATGAACTCCTTGGTCTGCCTGCTCTGCCGACGCCTCCACGAGTGTCTTCTCGTTCCCACGCGAGTGCAGGTTGGACAGCAGCTCTGAGAAGATGAACTCCTTGGTCTGCCTTCTCTGCCGACGCCTTCACGAGTGTCTTCTCATTCCCACGCGAGTGCAGGTTGGACAGCAGCTCTGAGAAGATGAACTCCTTGGTCTGCCTGCTCTGCCGACGCCTCCACGAGTGTCTGCTCGTTCCCACGTGAGTACAGGTTGGACAGCAGCTCTGAGAAGATGAACTCCTTGGTCTGCCTGCTCTGCCGACGCCTCCACGAGTGTCTTCTCGTTCCCACGCCAGTGCAGGTTGGACAGCAGCTCTGAGAAGCAGCATCTCGTCGCACCGCTGTGCCTGCTCTGCCGACTCCTCCACAAGTGTCTGCAGGTTCCGACGCGAGTACAGGTTGGACAGCAGCTCCGAGAAGATGAACTCCTTGGTCTGCCTGCTCTGCCGACTCCTCCAGGAGTGTCTTCTTCTTCCCACGCGAGTCTCGTCACGCCGCTGTGCCTGCTCGGCCGACTCCTCCATGAGTGTCTTCTCGTTCCCACGCGAGTGCAGGTTGGACAGCAGCTCTGAGAAGATGAACTCCTTGGTCTGCCTGCTCTGCCGACGCCTCCACGAGTGTCTTCTCGTTCCCACGCGAGTGCAGGTTGGACAGCAGCTCTGAGATGAACTCCTTGGTCTGCCTGCTCTGCCGACGCCTCCACGAGTGTCTGCAGGTTCCGACGCGAGTACAGGTTGGACAGCAGCTCCGAGAAGATGAACTCCTTGGTCTGCCTGCTCTGCCGACTCCTCCAGGAGTGTCTTCTTCTTCCCACGCGAGTCTCGTCACACCTCTGTGCCTGCTCTGCCGACTCCTCCATGAGTGTCTTCTCGTTCCCACGCGAGTGCAGTTTGGACAGCAGCTCTGAGAAGATGAACTCCTTGGTCTGCCTGCTCTGCCGACGCCTCCACGAGTGTCTTCTCGTTCCCACGCGAGTGCAGGTTGGACAGCAGCTCTGAGAAGATGAACTCCTTGGTCTGCCTGCTCTGCCAACGCCTCCACGAGTGTCTGCTCGTTCCCACGCGAGTACAGGTTGGACAGCAGCTCTGAGAAGATGAACTCCTTGGTCTGCCTGCTCTGCCGACGCCTCCACGAGTGTCTTCTCGTTCCCACGCCAGTGCAGGTTGGACAGCAGCTCTGAGAAGCAGCATCTCGTCGCACCGCTGTGCCTGCTCTGCCGACGCCTCCACGAGTGTCTGCAGGTTCCGACGCGAGTACAGGTTGGACAGCAGCTCCGAGAAGATGAACTTCTTGGTCTGCCTGCTCTGCCGACTCCTCCAGGAGTGTCTTCTTCTTCCCACGCGAGTCTCGTCACACCTCTGTGCCTGCTCTGCCGACTCCTCCATGAGTGTCTTCTCGTTCCCACGCGAGTGCAGTTTGGACAGCAGCTCTGAGAAGATGAACTCCTTGGTCTGCCTGCTCTGCCGACGCCTCCACGAGTGTCTTCTCGTTCCCACGCGAGTGCAGGTTGGACAGCAGCTCTGAGAAGATGAACTCCTTGGTCTGCCTGCTCTGCCAACGCCTCCACGAGTGTCTGCTCGTTCCCACGCGAGTACAGGTTGGACAGCAGCTCTGAGAAGATGAACTCCTTGGTCTGCCTGCTCTGCCGACGCCTCCACGAGTGTCTTCTCGTTCCCAAGCCAGTGCAGGTTGGACAGCATCTCTGAGAAGCAGCATCTCGTCGCACCGCTGTGCCTGCTCTGCCGACTCCTCCACAAGTGTCTGCAGGTTCCGACGCGAGTACAGGTTGGACAGCAGCTCCGAGAAGATGAACTCCTTGATCTGCCTGCTCTGCCGACTCCTCCAGGAGTGTCTTCTTCTTCCCATGCGAGTCTCGTCACGCCGCTGTGCCTGCTCGGCCGACTCCTCCATGAGTGTCTTCTCGTTCCCACGCGAGTGCAGGTTGGACAGCAGGTCTGAGAAGATGAACTCCTTGGTCTGCCTGCTCTGCCGACGCCTCCACGAGTGTCTTCTCGTTCCCACGCGAGTACAGGTTGGACAGCAGCTCTGAGAAGATGAACTCCTTGGTCTGCCTGCTCTGCCGACGCCTCCACGAGTGTCTTCTTGTTCCCAAGCGAGTGCAGGTTGGACAGCAGCTCTGAGAAGCAGCATCTCGTCGCACCGCTGTGCCTGCTCTGCCGACTCCTCCACAAGTGTCTGCAGGTTCCGACGCGAGTACAGGTTGGACAGCAGCTCCGAGAAGATGAACTCCTTGGTCTGCCTGCTCTGCCGACTCCTCCAGGAGTGTCTTCTTCTTCCCACGCGAGTCTCGTCACACCGCTGTGCCTGCTCTGCCGACTCCTCCATGAGTGTCTTCTCGTTCCCACGCGAGTGCAGTTTGGACAGCAGCTCTGAGAAGATGAACTCCTTGGTCTGCCTGCTCTGCCGACGCCTCCACGAGTGTCTTCTCGTTCCCACGCGAGTGCAGGTTGGACAGCAGCTCTGAGAAGATGAACTCCTTGGTCTGCCTGCTCTGCCGACGCCTCCACGAGTGTCTTCTCGTTCCCACGCGAGGACAGGTTGGACGGCAGCTCTGAGAAGATGAACTCCTTGGTCTGCCTGCTCTGCCGACGCCTCCACGAGTGTCTTCTCGTTCCCACGCCAGTGCAGGTTGGACAGCAGCTCTGAGAAGCAGCATCTTGTCGCACCGCTGTGCCTGCTCTGCCGACTCCTCCACAAGTGTCTGCAGGTTCCGACGCGAGTACAGGTTGGACAGCAGCTCCGAGAAGATGAACTCCTTGGTCTGCCTGCTCTGCCGACTCCTCCAGGAGTGTCTTCTTCTTCCCACGCGAGTCTCGTCACGCCGCTGTGCCTGCTCGGCCGACTCCTCCATGAGTGTCTTCTCGTTCCCACGCGAGTGCAGGTTGGACAGCAGCTCTGAGAAGATGAACTCCTTGGTCTGCCTGCTCTGCCGACGCCTCCACGAGTGTCTTCTCGTTCCCACGCCAGTGCAGGTTGGACAGCAGCTCTGAGAAGCAGCATCTCGTCGCACCGCTGTGCCTGCTCTGCCGACTCCTCCACAAGTGTCTGCAGGTTCCGACGCGAGTACAGGTTGGACAGCAGCTCCGAGAAGATGAACTCCTTGGTCTGCCTGCTCTGCCGACTCCTCCAGGAGTGTCTTCTTCTTCCCACGCGAGTCTCGTCACGCCGCTGTGCCTGCTCGGCCGACTCCTCCATGAGTGTCTTCTCGTTCCCACGCGAGTGCAGGTTGGACAGCAGCTCTGAGAAGATGAACTCCTTGGTCTGCCTGCTCTGCCGACGCCTCCACGAGTGTCTTCTCGTTCCCACGCGAGTGCAGGTTGGACAGCAGCTCTGAGAAGATGAACTCCTTGGTCTGCCTGCTCTGCCGACGCCTCCACGAGTGTCTTCTCGTTCCCACGCGAGTACAGGTTGGACAGCAGCTCTGAGAAGATGAACTCCTTGGTCTGCCTGCTCTGCCGACGCCTCCACGAGTGTCTTCTCGTTCCCACGCGAGTACAGGTTGGACAGAAGCTCTGAGAAGATGAACTCCTTGGTCTGCCTGCTCTGCCGACGCCTCCACGAGTGTCTTCTCGTTCCCACGCGAGTGCAGGTTGGACAGCAGCTCTGAGAAGATGAACTCCTTGGTCTGCCTGCTCTGCCGACGCCTCCACGAGTGTCTTCTCGTTCCCACGCGAGTACAGGTTGGACAGCAGCTCTGAGAAGATGAACTCCTTGGTCTGCCTGCTCTGCCGACGCCTCCACGAGTGTCTTCTTGTTCCCACGCGAGTGCAGGTTGGACAGCAGCTCTGAGAAGCAGCATCTCGTCGCACCGCTGTGCCTGCTCTGCCGACTCCTCCATGAGTGTCTTCTCGTTCCCACGCAAGTGCAGTTTGGACAGCAGCTCTGAGAAGATGAACTCCTTGGTCTGCCTGCTCTGCCGACGCCTCCACGAGTGTCTTCTCGTTCCCACGCGAGTGCAGGTTGGACAGCAGCTCTGAGAAGCAGCATCTCGTCGCGCCGCTGTGCCTGCTCTGCCGACTCCTCCAGGAGTGTCTCCTTGTTCCCACGCGAGTACAGGTTGGACAGCAGCTCTGAGAAGATGAACTCCTTGGTCTGAGAGTGGGCAAAGAAGGAAGGAGTTTGGGTCCTGATGCCCGTGCTGCCCTGGCCTCCCGCTGGCGCCTGCTGGGACTGTGTGCTGGAGTTGAAGCCCTGAGTATGGCTTTTCAGATGTGGCTTCTACACAGCTTAAACTCAAAGATCTGCCTCCCCATTGCCCTTTTCTCACTCAGATAGGGACGCTGAGGTCCAGAGGAAAGGTCGCCTGTGCAAGTCACAGATCTGGGAGGGGACCCTGGACCTATCATGCTACCAGGACACCTGTCTACTCAGGTTTTTCAAATTTTTTTTGGAGATAGGATCTCACTCTGTCGCTAGGCTGGAGTATAGAGGGCGAGATCACCGCTCACTGCATCCTCAACCTCTTGGGCTCAAAGTGATCCTCTAATGTCAGCCTGTCGAGTAGCTAGGACTATAGGCACGTGCCACCACCAAGCCCAGCTATTTTTAAAATTTTTGTGTAGAGGCCAGGTCTCACTATGTTGCCCAGGCTGGTCTCGAACTCCTGGGCTCAAGCTATCCTCCCGCCTTGGCCTCCCAAAGTGCTGGGATTACAGGCATGGACCACTGTCCTCAGTCCCATGTTATATTTCTATGAGACAGCTCTGGTCTGGACCATGCCTCCCTCCCTGGACCTGGTCCCATAGGGCTGGTCAGCATCTCCCCCAGGCCAACATGGCCACCTGCATCCCCAGTGCCACAGGAGCCGCCTACCCCCATGAGGCGGTGCATGCACATTGTAGATCATGATGTGCATGATGGTCTTGGGCTTCGCACCAACCATGAGGTTCCACACGGTCTTGTTGACAATGGCCATGTAGGAGTCCACCAGGTTCTGGGTGGTTTCCATTTGCCGCTCCAGCTGTGGGTCCATGGAGTGCATGAAGCTGTGGGAGCCATTCTCCTCAGCCTTGCTGTCCTGTCACGGAGAATGCAAGCGCATCAGGGTGGCCAGGCCATGCAGCCAGGCTCCAGCAATCCCTAGGATCTCAGTCCCTCCAAGGGTACCTGGAACATTGAAGCACAGAGAAAGGCAACTGGCCTGAACACACACCCAGGTCCCCACATGCTCTAGATGGTTTCAGGCCTCTGCCTCTCAGGACCCCAGACTCCCCTGATTCAAGTCTCATCTTAGTCCTGACTCTAGTGCCCAGAATTTGCCTCAAGTTACCAATCCAGAAATTGGAAAAGAACATCTCCAGGTACCTTGCTTGAAGACCTGGCCAGAGCTTGCGCCAGGCTGCAGATGCCTGGCAGGAAGCAAGAAAAGGGCATACTCACTTTCCCCTTGTCCTAGGAGGCCCATGCACCAACATTGCCACCGCCGCTGCCACCAGGGAACAGAGCAAAGTAGACACACACAGACAAGAAAACGGGAAGGGTTGAGTGAACCTGGGACACTGCACCCCAACTTTAATGTGTTGTTGAATTCAATTAGCTAATATTTTGTTGAGGATTTTTGCATCAATATTCATCAGTGATCCTGGCCTGTAGTTTTCTTTTTTGGATGTATCTTTAGTTTTGGTATCAGGGTAATACTAGCCTTGTAGAATGAGTTTGGAAGTATTCCCTCCTTCTCTATTTTTGGAATCGTTTGGGTAAGGTTGGTATTAGTTCTTCTTTAAATGTTTGCTAGAATTCAGCAGTGAATCATCAGGTCCCAGGCTTTTCTTTGCTGGGAGACTTTTCATTACTGCTTCGATCCCATTATTTGTTGTTGGTCTGTTCTGGCTTTGGATTTCATCCCGGTTCAGTCTTGGTAGTCTGGATGTGTCTGGAAATTTATCCATTTTTAGTAGGTTTTCCCATTTGTTTGCATATAGTTGCTGATAATAGCCACTAGTGATCCTTTGAGTTTTTGTGGTATCAGTTGTCATGTTTCCTTTTGTTTGTCAATGTTATCTTTTTAAAAAAATAATTTTTTTTTTTGAGATGGAATCTTGCTTTGTCACCCAGGCTGGAGTGCAATGGCACAATCCTGGCTCACTGCAACCTCTGCCTCCCAGGTTCAAGTGATTCTCCTGCCTCAGCCTCCTGAGTAGCTGGGATTACAGGCGCGTACCACCACCCTGGGTAATTTTTCTATTTTTAGTAGAGACATGGTTTCACCATGTTGATCAGGCTGGTATTGAACTCCTGACCTCATAAGGTACCCACTTCGGCCCCGCAAAGTGCTGGGGTTACAGGCATGAGAATCCGTGCCCAGCCCACATTTTGTTTTTAAATTTTACTTATTTACTTGTTTTTCTCTTTTGCAAACAGGGTCTCATTCTGTTGCCCAGGCTGGAGTGCAGTGGTGCAATCATGGGCTCACTGTAACCTTGAACACCTAAACTCAAGAGATCCTCCCGTCTCAGCCTCATGAGTAGCTAGGACTACATGCCTGCACCACCACACCTGGCTAATTTTTCTAGTTTTTGTAGAGAAAGGGTTTTGCTATGTTGCCCAGGCTGGTCTTGAACTCCTGGCCTCAAGCAATCCTCCTGCCTTGGCCTCCCAAAGTGCCAGGATTACAGGCATGAGCCACCATGCTGGGTCTATACATTTTCTTTTCCATGTTATATAAAGTATTCTGTATGCATCCTTCTGGAATTTGTTTTTCTCACAATATTATATTGCTAAAGTTCTTATTGTTGTTTATTGCTGGCGTTCATTCTTTTTGACTGCTTGTGAAATCACCAGAAGATAGACATCCTGAGATCTCTTAAGAACTGCTGCTGGGAGTATACACTGGTATGACCACTTTGGAAAACAGTTTGGCTCCATCTCATAAGGTTCAATATTCACACTCCTCCTAGCCCAGTAATTCTACTCTACGTGGAAGAGAAATTCTTGCCTATATAAAACAGGGGATGTGGACAAGGAATGTTCCTAACAGCTCTGTTCAAAATAGCAAAAACCTATTGCCCATCAACTGGAGAGTAGGTGACTAAATTGTGCTTTTTATTCCCTTTGATTTCCTGTAGTCTTACAATGCGAGTGGCTTTCCCATGGCTAGCTTGGGGAGGGGGATACTCTTGGCAACTGAGTCTGTGGTGGCAGCCCTGCTTAGCCCTAGGGCAATCGGTGCTGACCAAAACAAGAGTAAACAGAACAAGGTGCCCCACTGAGCCAATGCCTTGAGTCCCTGGAGGTACAGTCTTGTATCTGTAGGAAATAGCCATCATACAAATCAGTCTTTTCAAATGCTCTGTCATTTGAAAGGCTGAGTCCAAAGGACATTCTCCTTTAAAACATTATAAAGTTTACTGAGGCTACCATTTATCGAGCAGTTATCATGTGCCTGATCATGTACTAGTGTACTAATTGCATGCATTATTTTATTATTTTATTTATTTACTTATTCATTTATTTGAGATAGGGTCTCTCTCTGTTTCCTGGGCGGGAGTGCAGTGGTGCAATCACAGCTCACTGCAGCCTCAAGCTCCTGGGCTCAAGTGGTCTCACCTCAGCCTCTCGAGTAGCTGGACTGTAGGCCCAAGCCACCAAGTCCAGCTAATTTTTTAAAAAAACATTTTCATAGAAATGTGGTCTGGCTTTGTTGCCCAGGCTAGTCTCAAACTCCTGGCTTCAAGCGATCCTCCTCCTTCAGCCTTATTATTGCATTTAATCGTCACCATCACCCTGTAAGAGTGGCTGGGGGTAGGTGCTCCACACAGTAGCAATGTAGCAACCTCCACTCATAGGTGACAATGAGACTCAGTGTAGTCAAGCAACTTCTCAAAGGTCACACAGCTGGAGGGTGGCTGAGCCAGGATGAAGACCTAGGACTCGAAAGCTGGTGCACCAGTAAATGAGAAAATCTCTGGGGGTTCAGGATCGCTTCCTCCCAACAAATCTTTCTCCAAAGGTTCTAAAAACAATAACAGATCCATCTTTCATAAAGCAAACAAAACTAGCAGCCCCTTCATTTTAGAGGGGGGAGGGGGGATAAAGGTTAGCTAAGCTCCAGGGCATCCCATTTTAATCCTACACATTTATCAGGCAACTGCCAGCACAGCACCCCAAACCTAAAGAACCATGCACAGCTGTCTCTGTGGGGCATGGCGTGTCCACGGACGTAAAGATTGTCCAATGTGTGTTTACAGGCCAGTGGCATCACCCTCAGTCACAGCTTAAACGGCAGCTAGGCCTGGCCTGCTAGGCACCACCGTGAGAATCTGCTGAGTTTTCCAACTAGTTTATCTACTGTTTGCAATGAAAGACGCCCTGAAAAGAAGGGGTGTGGGTGGGAAGAGTTCTGATTTGAGGTGCCCTGATCCAGCACGATCTCCTTCCCCAGTCACAGGAATCAGAGGACTCCATCTGTAAACACAGCCTCAAGCTCTGTCCCCCAACCCCCTCTTTCAACCAGGTGCCACCCTCTGCTTCTCTTCCATAGACAGCCTAGGCTGCCAGCATTCCCTTAGGATCTGTGCCCTCGGGCCTAGCTTAATTTTTTCCTCTCCAAAGAGTCATCTGTAGGGCCAGAAGCCAGCAAAGCCTAACTCATTACTGGACGGCAGTTCCTCTGCCTTTCACTGATTCCTACCTTACCCTGGGGTTTTACGTTTCTTGTCTCAACACTAACATTTCTCACTCCTCCACAAGTTGAATTGCTCACTCCAGCCAACTGAAGCATGCTCTTCTTGACACAGTTAGCTCTCGGCACATGGTCGGTGCTAAAAAAAAAATGAGCATTATGTCAATTTCATTGATCAACAAAAGTGATGCCTCCACTGCAAAGTCAAGTTGATAGTGCCTGGGCCTCTGAGTTCAAGAGCCTTCTAGACAAAGCGCTCTGAGCTGAAACATGAGCATGCACACATATGCATCTCTCTCGGTCTCATGAGATAATCTGGATACTTGGTTGTTATCCTTGAGCATTTTCCTACCTCATTAATGCACGTGTAGCCAACACAATAATTATCATAGCTAATAACGGCTAAAGCTGAGGACTTTCCTGAGCCAGGCAGTGGCTTTAAAAACTTTAATGTTTTCACAGACTCTCATTGAATAATTTCTGTTTTTCAGATCAAGAAACTGAGACTTACTATCACATTTGGGATTAAGTTTAAAAAAAAGAAAGAAACTGAGGCTTAAAGTTGTCTAGTATTTCACAGTCAGCAAATGGCAAAGTTGGAAATTGAACCAGGCAGTAGAGCCCCAGGATCCTGTGCCTTTACCCATTACCTAGTGTTGGCTACACAAAACTAGTGTGTACACAACTTCAACTATAGTTTAAGCTATAGTTTAAGTGGGTGACATATTTTTCACTACACTTTATGTAGGTGACTTTCAGTTTGGGGGTATTCTACTTATGCAATCTATTGAGGTGGATATTAACTGAGAACAAATAGAAACTAATGAACTCTGAAAAACATAAAACATGAGCAACATGATGTCACCGCAAAACACAAAACAGCCCACAGCCTTCTTGTGACTGCATTTTGCTGACAGTCCACGACCTAATAATCAACCTGAACTCAGCAGTGCTCTGTTCCCTTGGGAGACACACACACACACACTCGGGAGAAACACACACACTACAGTTGGTGGTTGTGCCGCCCTGAGCCTCCAGTAGGCGAGTGTGAGGAATGTAGGGACTAGATGGGTCGGGCAGAAAGGTGCTGGGTCAAGGGGAGGAGGGGGCAGCCGGGAGCGCGCGCACGCTCTGGACTCGTGCAACCGCCAAAACGGGTGCGCGCCGGGTTGAGGGGTGACAGGGAAGGTGGCAGGGTTGGGGCAGCCCTTTCCCAGGCGGTAGCGGGGACGGTGGTGCTGTTGTCCTTTTTCTTTTTCTTTTTTTTTTTTTTTGAGACGGAGTCTCGCTCTGTCGCCCAGGCTGGAGTGCGGTGGCGCGATCTCGGCTCACTGCAAGCTCCGCCTCCCGGGTTCGCGCCATTCTCCTGCCCCAGCCTCCCGAGTAGCTGGGACCACAGGCGCCCGCCACCGCGCCCGGCTCATTTTTTGTATTTTTAGTAGAGACGGGGTTTCCCCGTGTTAGCCAGGATGGTCTCGATCTCCTGACCTCGTGATCCGCCCGCCTCGGCCTCCCAAAGTGCTAGGATTACAGGCGTGAGCCACCGCGCCCGGCTAATTTTTTGTATTTTTAGTGGAGACGGGGTTTCCCCGTGTTAGCCGGGATGGTCTCGATCTCCTGACCTCGTGATCCGCCCGCCTCGGCCTCCCAAAGTGCTGGGATGACAGGCGGGAGCCCCCGCGCCCGGCCGCTGTTGCCCTTTTAAGCTGAGGCTTGACAGGAGCCGCCCCTCCTATCGGTGGCGTCGGTCGCAAAGGGAGCAGCCCCCGAGGCCGCCGCGCAGCTCCCCGCCGAGGCCTCGGTGCCCCTTCCCATTTTCCATCCGCGCTCCCACGAAGGTTGAGGCGGCGGGGAGAGGCGAAGCCGCGAGCGCTCGGCCGGGCGGTCCCGCTGGGTGGTCGCAGCCATGACAGCGGCTCCCCTTCCGCGCCCCTCCCGCCGGAGATGAGGGAAGATGTCCCTGTCAGGGTTAAGGCCAAGCTGAAGTTGCTGGCGTCTACCTTCCACAAGAACCAGGAGCCGCAGCCGCGGCTCACGCTCCACTGCAACAGACGGTGGGGCGCGCGGCGGCGGCCTCGCAGGGCAGGGCGGGGGCGCAGATGGGGGAGTCTCGGGACCAACGGCAGCCTAACGGGTAGAGGCCCCGGGTCCCCGCCCCTTCCTCCCTCAGCTGGCCCCGCCCCGCCCCCGGGACTGCGCGAGGCTTGGGTGGGAGGAGGCGGAGGGCGCGTCTCTCCGGCTCCTGGCGCGGGGCTGACTCGGGGGCCGCTGGCCCCTCTTGGCCGCCGTCGCCACGCACCGAGGTGGGAGCCCGCGGCGGCCGGAGCCCTCTTGGGACCCATGGTCGCCCTCAGTCAGCGGGACTGCTCCCGGGACCGCGACGGGGCGGGGCGGGGCGCTCCAGCGTCGTTTGAGCCCAGGCGCGGAAGGGAAAAGGCCTCTGAGATGCTCGCGTTTTTTGCCTGGGCGCGGTGGCGCACGCCTGTAATCCCAGCACTTTGGGAGGCCGAGGCGGGCGGATCTCCTGAGGTCAGGAGTTCGAGACCAGCGTGGCCAACATGGTCAAACCGCGTTTCTACTAAAAACTACAAAAATTAGCCGGGCGTGGTGGCAGGCGCCTTAATCCCAGCTACTTGGGAGGCAGAGGCAGGAGAATCGTTTGAACCCGGGAGGCGGAGGTTGCAGTGAGCCCAGATTAAGCCATTGCACTCAAACCTGGGGGACAAGAGCGAGACTTCTCTCAAAAAAAAAAAAAAGTTTTTTTTTCTTTTCTTTTTTTTTTTTGAGACAGTCTCATTGTCGCCCAGGCTGGAGTGCAGTGGTGGGATCTCGGCTCACTGCAGCCTATGTCTCTTGACAGTCCACGGGTTAAAGCGATTCTCCTGCCTCAGCCTCCCCAGTAGCTGGATTACAGGCCCCGCCACCAAGGCTGGTGAACTTTTGTGTTTTTAGTAGAGAGGGGGTTTCACCGTGTTGGCCAGGCTGGTCTCGAACTCCTGACCTCAAATGACCCACCTCTGCCTCCCAAAGTGCTGGGATTCCAGGCGTGAGCCACCGCGCCGGGACCCAAGGCCCTTAAGTTTTAAGGCCTCATTCTTCAGTCAGGTTTTCCCTGTTCCCGCGTGTTCGGCCAATTTTTTGTTGTTGTTTTGTTTTTGTTTTTGTTTTTGAGTCAATTTTCCAGACATCTTTAATTAGCAATATGTTTAAGTAGTTACAAGCCTTTCCTTCTTTTCTTGTGACAGTTTGGGTTGAATTTCTATCGTTTGCAGCCTGTCACTGTAAGGCACAAACATGATCACGCAAGATGCGATAGTAGATTTAAGCCAGTTGTTTTTAAGTTTGTGTTTAAGGAGAAACTAACAATGAAAACGGCCTCGTTGACGGAGGAAAAGTTGGAATGCAGCCTCTGGTGCTGTTTGAGCGATCCCTCTCCCCGGGGCCTGGCCGCGCGCTGCTGTGTTCTGGAAGGGCTCATTGTACAGTCAAGGCGGCAGGTAAGAGTCCCGTACAGGTGTCTGCCCGCTTTTCCTTTCAGGCTTCTGTGTGAGCTGTTTTTCCCCTGTAGGATGCGTCCCTGACCTCCACCCCTTCACCCTACCCAATTTGTCTTTACATGTCTGACCATCAAGGCTCTCCTGGGTCATATTCAGTTCATGCTGATATTTTCCCTTCCTCCCCTCTTTGGTCCTCACTATTTTTGCTTTGGTCATGTTATGCTATATTCTGTAGGCCTTTTTAATTTTTTTTTTATGGTGGCAGGGGAAAATATTTTATAATTATGCTTTGTGCTTTTTATCTTCCAGTCAGTAAATGCTTGGTAAATATTTGTTTTATTGAGTATATGACCCTATTCTAGCTATATCGTGCTTGAACAGAAATCTTAACTGCCTTGAAAGTTAACTGCTAAGAATTTGTCAAAAGTGCAGAGCTACATCAAGAACTTGTCATGGATAGTACAAAAAGGTCTCTAAGGGCTTGAAGGAAGTCTGTAAATTGATTTCATATGAGAGCGTAAGAAGTGAAAATGTAAAGCATGACTGGAGAGCCAGAGAGATAAAGCAAGGGTCCCTTTCTCCAGATCCTTTGTAACAGTATTATGTGATCTCTTTTAGAAATCACTCTGAAAGATAATGCCAACTCGGAACCTAGGAAACCATCCAGTGGGTTTCTGCAGGTTAGGTGGTTCAATTCCTCATCAGCACCTTTGTTTTCTCTGCCTCAGTTTGCTTACAATGATGTTCTCAGTAGCTGTAATTGCTGTCTGTCTTTGAATGCTTAAGCATTTTTTTTTAGCTCACAGCGGTATATGTGCATTTTTATTTAACCAAGTGTTAGAATTTTTACTCTGCTGTTGTGGGCTCTGGGTTAGCTACTTTGGTTGTTTAGTTGTAAAATGATTAGCAGGGAAAACTGTGTGTGAGAGAGAGAGTGTGTGTGTGTGTGTGTTTTAAGTTTCTTTTGTTGTCAGAGCACTTAGAATTTTATTTTATATGGTAATTCTGTCAGTTTACTTTATTCTCCACCCCACATTTATTGAACAGCAAAGTGTGAAAGTAATGTGTCCCATAACTAGCTTTCAGAAGAATTACAACTGCTGTATATCTGAACTTTTTCTTTTCTTTTCTTTTAAGACGGATTCTCACTCTGTCACCCAGGCTGGAGTGCAGTGGCACGATCTGGTCTCACTGCAACCTCCGCCACCCAGGTTCAAGCGATTCTCCTGCCTCAGCCTCCCGAGTAGCTGGGATTACAGGCACCTGCCACCCCACCTGGCTAAGTTTTGTGGTTTTAGTAGAGACGGGGTTCACCATCTTGGCCAGGCTGGTTTTGAACTCCTGACCTCGTGATCCACCTGCCTCTGCCTCCTAAAATGCTGGGATTACAGGCGTGAGCCACTGTGCCTGGCTGAACTTTCAAGAAGAAGTTTGTGCATCAATTTTCAAATAATTATGATATCAAAAGAGAGCTGTGTCCTACATTTGGAAAGATACAAAAACTGAACCTTCTGGCAGGCAGTTTTGCTTGCTGGAGCTTGAGATAGAGCCACACATTGGCCTCAGTGGATTTATGGAGAAAAATAGATACAGAAAGTTAATTCTAAATAAGACCAAAAAATCCTTTTCTTGAGCAGTGACAGGTAAAGAGGTTGTCTTGGTTAACCTTGAAATGTGTTGCCCTTGATCAAGACAGTTTTATGGTGGGGATGGTAGTGGAGATAAACTTGTTGGAAATTTGTCCACTTATAGTAACCTTTGTGGTAGCCATCACAGACAACTTCATCCTCACAGGCCTTAAAATTACTATAAAACTGATAGAATGGAGGAGAAACAAGGGACCTGAATAATTAGATGCTTAGATAATTGTAATGTGTTTTCATAACTGGTGAAAAACAGCAGTGTTAGAAGCACTTAAACATTCTATGTAAGGAACACTGCCTGAATTTATATTGCGGTTTTTGAGCACCATTCGCTGTTTAAAAACTGGCCTATTTTAGGTCATATTTTGAAGACAAATAGAAAACTTACCTTTTCAAGGTGGATATAAAGCTTAACCTTATCAAAATTACAAAATTTAAAGCATATGATTGAAAAATATTAATGCATAGGTTTAAATATTGGTCATCATTTTAGATGTCTTTCAAAATAGATTGTCTCTTAAATATTAAACTGAACAAACTTTGAACATGTTGTAGAGTTTGTGCTGAAGGTTAAGTTTCCTGGGGTGGTGGATCTTTTATAATATGGATAACAAAACCTTATTTTAAGAAATTTAGAAAATTTTTAGGCAAAACTAGAAAATATTACTGATAATTCTACCACTCAGAAGGTACCACTATCAGAATTTTGTATTTTTCCAGTCATCTGCTCATCTCTTTTCTCCTATGCTTGTATATGTTCCCTCTCCCTTGAAAAATCAGATTTTTTTTGTAATCTGCTTTTTCACTCAACAATATTGTAGATCCGTGTCGTAACTTACTCCTCTGCAGTGGCTTCAGTTATTGTGCGCTTTCTGTTGGATGATTATACCATCTAGCCCGTCATGTTTCCTGGTACTGAATACATAGGCTGTATGTGTGTGTGTGTGTGTGTGTTTCTACCTTAACTAATGCTTTAGACATCAATAGGTAGAGCTGAATCCTTGAAACCTTCCAAGTGGTGGCTTTCAGTTCTCATTGCTGAATTGGTTTCTAGAGATGGAACAAATTATATTATATGGAAACTTTTTTTTTGAGACAAAGTCTCACTCTTGTCACCCAGGCTGCCGTGCAATGGTGTGATCTCAGCTCACTGCAACCTCTGCCTCCCAGGTTCAAGCAATTCTCCTGCCTCAGCTGCCCAAGTAGATGGGATTACAGGTGCCTGCCACCACACCCAGCTAATTTTTGTATTTTTAGTGGAGACGGGGTTTCACCATATTGGCCAGGCTGGTCTCAAACTCCTGACCTCAGGTGATCTGTCTGCCTCGGCCTCTCAAAGTGCTGGGATTACAGATGTAAGCCCCCACACCCGGCCTTTTTTTCTTCTAGGTACCAGCTTTTATTTATCAGTTTGGTAAAAATGTTAGAAAATGGGCATTCTCACAGTTGTGGCAGAAAGTATAATTATCTTTGACTTTCTAGAAAGCAGTTTGGCTTTCTAGAAACTTGCCTAACCTCTCCCCATTTAGGCAAGATGAATTCTGACTATCCCAAGGTAGCCAGCCTTGCCCCTGTGATTCCAATCTCCCAGAAAGAGAGGGCTAGTCTCAGAGAAAACCCAGATTTTCTTGGCTTAGCCCACCTTGACAGCTAATCACTGGAAATGGGGTGGGCTGGTAAAGTCCTTTGGTTAGGTTTTGTGTCAAGAGAGGGAGGTGGAAAGATGGGAGGGAGGTAGCAAAACTGGCCTCAGTGGAACTCTGTAAGTTAATATGGAATGGCAAAGGGATGTTTCTTCCCAGGAAGAAATTCTAGGGAAGGAAGGAAAGTGGAGGGGAAGGCAGCAGTTCTCAAAGTTTTGGAATCAGGACTCCTTTATACTCTTAAAAATATATTGAGGGCCCAAGGAGCTTTGGTTTATGTAGGTTATATCTATTGGTATTTATCACTAGAAATTAAATCAGAAATATTTAAACTATTCTTTAAAAGCTCACCACATATTGTTATAAATGCTTTTATGAAAACATTTCTAAACCAAAAGTAGCACAGTCTTACATTTTTTGCAAATTTCTTTGATGTTTGGTATGTCATTTTCATCTGCATTCAATTTATTGTGTGATATTTGCTTTAAAAAACATGAACAATGTCCAATCTTATACAGATAGCCATTTTAGATCATTGTGGAGATATATATATATATTTTTTTTTAATTTTTTTTGAGATGGGGTCTTGCTGTGTTGCCCAGGCTGGAATGCAGCGGTGTGATCACAGCTCACTGCAGCCTTAGTCTCCGGGGACTCAGGTGATCCTCCCACCTCAGCCTCCAGAGTAGTTGGGACTACAGGTGTGTATCACCACACCTGGCTAATTTTTTGTATCTTTTTGTAGAGACAGGGTTTTGCCATGTTGCCTAGGCTTCTTTTTTGATACTCCATCAAAACTTGGTTTTTCTTGAACTTTGGATCTTTTACCTTTGCATGATATTACAACATCATGCATTGGTCATTTAGAAAATAATGGTTCAAGATCTTCTACATGTTGATACGTTTGATTATACAATATCAAAATACATTCATCAATATCACCATCAATCTCATCAGAATACTTTTGGAAAGCTATGGTGGATATAAGTTTTCTAAAACTAATTTTTTGTTCAAAAGCTTGAATTTTATTATTAGCAATTTTATTATTGAATTTTATTATGGCCTGCCTGTTGTTTTTCTTGAAATGACAGAATCTCATTTTTTTGAGAAAATGTCTCCCAAAAACCCAAGTTGAAATAACATTGTTTGTCAGTCATCCTTTCAAGTAAAAATGGTATTCCATTAAAGTGGTTAATTCACTTCACGACTTAGTCACACGAGGGTTTTTTCTCAGGCAGTCTGTAGAAATGCTCATGTGTACTTCCAATTTCATCACTTGAAATATTAAAAAGACATATTCAAGGATAAAAATGTAGTAAAATTTTCACTGATTCATCATAGACATTCTTTTTATTTTTGAGACAGGGCCTTATTCTGTCACCCAGGCTGGAGTGCAGTAGCATGATCACAGCTCACTGTAGCCTCCACCTTCTGGGCTCAATCAATCCTCCTGCCTCAGCCTTCTAAGTAGCTGGGACTACAGGCATACAACCACCATGTCCAGCTAAATTTTGTATTTTTTGTAAAGATAGGGTTTCACCATGTTGGCCAGGCTGGTCTCAAACTCCTGACCTCAGGTGATCCACCTGCCTCCACCTCCCAAAGTGCTGGGATTACAGGCGTGAGACACCATGCCCAGCCTGCCCTTCCTTTTTAAACCTTTCCTGTGCATAGTGAAGAATACCATGACTAGTTTGGTGTTACTGCCTCTGTTTGTGCTAAAGTACCAGCATTTTTACCCACTATTGTATTTGCACCCTTAAAGCAAATGTCACCATGTTAGTGTTCCTGTTAAAATAGTTTGGACCTGGGCATCTGAGGGCCCCACTTTGGGAACCGTTGAAATAGGTAGTTAAACCTACTATATATCATATCTTTTCATCTACAAGATTTTTAAAAACATGATTTCAGTTCATTTATTTTTATAATTTTTAAAATATGGTTTTGAGGGGTTTCAGTCCAGAATAACAACACGTATTTTATTTTGCTTATGCTGAAGTTTACTAGACAAATACTAACCTAATAGAATGAGGTCCTAAATCTAGTTGCAGTTTCTTTAGCCAAAAAAAAAAAAAAAAAAAAACAACCCAAAACTAAACACATAAAAATGGTCCATAGGGTGTATTCCCAATGCATGTTGAAGAATTTGAAGAAGAAAATGCAATACTCAGTAAGTGGTGTTCTTCATGAATAGGATTAATTCTGAAGAGTTTCTTTTAGCCTGTAAAGAGATTTGGGACATAGTAAGAGAGGAATGAGAAGAATGAGAATAGTAAAATAAACCATTATTGAAGAGATATACTGTTAATGATGTCCTCCTTCCAGAAAACTTGTTTTTCTTTTTTCTTTTTTTTGGGGGGTGGACAGAGTCTTTCTCTGTCACCAGGCTGGAGTGCAGTGGTGCAATCTCAGGTCACTGCAACCTCTGCTTCCCTGGTTCAAGTGATTCCCCTGTGTCAGCCTCCTGAGTAGCTGGGACTACAGGCGCATGCCATCACGCCCCGCTAATTTTTTTTTTATTTTAGTAGAGACAGGGTTTCTTGATCAAGACAGGATGGTCTTGATCTCCTGACCTCGTGATCCACCCACCTCGGCCTCCCAGAATGCTGGGATTACAGGCATGAGCCATCACGCCCGGCCAACTTGTTTTTCTTAAAAGAACCTTTGGTAAATAATTGGTTTCTGTGGCTTCAGCTATAATTCAGATTACAGTTTTCAAAGCAGTGTTTCCTAAAGTTTGTGCGAAATTGTTTTCCATGACTTGAACCTAGTTGTTGTGAAGCTAATATATAATAATAATGGCTTCTCCCCAATTTATAATAGGAAACAGTAGAAAGTAACAGAGTAAATGTCTGTTAGTGGTAAAAGCACATAATGCTTAGTTCATTAGCTTTTTAAAAAAAATCACATGTAATTGTGTTCCAAAAATACATGTATAGCAATGGCATTTCTTGGTATTACTTGGTTTGTGTGATAGAATAAAATATTAGAATTTTATGGTGTTTGAATTAGTTATCTATTGCTCTGTAACAAATTTAGCAGCTTAAAACAACAAACATTATCTCACAGTTTCTGTGGGTCAGGATTCTGTGCAGTTTACCTTGGGTTCACTTGCTTGGCCTCTCACCAGGCAGTGAAGGTGTTGGTGGCGGCTATGATCATCCCAAGGCAGGATAGGGAGGGAATCCATCTCCAAGCTCACTCACGTATATGTTGGCAGGATTTATCTCACAGGCTGTTGTACTGGGCCTCTGTTTCTAGATGACTATTGGTCAGAGGGCTTTTACAATACCTTGTCACGTGGGCCTCTCCATAGGGCACCTCATCACATGGCAACTGGCTTCCATCAGAGGGAGCAATGGAAAGAGCAGGAGAAGGGTGACCAAGGCAGGCATCGTTTTGTCCTTGTAGCCTCATCTCAGAAGTGATGTTATTACTTCTGTTGCATTCTCTTTGTTAGAAGTGAGTCACTAGGTCCAGAGGTGGGAATTTTACAAGGGTGTGAATGCCAGGAGGTGAGGGTGATTGGGGCCATTTAGAGGCTGCCTACCAGTGCTGAAGAAAATTATTGACTTCTATGAGCTGTAGTAGCAGACAGTGCTATGCAAAGAGAATGGCTGCCTCAAAAGTCCAACTCCTCACATTGGTTTTAATGTGTTGCCTTTTCCCCCCCATACATTTTGTTTAAATCCATGTTAATCTTGCCATTTAGTGGTGTGGTTTAATTGCATATTTGGGTTAGTCTGTATGTAAATGTTTAACATAGGTGTCTCTGTGCTAAACAGGAATCCTCTTCATCTTTCTCACCAATATGTTTTGTGGACTCTGACGAGCCAAATCTGACATCAGTTCTGGAACATCTAGAAGATACTAAGAACAACCATTCAGTGAAGAGAGAAGCCAAGCTATTTTCTCTTTTCCTCATGAACATTATATTTAGAAATTAAATGTTAAGAGATAATATGATATAATGTTAAGAGATAATATGATATAAAAGCATGATTAATGACTATAATCTTAGAGGAATTAAAGTCTGGGTATTTTAAGTCCTTCAAATCTTATTTACTACCTGGTTTCTCTTTATTATTTCCCACATGTATAACCTTAGTTTAGATTAGGAATTCAAGATCTCCTTTTCCTGAATGCTAACCATTAAGCCAAGCAAGCATTTTGGGTAGAGATGACTAGCCAAGGTGGGAGGTAGAAAAAAGACCAAGGTGGAACTGAAGGGAGAGATGGGTAGAGTCACACCAGAACTAGTGCGAGGGAATTGCCTTTTCTTTCAAGGGTCTGTAAGTCTGCAGTAAAAGTCAAAGGTATTTAAATAGAAAGTTTTGTTTTTGTTTTTAGTATATAAAGAAGTATAACTTTCCATGTTGCAAAAATTTTAAAAACCTTTATTATAAAACTCATAAGCAACCATAAGCTTATAAAACTCATAAGCAATCAATAGTAAAATATAGAAAAGAAAAAAAATTAAAGTCTCTCATAATTTTTCTACCTAATATAATCACTGTTGACATGATGGCTATTTTCTACCAGTATATATTTTTTCTTTGCTAGTAAAATACATAACCCTTATACATATTTTTAAATAGTTGAGGTCATATTCTCTATAGTTTTATATTCTTTTAAAAAGCATTTACTAGGCTGGGCATGGTGGCTTACATCTGTAATCCCAGCACTTTGGGAGGCCGAGGCAGGCGGATCATGAGGTCAGAAGATCGAAACCATCCTGGCTAACACGGTGAAACCCCATCTCTACTAAAAATATAAAAATTATCCGGGTATGGTGGCTGGTGCACCTGTAGTCCCAGCTACTCGGGAGATTGAGGCAGGAGAATGGCGTGAACCTGGGAGACGGAGCTTGCAGTGAGCCGAGATCATGCCACTGCACTCCAGCCTGGGGGACAGAGTGAGACTCCATCTCTAAAAAAATTAAAAATTAAAAATTTTAAAAAAGCATTTACCGTATTTTCCCATGATGTCATAATCTTTATAGAAAAATAACAATCATTATTTTAAGTTGACATAATTGTTTACCTAAAAATATCCAAAGGAACCAACTGACAACAATTTTTAAGGTTGCTGGTTAAAAGCCCCATTACTGAAAAATCAATAGCCTACCCCAATATTAGCTATAATCACATAGGAGATATAGTGATAAAGTATTTTTTCAAGTATTTCAGCAAAAATTAAATACCTAGGAATAAACTTAGATGTGCAGGACTTTTATCAAGAACATGACAAAATTTTGCTGAGTGGAATGAAAGATTTGCATTCTATGTCCCTGGATGAGCAGATTTCATATTATAAATATGTTAATTATCACCATGTCTTCATATTAATTTATAAATATAATTTCTGCTGGGCACAGTGGCTCACACTAGTAATCCCAAAAGTTTGGGAAGCTGAGGCGGGTAGATGACAATTAGCTGGGTGTGATGGCACACACTTGTAGTCTCAACTACTCAGGAGGCTGAGGTGGGAGGATCACTTGAGCCTTGGAAACAAAGATTGCAGTGATCTGAGATCATGCCTCTGAACTCCAGCCTAGGTGACAGAGTGAGACCCTGTCTTAAAAAAAAAAAAAAAAACCCAGCAGATTTATTTTTGGAACTTGAAAAAATGACTCTAAAGTTTGTGTAGAAGAGTAAATAATAAAAAATAATAAAGAATAGACTTGTTCAACCAGATATTAAATAAAATATTGTGGAATAGCCCTGGGCCAGACAGATAAAGGCAATAGAAGTTTAGAACCAGAGTCATGCTAATGAGAATTTTATAAGACAAAGGTGGTATTTTAACTTAATAGGGAAAAGATAGATTATTCTGTAAATAGTCTTAGGAGAACTGACCATCTGAGGAAGTTTGGGTCTTAACTCCAGTTTTTGTCAAAATAAGTTATAGTTGGTTTAAACGCATATATTCTTAAGAAATGAAGAACAGGGATTTGAAGATATTTTAAGAGTTAAGGCTGAGGCTGGGCACAGTGGTTCATGCCTGTAATCCCAGCACTTTGCGAGGCCAAGGTGGAAGGATTGCTTGAGCCCAGGAGTTTGAGATCAGCCTGGGCAACATGGCAAGACCCCCTCTTCTCTCTCTGTCTCTCTCTCTAGTTATAGATATACATACACATATACCAAAAAAAGAGTTAAGTTTTATATGGAGAGCCATGAAGATAAGAGGTAAAAATTAATTAAAAGCTAGATGGACACATGTTTCCTTCTCCAGCAAGGGGGTTGATGGGAAAGAATGATAGACATAGCTCTGTTATTGCTACCTCCTTTTAGGAAGTTGCTTCTGAACATCTAAAGATAACAGTTTTATAATAGCAAAAATGAGTTATTTTTTACTAAAACATTACATAAACATGTTCATAAAGTTAAATGAAGTAGGATATAAAATTGGGCCTAGTGTTTATAAAAGTAAATATATTTACATGAAGGAGAAAACTCACCTCCCACTCTTACAGCCTCTGCCAGTTTACCATAGCTAGTTTCTTGAGCAGATAATCTATATGTCTTCAGCTTTTTTCATTGAATTCATTATAATCTGGATTCTGCCTTCATCATTGCACTAAAATTTATCTCCTAGTTGCCAAATCCAGTGTCTCCTCTCTTAGTCCCCAAATTGACCCCTCTGCAGTATTTTGATACTGTTGATTGTTCCCTTGTTGAAACATTCCTCCATTCTGAATGTCCACCAATAAACAGTTGGTTAAATAAAAATTATAGTGTATAGTTTTATAATAGAGTATTCTGTTGTAGACCAAAAAATGCAGCCAGTCCTTCCATAAGCATGTGCAAACTTCTAAGATATATTAAGTAAAAAAGTAAGGCATAAAATACTGTGTATAATCTGGCCCCTTTAGTACACAGTGTAAAAAAATCCATATCTGTGCTTGTTTATACTTTTTTCTCCCCTGGTGGATACAGCAAACTGTGAATAGTAGAACCCAATTTAAAAAAACATTGAGTGGCTTCTGTGTCAGGCCCTGTGATAATTGAGTATAAAAGACAAAAAAGGCATGTCCCTATCCTCTGGGAAGGGACATGATAATCTAATGGGACTTCCATCAGATTCCTTTCTTCTGTTTTGATCTTATCACCCTGCCTTGGTCTCCTCCAATCTCTTCTTCCTTGGCCTACTTCTTTCTTCTCTTTTCATTCTGTGCTTTCTCTGAGTAATCTTTGACTCCCATTACTGAAGTCATGACCTGTGTTCCAGGGATTCCTAAATTCGCATTCACCTCTAGAGTTTCAAACTCATATATCTGTCTGTATATCATATATGTTAGGGAATCTCACTTGGAGTGCCATGGGTGTTCAAAATGATGACATTTACATTTTCATGTATCCACCTCCTAGCACTCTATCAGCCCCATCATGTGTTCCCTCAGTAATTCTCCTTGTCATTGTGAGTGGGACAAAATGATATAATCAAACTAGTCACCCATGCCTAACCCTGGGAACTGTCTTAGCGTTCTTTCATATGCTACTGTTCTCTGACCTCCCCAAACTAGTAAATCTCTAAGACCAGCCCTTCTGAATGTCTCTTACTATTTTCCCTGTGATCTCAGCTTCTTCTTCCCATCCTTCAAATGCTTTGTATGTGTGTATCATGAGGGAAGGGAGTAAAATTGAAATTTGTGGAAAATGTACTAACTTGTGTTTCTTGTTGCTTGATATGACTCCGCTACCCTGCTGCCTCTCTCCCCCAGCACTCCTGTAGCCAATTCTGTGCCAGAGGTCAGAGTGTCCAGGTCTGTGTCCGGATCACCCCGCCTCATCTTCATTATGTAGTTAGCACAAACAGCGTATTGGGTGCATAACAAATCCACACTGGGGCTTCGAGCTTCCTTTTAAGCATGAGGATTTTTGGTGGATCCAAATTTACTGTTCAACTTTCCTTGTTTCCACTTGCTTCATTGCTCACTTTGGGAAGGCTTATTCTTTGCTTTGTTAACCCATTCTAATCCTGTGTCTTCTTTCCTTGTCCTTTGTAAACCTGCTTCTTTCTCTTCATCTCTTTTCTTGATCAGAGACACCCAGGAAATTGTTCCTGACCAAGTGAAGTGAGTGCCTTATTAGATCCCATTTGAGTCACCTTATACATTGAAAATCATTTTAAACAACGAAAACCATACTTGTGCACATAGTTTACGTTACTTGCTTAAAGTAAATATGCTTACAACACAATTTCGACTTAAATTTGGAAATTTACAGTTATTCTTTGCAGTTTCCTAGTGAATTATTATTTTTTAGACAGACACTTACAAGCCAACTAAGTATCCAGTGTTTTCACAGGTTTCAGTTAATCTTTACCATTCTGGGAAAGTTTTCATTTCTTTGTTTTACAGATGGGGAGACTCAAACTCAGGGAATTAGATTCGATATCCAAGGTCATCTAGATTCCCAGGCTCTGTCTGCTAGATCACATTTGCTTATGTACTTTTAACTGACTATGACTGGAATGTATAATTTTATAATCCATGTGTAGCAACACTGCCTATGTGTTTTTTTTCTTTTTCTTTTTGGTAGCCTCATTAATGCATTAATGTTCTCTTGTCTGAAGTTGTAAGTTCCTAAGAAAACAAGGTAGCAATGAGAAATTGGACAATGTCTGGAACTTCTTCCTGTGCCTTAATTGTTGTCATTCTGCTAGGTATCAGTTGTAGTGATTGTACACCCAAGCCATAGTAACTTTCTTAAACTAGAGGCTCCTGAAAATATTTTGAAGAGTATTGTTTTAACTGTAAGCTGCAATTGAGCAGTAACAAACATTTTTATTTCCTACTGGATTGATTACAGTAGTCATAACATTATTGGTGTCTTCTAAGGGCTCTTTAACATGCTTATTTACTGAAATGTGTTTTGTAGCTTTGTCAGCAATTGAAGTGGTTGATATGTGAACTCTGCAGATTATATAACCTTCCTAAGCACCTGGATGTTGGGTAACAGTTACAATATAGTAGAAAAGGATACTGAGAGAATGGGGGCAGGCCAACCTTAAATGGAGTGGGGAGGTGGCACTAAGCTAAAACTGCCAGGATGAAAAGAAGTCAGACGTTAAGAGTGGACGAGGATATTATCAAGGCAAGACACCGAATGTGTAAAATCCCAGAGGCAGGAGAGAGGGATGTTTCTGAGGATCTGAGAGCTCCATGAACCAGCACAGGGGTTTGCCGGGTTTGGGGTCATGGTATAATCTAAGAGAGGCCATCAGAGGCTCGATCTTGCTGGCCTGGTAGGTCCTGATAAAGAATTTGGATTTTACTTTATTTGCAGTAGAAAGCTCCTGATGGTTTTACCCAGGGGAGTAAACATAATCTTACGGATGTTTTAAGAAGCTTATGTTTGAGGCAAACATTTTATCCTTTGCTTTAACATTTGTTCTCTCTCCTTCTATAATTTTTTTTCTGAACCATTTGAACATGAGTTACATACATCATAACTAAATACTTTAGCTTATTTTTACGAAGGATGGAGATCTCATATAGCTTTAGAACAATTATCAACTTCATAAATTTACATGAACAATACTTTTATCTAATGTACCATCTGTATTCCAATTTTGTCAGTTTGTCTAATAGTGTTCTTTGTAGCAATTTTACCCCTTCCAGGATCCAATCTGGAGTAAGGTATTGCATTTAATCATCATGACTTTAGTACCATTTAATCTGGAGCATTCCAGATTTTGTCTTTCATTATATAAACATTTTTGAAGAATTCAGTTTCTCCCCTCCACCGTTAAAAACAAACGTTCCTCATTTTGTGTTTATGTGCTGTTTCCTTGTGATTAGATTGGGGTTATGTATTCTTGGTATAAATTCTGTACAGGGGTGTTATACCTTCTTTAGAATATCACATCTGGAGGTACATAAAGTCCACCTGTTCCTCATAGGTGATGTTCATTTTGATCACCTGATCAAGATATTGCCTGATTTCTCCATTGTATAATTACTTTTTGTTTTCTCCCTTGCAACTGGTTAACAGCCTGTGGGGGAACATTTTATGTCCATGCCAGTATCCTGCTGCTTTTCAGCACTGCCCCCTAGATTGAGCATGATGATTCTTGTCTGATCCAGTCCTTACTATGAAGGTGGCAAAGTGATGGTTTTCTAATTTCCCATTTACCTGTGTTTGCCATTTAGTCCATGGCATAGACTATAAACTGAGCTCTGGCTTCTTTCCCATTTTTTTCTATTATTGGTTGGACTTGTGAGTTCCCATATTTTTTAATGGTTTACAATTCATTACTTAATTATTTTTGAAGTTCAATTGGTTTGGCTGGTGGGATCCCTTCAAGCTGGTTCCTGTGCCCTTGTATCATGTTCCCATCATTTTTGTGGAGAGCGCTTTGTTAATTTCCAGCAAAACAAAGTGCTCTACGCTTATCTTGAACTTACATGTCTGATATCATTTGGATATCTGTCCCCTCCAAGTCTCATGTTGAAATTTCACCCCCAGTGTTGCAGGTGGGGCCTAGTGGGAGGTGTCTGGTTCATGAGGACAGATCCCTTATGAATGGCTTGGTGCCGTCCTCGACAGATCCCTTATGAATGGCTTGGTGCCGTCCTCGACAGATCCCTTATGAATGGCTTGGTGCCGTCCTGGACAGATCCCTTATGAATGGCTTGGTGCCGTCCTGGACAGATCCCTTATGAATGGCTTGGTGCCGTCCTGGACAGATCCCTTATGAATGGCTTGGTGCCGTCCTGGACAGATCCCTTATGAATGGCTTGGTGCCGTCCTGGACAGATCCCTTATGAATGGCTTGGTGCCATCCTCGACAGATCCCTTATGAATGGCTTGGTGCCGTCCTCGACAGATGCCTTATGAATGGCTTGGTGCTGTCCTCACAGTAATGATTGAGTCCTCACTCTTAGCACCTGTGAGAACTAATTATTTAAAAGAGCCTCACATCTCTCCCCTCTCTCTTGCTTCTGCTTTCCTGTCATGTGACTTTTGTACATGTGGGCTCCCCTTTGCCTTCTGCCATGAGTGGAAGATTCCTGAAACCCTCACCAGATGCAGATGCTGGCACCATGCTTCTTGTACAGCCTGCAGAAGTGTGAGCCAAATATACCTCTTTTCTTTGTAAATTATCCAGCCTCAGGTATTTCCTTGTAGCAACATAAATGGACTAAGTCAATGTCCCAGCTCTGGAATAGGCCTTTCTGCCAGGAACCCTTTAATGAGGAAAGGTATTAGAGGTCGGGACCTTTATCTCTTGGTTATCTACTTGTAGATAACCAAATTCATTGTTTTCTAGTTTATTTTCTGTTTCTTTTTGTGATGATAAGCAGATATATGCATGTTTTCATTTTCTCTTTTTTCTTATACAACATGTAACATACTACATGTGTACATTACTGTTTTTTTTTTGTTTGTTTGTTTGTTTTGACGGAGTCTTACTCTGTTGCCAGGCTGGAGTGCAGTGGCGTGATCTTGGCTCACTCCAACCTCCACCTCCCTGGTTCAAGAGATTCTCCTGCCTCAGTCTCCTGCATAGCTGGGACTATAGGCGTGCACCACCACGCCCAGCTAATTTTTGTATTTTTAGCAGAGACAGGGTTTCACCATGTTGGCCAGGATGGTCCCAATCTCTTGACCTTGTGATCTGCCTGCCTTGGCCTCTCAAAGTGCTGGGATTACTTGCGTGAGCCACTGTGCCCAGCCTGAACATTACTTTTTTTGCTTCATAAAATCTCCTGGAAATCGTTCCATATCAGTTCAGAGATCCTCTTAATTATTTTTTTAACAGCTTCATAGTGCTCCATTTTTTGTGTGTACTATAGCTTATTGAACCAATCTCCTATGAGGTACTTTACAATCACAACTCTTCCGTTGAATTTGTGTGCATATGCATTTTTGCCTTCTTGTATCTTCAGAATAAATTTCTAGAAGTGGGATTGCTGGGTTGAAAAAGAAATGTATATTTAGTGTTATTAGAACTTTGTCATTGCTTTATTTTGCTGTCATTTTTCTCAATTTTTCAATTGAGAATTTATTTCCATTCTTTTGTTTTTATCAATATAGGTGTTAGAGTTATGATTTTTTTCTGATTACTGATCTGTGTATTGCATAGATTTGTAGTATTTTCATTATCACTATTTTAAAGAAAGTCTGTACTTTCCTTTTTCATTTCTCCTTTCAATAAAGAGATGCTTAAGAGTTTTAAAATTTCCATGTGAAAAGGCTTTTTGTTGTTGTTTTATTTTTAATTTCTAATTTTATTGCATTGGGGGCTGAGAGTGTTGTACCTAATATTTCTACTTTATGAAACCTACTGAGGTCTTTCTTGAGCTCTACAAATGATTAATTTATATGAAGAATCTATACATTTGTTTAAGAGGAAGGTGCATCTTCCATTTTCAGGGTATAGTTTATATAGATAGATATTTATATATACATATTGATAATGTGAATATATTCAAAATATCTACTTTTTAATTATATTGTTTGGGTCTTTTACATCCTTACTTTTTTGTGGGGGCACTTGAATGTACTCAGAGAGTGGTTTGTTATTTTCCTTTTTTTTTTTTTTTTTGAGATGGAGTTTTGCTGTTGTTGCCCAAGCTGGAGTGCGATGGCATGATCTCAGCTCACCACAAACTCCACCTCCTAGGTTCCAGCAATTCTCCTGCCTCAGCCTCCCAAGTAGCTGGGATTACAGGCATGCGCCACCACACCCAGCTAATTTTTTGTACTTTTAGTAGAGATGGGACTTCTCTATGTTGGTCAGGCTGGTCTCGAACTTCTGACCTCAGGTGATCTGCCCACCTCGGCATCCCAAAGTGCTGGGATTACAGGCATGAGCCACCACACCCAGCCTTGTTATTTTCCTCTTATTAGTGTGTTTCTCTTTCTCCTTTAGTTTCCTGTAGTTTTTTTCAAATTACAGGTGTATAGATATTCATAATTGCTATATTTTCATTGTGGAATGTGGCACTTAACATTACAAAATGTCCTTCTTTGTCTTATTTAATGCTTTTTGGCTTGAATAATTTTTTAGTATATGTCTCAAATATTGCATGGGACATATTTATATAAACATTATTTTTTGTTTATCTGAAGTTCAAATGTAAATGTGCACTGTGTATTTTATCTGGCAATCCTAAATACAGAAAAGTCCTAGAAACAAAGACTGCTGCCAGGACCCACATTGTGTGATTTAAATTACAATTCCCATTAAAATGGACTAGGCCACCTTGGAGAAATGATAGATTCCTTGAATATAAGATGAGCCTGAAACATTTTATCAAACCAAAAATCAAGGAAGCAATTAAATTCTCAGGCGTCAACTTAAAGAAGCTTCTGCTCCAGAAGAGTGCAGAACCATCTGTAAATCATGGCCAAATTTTACCTTCCTCAGTCAACTGGTCATATAAAACTTTTCATGAGGCCACAGGAGTTGTGATCATCTGGGTGACTTGTTTATGCCAAAAACTCGTACATAATCTGTTTGAGCCTGATCTGGCATACACCTCTTTTATTTAATGATAGGATGCTGCTGTATATACCCAACCTTAGGCTTGATGGGTCAAATAACATTCAATTCATGGAGGGAAACTTGGGTAGCATGGTAATTTGATGGTCCCTGATGAAGCACTCAATCTCTACTATGGCCCAGTAGCAAACCAGAAGCTGCTTCTCAAAAGCAGAATAGTTAATCCCAACACTTTGGGAGGCAAAGGTGGGAAGATCACTTGAGGACAGGAGTTCAAGACCAGCCTGGGCAATGTAGCAAGACCCCATCACTACAAAAATTTTTTTAATTAGCTGGGCATGGTGGTATGCACCTGTAGTCCCAGTTACTCAGGAGGCTGAGGTGGGAGGGTTGCTTGAGCCCAGCAGGTCGAGGTTGCAATGAGCCAAGATCTTACCACTGCACTCTAGGTTGGGTAACTCTTATCTGCCACAGACATTTCAAGCACCATCAGATCTGTTGCTCATGTGGCCCACATAGAAAAGTAGCTTGCATAGCAGCATTACCTGTTTCAGAATCTTGTTAGGTTCTCAGTCTTACTTAACACTGGCAGTCTTGAGTTACATAGTAATTGGTTTAGAAAAATAATGTCCAAATGAGGTATATGTTGCCTCCAAAGTGGCATCTCTAAATGCTCTGAATTACTTAATGCCTAGAAGTTTCACTGAGGTGACAGCCCTCTGAATTTTTACATTTGGGGATATATTTCCTTCTCTACCACCTCCACATGCCTTATCAAGGTGACTATAGTATTTGCTATTTCCTGCTCATCAGGGAAAATCAGCATGCTATCATCAATGATAGGACACCAGCATGATATCCTATGGAATACAGCAGCAATCAAAGTCCTTGTGGACTAGATTATCACATAAAACTAAAGAGTTTATATTGTCTTGTGGTGATACCCTGTGAAGGTGTATTGCCAGCCTTGTCAGCTGAAATAAAATGGTGCTCGATAGCCCTTAACTAATAGATATAAAGAAAGAAGTATTAGCCAGCTCAATAGGTGCATATCAGGTGCTAGGGGTTATGCTGATTTACTCCAACAATGAAATCATATCTGGAAGAGCAGCTGCAACTGGAATCACCATCTAATTAAATTTATATTAATCTACTATAATTCTCTAACATCCATTTGTCTTCTACATAGGCTAAATGTAAATGGGATGGTAAGGTAAGGTAAATGGGGTGTGATGAGAATCTCCACCCCTGCATCTTTCAAGTTCTTGAAGGCAACAGTAATCTGTGCAATTCCTTCAGGAATGCAGTATTACTTTTGATTTATTATTTTTGTATGTTGATAAAGTTCTAGTGGTTTCTGCTTGGCCTTTCCTACCAGAATAATAGCCTTATGTCCGAGGGTCAGGGAAACACTGTAGGGATTCTGCCAGTTTGGAGTATATCTATTCAAACTCTGCATTCTGGAACTGACGAAATAACTACAGTGTGAGTTTGGAAACCCAATGGGCTCACTGGGTATTGTGTGATCCTAGCTAAAACCTGGAAATAACCCAAATTTTCCATCAACAAATGAATAAACAAATTATGGTATATCCATACAATGGAATACTACTCAGAAAAAAAGAACAATAGATACACACAAACATAGGTAAATATCAAAATTATTGTGCCGACTGAAAGTAGCTAAACAAAAGGAGGACATACGGTGTGGTTCCATGTGTAGAAAAATCAAGAAAATGCAAACTAACCTATAGTGACAGGAAGCAGACTGGTGGTTGCCTAGGTATTGGGAATGGAGACCCAAGAGAGACAAATTCCAGAGGGTCCCGAGGAAATTCTGGGGTGGCTTAAGTGGGTCCATGACATTCAGTGATGTGTTGGTCATGACAGAATGGCAGAAGCAGAAACTCCATGGCAGTGGATTGAGAAATGATGAATAATGAGGAGTCAGTGGGTCCTATGTAACTGTATCCAGAGGCTTCCTGAGGAAGGACTAAAAAAGATACAGTGATATTGGTTAGCAACATACTTCATGGAATCTCCTCCTGGGTGCTGTTTGGGATTCCACTTAGCTTAATCCAATGAGCTTGTCCCCCTCCGCTCCTTCTCCTGCACTGATTCTGCTCCTGGAGTGGAATTTACCTGCTTTTCCTCCTTGCTAACATCTCCCAACCTTTATTTTCCAGAGCAAAATAAACCTTTTCCCCTTTCTCAAAATTTTCTCCCTTTCTCAAACCACACCAGTCCAAGCTAAGCTCTTCCACTTCAGGACTCTTATAAGGGCATTATTACCTGTATCACATTATATGACATGCTCAATTAAATTCTGCCAAAGTTGAAAAGTACTAGTGTTAAGTGTGTAGAAACTGGCATCAGACTATCTGAGTTTGATTCCCCCTTTGTCATGTAGTGGCTGTGTGACCTTAGTCAAGTAACACAGTCTCACTGTGCTTCAATTTCTCCAGCTATAAGCGGATATAACAGTATCTCCTGTTATGAAGATTAAAGGAGTTACTACTGTTACAGAGTTTAGAACAGTGTTTGTCACATCCTAAGCCCTAAGAATAGTGATAAAAATCAATTTCTGTTCCTGCTCCAGGAAGTTTCACGCTCATGGTTAAGAGGGATACAAAGATATATGTGGCATTTGCCCTAGACTCAAGGAGCCAGTAATTTCGTGCTGGTCGGATTTAGATTTCACAGCGATTTTCTATATGCCCTGGCCCAGAGGCCTCAGTACTTGGGCAAGTTTGGCACGAAAGGCCAGAAAGTCCATTTATAATGAATGGCCACTTTTTAGAACCTGTTTGCAAGGCAAAAGAATGGTGACTGCCAGAATTCAAGAGGAAGAAAGGGTGAAGCCTTTTTGGAGAACGCAGACGATGGCCTTTTTGCAAGGTTTTGGAAGATTTTCGTTTCAACGGACTAAAAACTACTGCCAATAGCCTCTAGACAGGCCTCGAAAGGCAGGGGAGGCCCTTCAGACCCCATTTCCCCACTGCCCGTGACCCTAAGGTGGGCCTGGCCTCAGGCCCCGCCCCGCCCCGCCCCTGCAGGGTATCTGGCCTCAGGCCCCGCCCCGCCCCGCCCCGCCCCTGCAGGGTATCTGGCCTAGGCCCCGCCCCTCCCCGCCCAGCGCCCCGCCCCTGCAACGTGTAGGCCTCGGCTCCAACGAGGCCCCATGGCTCCGTCCCCGCCCCATCGCCCCGCCCCTCCCGGGAGCCCTGTCTTCTGCCGTGCGCTGAGTGTCCGCGTCGCCCTCGCCGCAGTCGCGGGCACCCCGCTCGGCGTCGGTGCCTGAGGGAGGCCGCGATGGCGGCCGAGGCCCTGGCGGCGGAGGCCGTGGCGTCGCGCCTGGAGCGGCAGGAGGAGGACATCCGCTGGCTGTGGTCGGAGGTCGAGCGCCTGAGGGACGAGCAGCTGAACGCGCCCTACAGCTGCCAGGCGGAGGGGCCGTGCCTCACGCGGGAGGTGGCGCAGCTCCGGGCCGAGAACTGCGACCTGCGCCACCGCCTGTGCAGCCTGCGGCTGTGCCTCGCCGAGGAGCGGAGCCGCCAGGCCACGCTGGAGAGCGCGGAGCTAGAGGCGGCGCAGGAGGCCGGCGCACAGGTAACCGGGCGGTGGGGACACTGGAGAGGACGCGGGCGGGGCGGGCCGAGACGGTGCGCACCGAAAGGTTTTCAACTGCGGGGGCAGGTGCGGGGGCGCCCCGGGGGAGTGCCCTCCCAGTGCCCTGCGGCTGGCCCGCCCTGCCCTGCTCGGTGGTCCCGTGTGGCCTGGGGAGCCGCCGGATTTCCAGCAGTCGCCAGACTTAACCAAATGCTGTTGATTTCTCAATTCGTCCATTAAAGAGCCTGCCACGCATCTTTTTCAGTAGCAGAAATAGTGTTTTCATTTGTTTGAAAAAATGCTGGAGTGTTTAAAACTCATTCTTTCCTTGGTCAGAAAGACTAACAGCTGCGTATGTAAACTCTCATTCCCTCTGGTTCTTTTTTGTTGTTGGGTTTTTTTTGGACGAGAAGTTTTCGCTTTTTGTGCTCTTGTTTTGGTGGTTCATCTTGAGAGGATAGCTGTATATTTAACATTTTTATTTAATACAGTATTTTATGATTTGTAGAAAGGATAAATTATCTTCTTTTAACATCATACTTTCTGAGTCCTGAAGCTTCTCAGGCTGAGATGTTCTGCAGTCCTTTAGGAAGGACAGCTGCGGTGAACTAGCAACATCTTCAGGAAATAGTGCATTTGATGTGGCGGGCAGCAACCACACATTTTCCAGCCACATTATTTGTTTAAAGTTCAGGACAAAAGGTTTTCAAGAGCACAATATATTAAATGTGCTTAGCAACAGTGTGACAGGAAGGACTGAACCCTGGAGAATGACTTGCCCACTGAGAGCTGTAGCTGGTGGTCAGGAGAGCCCAGCTATGAGCCTCTAAACACGGGGCACTTGCAGCCTGCTGGCATGACTCTCTTCTTAAAATGTGTTGCTTTTTCTTGCCATTGATGTGAGTCATTTATAATTTATCTTTCAGCCTCCTCCTAGTCAAAGCCAAGACAAGGACATGAAAAAGAAGAAAATGAAGGAAAGCGAGGCTGACAGCGAGGTAAGTTGTTGCTGTGGAAACAATATAAAATACTACCTGTAATTTTAAATATGTGTATATAGTTAATTACCTAGGATTTCCAATAAAAATTACTGATTAAATTATTATTTGGGTCACATTAGTGTATTTAAAACTTTTCAAGCCTTAAATATGAGATGTCTTGAGAAATGAGCTGCCCATGTTTAATAAACACGTGTATTTAATCTATTTAAGTTGTGCTACTAGAGTACTAGAGTTGGTTTTTTTTGTTTGGTTGGTTTTTTTTTGTTTTTTGAAGGCGGAGGTTTGCTCTTGTTGCCCAGGCTAGAGTGCAATGGCATGATCTCGGTTACTGCAGCCTCCACCTCCCAGGTTCAAGCGATTCTCCTGCCTCAGCCTCCTGAGTAGCTGGGACTACAGGTGCATGCCACCAAGCCCGGCTAATTTTTTTTTTTTTTTTTTTTTTTTTTTAGTAGAGATGGGGTTTCACCGTGTTAGCCAGGAGGATCTCGATCTCCTGACCTCATGATCCGCCCACCTTGGCTTCCCAAAGTGCTGGGATTACAGGCGTGAGCCACCGCCCCCGGTCTTTTTTTTTTTTTTGTATTCGAGAAACTAGCTACTTTGCTTTTGTATATAAAGCATTAAAACAATCAGTAAGTATTTATCTAGCATCAACATTTGGTAGGAGTGAAGAAGGAATACCTAGGCCCAAAGAAGTTAGTCTGGTTGAGGAATTCAGGCAGACTCAGGACAAACAACTAGAGAACAGAGTACGATGGTATACAAGTAAGTGCTGTAATGTGTGACTCTGTACACGTTCTGTAAACAGTAGAAAAGGGAGGTGTCATGGGGGCTGGGCGTGGGGCTGTCTCAAAGGAAAAAAAAAAAAAAAAGGGAGATGCCAGCGGGTAAAATAGGTAGAGGAGGCAGGCTTTGAGGTGGACCTTTAGAGCTAAGGAGAAGTTAGATAGGCAGAGAGGAGCCTTTTGGAGGTGGGAAGTACACATGCTCTTAGTCTTACAGTTGGGTTATGTCCCAATAAAACCAATGTGAGTTAAAAATGTATTTAATACACGTAAGCTAGTGATCATCGTAGTTTAGCCTAGCCTACATTAAAAGTGCTCAGAACACTTAGATTAGCTTACAGTTGGGCAAAATCCTCTAACATAAAGCCTATTTTATTATGAAGTGTTGAATATCTCATGTAATTTATTGAATACTGTACTGAGTGAAAAACACAATGGTTGTATGGATACTCAAAGTACAGTTTCTACTGAATGCATATGACTTTCACATCACTAAAGTTGAAAAATTGCGGCTGGATACGGTGACTCACGCCTGTAATCCCAGCATTTTGGGAGGCCAAGGCAGGTAAATCATTTGAGGTCAGGAGTTCGAGACCAGCCTGGCCAACATGGCGAAACCCCATCTCTACTACAAATACAAAAATTAGTCTGGCAGGGTGGTGCGTGCCTGTAATCCCAGCTACTCGGGTGGCCGAGGCAGGAAAATCGCTTGAACCTAGGAGACAGAGGCTGCAGTGAGCTGATTTCGTGCCCCTGCACTCCAGCCTGGGCGACAAAGCAAGACTCCATCTCAAAACAACAGCAACAACAACAACAAACCAAAAAACAACAACAACAACAAAATCGTAATTCAAACCATGGTAAGCTTGGGACCATCTGTAGAACTGAGAAGGCAGTAAGGGGGTGAGCCTGATTCAGAGCTGAGCAGCTGGAAAACAGTAGGCTGTATATATTAATCTCATTATGTTCTAATAATTTCCAGGTGAAGCATCAACCAATTTTCATAAAAGAAAGATTGAAGCTTTTTGAAATACTGAAGAAAGACCATCAGCTCTTACTTGCCATTTATGGAAAAAAGGGGGATACAAGCAACATCATCACAGTAAGAGTGGCTGATGGGCAAACAGTGCAAGGGGAAGTCTGGAAAACAACGCCTTACCAAGTGGCTGCTGAAATTAGGTAAACCGCAGTGTGGAAAAGATATTCAATCTTAAGTAATTATACTGAAGCCTGGTGAAAATGTTTTCTTAGGGACCGCTAATATATTACTCCATTCTCACGATACTAAAAGGACATGTCTGAGACTGGGTTATTTATAAAGGAAGAAGATTTAATTGACTCACAGTTCCGCAGGGCTGGGGAGGCTTCAGGAAACTTACAGTCGTGGCAGAAGGGGAAGCAAGCATGTCCTTCTTCACATGGCAGCGGCAAGGAGAAGTGCAGAGCAAAGTGGGGGGAAAACCCCTTATAAAACCATCAGATCTCATGAGAATGCACTCACTATCAAAGAACAGCATGGAGGTAACAGCCCCTGTGATTCAGTTACCTCCCACTGGGTCCCTTCCACAAAACGTGGGGATTATGGGAACTAGAGTTCAAGATGAGGTTTGGATGGGCACACAGCCAAACCATATCAGCTAATTTTTTTTTTATTCAGTTGAATAAATTAAATGTATTTAATTTTTTTCCTCTGGCTTCTCCAAGGGCCATGTAAATAAGTAGTTGAATATCAGAACACAATCATTTCCTGTTCTAATAAAAATATATAGGAGAGAAAAAAATCTGTAATTCTTGATAGGCCATTTTACACTGACTTTATTCGTCAATCAAGTAATTTCCATGAGTTTTTACAGGTCTTTTAAGTATAGATTGAAGATAAATGTTTTAGAGCTATTATCAGTCTTGGAAAAGTGCTTTGACTTTTCTAGAAATTAGATACATTAGTGAACTTATATTGTTTTGACTCATGTTAATTCTTAGCATTAAATACAATTGTATAGAAGCTATTGTATAAATACAATTATATAGCTTCTATACAATTGTATTAATGCCATGTAAATAAATGTTCATCATTTAAAAAGCAAACTGTTTCAACAACTGAAATTCTCAGATTTTCTTTGAAAACTATGGCTAAGATTGTATTTCTGATTCATCCTATTATATTGTTAAATGCTCTCCCAGCCTGTTTTCATGTTTTCCAGGAGGAATGATGTGCTAGGAGAAAACAGGTTTTGAGGCAAGAATAAGTTTGTTTTCTCATGGAGAGTCAGGTTGCATGTTAAATGTGTTGGGTCAGTATTTCTCAAAGTGTAGTCCCCAGACCAGCAGCATGGGCATCACCTGGAAACTTGTTAGAAAAGCAAATTTGGGGATCCCACCTCAAACCCCCTGAATTGATCAGCCATCAGTGTTTTTATGAGCTCTCCAGGGGCTTCTAATGCAAGCTAACCGTCTAGAAGTGACCAGTCAAGCCTAGTGGACATCTCTGGTCCATGCAGTTATTTATGGACCCAGCTTCCTCCCATCTTGTTGATCTGCTGTCTCCTAGGTAGGGTTTCTTTGTGTCTAGCGGTGGAAGCTGGGTCCTTGCATGGGCCTGCCTGCAGTCAGGAGGAAGAGAAGCTGCAGAGCAATGATGCTTTGAGGCCAAGACCCCATAGTGGCTGGCTTCAGTTTCCACTTACATCCTCTTAGCTCACATTTAGTCACATGGCTATGCCTAGCTGTAAGAGAGAATTGGAATATAGCTCCCTTGGCCGCCCAGCCACATGTCCAGCTAAAGCATTCATACCATGGAAGAGAGGAATGGTTTATGGAACAACAGAGAGTCTGCCACAGTCTGCCCCTCTGACATCCAGATATCTGTGGGTACTCTTCTTTCAACATCTGACACACTCACTCCCCAAGTGAGACAACTCTTATGTTCCATAGCTCAAAGCCTGGGATTTCTGAGTGATGTACAGAACACCCCCCATCAGGCTGACCACTTGTATTCTAGCAACAAATAAACTGATAGACAAGTCTGCTCACACCACACGTGCATACAGTACACAGAAGACAATCACAAAGTGTGTGCTTGGAAAAAAGAAGGAGGAGAAATATAGCAGGGAGTGGTATAGAGAAGTCATCAGATTCTGCTTGAAGCCACCTTGAGGCCCCACAGCCTGGCAGCAGTTAGTGCTTGTGTCAGCCCACCTGTTCATCCTTTGTTCTCTGGAAGCAGCTGTCTTATCCCATGATCCTCCATGGGCCCTGATTTTGCACTTTGGGAAGTTCGGAGTTGTCCATTACCCTCACTTGTCACATCTGAAGTGCACGAGTTTGTCCTCTTGGGATCTGTGCAGTTTCCACAGCTCAGTTCTGTGGTGCACATTTGGGGCCTGAGGGTTCCCTTAAGGATCACATAGTCACAGATATTTGTGAGCTGAGCTTATGATTTGTTTGGCAATACAATTACCATGATCAGTTAGCCATAGTAGGCTCTGGTCTGTTTGCAGCTAATCCGTTCCACATGAAAGTAATCTCACTTAAAGAATCTTCTAGATAGAGACTTCTCACCCTGTTGTTGCATGGCTTTTTTATTCGGCTCACTCCTGTCTCCTTGTTTAATGGACTGAGATCATATGAAGCAGAGGCTTGTGGGAGGGAGGCACTCTTGCTCTCTAATCCTTGCAGTTCCACTGGCCTCTATTGTCTGGATTTATGTGTGGCCTTTGAGAAGGGCTATCAATGCCTGTCCCTCCTGCGGTTTGGGAAAGAAGATTGTCTTTCCCATCTTGCATAGCTCCACGTTTCTGAACTTTTAGTCAGTTGAATTACAGGACACGGGCAGAGGGAGCCTCCCTATCCCTTCCACCTCTGCTGGCAAACTAGATTGTTTTCATCTGAGATAACTCATTCTTGTAGCTTCTTGCTGAAAGCAACAAGAGTTACCCAGGGTATACCAACACTGTCCCCCCACCTCCACCCCGCCCCTTTTCTCGATCTTGGCTCACCACAACCTCCGCCCTCCGGTTTCAAGCGATTCTCCTGCCTCAGCCTCCCGAGTAGTTGAGATTACAGGCATGCGCCACCACACCCAGCTAATTTTGTATTTTTAGTAAGGATGGCGTTTCTCCATGTTAGTCAGGCTGGTCTCGAACTTCCAACCTCAGGTGGTCTGCCCACAGCAGCCTCCCAAAATGTTGGGATTACAGATGTAAGCCACCACGCCCAGCCCTACTCTCCCCTTTTATACCTGCTTTCTTGTGTGCTACAAGCACTGTGACACATGGTTTGCCTGCAAGTTTTATCAAATATTTTGATATACTATCACAAAGGTTATTGGCTCTCCATATGTTAGAATCTGTTTCCTTGTTACTCACTGCCAGTCTGTTAAGCCAGTGCCACTTGTTTTGGATTTTTACTTCCAGGTCCTTATTTCTGTATTACTTAAGATATATACTAAGCTGCTACAACAAAGACATCACAAAAAACTCAAGTCGCTTGAATATGGTCAAAGTCTGTTTTTCATATAGCAGTCTAGACGTGGGTGGCCAGGTTGACTGGGTGACATGTCTCCATACGGTCTTTTGGGGACCCAGATTTCTCCCATCTTGTTGCTGATTTGTCTGGTACAATGTTGCCGTTGTCTACATGGTCCAGAAAGAATAGCACATGGGTTCCCATCTACAGAAGGTGGAGAGAGGTTGGAGAAGTGCCCTCCACTGTTTTAATGATGAGACACAGAAGTGTTACACATGACTTCTCCTTCTATCCATTGGCTCCAAACCTGGCCACATGGCCACATGTAGCTGCAAGGAAGGCTGGAAAACTCCTTCTGGAGAAGAAGGGCAGAATCGGTTTGCGAAACACTAGCCATCTATGACAGCCAGTAAAAATGAAAAGAAAGTTCTACTTGATTAATAACATCTAACATTTATTAAGTTCTTGTTATCATATGTACACATTATGTAATCCTGAGTATAGATGAATGAGGAAGGTCCTATAATCCCTATTTTGTAGATAAGAAAACTGAGGCCTAAAGAAGCTGAGTAAATTGTCCAGTATTTAAACTCAGGTTGGCCTCTTACCTGTGTGCCCCCAACCTCAATGCAGTACTGCTGCTCAAGTTAATCACAGAAATGTAAATTAAAAGATTACATTGTAGGCTGGGCACGGTGGCTCACATCTGTAATGCCAGCACTTTGGGAGGTGAAGGTGGGCAGATCACTTGGGGTCAGGAGTTTGAGACCAGCCTGGCCAACAGGGTGAAACCCTGTCTCTACTACAAATACAAAAAGTAGCCGGACATGGTGGCATGTGCCTGTAATCCCAGCTACTTGGGAGGTTGAGTCAGGAGAATCACTTGAACCCGGAAGGTAGAGGTTGCAGTGAGCCGACATTGCACCTTTGCACTCCAGCCTGGGTGACAGAGTGAGACCCTGTCTCAAAAAAAAAAAAAAAAAAATTACATTGTAGAGTTGATACAATTTAATAGTACCTAACATTATGAGAACTCAGAGACAAGATACTCTTGTAACTCTGCTAGTAGGAAAATTTTGCAATATATTCTGACAGAAATCACTGAAAATGCATTTCCCTTGACCTAGCAGTTGTACTTCCAGAATTTTTCCTGAGAAAATAATTGAGTAAGATATATGTTCAAGAATGTTCATTGCAGCATTGTTTTTTGTTGCTACTCGTCCCCCAAAGTACCCATAAAAAATAATTAAAATGCCTAGCAAATATTGGTTCCTCTGTGACTATTAAATATCACGTTTTGGAAATCTGTCTCCTGTTAGGGAAGATGCTGTGATTTATTGTGAAGTTTAAGAAGTAGGTTATAAAATCACATAATTATGATACTATTAAATATTTTTTATTCCTATATATTAATATGGAAAGATATAAACAAAACATCAATGGTAATTTCTTGGTGGTAGAATTATAGGTGATTTTGTGTGTGTGTTTCTGTGCTTTCCAGGTTTCCTTTCTTAACTTGTAATTTTGTCAACAATTTTCAAACAATAAATGTTATTTAAAAGATACCCAAAAAAACAGAAAGAAAGAGATCAACACCTCACTAGAAGACCATCCTGGCCAATATGGTGAAACCCCATCTCTACTAAAAATACAAAAGTTAGCTGAGTGTGGTGGCCTGCGCCTGTATTCCCAGCTACTCGGGAGGCCGAGGCAGGAGAATCGCTTGAACCCAGAAGGCAGGGGTTGCGGTGAGCCAAGATTGCACCACTGCACTCCAGCCTGGCAACAAAGTGAGACTGTCTCAAAAAAAAAAAGAAAATAGGCAAAGGAAGCGGATAGTTCATAAAAGTAAAAATAGCTTGTAAGCATGAACCAAAACTAATAATTAAATCAAAACAACAATTTTCAATGTCACATTGATAAAGATTTTAAAAATCGGGGTACGTGGAAGTGATGCGTTCAATTGACATCAGAAATCTGTCAACGGTACATCCCCTTTGATCTAGTAATTCCAATTCTGTGGATGTATTCCCAGAAAACAGTCACAGAAGTCGCAAGATGCCTGTGTACAGATGTCTGTGTGATATACTCTATGATAGCAAGACTTAGGCGACCTCAGTGTGCAGCAGTGGAGGCTTCATTAATAAATACAATACTTCCAGACTGCTTTGGAAGGCAATCTGAGGCATGACAGAAAATGCAAGCTATACAATTATGTCGGCAGCTGCTTTTAAAGACAGCACATATGTGTGCGTGGGGTGGATGGAGGTAGAAAAACCACTGGATAGAAATGTACCAAAATGTTATAAGTAGTGATTTATGATATTTATGTGTGATTTTTATTTTATCTTGTGGGCTTTCTCAGTTTTCCAAGTTTTTTTTAAACAGTGAATGTGGCTGGGCGCGGTGGCTCACGCCTGTAATCCCAGCACTTTGGGAGGCCGAGGCGGGCGGATCACGAGGTCAGGAGATCGAGACCATCCCGGCTAAAACGGTGAAACCCCGTCTCTACTAAAAATACAAAAAATTAGCCGCGCGTAGTGGCGGGCGCCTGTAGTCCCAGCTACTTGGGAGGCTGAGGCAGGAGAATGGCGTGAACCCGGGAGGCGGAGCTTGCAGTGAGCCGAGATCCCGCCACTGCACTCCAGCCTGGGCGACAGAGCGAGACTCCGTCTCAAAAAAAAAAAAAAACAGTGAATGTATATTACTTTTCTACATAAAATAAATATTGCAAAACAAGAAATATCTGTCCTATTAGTTTATGTTTGTACTTTTTATACACTTCAAAAAAAAAAAACCCTAGAAATTCTTTTAATATTTTAAGGAATCATTGTAACAGTGATAAAGTTAACTCCCAAGTGGCTTTTGTCTTCTTAGTCAGGAACTGGCTGAAAGCACGGTAATAGCCAAAGTCAATGGTGAACTGTGGGACCTGGACCGCCCATTGGAAGGGGACTCTTCTCTAGAGCTGCTTACATTTGATAATGAGGAAGCTCAAGCTGTGAGTATTTAAAAACCAGACAGCCAAACTTTGGGTAGTTATGTTGTAAACTACATTATATAAGAGGCCACATATTGAAGTCACGAATGTTGAGTTTTTTGGGGGTTTCTAAGATTTAAAATTTGATTATTGATGTTTAATAAATATTTGTGGCATGAATGTATACAAATACATGTCAGTTTTTAAAGTAGCCCATATTTATAATTTCTTTTTTTTTTTTTTTTTTTTTTTTTTGAGATGGAGTCTTACTCTGTCACCCAGACTGGAGTGCAGTGGCGCAATCACGGCTCACTGCAGCCTCAACCTCCCCTGGCTCAGGTGATCCTCCCACCTCAGCCTCCCAGCTACCTGGGACTACAGGTGCACACCACCACACTCAGATAATTTTTCATATTTTTTGTAGAGACAGGGTTTTGCTATGTTGCCCAGGCTGTTCTCAAACTCCTGGGCTCGAGCAGTATGCCTCCCTCAGCCTCCCATAGTGCTAGGATTACAGGTGTGAGCCACTGTGCCCAGCCTTATCATTTCTTACAATAATCATTTCCTTAAGTTAGAATGCTTTGGTTATTAAATCAATGTGTGTTTGAAATGAATTGTTAGTAGGCCATTAAAAATGGGTCTACTTTATAATTTAATATGTATAGGAGAATTGGAAGAAATTACAAGACTCAGATATCCTTTAAATACTTAATATAATTTTCTATAAAATAAATACCACATTTTTCACATATGCATGTGATATATGATTTCTGATATACGTTGTCGCCTGAACGTTGCAGTCGCCCTTCAAGCTGTCCATTATCTTCATGAAACCTAAGTTATGATTAGCTTAGGTTACAATAATTGCAAGGCTTATGCTAAATTTCTTTAAACTATAAGAACCATATTATAATTTCTGTTTAAAATATGCAAAGTATAACCATTAAATATGTAAACAGTACACTATTAATAAAACCATATTTAAAAGTGATTTTCAGAAAGTTCAGTACTGTAGACTGAATTCACAACTCTCCAGCCATAGCTAGCCATGCCTCAGTTTTTATGCACTACTGTCTACGTGATATCTGCATGTAGATATTGTACAAGAATCTTCAGTACATTCACCATGAAATTTTCGATTTTAACCCCAAAACTTATTTCTTCCTGTTTGCCTAAGTCAGTGCATTACTCCACCACATACCCAATAGCTCATTCCAGAACCTTGGAGGTTTTGTGTGATTCCTCCCCGTCCCTCAACTCCATCTCCAGTGAGGGGTAAGCCCAGTAGATTTTACTTCCTAAAAATATCTAGAATCTGTCCATTGCCACTGCCTGAGAATCCGCACTCACCTTGTTATAGAACCACCCAAGAAACTGCCTACTTGCTGTTTTGTCCCCTGAAATTCATTCCCATCGAGCTATCAAATGATGTGTGTAAATGTAAATTTAATCATTTTGCTTAAAACCCTTTAATGCATCCCATTGCATTTGGAGTAAAATGCAAGCTCCTCCCCAAGGCCTGCATGGTCTCTGGCCCTTCCTTACCTCTCTAACCTTTCTCAAGCTATGCTTTGTCACATCCCCTACGTGTTAGTCACACAGGCCTTCCCGAGTCCCCATGAATGCAGGACACTCACCATTTTTCTATATTACAGAGCCCTGTTCATCTCCTTTTAAACACCCTTCTCATCTTAGAATTATGCACGTCCAGGTTTGTTTATTGCCTGTGTCTTCGCCAATAGGCTGTACCTGTGTGGGGGCTGTGACTATGTCTGTTTCTTTCACTATTGTATACCCAGCACAGTGTTTGGCTCAACAAATGTGTAGGTGTGGACAGTGCACCACATGGGAGATTTGGGCTGATGCTAGCAGTCAGCCTGCCATCCTAGCAGCATCCAAAGGAGCAGTGCTGTGCCCTAAGGACTGACCCTCTGGGTCTGTCTGCAAATCATATCCCAGCCTATTGCTGTGGGCTGGGATTGCACATAGTGCTCCATCATCTGACTCCTTCTGCCCTGATTCATTTTATCAAACAGCTTTTTAATTGTAACTTGCTTTCTATTTAATAAAAAGAAAGAAAGTGCTGAAAGATGAGTTGATTATCTTACTCCTTTGGTACCTATATTTATTTGGTGACTTTGGTTAATTTCAGTTTATCCATAAACTAAAATGAATTCCTTGGGAACTCAAAACAGTATCAACTTTTTGAACTTGGAGGACTGACAACCGGGCTCTGGACTGTGGCTAATGAGCCCATATATACACTTCTCAGGCGTCCCAGGCAGCCAGCAGACGTTCCCTGGCAACACTTTTTTCTTCCTGAGACATCTTTCAAACTTCCACAGTCACATGCTATTCAACACACGAAGACTGCTCTGGAGATGCAGGATCTCGTTAACTGTAGTGGTGTCAGGAACACTTCAGTGCTCTGTGTCCAGCTCAGAGAGGGTGCCCCTGGAGAAAAAGAAGACAGCTAGCATCTGGCACTCCTCGGCCTTCCTCCTACTCTGGGCTTCAATCAGGTTTGCACACAGCTGCTCTGCTGGCTGTTCTGAGAGGTGTTCATCTCTCGTGGCTGACATGCACAGAGGAAATGGGGTTGTGGCCGAGCTCTAGCTGCCACTCAGCAGAGCAGCTTCACACTGGCACTGAGCAAGTGACTCCGGTGGAATGTCAGGGAGGGCTCAGAAAGCATTCTCTTCTAAGTGGGCATCGAAGATTTTCCTTTCAAGTTGATGTTGCTGCCCTTGGTCTTGCCATGTATCTCCTTAAAATTTTCTACTGGTTTACATCATTTTACTACTAATTTTCCATGACATACTTTTGGTAGCTAATGGCCTCTTTGTCCATGCCATGCAGGTGTACTGGCACTCCAGTGCTCACATTCTTGGGGAGGCCATGGAGCTTTACTATGGAGGCCACCTGTGCTACGGTCCGCCCATTGAAAATGGATTTTATTATGACATGTTCATTGAAGACAGGTAACACACTGAATACTGGCTTGTGAATGCATGTGTTTCAATTGTATTGTTCTGTAATGGTTACATACTAGCCTAGTAACTGTATACTGCTGGCCCTTACATAATGTGGGGTTAGGGGCACCGACGCCCATGCAGTTGAAAATCCGAGTTCAACTTGTGATTCCTCCTAAACTTAACTAATAGCCTGTTGTTAGCTAGACGCCTTAATGAAAACATAAACAGTTGAGTATCACATAGTTTGTATCTTAGGTGTATCATATACTGTATTCTTGAAATAAGCTAGAGAAAAGAGATGTTAAGAAAATCATAAGGAAGAGAAAATGTATTTACCATTCATTTAGTGGAAGTGGATCATTATAAAGCTCTTCATCTTCACGTTGAGTAGGCTGATGAGGAAGTGGAAGGGTTGGTCTTGCTGTCTCCGGGTGGCAGAGGCAGAAGAAAATCCACATATAGGTGGACCCATGCAGTTCTAACCTTTGTTGTTCAAGGGTCAACTGTATTGCATAAGATGATTATAGATTGGTTGACCAATTTTGAAAATTATTTTTAGTTTAGAAATGGTCTAAGGCATTTAACTGAAAATTATTTTTAGTCAAATCTAGTTTAGATTCAAGAGATACTTCTAAGATTGTTTTCTTTTTTGTCCCCAGAAGAATATGATATGCTATTTATCTAATCTTGGACTTGCTAGAGCATGGTATTAATTAAGACCAGAATTGAAAGCTTAATTCCTAGAGAGAGGCTAGTTTAATTCGCTCCGTGATAATCAAGGACCTCATTAACCTCAGCCAAACATCTCACATAGTTGAGTGCCGGACAGGGATGTGTCACAGATGCTTCACATTCCATAGGCCTATGCTTGAATCGTTAGCAAACAGCCAGCCCCGTCCACCTCCTGCCCTGAATTCCTCATAGCTCCTAGGGTACCTCCAACTGCCACAACCAAAACCTCTGATCCTTCTACTTCCTCCCTCCTCTTCACCACCACGCCACCATCCAGTTGTTTAGTCCAGTTCTGCCAATTTTATCTCCTAAATAGTTCTCCCACCCCCCTCTCCTTCTCTTGTTTCTGCCTTAAGTTAGCCCCATGGCATCTCTGGCCTGGATGACTATGGTGCATTTTGTCTTTACCTTCTCCTGCACGCTGCTTAATGACCTCCCCAACCGAGCACCCAATGCTGTGTAGCTACTACTTACAGACTTGTCCAATCTGAACCACTATTACTCACAAGCATGAAACTGTGTTTACCTACAACAATTCTTATCTCAAAGGTGTGGGTTTTTTCCCAAATCAATGGCCAGTGCTCCAACTCTCTGGACACCAATGAGGTGTCTAATGATTGAACTCAATTCTGACACTATCTACCCTGAGTTAATGCAGATTCCCCAGGTCAAGGGCTCAGTCCCACAAGACTGGCCCCAATTCAGATGCCAGCTGGAAGTCTGGGCCTTCCATACTTTTGACCTACAGGCTACAAATCGGGAGTTCCCATGACCCCATCCTTGGGTTCAATAATTTGCTAGACTGGCTCACAGAACTCAAGAAGGCACTTTACTTACCTTACCAGTGTATTATAATGGATGTTACAAAGGATAGAGATGAACAGCCTGATGAAAGATGCTTATGGTGAGGTATGTGGGAGGGACCACAGAGATGCCATGTGTCTCTGGGCGCCATGCCCCAAGCACCTGGATGTGTTCAACAACCTGGAAGCTCTGTGAATCTTGTTGTTTAGGGATTTTAATGGAGGTTTCATTATAGAGGCACAATTGATTAAATCATTGACCTTTGGTGATAACCCAATCTCTAGCCCCTCTCCTTTCCCCTAAGGAGGCAGGTGGGGGTGCTGAAAGTCCCAACCCTTTAATCATGCCTTGGTCTTTGTGGTGACCAGTTCCTGCTCTGAAGCTACCTAGGGGACCTAGCCACCAGTCATCTCATCAGCACACAAAAGACACTCGTATCACTCCAGAGATTTCAGGATTTTAAAAACCCTGTGCCAGAAATCTGGATGAAGACCAAATTTGTGTTTCTTACTGTATCACAGTATCACATCCCGTTCATCTCTTGTTAACATGGCTCCAGTATTCGTTCAACAAGATGTTTTTGCTGCCTGCTGTGTGCTCTGTGCTGGGTGCTGGTGATTCAGCAGTGAAGGAACCAGTCTGTCCTCATGGAGCTAACAGTGTTTGGGGGAAGACAGCAAATGCACAAGCAGCCATCTGCTGCCGGGTGGTGATGACTATAGGAACATCAGCCAGGTGTAGGAGGTGTGTGCCATGACAGGCAGGTGGGCAGGAAGGAGCAGGTGGCATTGAAGCCGACCGGAGTGGAGGGAGGGAGCAAGCCCTGAGGATGGGGATACTTATGACATCTGCAGGGAGAAGGTTCCAGGCCTCTGTGGGACTGTCCTGGTGTGGGGATATGTGTGGCTTGTTTGAGGAGTGGCAAGGAAGCTAGTGTGGCAGGAGGGAGTGAGCACTGACCAGGGGGTGACTGAAAGGAAGTTAGTCCATGCATAGCGGAGGCTGAGTGCTGCTGGGAGCACCGCGACTCTGCAGTCCATACAGATGTCTCCCAGCCTTGGTTCCATAGCCAGTGAGGGCAGGGACGTGATGAGCACTGCATCTGGCTCTTGAGCAAAACTAAAGCATGTGAAGGGTAAGGAAGACCACACAAAAGAACAGGCCTCAGAGGAGCTCACAGTCCACCTGGGTGTCTCCTAGCAGGGCTTCCTTCTCCCCTTGCAGCAGAGGAGAAATGAGGCAGGTCTTGGCAACTGTTGATGCCCAGTCTCCCTCACTGAGACACAAGAGTAGTGACTGTATGAACGTTTGACTTTCTGAAGTCCTGGAACAATAAGACAGCAGATTCAAATTTATGGCTGCTGAGGCTCCAGGACAAAGGAAAGAGGGAATGCATAATGTCTGGAAGATGGATGTCGGTTCTCTGCTCTTCTTTTTAGAGCAGTGTCCAGCACAGAATTGTCAGCCCTGGAGAATATATGTAAAGCCATCATAAAAGAAAAGCAACCTTTTGAAAGACTAGAAGTCAGCAAGGAAATCCTCCTGGAAATGTTTAAGGTAACTTGGGGAAACTCCTAAACCTCTTACTAGGAATATTAAAAATCAATATAGACTAGCTTCCCCACCTTCCCCCAAATAATTACCTGTTGCTCACCAAATTATTCCAATCCTGTTAAGCTACTGTGAGGTTGTTACCAGTTACTTGCTGTGACATTTCCCTCCCCATCTATTTCCTGAACATTTGAGGGGAGACATAGGTAGGTAAAGGGCCAGGTGAATAATTTTCACATGTGTGTTTATAAATCTGATTAATTCTGAGTATTGTGAATATCTGTCACCTAAATTCAACAATATTTATAATCCCATATAAAATGCTGCCTTTTTCTCTTTTCTGTGGGAGTTTTCTGTTAACTTTTGTTTCAGATTTTAACCTAGAGTAACCTGTGTAAAACAGTAACTTTCTCTTTATATTTTTTTGACCAACGTACTTAAATATATTCCTGATTTTATGTTTTAAAACATACATATTGGAGAAAACATACATTTTGTTTTTTATTTTTTGGGTTTTTTTTTTTTTTTTTTTTTTTTTTTTCAGACAGAGTCTCTCTTTGCCTCCCAGGCTAGAGTGCAGTGGCACTATCTTGGCTCACTACTATCTTGGCTCACTGCAACCTCCGCCTCCTGGATTCAAGCAATTCTCGTGTCTCAGTCCCTCAGCTGGGACTACAGGCATGTGCCACCGTGCCTGACTAATTTTTCTATCCTTTTAGTAGAGACAAAGTTTTGCCATGTTGGCCAGGCTGGTCTTGAATTCCTGACCTCAAGTGATCTACCCCCCTCAGCCTCCTAAAGTGCTGGGATTACAGGCGTGAGCCACCACGCCCAACCAAAAACATGTACTTTGAAAACACAGTATTATCAGTTTTGTGGGCTTGAATAAAAAAATAGAGTTGGTTTTGGTAAAAAATTGCAGTATTCTTTTTTGTGCAGTAAAATATATAACATATAAAATTTACCATTTAATCCTAAGTATACAGTTCTGTGGCATTAAGTACATTGACAATGTTGTCAAACCATCACCAATCTCCAAAGCTTTTTATCTTGCCAGTCAGAAACTCTATACCCATTAAACATTAGCTCCCCATTCCCGCCCTGCCCCCAGCCCCTGGCCACCACCATTCTACTCTCCGTCTCTGAATTTGGTTCCTCCAGGCACTTCATATCAGTGGAATCATGACAATATTTATCCTTTTGTGACTGGCTTGTTTCACTCAGCAAAAAGTCCTCAAGATTCATCCATATTTTAATATTTTAATGTGTGTCAGAATGTCCTTCCTTTATAAGGTTGGATAATATTCCATTGTACGGATAGACCACATTTTGTTGATCCATTCATCCACCTGTAAACACTTGGGTTGCTTCTGCCTTTTGGCTACTATTGTGAACAGCGCTGCTGTGAACATGGGTGTGTAAAGTTCTGTTTGAGTCTCTGCTTTACTTCTTTTGGGAATATACTTAGAAGGGGAATTTCTGGATCCTATGGCAATTCTGTTTTTAAGTTTTCGAGAACTCGCCATACCGTTTGGTGCAGTGGCTACACCATTTTACAGTCCCACCAGTGATGCACAGGGGGTTCAGTTTTTCCACATCCTTGCCAACACTTGTTTTGTTTTTTTTTTAATCATGGACATCCTAATGGTTGTGAAGTGGTATCTCATTGGGGTTTTGTTTTGACTTGCATTTCTCTGATGACGTACTAATGGTGAGCATCTTAATGTGCTTATTGGCCATTTGTGTATTTTCTTGAAGAAATGTCTTTGGAGAAATGTCTGTTGAGCTCTTTTGCCCATTTTTTAATTAGGTTTTTTTGTATTTGAGTTATAAGAGTTCTTGATATATTCTGGATATCCATTTCTTAACAGATATGTGATTTGCAAATATTTAATTCTGTGGGTTGCCTTTTTTGCAGCTACTTTTAAGAACTAAACACAATTAATCTTTGTTAAGGAAAATGATTTGTTGTGAATATATAGATACGAAACAGTTAAATCATGCAGATACGGGTTTTTCTCCCAACAACTAGCTTCTTTAAGTAGTTATTTAATATAAAGTGCCTTGTATACCCCGATAGTAGTGATGGAAGCAGAAAAGAAAGGAAAAGGAAAAAAACCCTTAGTTTTATAAATATATCATCATTACGATAAACTTTGCTTTTGTTTTTATACAAATTAATAATATAGCTGTGTCCTTGTCAGAATTTTATTGATTAATGTTAAAATTAGATCTTCTAGAACAGTACTGTCCAATAGAAACATAATGGAATCCACTAGTCTGAGCTACATGTGTAACCTATAATTTTATGGCAGCTACATTTTAAAAGTAAAAGTTGCAATTAATTTTAACAAATTTTTAACCCAATATATAAAAAGTATAATTTCAATGGTAGCCAGTATAAAGAATGATTAACGAATGATTTTCTTCTTCTTTTTGCAACATTATACTTCCAAAGTCCAGTGTGTTTTATACTCACTGCACATCTTCTTTCAAATTAGTGGCATTTGAGGCCAGGTGTGGTGGCTCACACCTGTAATCCCAGTACTTTGGGAGGCCAAGGCAGGCGGATCACTAGAGGTCAGGAGTTTGAGACCAGCCTGGCCAACATAGTGAAACCCTGTCTCTACTAAAAATACAAAAATTAGCACATAGTAAAAATACAAAAATACAATACAGGCATGGTGGTACATGCCTGTAATTCCAGCTACACGGGAGGCTGAGGCAGAATCGCTTGAACCAGGGAGACGGACGTTGCAGTGAGCCAAGATGGTGGCACTGCACCCTAGCCTGGGTGAGGGAGTGAGACTCTGTCTCAAAAACAACAACAACAACCACAAATTAATGGCATTTGAAATGCCCAGTAGCCACGTGGCTTGTGGCCTCCATGCTGCACGGTGTCGCTCAAGGCTGTGAGCTCTTTGTATCCCTCGTGTCTCAGCACCTAGAACATCAGTAGATGACCTTTCAATGTTTCTTGAAGAAAAGTAGAGTTGTTTTCTTCATTTCAACATTGTGTGTAATAATGTGTAAATATGTTTTTCTTCGTAGTACAATAAATTTAAATGCCGCATTCTGAATGAGAAAGTTAACACTGCAACTACCACCGTGTACAGGTTTGTGTCCACACATGGTAAACGCTGCTCAGTGGTAAACTTGAAGGTGTTAGCAGTAGAGGCCGAGTTTGTTTTCTGGTTGGAGATCGATTTTTCAAGTTGTGTAGTTGATAATCTACCGTAGTTACAATCTTCAAAATGTTTTCACTAAAGAGAAATGATTATTTTCCCCTTTTTAGTAATCAGGACAGTACTGAGACCCATATTTTGTTTCCTGGGTGTTAGCTATAACAGGATTTTTCTCCATGTGAGTGATACTGTTGGGAAAGGAGTTTCTATTCTGTCCTTCCACGTTCTTATTAATGTGGCAGTGGGGGCCATTACAAGCCATCTCCTCGGCAGTGATTCTCTGCCTCATACTTACTGTCCAGAGTGCAAGTGTAGAAGAGTCTGCCCCATTGTCCAGAGTCCAAGTGTACAGTCTTCATGCATTAGCAGGATACTCATGATGAGACCAAAAGAAAATACTGGGAAACAAAGGCAGGATCAAATGTAAGAGGAGACAAGTGAAGTTAATACCAGAATCACTTAGCTCTGTTCATTTAACCTCAGGTTCCTGAGCACCTTTTTCTTTATTCGTGTGTATACGCCTTATATGTCATTGCTGTTCCCCTTTCCGTGTGTTCCGGCCATCTGGGTGCTGCTAGGACTATCACAGTACCGCCTTAGAAGACCTGGTATTTATTTAATTATAACCACAGATATTCTCCCTCATGGTACTTACTTTCGACAGTCAAGGACTTATGGTTCTCTGGTTTAATTGTACTGTAAGTAAAATCATATCCCCTTTGTGCAAAGCTATGCACGGTGCATTTCTTAAAGCTTAAAAATAAATGAAAATGTAGAAAACAGGCCAAGTTTTAAATTTCTGGCTTCTAATGCTTGAGCTCTTGGGTTTGAGAACCTTACTTACGTCAACATTGACACTTTTTGTAGTTTTTCAATTTGAATGGCTTGTATTTAATTTTTGAAAAAAAAATAAAGCTTTTCTTTTATGGCTTTCTTTTTTTTTTTTTTTTTAATTTTTTGAGATGGAGTCTTGCACTGTTGCCCGGGCTGGAGTGCGATGGCGCGACCTCGGTTCACCGCAACCTCTGCCTCCCAGGTTCAAGTGATTCTCCTGCCTCAGCCTCCCAAGTAGCTGGGATTACAGGCGCCCACCACCACGCCCAGCTAATTTTTTATATTTTTTATTAGAGACAGGGTTTCACTATGTTGGCGAGGCTGGTCTCGAATGCCTGACCTCGTGATCCACCCGCCTCGGCCTCCCAAAGTGCTGGGATTACAGGTGTGAGCCACCACACCCGGCCCTGTGACTTTCTATGTAAAGATTAGAGTATTGAAGCCTTTCATGCTAATTTGGCATTCCTTCCCTTCATCTGAGTGTTGTTTACAAGCTCTCTCCCTAGAGAACAATACACAAAGACTGACCATTGAGAGAGATGACATTTTCGTGTTTGCCACTCTGTAAGCCAGTCCCTTTTTGTATTCATTGTAATTTTTAAGTTTTTAATCAGAGAATTGCCTAGTTTCTTTCAGAAGATGTTCTGTGGTTTTTGAATCTAGAGGGCAGAGTGGACTCTGAGGCTAGATGAATCACCTCTCTCCTTCACCCTAAATTAAAAATGGCATTGCTACATATAAATAAGTGAAGCTCTACCTAAAACATAGGATATTATGGCTTATAATGAATAGTCCAGAACACTGTAACTGTGCCTGAGCATGTCCTAAATATTTCATTATAGGTGCGGTCCATTAATTGACCTTTGCAAAGGTCCACATGTAAGACACACTGGAAAAATTAAAACCATCAAAATTTTTAAGGTAAGGATTGATTTTTTTTTAATACAGTAAACTTAAGGTGCACTAGCTATTAAAGGATTTTAATCATATCTTATTCAATCATATCTTTTGTAGTCTGAACATCATGATATTTTAAAATATTTCATTCTTATTTGATGAAAACTAATAAAATCATTTAGAATTTTGATAATTAGAACACTATAGGTGGCTTTTGTTTATCATTTTACCTTATTGTAAGTGTTATAACATTTCTTTTTCATACGATATTTTATTTTATTTTTTATTTTTCTGAGACAGAGTCTTGCTCTGTTGTCCAGGCTGGAGTGCAGTGGTGTGATCTTGGCTCACTGCAATCTCCGCCTCCTGGGTTCAAGCGATTCTCCTGCCCCAGCCTCCTGAGGAGCTGTGATTACAGGCCTGCACCACCCCACCCGGCTAATTTTTCTATTTTTAGTCGAGATGGGGTTTTACCACATTGGTCAGGCTGGTCTCGAACTCCTAACCTCAGGTGATCCGCCTGCCTCAGCCTCCCGAAGTGCTGGGATTATAGGCATGAGCCACTGCGCCTGGCCTTTTTCATACACTATTTTAAAATATTGTTCTATATACTATGGTTTTCTTGAATAGCCCTGATGTAAGCAAGAATATTTGTCTGCATGTGAAAGTAATGTATTGCGGCATAAAGAAAACAGCAGGAGGGGATATGATGTTGTAATGGAGAAAACATCGCTCTGGGATTAGGAGGCATGGGACTGACTTGGCAGTCCCAGCCTTTCTTGGCTTTGATTTTCTTACAGGTAAAATGGGGCTGGCTAATGGCACTGTTCTTAATCATTGACTGTAGGTCAGCAAGACCGACCTTTACTTCCCCATACCTACTGTCTGTTCTGCCCCATCCTTGGTGATTATGATTGCTGCTTAGCCTTCCCTCCTTTCTGTGTGCTCTCACTGTCATTCCTAGAATCCATAGCAGACTCTACATAATTTGCTGGTTAATGGTATAATTTAGGCTGGGAAGGTTTAGTTAGAATCCATTTTAAGATTGTTCCCAGCACTACAAATAGTCTTCTTTAAGCTTTGTTGATTTTGTTTGTTTGTTTGTTTGATTTTGAGACAAGGTCTTGCATTGTCACCCAGGTTGGAGTGCAGTGGCACAAACACTGCTCACTGCAGCCTCGACCTCCTGGGCTCAAACAGTCCTCCTGCCCCAGTCTCCCAAGTAGCTGGGATTACAGGCATGTGCCATCGTGCCTGGCTAGTTTTTGTATTTTCTGTACAGATGGGGTTTTGCCACGTTGTCCAGGCGAGTCTCAAACTCCTGAGCTCAAATGATCTAACCACCTTGGCCTCCCAAAGTGCTGGGATTATAGGCATGAGCCACCATGCAGGGCTGCTTTGTTGATATGATAGTGGAAAATTGCATTTGTATTTAAGAGCAGTTTTACTTACAACTGAATGTATGATATATTTACCAAAATCCTCTTTGATATTTAGAATTCCTCAACATATTGGGAGGGCAATCCGGAAATGGAAACATTGCAGAGGATCTATGGAATATCCTTTCCTGATAACAAGATGATGAGAGACTGGGAAAAGTTCCAAGAGGAAGCAAAGAACCGAGATCACAGGAAGATCGGGAAGGTATGCCCCACATCTTAATCACTGGAGATGTAATCATAAGCCAACATAGGAATGTTTCTGTCTCACAAAACTAAGTTGCTTTAAAAATAAGATTTCTTCTTCTTCTCTCCTATTTTGCTGGCACTCACAGTCCGCTGCTCAGTGCTTTCATTTTAATACCCCAGATGTCTTCTAACCTCTTTCCTTCCTGTATCTTTTATTAATTTTTGAAAATTGTACCCTTCTCTTATTTTTGTCATGATAAAAAATAAAGTTGTTTTTGGTGAAACCCCACCTCTACTAGAAATACAAAAAAATTAGCCAGGCGTGGCAGCACGCGCTTGTAGTCCCAGCTACTCTGGAAGCTGAGGCAGGAGAATCACTTGGGCCCGGCAGGCGGAGGTTGCAGTGAGCTGAGATCGCTCCACTGCACTCCAGCCTGGGCGACAGAGTGAGACTCAGTCTCAAAAAAAAAAAGAGTTGTTTTTTACATTCTGTGCACTTTATAGCATCCTTTGTATCTGGGAGACAGAGCAGCGTGTAGAAGGAAAAGCTCAGACTGGAAAGCAGCTCGGCCTGAGCTTTATGCCCAGTCCTTGTACTCACTAGTTGTGTTAGATGATGGGCAAGCTCCGTGTCCTTGTCTTCCTTGCTGGGTAGCCTTGCAGGGTGGCTGTGAAGACAGAAACTGGGTGACGGTGCCTGGTACAGGATAGGCTCTCAGTAGGCAGCAGCCATGATGATCATCATCACCTAAAGCCCACCTCCTGCAATGAACTTTTTTGGTCTTTCTACCGTGTTGTCTCCCCATGAGTGCCGTACTCCAAGTGTGCCAAGTAAGAAAATTCGCAGAGAATAGCAGAAGGTGAAGTAAAAGCTAAGTTCAAAGCTAATTAGGCATAAATATGATTGGAAATTTTACATATGCTGTTGCATGCATTTAGGTATAAGTGTTGAATGGCCTTGGAATGTCTATTACTAGAGAAGATGGAAATAACTGAGTATTATATGTGTGTGCAGTAAATATTAAGCAATAGCAGATGACATTTGAAATGCAATTTTTGTTTCAATCTAGGAACAAGAACTTTTCTTTTTCCACGATTTGAGTCCTGGAAGCTGTTTTTTCCTTCCCAGAGGAGCCTTCATTTATAATACGCTTACAGATTTCATACGAGTAAGTTAACTTTAAAATGTTTTATTCTTATTCAATTCCAGTTTACATTTTTACTATTTTCTCTCATAATAAAGTGGTCAAGCGTTTCCATTAACTTTACTTTGGTAACATTAATAAGAATTTTGAGGTTAAAAGTGAGATACTGGCCAGACACGGTGGCTCACACCTATAATCCCAGCACTTTGGGAGGCCAAGGTGGGCAGATCACCTGAGGTCAGGAGTTCGAGACCAGCCTGGCCAACATGGTGAAACCCTGTCTCTACTAAAAATACAAAAATTAGCCGAGTGTGGTGGTGCACACCTGTAATCCCAGCTACTTGGGAGGCTGGCAGGAGAATTGCTTGAACCCGGGAGGCAGAGTTTGCAGTGAGCCAGGATTGTGCCACTGCGCTCCAGCCTGGTGACAGAGCAAGACTCCATCTCAAAGAAAAAAAAAAAAAAAGTGAGGTACTAGATTGTACCTTCTAATAATAACATGGAGATAATTTCTGTTTCCCCTGAATACATTCCTGGATTTCATAAAATTCACTTTTTGTCCATATAAGTTTCTAAACCATGTAGAATATAAAGGTAAGCATTAGACTAAGTGTGGCACTCCCTGTGAAAAAGAAGAAAGGAGAAAGTGTCGTCTCTGGTACAGAGTGTTAAGCCATGAAGCATTGCTTCTCCAAATGTGCTCCATGGGCCACTGATGCTTCCCTTTGCCTATAGCATGACTCCCAGGTGATTTGGCAGTTCCAGAGGAAAGAGGAAAAAACCAACAGTGCAAAATACCTACTTGTATTACAAGTTCATAGGTGGGAAAGTCTTTAGTATTTACATGATAAGGACTGTGTAGATAGTGTTCACAGGTGATCCGGGTGGACTACTGGGATTACATTTCCATGCTTGCACTGTTTTGTCTTTCCTATAATCATTACCTAAATTTTTCATTTACTTAGTTTTTTTATGTGCCTACCACTAATTCATGCTCCAATTTCTCTCAAAAACTACAAATCTCCTTGCAACATATTCTGCAATGATTCAGGTAATTGCTCAGTAATTTTTTTTTTCAAATTTGGTCCTACTCCAGAATTAACTTGCTACTAAGATTCTTGCAAACTGATGGCTTAGGACTTCTTTTCATCATCATCTTGGCCACTCCCCTCATGTCTCTTCCTATGCTGAGTCTCTTTTCCTGGTCCCTGTATATCTCTTCGTTGCTTATCTTTAATTCTCATTTGGGGATCACTTTCTTCAGTAACTTTCTGAGAAGACAATCCATGGCATGTGGCCTGCACTGGTTATTCTCTGTTTGCTTCTCCAGTCTTGTTCTCCGTCTTTTTCTTCTTGTGCTGTGCCCCTGGAGGCTGACATGTCTGTATTCTATCACCTGGGGTACACATCTTCCAGTAGGGACTGGCCAATGCGAGGCAATGGTAGGAGATCAGAGGGCAGTGGAAGAGACTTGAAGAATCACTGAAGATTATCAGAGATTTACATTTAGGCAGGTGGTGATGACCATCACAGCTGCTGATTTGGATGTGCTGTCTTCTCTGGAAAATCAGCATGGCCCCTGGCACCTTGTACTCTCAAGTTGGGAGTACAATAGATGGAGAATGAACAGAAAGCCTTTACAGTGGCATTAAGGGGATCTCTTATTTTTTATAGATGCAAGACAGATGTGGCTGATGAACAGGAGCAGGGCCTGATTGTGAGGGTCACCAAACTGTAAAGGCACTTAAATGCACAAACCCAGTGATCTCTTATTCTAAGGTAAGGGCACTGGTTGGGAAGGGTCCCTGAGGCTTGGAATGGGAATATTTGACAGACACAGGCGACACTGAGAACTTTGCATTTCTGGATACCTTTGTCTGAAGGAATTGGCCTTACCATGAAAAAAACCTTTTGGAGAACTCAGCTGTTTTTTCTGTTGGTTTTTTGTTATTATGGTTGTGTCACTTCCCATATCAAGTAATATTTTGTTAGATGCCAAGTATTACATGTAATTTAGGTGTAGAGGCTCTAGATGATATCTCCCACTGGAGCATTCACCCTCTGCCACTATTAAGGACTGATCATTGAATTCGATCAGAGATTGCACTGGGTTAGGGCCGGCTTCCACTTTAATAAGATTCAACTTTTGATTCCTGTTTCTAGGTCATGACCCCCTTGGGTTTCCACTTGACAGGCTGGTGGGTTTATGTCTTTTCAGCCCCAAAGGACTGTAGGGAAGTCCATTCTACTCTTCCAAAGTGTTCTATTCTTAACAAATAATTCCAAGGCTCATCTAATTACTACATTGGCTCAAAAATCCAGGACATCTTCTGAATCAGGCCTAGCTGCAGATGAGGCTCCTCGGGTGCAGTTTGTTGGGAACAGATTATCAAGTACATTTCCTCTACAGTTTAAGACCTGTGAACTAAAAACTCAAGTTATCTATCAGCCACCTCATCCTCTCATCTCCCTCACATTGTAAAATGGTGCTTGAGGAATAATGCAATAGATAGTCTTACTCAAAAAGGAGTGGGGTAGAGTAGGAGGCACATGGTAGTCACCATCTGTAGAAATTCTGGTATCTACCGGTCATCACTGCCCCAGGGTCAAAAGATACACTTTGATTAAGATCCAGTTTTGCTCTGCCTGGCTGTGATTCTGCCCTCTGAGTCATCCTTTCTCTTCCATAAGAAATGGCCCATATGTGCCTTAGGGTAGCTTTCTTTTTTAAAAAAAAAAAAATTATTTATGTATTTTTTTATTTTTTATTTTTCTTTGAGACAGAGTCTCGCTGTGTCGCCCAGGTTGGAGTGCAGTGGCGTGATCTCAGCTCACTGCAACCTCCTGCCTCCCAGGCTCACGCCATTCTCCTGCCTCAGCCTCCCGAGCAGCTGGGACCACAGGCGCCTGCCACCATGCCAGGCTTTTTGTATTTTTAGTAGAGACAGGGTCTCCCTGTGTTAGCCAGGATGGTCTAGATCTCCTGACTTCGTGATCCGCCTGCCTCAGCCTCCCAAAGTGCTGGGATTACAGGCGTGAGTCACCGCGCCCGGCCTGGGGTAGCTTTGTTCTCAACCTGATTCCTTCCTGTAGAAGGCTGGGGGAATCCAAAGCCCTTATTTCATTTTGTGCTGCCTTTCAATCTAAGCTAGTACAATTCCTTTAAAAACTTTGCGAGTCCTTTTCTATAAATTTATCATCAACACGGTTAGATAAAAGCCACATCCACATCTTTCTGACACCGATCCTTCTTTGCCTGGGAGGCTACTGTGAGACAATAGTACACTGCAGAGTCTTCAGAGCCTTCGTGTTTAATGGAAAGGGTCTACAAAGCACACTCCTAAGACTTTCAGAAGCCTTACTAGGTGCACTTACAGTAGATCATTCTGAGGTTTTCACAGTGTCTTACAGCCCCGCCCTTAAGATCTTTACCGTAAGGCTGTGCTTTGATGATTATAATCTGAATTTGATCCGTGTCCTGAAGCCTCGTGAGTCTTTTTTGGTACAGTCTAAGGATAAGAAGGTTTCATTTTTGAACCCAGCAGGTCCTGGTGGCTTTATATTTCCTCTAAACTTGGCTCAAAAAGTTAATTAGTTTCACGTTTGGTTTATACCTCTTTTCTTGTATTTTACCATAGGGAGCCAAAAATCGGCTGTCATTTTCTACATTCTGCCTGGACGTCTCCCCAGCTAAGTCCATGAGTTCTTTGGGTACCCTTTCTGTTTTCCATGTTACTTCTGGTGACAGTGTTACCCACCATCTGTTTCTGGCACCTCGTAATAAGAATCCCTTCTAGCTTCTGCCCACCACCTGGCCCCAAAGCTACATGTTTTAGGTTATTGTTATGTCAACTGAAGAATCATGAGGTTCATAAAATTGTAAAGGAGAGCTTCATTTCTTCTGAGGGGTTGCAGCCTGAAATCTTGCAGGCTAGGAAGCTTCATAGCTTCTGGCAGAAACCAGAAGCAGGCATTTCAAGGGAGGGAAAAGTAAGACAGGAATTTATGCTGATGAGATTGGCCAAGTATAAATATTTAACAGGTTATAAGAAGAGCTATGAATATTCACAAAGGGGGGACATTTATATACATAGTAAGCAAACATGCATGTTACATGCATCCCTTGTTCACTTTGGGGTGGAGACAATGCATTTAAATTAGGCTGTATAACCAAAAGGTCAAATGGAGGACACGGAGGCATCCCATGTGCAGCCTTTATAAACCAACCAGAACCAGTGCATGGTGAGTGGTCTTTTAACAGGAAGAAATGCTGCTCAGTTGTGTAAATCAGTGGTGGAACAAGTCTTTCAAAAGGGCTTGTTTCTGATTAACTCTTAGGAAAGAAAGCCTAATGGTTGTTAGTGACAGAGTGGGTATAATTAGGCATGTCCAACCTCTTGTCACTGCCAGTAACTCAGTTTTTAAGGTTTCTCTGGGGTCCTTTGGCCAAGAGGGTGTCTGTTCAGTCAGTTGGGGAGCTTAGGATTTTATTTTTATTTCTCAGTTATAGCAGTACCTACATCCAGTGCAAAATTCTGTTCTGGATGGCTATTGCAACATAGCAAAGTATCCCAGAACTTAATAGTTTAAAACTGCCATTTCATCATTACTGTCTTTCATAGTTCCAAATTTTAGGCTCCTGTGGGTGGTTCTCGCATTGGGTCCCTTACATGACTGTATTCAGGTAGAGTCTCATGCCAGGGTTATTGATTGAAGAATGTCCCCTTCCCATCATAGAAAGACTAAAAACATCAGGCATTGGCAAGAATATGAAGCAAGTATAACACTTACTGCTGGTAGGAACGTAAAATGGTAGAACTACTTTGTAGCAGTTTGGCATTTCCTGTAAAGATAAACGTGCCCCACTTCTTTTTTTTTTTTTTTTTTTTTTTTTTTTTTGAGACAAAGTCTCGCTCTGTTGCCCAGGCTGGAGTGCCGTGACGCGATCTCAGCTCACTGCAAGCTCCGCCTCCTGGACTCATGCATTCTCCTGCCTCAGCCTCCCAAGTAGCTGGGACTACAGGCGCCTGCCACCACCATGCCTGGCTAATTTTTTTGTATTTTTAGCAGAGACCGTGTTAGCCAGGATGGTCTCAATCTCCTGACCTCGTGATCCACCCACCTCGGCCTCCCAAAGTGCTGGGATTATAGGCATGAGCCACCACCGCGCCCGGCCTTTTATTTTTTTATTTTATTTTTTTCCTAAGATGGAGTTTTGCCCTTGTCGCCCAGGCTGGAGTGCAATGGCATGATCTCAGCTCACCACAACCTCTGCCTCCCAGGTTCAAGTGATTCTCCTGCCTCAGCCTCCCAAGTAGCTGGGATTATAGGCATGCACCACCACACCCAGCTAATATTTTTGTATTTTTAGTACAGATGGGGTTTCTCCATGTTGGTCAGGCTGGTCTCAAACTCCCAACCTCAGGTGATTTGCCCGCCTCAGCCTCCCAAAGTGTTGGAATTACAGACGTGAGCCACCACGCCAGCCCCCACTTCTAATTATCCCAAGATAAATAAAAACATATGCCCGCATCTACACTGAGACTTGTATTTGGATGTTCATAGAAGCGTTACTTATAATAGCACAGAACCAGAAACAACCCCAGATTCAGCTTGTGAAAAGATAAACATAATGTGGAAAGTCCATGCTGTGGAATACAACTCAGCATTTACAAGCAGTGAGATACTGATATACACATGAAGGAGGAACCTCGAAAGCATCGTACTAAGCCAGATAAGTCAGAGAATGCATAAGGCACCATTCCATTATATGACATTTCAGAAATGCCAAAACTATAGTGACAGAAAGATGATCAGGAGTCCAGTGGGTGGGGAGAGGGGATTGACTCCAGGGGGTCAGGAGGGAACTTCCTGGAGGGTGGAAATGTTCTATATCTTGACTGTGGCAGAAGTCGCATGACTGTATACATTTGTCAACAGTCACTGAATTGTACACTTAAAATTGGTGAATTTTATGGCGTGTAAATTTTACCTCAAGCCATTTTGTGGTAAAATACACATAATATAAAAATTTACCATTTTAACTATTTTTAAGTATGCAATTCATTCTCACTAAGTACATTCATGTTATTATGCAACTGTCATGGTCCATCTCCAGAACTCTTTCCACGTTGCAAATCCGAAACTCGCCAGGACTTTGTCATCATCCTACACTTAATCTCTGTACCCACTAAACACTAATTTCCATGCCTGCCTCCCCCAGCCTCTGGTAACCACCACTCTAGTTTCTGTCGCTATGAAATTGACTATTTCTAGGTGTCACATATAAATGGGTTCATAGGCTATTTGACCTTTTGTAATAAAACTATCTTTTTAAAAGTCTCCTTTGGTGTTGACATAGGCAAGCTAGCTTTCTTACATTAGTGTTTGCATGATATATCTTTTCCTATCCTTTTATTTTCTGCCTCTGTTTCTATATTTAAAGTACGTTGCTGGAGAAAAGAATACTGTTGGGTCTTGATATTTTTCAGTCTATCTGCCTGTGTCTTTTTTCCTCTCTGCCCTCTTCCATGTGCCTCAAGGTCCTCCCTGAGGTTCCAGTTGGTTCTGTTAGTCACCAGCCAGTAGAGGGTGTGCTTGTGGGACAGACTCTCAGTCACAGCTGGGCTGCCTCAGGGGCCATGGTCTGGTCCAATATCAGTAGCCTTTGCCTTGGTGCTGAGTCCTAGACCAGTCAGTAGTAGCCAGAGTGCTGGGGATACATGGTGCTGAGCACGATGGAATATATGGCCGCATTCTACCAGGAAGCATCCTTTTCCTCAGAACTGGAACTGCTGCATTTCTGTGGAAGGGATGTAGGAGGCCAGGATGGGCTGGGTGTGCACACTGCTCCCACTGAGGGAAATTTCAGGATTTCTGAGTTTTTGACTCAGGTAAAATGACTTCCACTTAGGTTTAAGTAAAGGCAAGTGAACTTTTGTTTGTATATTAGTTACTGACTGTGTGGACAACTGATAGTGAATAAATAGATCTTTTTGTTAGTCTCCTTGAATTTTTTTTTCCCTGCATTCTGGAAAATATCTGTCAGCTGATTCTGTACTTTTCTTACCTTTTTTTAAATTAACTTTTTTAATTGTCATGCAGTAAAATGTACGCCTTTTTGATAACATGCAGAACTGTGTTATCACCTCAGCAATCAAGATACAGAACAGTTCCGTCACCCCTCAAAACTCCCTCATGCTACCCTTTTAAAATCAAATCCTCCCCAGCCCTGACCTCAGGGAACGGCTGATTTTTTCTCTACCCCTAAAATATTGGCATATAAATGGAATCATACTTTTATAAAACCTTTAGAGACTGACCGCTTTCACCCAGCATAACACCCTGGAGATGCATCCGAGTTGAGTGTCCCCAGCGGGCCTCTGCTTTTGTCCCTGGGCAGTATTCCATCATATGAACATACCACTGCTTCAGATCCATCCTGCAGTTGAGGGGCATTTGGGTTGTTTTCAGCTTTTGGCAGTTATGAAAACTGCTATTGTCATTCATGTACAGTTTTTTGTATGAACATAGGTTTTCATTTTACTAGAGTAAATACCTAGGAGTGTGATTTCAGGGTCATATGGTGATATGGTTTGGCTGTGTCCACACCCAAATCTCACCTTGAATTGTAGTAATCCCCAAGGGTCAGGGGTGGGGCCAGGCGGAGATAATTGAATCGTGGGGGTGGTTTCCCCCATACTGTTCTTGTGGTGGTGAATAAGTCTCTTGAGATCTGATGATTTTATAAAAGGGAGTTCCCCCGCACAAAGTCCCTTGCCTGCTGCCATTTAAGATGTGCCTTTGCTTCTCCTTTGCCTTCCACCGTGATTGTGAGGCCCCCCCACCAGCCATGCTGAACTGTGAGTCCATTAAACCTCTTTCCTTCATAAATTACCCAGTCTTGGGTTTGTCTTTATTAGCAGTGTGAGAATAGATATGGTAAATTTAAGTTTATAAGAAAATGCCAAACTATTTTCCAAAATGACTACTGTTTTGCATTCCCACCAGCTGTGCATGAGGGTTGCTTTTGTAAAGCTCATCTCAGTCACACCTTTTGCATTTCCTGGAATCTGCCTGACTTGTTGATGCATGTCTTGAAACCCTGGAGTGGGGAGGGGAGTGGCTTCTCTTGTTGTTATATTAATAACCCACTTGGGGAATTTTTGCTTCCTCTTCACACAACCTTAGATGGAGTGAATTTCTAGACCAAGCTTGTCTTTGTGAACATGGCAGGCCTCAAAACATTCAGCTCTTCTGCAGGGAGAGTCCTGAAAGATGCACTCCAAGGGTTTAACTGAAGAGAGTCTAGTGAAGGAAGTATTTATGGAGATATGGGCCTGGCTAAGGTAACTAACAAGGGATGATAGAGCGCCCAGGGATTACCAATAGCAAGAATCCCTTCCCCTCCATCACTAGGCCTGCAGAAGTGAGGAGATGGAGTAGTAATACTAGAACCCACAGAGAGCTTGGAGCCATGGAGGAGAGAAGTGAGGAGATGGAGTAGTAATACCAGAACCCACAGAGAGCTTGGAGCCATGGAGGAGAGAAGTGAGGAGATGGAGTAGTAATACCAGAACCCACAGAGAGCTTGGAGCCGTGGAGGAGAGAAGTGAGGAGATGGAGTAGTAATACCAGAACCCACAGAGAGCTTGGAGCCGTGGAGGAGAGAAGTGAGGAGATGGAGTAGTAATACCAGAACCCACAGAGAGCTTGGAGCCGTGGAGGAGAGAAGTGAGGAGATGGAGTAGTAATACCAGAACCCACAGAGAGCTTGGAGCCGTGGAGGAGAGAAGTGAGGAGATGGAGTAGTAATACCAGAACCCACAGAGAGCTTGGAGCCGTGGAGGAGAGGCCACACAACAGAAGCTGTAACTGTGGAACACAGCCAGAACCTGAGTAAACCCACAGCAGGGAGAACCAGGGAAAGAAATATCCAGACCTCTCTCTTCCACTACCCTGTGAATCCTTTGGAACTTCCCATTGGTCAGACCCAATCAGAAACCATATGGAAAGTATATTGGCATGTCAGGATTCTCCACAGAAACAGAACCAACAAGATACATAGAAAAGAAGAGATTTATTATGAGGAATTGGCTTGTGTGATTATGGAGGCCAAGAAATCCCATGATCTGAGGGTCCAAGAAAGTTGGAGATGTAATTCTCGCCTGAGTGCAGAGGCCTGAGAACCAGGGGAGCTGATGAATCTAAAAAAAGGAGAGAGCTCAGGTACATACACAGAGAATTAAACAGTGCTTACCATGGTCAGGGGTTGGGGGGAAGAAATGGGGGGATATAGATCAAAGGATACAAAATAGATATCTAGGATCAACAAGGCCAGAGATCTAATACAGAACATGAGGACTAAAGTTAACAAAATTATATTTATCAGGGAGTTTTGTTAAGTAATTAGATTTTAACTGCTCTTGTCACACACACAAAAAAGGTAACTCTTTTACTATTTGTGTCCTATAACATCATGTTGTGAATCTCAAATATGTGAAATAAAATTTATTGAAGAAAATTTAAAAGGCTGGGCATAGTGACTCACTCTTGTAATCCCAGCACTTTGGGAGGCTGAGAGGGGTGGATCGCTTGAAGCCAGGAGTTCGAGACCAGCCTGGCCAACATGGTGAAACCCTGTGTCTACTAAAAATACAAAAATTAGCCAGGCGTAGTGGTGCACATTTGTGATCTCAGCTACTTGGGAGGCTGAGGCAGGAGAATTGCTTGAACCCAGGAGGTAGAGGCTGCAGTGAGCCAAGATTGTGCCACTGCACTCCAGCCTGGGCAAGAGAGCAACACTCTGTTTCAAAAATATATATATATATATATAAATACTGAGGTAATAGTTCTAAGACTGATACCCATTGGCCGGGCGCAGTGGCTCATGCCTGTAATCCCAGCACTTTGGGAGGCTGAGGCGGGTGGATCATGAGGTCAGGAGATCAAGACCATCCTGGCTAATACGGTGAAACCCCATCTCTACTAAAAATGCAAAAAAATTAGCCAGGCGTGGTGGTGGGCGCCTGTAGTCCCAGCTACTCGGGAGGCTGAGGCAGGAGAATGGTGTGAACCCAGGAGACGAAGCTTGCAGTGAGCTGAGATCACGCCACTTCACTCCAGCCTGTGTGACAGAGCGAGACTCCATTTCAAAAAAAAAGATTGATACCCATTAAATAATTTTCATTGCTGAAGGAAATGTGAGGAAACAGTTATCATATACTTAGAGAGAAAGTTTAAATTGCTACTAATCTGGTAACAAATATTAATGTGAAAAAAATGCACACTCCTAGCAATATTCTTAGAAAGGAATCTAAAATATACAATTAAAATCACATAGAAAAAAACTTTACTGCAGAATAGTTTGTAGTATTCAAAAATGAAAAGTCTAATGTTTCTCAATAGTAGAAGGATTAAATACTTTGTGACATGTCCACACAATAAAGCACTATGCAGTTAGTACAAAAATACATCTATGCATACTAACTTGAAGGGGGTTCAGTATACCTCACCATTGAAAACTGGAAGTGACAGAGTAAATGTATAGTGTATCCTTTCTTTTTATAGGTAAAAGCAAAAAACAACAAAATCCTGTATGTGTGTTTTGTGTTTGCACAGTCATGGAGGAGAGGGTTGAAATACAGGAACAGCAGGCCATTAGCATTATCTCAGGGCAGTAAAGGGTGGAATGAGAGAAAATGTTCAGGTTTTCTTTATACACCTTATTTTTTTCCACATGAAACATAATTTAAGCATGTTGTATTATACTATTGTGTTTAAAAGTATATATTTTATAAAATAAAAAAATAATAATCACAGCAAGTAAGCCTTGTGCGGAGCCCACAGAAGTCAGCTTTGGGGAACACAGTGCAGGGCAGAGAAGGAAGGAAAATGGGCCAAGATGAGGCGAGACAGGCAGTGGCAAATGGAAAATAACCAGCCTGGCTCACCCCCTGTGCCTCTCAGCACATTCTTGCCTTTTGCTTGGAGGACACTGAGGACATTGGTTTCCTCCCACAAACTCCGATCAGCCGATGTGTCATCATGTGGTGATGTCATTTCAGTTTCACCTAAATCTGAATCGTGCCATTGGCCACCATGAGTGCCCTTCATGTAAGAATGCAAGGAAAAGTCATAACTAAATGTAACTGTTTCAGCCTCTGTAGATGGACGCTAGGGCCAAGCTGATACATCAGAGCCTTCTTTTCCCATCACTCATTCCACATTCGCCTTATCCTGGTGGCACCCCAGATGGGCATTGTTTTATTTGGTGGGTGCATTAGTTTCCTAGGGTATTATAACAAAATACCATAAACTAGGTGACTTAAAACAACAGAAATTTATTATCTCCCAGTTTTGGAGGCCAGAAGTGTGAAATCAAGGTGTTGACGAGGCTGTGTTCCCTCTAAAACCCATGGGGGAATCCTTCCTTGCCTTCTCCTAGCTACTGTTGGTTGCCAGTCATCTTTAGTGTTCCTTGGCTTGTTGAAGCGTCATTCCCATCCTCTGTCTTCACGTGATGTTCTCCCTGCGTGTCTTCACATTGTCTTCCCCTTGTGTGCATCTGTCTCTGTGTCCAGATTTCTCCTTTTTATAAAGAGACCAGCCATATAGTATTAGGATCTACCCTAATGATCTCATTTTAATTTGATTACCTCTATAAAGACCCTACTTCCAAATAAGGACACATTCTGAAGTACTAGGAGTTAGGACTTCAAAATATCTTATTTGGAGAATACAGTTAAACCAATAATAGTGGATGGCCTCAGTCTGTCCTTAGGATCCAAGGTTTTAGTAATGCTCTTTGTGGGGTTTCAGGGCTCCCACTGATGGTTGTTGCTAGATGTGTTGATATCAAAGGCTCCCCACTGAATTCCAGACACAGTCCTCCTTACTCCATTGTAAGCAATACGACTTCTCCCAGTAATTGCGATCAAGGGTAGTAAGTCTTTCCCCAAGTAATTGGGATCAAGGGTAGTAAGTCCTTTTCTGTCTATCAGTTCTATAGTAAAGGGAGCCCATAATGGGCAATGGACAATCTCAACTCCCAAGCATGTCTCAGTTTTTGGTGAAAACATACTTTGGGCACCAAAACATGTTATCGAAAGATTCCAAAGCTCCAAGGATAAAGAAAATATCCTGAATGTTTCCAGAGAGAAAAAAGCCACAGACATAGGACTGGGTATCTGAATGGCATTGAAATTTTCAGTGGAAACACTGAAAAACAGAAGACAGGAACAATGCCTTAGTAATGCGAAGCCTAGAAATCTATACCCAGTTAAAGTAGCTTGCTTCTGGGTTTCTCCCACTGCCAATTTAGTTTTGGCTTTCCTAGGTCTTCTGAGGCAATTAACACTTGATCACCTACTTTGCAGATTCTAACTTATTATAGCATTCATCTTCTCTCCTATTTTCTTTGTCCTGGTAGATTTATGCTCTTATAAAAACTTTCTTTACTCTTATTTTAATGGGGTTTTGGAAAGGAGCTGTTTATGTGGAATTGCCTTATTTTTTACAATGAGAAATTACTTGAAAACAAATTTATGACACTGATTCTTAGAAGCTATTTAGATGTTTTTAAGTGGCCAGATCACTAGGTATGGGTAGAGACTCAGCTCCTTCAATAACCTAAACTGGTATTTCCAGGATGAAATATGATTTTTAATGTTCCAGATAAGTTATCTGGATTTCTTCAGGAGACTGGACTGAGCTGTGAACTGCTCAGTCACTGAGAGTTTACTCTTTCCCAGCATTAGAGAAAGAAATTAATGGCATGGCATGAGACATATTTTACTCCCCAACTTTTTCTCTTGAAAAGTTCAAATCTAGAGAAAAACTAAAATGCAATGCAATGAACATCCATATTTCCTTCATTTGGATTCATTAGTTGGTAATATTTTGCCAGTTTGCTTTATCTCTCTGTTATTTATATGTGTGTGTGAGAGACAAAACAATATGTATATTACAATATGGAGAGATACAGCAGCATAATATATATAGATATCTCCTATATATTTATGTAAAAATATAATAGTTGCTGACACTTCATCTCATAGGGATTATATTCATTAGTTTGTGCTGCTATAACAAAGTACCCTAGACTGGGTAGCTTATAAACAACATAAGGGTATTTCTCACAGTTCTAGAGGCAGTAAGTCTAAGATTAGGGTCCCAGCATGGTTGGGTTCTGGTGAGGGCCCTCTTCCAGGTTGCAGACTGCTGACTTCTTGTAACCTCAGATGGCAGAAAGAGGACCAGAGAGCTCTCTGCGAATCCTTTTATAAGGACACTAATCTCATTCATGAGGGCTCTACCCTTATGACCTAATCACTTGTCAGAGGCCCTACTTCCTAATACCATCACCTTGGGGTTAAGGTATCAATATCACAATTTTGGGGGAGACACATTCAGTCCATTGCAGGGATAGTTTAAAATCATTTCTAAACATCTCAAGAAGACATACATTCCTAACATGGTTGCATTCAGAGTGAATTAAAAATGCATTGAGCAGTATCTCCTGAGCTAGACTTTAAAAGTAGTTTTTAGTAAAAGCGAACACGCACACCCTGCCACACACACACCCACACACTCACCCTTAATTTCTGGGACCTTGTTTAATCTGAATATATGGAACCATCTGAAATAGCCAATAATCACTGCCATTCTTAATGACATCATTTTGTTAAACATTTTCTTTCTTTTTTTGAGATGGAGTCTAGCTTTGTTGCCCAGGCTGGAGTGCAATGGCGTGACCTTGGCTCACTGCAACCTCTGCCTCCTGGGTTCAAGCGATTCTCCTGCTTCAGCCTCCTGAGTAGCTGGGATTACAGGTGTGTGCCACCACGCCTGGCTAATTTTTGTATTTTTAGTGGAGATGGGGTTTCATCATGTTAGCCAGGCTGGTCTCAAACTCCTGACCTCAGGTGATGCACTTACCTTGGCCTCCCAAAGTGCTGGGATTACAGGCGTGAGCCACCACACCCTACCTGTTAAGGTTTTCTAATTTAGTAAAAACAAAGGATAGGTAAAGCAGCTCACTGAATGGCCGAGACCTAAGCTGTCTACCGTGGACTGCCAGGATGCCCTGCTGAAGAATAACAGACAACATTCCTTTCAGTTGTATAAAACCATTGTTAGTAATCTTAAAATGTTATGTTTTATGTTTTTTTAGCTGTGAAAACAGTTTTTCAAATGTGCTCAAAGTATACATGGCATTCTAGATTTGGGCCAGATGTCCATTAAGTGGTTTACAAATGTTGAGAATCTAAGGATTCTCAGAATTCTTACTTATTCAGCTTTTTGTGTTCATCCAAATTAAAACTGTCATGCAAAGGGTCCCTATCAAATTACTGTCAAAACAATTTGACCTAATTGACATTTGTAAAACAACAGCAGAATATGCATTTTTGGAAAGTGCACATAAAATATTTACCCAACAAAGATCACCTAATTGTTTTGTTTTTAAAGAAAGTTTAAATAAAGTTAAAACTTTGCTTGGAAAAAAACTCTCTTCTCCTGTCTCCAGTAATTCAATTAGGGAAGCTGTTAATAGGTAGGGAGGGAGAGAGGCCAGCTCATGACTTAATAATTTCAACTACTTAAATCGTTATACACTAAAATTCTTATTTCTGTTTAAAACTAAATAAATCAAAATTATAACATGCAACATGGCATTCAGGCTTATTAAATTATAAATTTTTTCTGCCTCTTAATAGGAAAAAACCTGTTTAGAAGGACTTTGGAGTAGTTACAGTGAGTTTCTATATATATTGTATTTCAATTACTACTTTTCAAAGAACTAAAACATTATATACTATATACTGTTATATGCTATAAAATAAATATACTCAATAGAAATTATACTAAGCATATGTAAATCTTTCTTCCAAGATCCAGAAACCACCACACCTAAAACTGAGGGTACATTAATCATGAATTAATATAGGACATGAGCCCAATTTGAAAATATTTGCTCATAGTGTTACTTTGCATGGAATTGTGATCTGCCCTAGCAGATTTTAATGTTGAATGCATGTATCTTGAAGGAGGAATATCACAAACGGGACTTCACGGAGGTGCTCTCTCCCAATATGTACAACAGTAAACTCTGGGAAGCCTCAGGCCACTGGCAGCATTACAGCGAGAACATGTTTACCTTTGAGATTGAAAAGGACACTTTTGCCCTCAAACCCATGAATTGTCCAGGGCACTGGTGAGTATTAAAAGCGAAGCAGACCTTTTCATGAGAGCACATAGCACGCTTCGTCACAATTATCTTTTAATGCTTTGTGGAATGAAAGAGTCCCTTTAATCTGAAGAGTGGTGATTACTAATTTTTACTAAGTTGTTTCATTCCGGAGAATGGATTTACTTTTGAAAATATATTTGATCTTTGGCAGGTATGGGATGTTAGCTGGTAACCATTGCATTTTTTTGTGCTGATTAAAGGATAATGTTATGTGTCAATTTTATAAGTTTTATAATATTTGTCTTTCTTATAGTAATGCACTTCACATGTTCATATTTGCAGAATATTTAGTTCTTTCATACTGTTTGGGTGGATTATAACAAGATCAATGAGGTCATAATCAATGGGTTTCTGGATTTCACTGATTCCAAGATACCATTTTTCTTCCACATTTCAACATTTCTGAAGTTGAAATGCATCTTATAGTTGGTGGCATCTTAGCATTATATCATAATTTAATTAATAGGTTATTTTCTTTCTTTGTAGCACATAAAATGAAGATACATTTTACAATCAATGCTGTCTTTGATTCTATGAAAGACTAATTATCATAAAGTTGGTATGCAAATTCAACCTTGTAAGACAAACATATTGTACAACTGAAACTGAATAGGCATAATTGTCCACAAAAAACAATCCCAACAATTGTAGTTTTTGTATTATCAACATACATAGTTTCAAGTAAATTTACCTAGAAGATAATTATTAAAACCGGTAACTGAACACTGAAGAAAGCTCTTTGCCCTTTTAAGTGAAGATGAGAAGAAATTTAACTTTATGATGATGTCATGTAAAAAATATATATAACTTTAATTTTAGGAACACCGGTATGTAAACATTCTGTATCCTCTCTTTCTAAACAGAAGGTAGAAGCTATGCTAGTGTTTTGCATTGTAAAACACTTGTGTTAACAATTTCTTAACTCATCTTCTCAAAGGCATCCTTTAAAATTATAGCCTCGTACTTTATAATGAAAGTAGAGAATTTAAGTTTGTCTTTTTACACCTCAGAATAAGAAAGCAAGACCACGGTGGCTTAGAGGCAATGGGATATGGAAGCTAGGAGTGCTTTCTGCAGGAGAGAAGTCTTTCATTCAACAGAGAACATAGTTGAGTGCTTTTTGTGCTTGGAGCTAGAAGTGCAGAGGTGATTAAGACACAAACCATTCCCTCATGGAACTCATGAGCAGAGTGGGCAGGGCCATGCATGTAGACAATCTGTTATAAAAAGACCAGTGCCATAATGATGGCATGTTTGAGGTGTTCCAGGAACGTGAGGAGAAACTGCCTAGCCCTGTCTGGGAAATGTCTAGGAGGGCTTCATTTAAGAAGTAGCCTTTGAAATGAATCATAAACAGTAAATGGTGATTCACTGTGTGGATAAGGGGAGGGAACAGCATTTCTGGGAAGAGATAATAGACAAGCATCTTTCTCAGAGTGCTGCAGTGATGTAAATGCAAGGTTCACTAATTTGTGGAAGAATTTTTTTTTTAACCTGGTGATCTAAGAACTAGAATAAGGAGTTTATGAATCTTGAGGCTTAATTGTAATTTCTTTATATTTAGATAATTATTTAATATTTCTGTGCTGTGTAAAAGCTGTGTGTTACCACATCTTTTCTAGTCTAATGTTTGCCCATCGTCCACGATCTTGGAGGGAAATGCCTATTAGATTTGCTGATTTTGGAGTTCTGCATAGAAATGAACTGTCGGGGACTCTCAGCGGCTTGACCAGAGTGAGGCGCTTCCAGCAGGACGATGCTCACATTTTTTGCACAGTGGAGCAGGTAAACAATAACACAGAGTGAAGCAGTGTGGTCACAAATTGAGTGTGATGCCCCGCACACATCTTGTATTCTTTCAGAGTTACTGAAACATAGACGTTTGGTCTAGTCTCTGAGATTCATTCAGCTCTAACCTGCTGTGATTCTCTAAATTAGGTCAATAGATTAATCATCTCTTGACATGAAATATATTCCTTCAGTGATTTTATTAACCTAAATTCCATTAAGTGGAGTATTTTAAGGGATTTGGTGGAATTCTGGATGTTTTGTTTTTCAGTATCGCCTAGAACTTAAAATTTACTTTTTCAAGTTTTTGTGTTAATTCAAGTTAAAATTGCCATGCAAAGTTTCACTGTCAAACAATTTGACCTAATTGATGTTTATATAACAACAGCAGAATATACATTCTTTGGTTTCATGTTGGATGGGTAATGTGCCAGTGTTGTATCCAATGTGCTTCATGTGGGGTGGGTAATATGCCAATGTTGTACCGAGGTGTGAGGGAGGTACATCTTACACATGTGTGTACACCCAGTCATCACGCTTATGAACTACAAAAAGCTCAGAGTATTTGTTCTTTGAAATTGCACGTAGAATATTTACTAAAATAGACCATATTCTGGACCATAAAACAAGTCTCAGTGAGTTGAAAGGGATGCAATTAAAATAAAATGTTTAATTAACCCTAATGTTTAACCCTAATCCTAACTGACCACAATAGAATTAAAAATAGATAACACAAAATCCAAAGGAAAATTAGACAATTTTATATAACAAATGAAATAAAAACACATCAAAATTTGTAGGATGCGATTTAAGTGGTAGAGGGATGTTTATAGCACTGAATACCTGCATTAGAAAAGAAAAATCAATGACTTAGCTTTTACTTAAGATAGAAAAAGAAGAACAAATTACACCCAATGTAATGGAAGCAAAAGAAAGAAAATAAGAAAGAGCAGAGCAGAAATCACTGAAATAGAAAATAAAGAGTAAAAATAAAACAAAAGCTGGTTCTCTGAGAAGATCAATAAAATTGATAAACCTTTAGTCAGACTGATGAGGGAAAAAAGACAAATAAAAATGTCAGGAATGAGACAGATGTCATCACTACAGATTCTGTAGCTGTTAAAAAGATAAGGCAGTTTTATGAATAACTTTATGCTCATACATTTGACAGCTTAGATGAAATGGATAAATCTTTGAAAGACAAAACTATTAAACTTTACTCAAGAAGAAGTAGATCATCTGAATAGCCCTGTGTCTACTACAGAAATTGAATTGATAGTTAAAAACCTTCCTACACAGAAAACTCCAGGCCAAGATGGTTTTACTGGTGAATTCTACCAAACATTAAAGAAGGAATAATACCAATCTAGAGATACTCTTCCAGAAAATTGAAGAGGAGGAAATCTTCACCACCTCATGAAGCTAATGAAGCTAATATTGCTGTGATAGAAAAATAAGACAAAGAAATTAAAAGAAAACTACTGAACATCTCTCATGAACATAAAATCAAAAAATTTAAACAACATTTTACTAAGTCAAATCTAGTAATTTTTTAAAAAGGACATCTTAATCAAATGGACTGAATCCCAGGAATGAAAAGGTAGTTTAACATTAGAAAATGAATCATTGTAATTCCCCACATTCACAAACTAAAAAAAAGAAAACAAACAAAAAGACAAAAAGCATATTATCTTCTCAGTAGATGCAGGGAAAAGTATTTGGCAAAATTCTACATCCATATCTCATAAAAACTCTCAAAACTAGGAATGGAAGGGAACTTTCTTAACCTGATAAAAGGCCTCTATGAAAAACCTACAGCTAACCTCATACTTAATAGTGAGAGTCTGAATGCTTTACTCTTAAAATCAGATATTAGGTAAGGATTATCTCATTACTTCTCTGATCATTGTACTGCAGGTTCTTTCTGATGCAGTAAGTTAAGAAAGAGAAATAAAAAACACCTAGATTGGAAAGAATTAAAACTCTTGTAAATGACATGATCATCTATGTAGAGATCAGATGGAATCTACAGAAAGCTATTAGAAGTAAGGTGAATTTAGAAAAATTGTAGTATGGAATATCAACATACAAAAATGAATTGTATATGCATTTCATAATAATAAACCCTTGGAAATTGCAAATAAGAAACAATTTGTAATAGCATCTCAAAACATATGATAGTACTTTGGGATAAGACTGACAAATATGTTGCTATGGACTGAATTGTGACTCCCAAAATTTATATGTTGAAGTCCTAACCCCCAATGTGATGGTGTTTGGAAATGGGGCTTTTGGGAAGTAATTAGGTGTAGATGAGATTATGAAGATGGAACCCTCATGATACGATTAGTGCCCTTTTAAGGAGATGCCAGAGGCTTTCTGATTCTCTCTGCCGTGTGAGGACACAGTGAGAAGTCAGCCGTTGGCAAACTAGGAAGAAAGCCCTCACCAGGGAACTGAATCAGCTGGCACATTGATCTTGGATTTCCCAGCCTGCAGAACTGTGAAGAATAAATGATTCTTATTTAAGCCACACAGCCTATGGATTTTTGTTCTGGCAGCCCAAGCTGAGTAATACATACATACACAACCTATACAGTGAAAACTTTAAAACATTGCTGAGATAAATTTAAAGAAGGCCTAAATAAATGAAATATACCTTGTTCGTGGTTTGGAAGACTAAATATTATTAAAATATCAGTTATCCCCAAGTTGATCTATAAAGTCAGTACAATCCCAGTCAATACCCAAGCAGACCTTTTTTCCCTGTAAGAGTTGACATGCTGATTCTAAAATTCGTATAGAAAGCACAAGAACCTAGAATAGCCAAAAGAACTTTGAAAGATAAAAACAAATTTGGAAGAGTCACTATGCTTGGTTTCAAGAATTATGAGAAACTACAGTAATCATGCTGGTCTAGATAGATAAATCAGCAAAACAGAGTCTAGAAATAGACACAAATATATGGACAACTGATTTTTAATTAAGATTCGAAGGCAATAAAATGGAGGAAAGGTAATATGTTCAACAAATGATGCTGGAATGATTGTGTATCCATATGCAAAACATGAGGTATGAGGATTCATACCTCATACCATATGAAAAAATTAAGATGAATCACAGGCCTAAATGTCAAACATAAAAATACAAAACTTCTAGAATAAAAATTGGGGAAAATCTTTGTAATTAGGTGATAGGTGATGATTTCTCAGATATGACACCAAAGGGCAATCCATAAAAGAAAAAAGTTGATAAATTGGATTCCTCAAAATTTAAAACTTCTGCTCTTCAAAAAATACTGATCATAGACAGGAAAGACAGGTTACAGACTGGGAGAAAATATTTGTGAGGCATATATCAAATAAAGGACTTGAATCCAGAATACTTAACAAATATTCAAACCTCAATAAGAAAACAGACAACCCAGTTAAACAATGAGCAAAAAAGACCTGCTTTGGGGAAGATGAAGCAGGTGCTTTCCCTTTCCTTCCCTCTAAGAACAAGTAAAAACCTTGGATATTACATATAAAACAAACACGAGACTCTGAAAGGTGTTGAGAAAAAGGGCACACTGGCTATGGACATCAGGACCTAAGAAACAACATGGTAGTGAGTTCCTTAGGTGTTTTTGTTTTGTTTTGTTTTGCCACATATATTCCAGACTTGGCAACCAACAGATGCCAACAGGCATCGATAAAACAGGCCAACAGAAGTCTGCTTGCTGTAGCCAAAGGACTAGGAAAGGGGCAGCCTAGAAAGATAGAAAAGTTTTAGACAATATCTACTCTATTTCAACCAGACACCACAGAAAAAACTGTGGCCCTTTATATGCCAGCTAAGGCTGATTGAGAAGCTTATATTTTAACTCTCAGCAGGCTCTAAATAAGTACCTCAATACCTGTTGGAATGGGTAAGAGAAGGCTTATTAGGAAGCTGGGAATTTTACTCCTGCATTAACAAGATCCCATCCCCCTCCCCCAACCCAGCAGTGTCAGTGAAGACTATGTGGGGAGCCTGGACTTTTGCCCTCCCCTGGAAGTAATGAGGTGCCTCTTCCAGTCCTGCTTGAGTAGTGTCAGAAGACGTCTAGTGGAAAGATAAGACTTTCTCACTGCCAATTGGTCATGAGGCCATGCTTTCTGTGTGCAGTAAAGGCCATGGAGGGGGGCTAGAACACCTGTGCAACCCAGAAGTAACGAGGAGCTCCTCTCCCCTTACTTCCTTTCTAAAAGGAGCTTGGACTGCTTTTCCCACTTGCCAGTAACTGTCCAGTACTGTCCTCCCTCTGCTGGAAGAGTGTCAGTGGAAGTCAGCTAAAACAACATTTAAGATCCAGAGGCTTACTATAAAACCGAAAATGTCCAGGTTTAAGAAATTGAAAATCACTCATCATGCTAAGAACAAGAAAAATCTCAACTTGAATTTAAAAAGACAATCTATGAACGGTAACACTGAAATAACAAAGATGTTACAATTATCTGCCAGAGATTTTAAAGCAACCACCATAAAAATGCAATTACTAACTAATGAGCAATTACTAACACACTTGAAACAAACAAAAATTACAAAGTCAGCGAAGAAACAGAAAATCTCAGGAAAGAAATAGAAGATATAAAGAAGAACCAAATGGAAATTTTGAACTGAGAAATATAATATTCAGTGAATAGATTCATGAGCAGAATGGTGAAGACAGACATAATGACAAGAACAGAAATTACACAATCTGAAAAACATAGAGAAAACAGACTGAAAGAGAAAAGAACAGAGCCTGAGAACAGTGGGATATAACAAGATATCTAACATTCATATCATCATAATTTTGGAAGGAGAGGAGACTGAAGGTGGGAGTGAAAAAGTACTCAAAGAAATAATAGCTGACAACTTGCCAAATTTGGCAAAAGACATCTACAGATTCAAGAAAGCTGTTCAGGATAAACTCCAAGAAACCTACACCAAGATATATCATAGTAAACTGAAAACTAAAGACAAAGGAAAGGCTTGAAAGCAATGAGAGAGAAATTATGCATTACCTTTAAAGAGAAAAACAATTTGAATGATAGCAATTTCTCATTAAAAAACAAAAAACAAAAATCCTGGAGGCCAGAAGGAAGTGGCACAATACTTTTAAAGTGCTGAAAAAAGAAAAAGGAATTTTCAACCCAGAATTCTATGTCTAAAGAAAATACCCTTCAGCAATTGAGGGGAAATCAAGACATTGGACCCACCAAAAGAATGGCTGTAGGAAGTTTTCTAAACAGAAAGGAAATGATGAAAAGAGGAATCAGGGAACTTTAGGAAGAAAAAGATTGTGAAAATAAAAACAGGTAAATACAATATATTTTCCTTCTCCTTTTGCGTTTTCTAAATTATGTTTGATCATTGAAGTAAAAATCACATGTTCTTTCTGATGTTCTAAATGTATGTAGAAGAAATGTTTAAGAAAATTATACTATAAATGGGGTAAGGTATAGGGAATAAAAGTTTTTGTACTTCACCTGAGCTGGTAAAGTGACAATATCTGGACTGATAAGTTATATAATACCTAGAGAAACCAATAAAAAAAAAAGCTATAGACAGGGATACACTAAGAGAACCTATAGATAAATTGGAATTGAATTCCAGAAAAATGTTAAAGTAATCCATAGGAAGACAGGAAAAATAAAACAGAAATGAATAACAAGAGAGAACAAGAAGGAAACAAAAAGGCAGTGTAAAGCCCTAACATATTAAGTGTAAATGGTCTAAATAAACCAATTAAAAGAGATTGACATAGTAGATTAAAAAATATGACCCAGGCTGGGTGAGGTGGCTCATGCCTGTAATTCCAGCACTTTGGGAGGCTGAGGCAGGCAGATCATGAGGTCAGGAGTTCAAGACCAGCCTGACCAACATGGTGAAACCCCATCTCTACTAAAAATACATAAATTAGCTGGGTGTGGTGGCACACACCTGTAATCCCAGCTATCAGGATGCTGAGGCAAGAGAATCGCTTGAACTTGGGAGGCAGAGGTTGCAGTGAGCCGAGATCATGCCACTGCACTCCAGCCTGGGTGACAGTGATACTCCATCTCAAAAAAAAAAAAAAAATGACCCCCAAAAAAAAAGAAGTCCCATGATATGCCAATTAAAAGCTGGAGAAAGGCCAGGCATGGTAGCACACACCTGTAGTCCCAGCACTTTGGGAGGCTGAGGTGGGTGGATCACCTGAGGTTGGGAGTTCGAGACCAGACTGACTAACATGGAGAAACCCTGTCTCTACTAAAAATACAAAATTAGCCAGGCTTGGTGGCACGTGCCTGTAATCCCAGCACTTTGGGAGGCTGAGGTGGGTGGATCACCTGAGGTTGGGAGTTCGAGACTAGACTGACTAACATGGAGAAACCCTGTCTCTACTAAAAATACAAAATTAGCCAGGCGTGGTGGCATGTGCCTGTAATCCCAGCTACTCAGGAGGCTGAGACAGGAGAATTGCTTGAACCCGGGAGGTGGAGGTTGTGGTGAGCTGAGACTGTGCCATTGCACTGCAGCCTGGGCAACAAGAGCAAAACTCCGTCTCAAAAAAAAAAAAAAGCTGGAGAACTAGGAAAGCTGATGGTATAACTCCCAGTCTAAGGCCAAAAGCCTCAGTGGGGTGAGCAAAGGAGGGAGCTGGTGTAAGTCCCAGAGTTGGTGGGCCTGAGAACCAGGAGCTCCAGTGTCTGAGAACAGGAGAAAATAAATGTCCCAACTCAAAAAGAGAGAGAATTTGCCTTTCCTCTGCCTTTGAGTTCTATTCCTGCCCTCAACAGATTGGATGAGGCCCACCCACATTGGTGAGGGTGGAAGTTGTTTACCAATTCCACTGATTCAGATGCTCATCTCTTCGAGAAACGCACTCACAGGCATTCCCAGAAATAAATGTTGTAAGGGTGGCCAGCTGTCTGGCATCTTTTAGCTCAGTCGAGTTAACACTTAAAAGTAGCCATCACAAGCCATTATCCTCAGCAAACTAACACAGGAATAGAAAACCAAACTCCATATGTTCTCACTTATAAGTGGGAACTGAACAATGAGAACAGATGGACACAGGGAGGGGAACAACACACACTGGGGCCTGTCGGAGGGAAGAGGAGGGAGGGAGAGCATCAGGATAAATAGCTAATGCATTCTGGGCTTAAATACTTAGGTGACGGGTTCATAGGTGGAGCAAACCACCATGGCACACATATACCTATGTAACAAACTACACATCCTGCACGTGCACCCAGGAACTTAAAAAAAAAAAAAAAAGGGTGTAGTGGCTCATGCCTATAATCCCAGCACTTTGGGAGGCTGAGGCAGGTGGGTCACTTGAGGCCAGGAGTTCGAGACCAGCCTGGCCAACATGGCGAAACCCCTTCTCTACTAAAAAAAAAAAAATACAAAAATTAGCCGAGCATGGTGGCGAGCACCTGTAGTTCCAGCTACTCGGGAGCCTGAGGCATGAGAACCGCTTGAACCCGAGAGGCAGAGGTTGCAGTGAGCCAAGACCACACCACTGCATTCCAGCCTGGGTGACAGAGCAAGACTGTCTCAAAAAACAAAACAAAACAAAAAACTAGCCATTGCAGTTAATGAATGAAAGACTTGATGTCTCAAATCCATCAAATTCCCTGCATTTCAGCTGCCTCTCTCTGGTTTAAGCCACTGTCATCTTGCTCCTAATTGACTCAGCCAGCTTCCTGATGGGGCTCTCTTCTAATCTTGCCAGTTCATTCCACATACTGTGAAAGAACACATTGACTCATGTTAGTCCCCTGCTTAAACAAAACAAAACAAAACAAAAACCCTTCATTGCCTCCCCGTTGTTCTCAGCCTAAAAAATCCATACATTCGCCTGGCTTTGAAAGCACTTAATTTTCTCTGGCCCCTGCCCACCTACCACACTGCCCCTCTGCCCTTCAGCCCATCGTATGCAGCCCCCCGACTTAGTCTGCTCCTCTGTCCACGGAGCCTTCAACTCAGTGTGTCCTCTGCTCACAGAGCTCCTGAGCTTCCGCTCCATGCAGAGCGTTTGCTTGTCCCCTGCTGCAGCTCAGTCTCACTTCCTCTGGGCAGCCCCTCCGTGCCGCTCTCCTGTGCGCGGCGCTGCCTTTTCACAGTACGGTTCCCTCGCCTACTCCTTCTCCATTCCCTGCACGTGCCTAGCACTCAAACGAAGGTTCAGCTCAGGATTGGATAAGCAACCAAAACAGGATCATCAACTGTACTCCATTAAAAACATGCTTTATTTCTGTCTGACATGAAGAATTGTATTTTTTAAAACATAAATGAATTTGATGTTCTATTTGAATGTTTCATTTGCTTTGATTTCAGATTGAAGAAGAAATAAAGGGGTGTTTGCAGTTTTTGCAATCTGTTTACTCAACATTTGGCTTCTCCTTTCAATTAAACCTGTCAACAAGGCCGGAAAACTTCCTAGGAGAGATTGAGATGTGGAATGAGGCTGAGAAGGTAAGAGACACACCTTGTGCTTCCTCTTCATTTTAGTCGTATGGAAGACACCTGAGAGGCTGCAGTCTTCACAGGAGGATGCAATAATTTGTAATAGAAATTTTGAACCTGGAAATTATGAGATAGATATATAGGTTGTAGAATGTGGTTATCCCATTATCTTTGTGACGGTGATAATAATACCTTACATTTGCTTCACACTTAAAGTTCATATCTGGCTTTTATTTATAGTCCTGCAGTGCTGGTCACTAATAGCTGGCCCAGGATTTTAAAGAAATCCTCTGATTGCTGTAACTCTCGGTTTGTGTGGTTTATTTTAAAGCATTGCCTGTTGAGTCATCTTAGTCCGACTGTAGAGTCCCAGGGCTGCATGGTCTAGATGTAGATGTGCATAGTCCCCTTCGTAGTCACGTCCTGTCGTGCCCTGCCCTGTGTCTGTCTGAAGACACTCAAGCCCAAAGATGTTACATCTAAGCTTTGCAAAACCAAGATAAGGAGATCATCACATTGCTTTTTTTTCTTAATAAACACAAAGGATATAGTGTGTTTCCTGTGTTCACTTTTATTAAAAATGAGGATGGTGTCATGGCCAGACACCCTGCTCTGCCTGTTAGTTCTCCTCTTCTTGGAATATAATAGTCCCCACTTATCCATGGGAATAAGACCCCAAGTGGATGCCCAAAACCCTGGATGGTACCAAATTGATGGCAATCAGGTTAAGGACACGTATCTGTTCATGCCTTCAACCCACAAATTTAATGCCCTTTCTTTTTTTCTTTTTTTCTTTTTTTTTTTGAGACGGAGTCTTGCTCTGTTGCTCAGGTTGGAGTGCAGTGGCGCGATCTCAGCTCACTGCAAGCTCCACCTCCCGGGTTCACGCCATTCTCCTCCTCAGCGTCCCGAGTAGCTGGGACTATAGGCCCCCGCCACCACACCCGGCCAATTTTTTGTATTTTTAGCAGAGACAGGGCTTCACCGTGTTAGCCAGGATGGTCTCGATCTCCTGACCTCCTGATCCTCCTGCCTCGGCCTCCCAAAGTGCTGGGATTTAATGCCCTTTCTTTTCTTAACTAAGCACTGTTCATGCACTGTGGCTGGAACTTTCGCAGTGTGAGGTGCAACAGCAAAAACTAGCATGAATTTCTTGTTCCTTCTTCACTAATTCACAACTTACCCAATGGATAGAAGATTTTTTTTTAACCATAGCTCTTAGCAACTTCAGCATAGGAGTCTTTTTTCCTTGTTAAATGGATAACTTTCACCTTTTCACTTAAAGGAAGCATTTTGTGGCTTCACTCTGGCATATCCAGATTGCTAGTAACACAACTCTTGTGCTTTGAGGCCATGGTTCAGGAAAATAAGGGTGACTGAACATAAGCACTGTGATACTGCATAGTTGATTTGATAAACATGGCAGCTCCCAAGTGACTAGCAGGTGGGCAGTGCACCCAGCATGGAGACTCTGGACGAAAGGACGGTTCACATCCCAGGTAGGGCAGAGTAGGAGAGTGCTTTATCCTGCTGCTCAGAGCAGTGCCCAATTTAAAACTTATGAGTTGTTTATTTCTGGAATTTTCCATTTAATATTTTCAGACTGCAGTCGACTGCGGGTAACTGAAACTGAGAAAAATGAAACCACAGAGAAGGGGGACTACTGTACTCCTGGGAGCTTAACACACCAATATGAGAAATAAGAATCAGAGAAGCCCTGGATTAATAGTATAACAATTATTTTTACGTGATTAATAGGTGCAGAAGCCGAGCAGAGGCTGCACAGAAGCAGTTTAGCCTTGAGCTCTAAGGAGGGCCTTCTCCTCCCCACTGACCCGTGCCCATCCTAAGCTCTTCTTCCACATCCACTGCATGGACAAAGAGGGCCAAATGAGATAGCCTATCTACCCTGGGAAGGATGCAGACTCAGTTTACCTAACAGCCATGTGGAAGCAGGAAGAGGAAATGAGGACACAGAGCTCAGCTCTGGAGCCATTTGCTCCAGACTTTAAAGTCTGAAAGTACTTTATCTCCATGAGTAAATTATAGAAGATCTATAAGCATCAGGATCCAGCATGAAATGGTGATGATGATAACGATGGTGGTGATGGTGGTGGTGGTGATGTAGCAATGACACCCACTTCCTGAGGGTATGGTGAACTTAAATGAAGGAATTTACATGGAGTGTTAGGCATAGTGCCAGGCACGTGTAAGTGCCCAGTAGATGTCAGGTGTTGGTATCGTTGTCATTACTCCATTCATTTGAAACTTGGTGGGGTGTGGGGAGCTGAAAAGGGGATGGACCAGGTATAGACCTGGCATGGGGAGAATAGGCTGGAAGTCCCAGCATTTTTGCTCCTTTCTTAATTAATGGGGGTAAATAGTTTAGCAGCCAAGCCTGAGGTCACCCAGGGGTGTGACTGGATGGACCTGCTTCCACTTTTGAGATATTTCTCTCCAATAACTAACCCTGGCCTGGAAATCACTGAGGTGAGCATTGAAATATTTTGTCTTCAGAAGTGTCTGAAATGGTTTGAAAGAGACACATCTTCATGTATCCGATGCTCTCTCGGCTCTGGCAGCTCCTACTGTGCCCTCCTGTCCTGTGTCCTCCAAGGCCCGAGGAGCAGCAGTGACCCCTGCTTTATCCTCTTCTCCAAAACTTGGCCTTTCCTTGGCTTTTTAGCTTCTTGCAGTCCCCAGAATTCTTTCCATCACTTGGTATCTGCTGTAGGAGGGCCTCATTTGTCCTGGAAACATGTACCTGTGTTCCTTCTCCTTTGAGAAACAGAGTGGAACAGGGGAGCGCAGCCTCCAGGCCCCGGAAGTGTCTCCGTGGGGTGGCTTTCTCTGGTCCTAAGTAGAAAAGAAGCTGCTTCTGTAAGATCAGGCCTATGCGGGACACTCCCAGGATCCCAGGAAAAAAATCTCCGTCTCTCTCAAGATCAGATCCTGACTGAGGTCCTGGGAAAGGCTGCCAGGACTCCAGGAGTCAGCTTTCCCAGGAGTCAGCTTTCTTGATGATGGCAGCTTCGGCCCTAAGACTCTGCCACGGCTCTGATTTCCCCATGAGGCGCGTCACTCCCAAGTCTGCCCCCTCATGGGCACCCGTATGTTGGAGGTGATGATGGGAGTTTGGCTCGTGTTTTGGCAGTACTTTTGGCCAAGGACTCAGGAATGCCCACGTGCTTCCCAGGGAAGCTGGATTCACGGGAATACTGGAAGACTCTGGGAAATTTTTCATTAATACACTTGCATCCTCACCTTCAATGTGGAACATCTTCACTACAAGCTAAGTTGAAGGCATGTGGTGGCTTAGGCTGAAGACAAAAGTGGAGCCTCATGCCTCCACACCCCTATAAATTATAAGTGACCCTCCCAGACACGTGCAGAGGTGAAGGAAAGGCAAAAAGGAAGTAGTAAGGCCTGCCCTCTTGGCCTTCTTACCCACCCAGACTCAGAGTGGAAGAGGGAGTGTGATCAAGGCTTTTCTGCTTTTTCATGTGTGGAGGCCCGTCACCAGGAGGCAGAAGCTGGTTGATGTGTAGGGCACAGGGGGCCTGTGTTGGGAGGAGGGTCAAAAGCGACCCCTCCCTAATGCTTACCTGGAATTCACTGGAACAATTTATAAATGATCTTTTCTCCCCAGTTGAAATGTTTATGTTTCTTTGAGAGCAGGTGCCACCTTAATCATCTCTGTGTAGTCCCTGCTCAATAGTTTATTGAATGTAAAAGATGCTCAATAAATATATGTTGAACTAACATAGACTGTAATGAAGAGTTATAGTAACTTTTGTGAGCTGTATGTAAAAAAAAAAGATACAGTGTATAATTGTATCTTTTTTCTTCTTTTGAAAAAGCAACTGCAGAACAGCTTGATGGACTTTGGAGAACCGTGGAAAATGAACCCAGGAGATGGAGCATTTTATGGCCCTAAAGTGAGTCGACCACATGCTTCAAAACAGCAAAATGTAAAAGAAAAATAAATACTCTTTTCTGAGCAAACATTATTTAATTTGTAGATTGACATAAAAATCAAGGATGCTATTGGCAGATACCATCAATGTGCTACAATTCAGCTGGACTTCCAACTGCCTATTAGATTTAATCTCACATATGTTAGGTGAGTGATTGAATGTGATAAATATTATAGTACTAATATTCTAATTTTTTGTCATTTGAGTATTAGCAATGCAAAAATAAACATTAGTGAATGTCTAGTATATGTGCTATACACGCAATATATATTTGTTTACCTGATCATAATCCAGTTGCGAATCAACTTGAATTTTCTGGTCTAGTAGCGGGAGGAAGATAAGTAAACATGAGAGTAGAGATATGAACAAAGTTCCATGAAAATATGATCCAGGCTGCTGACTCTCCCTGAGTTACAGGGGGAAGACTTCACAAAATGCTGGCATTGGGTCTGTGTCTTAAGGATGAGATGTTTTCTTGAAAAAGCAGGGGAAAAAAGGCAATTTTATCACTGTAAACCAACAACTTCTTTAAAAATAATACAGTAAAATTAACTCTGTGTGTGTGTGTGTGTGTTGTGTGTACAGCTTGATGGTTATGATTCTGTTGTTCTCTTGTGCTGCTCCTTTGTAGTCACACACTCCTCCTACTCCTAACCCCTGGCTGCCGTTAATGAGCTCCCCATCACCATAGTCTTGCCCTTTCCAGAATGTCATGTAAACGGAGCCATGCAGTATCGAGCCTTCTGAGACTGGCTTCTTTCACGTAGCACAGTGCTGTGGAGATTCATCCATGATTCTGCAAGTATTGATAGTTTGTTCCTTTCTGTCACTGACTAGTGTGCCATTGTGGATCCAATCTCTCATTGAAGGGTGTTTGGGTTGCTTCCAGTTCTTGGTGATTATGAATAGAACTGCTGTAGATATTAGTGTATAGGTTTTTGTGTGAATAGAAGTTTTCTTTAGGTTAAATAACTGGGAATGGGTCATATGATAATTAAATATTTAACTTTGTAGAAACTGCCAAACTGTTTTCCAGAGCAGCTGCACCATTTTGCATTCTCACCTGCAATGTGTAAAGAGTTCCAGATGTTCCACATCCTTGCCAGTACTTGATATTGTCAGGTTTTGTTTGTTAAGTAGTTCTAATAGGTGTGTAGTAGTATTTCATTATCTTTTGATTTTACATGTTTTTTAGTGGCTAATGATGTTAACATCTTTTCATGTGCTTACTTGCTATTCATTTATCCTCTTTGGTTAAAAGTCTGCCAAAGTCTTTTTGCTCATTTTTAATTGAGTGATTTGTTTCCTTACTGTTGAGTTTTGAGAATTCTTTATATATTCTAGATACTAGCCCTTGGAGGAATATATGATTTGCACATATTTTACCCTGGTCTGTAGCTTGCTTTTTCATTTTTTGTAATATCTTTACTTTCCCATTCATCCTGAGTTATTAAATACAATAAAGTTTAATTTCTCCATTTTTTTCTTTTATGGATCATGCTTTGGCATCATATCTATAAGCTCTGCCTAAGTACAGGCCATGAAGATTTTCTTCTATGTTTTATATTAAAAGTTTTCTAGTTCTAAGATCTGATGTGAGTTCATTGTTTGTGTAAGATGTGACATTTGGGTCAAGATTCATTGTTTGCATCTAAGTGTCTCATTATTCACACATCAGATGATGTAAGAACAGGCCACTATTTCACCATCGACTTGCCTTTGGATCTTTGTCAGAAATTAGTTGGACATATATATGTGGGTCTGTTTCTAGATTATAAATTCTGTTCTATGGGACCACTGATTATCCCTTTGTTCACTGTGTGAACATCACCGAGTGTGCTTACGCAAACCTGGGTGGTAGAGCCTACTACATACCTAGGCTAATATGGTCTAGACTATTGCTTCTAGGCTACAGACCTGTAAAGCATGTTACTCTACTGAATACTGTAGGCAACTGTAACACAGTGGTAAGGTATTTGTGTATCAAAACATATCTCAACATAGAAAAGGTACAGTAAAATTAGGTATAAAAGATAAAAAATGGTACAGTTGTTTAGGACAGTTACCATGAATGGAGCTTGCATAACCGGAAGCTGCTCCAGGCGAGTCAGTAAGTTGTAAGTATATGTGAAGGCCGAGGACATTAGTGTATACTACTGTAGACATTATAAACACTGTACATTTAGGCTACACTAAATTTAAATAATTTTTTTCTTCAATAGTTAATTAAGCTTAGCTTACTGTAACTTTTTTACTTTATACATTTTTGACATTTTAAAACTTTTGAATCTTTTATTATAGCACTTACCTTAAAACACAAATACATTATAGTTGTACAAAAATATTTTCTTTATCTCTTTATTCTATAAACATTTTTCTATTAAAAACTTCAAAAATTTTTACTTTTTAAGTTTTTTTGTTAAAAACTAAGACACAAACACATTCATCAGCCTAGTAGCCTAGGCCTACACAAGGCCAAGGTTATCGATATCACTGTCTTCCACCTCCATATCTTGTCCCAGTGGAAGGTTCCAGGGGCAGTACACGCATGGAGCTGTCATCACCCATGATAATAGTGCCTTCTTCTGGAATACCTCCTGAAAGACCAGCCCCAGGCTGTTTTACAGCTAACTTTTTTTTTTAAAGTAAGTGAAAGAATACACCTTAAATAACAATTAAAAGTATAGTGTAGTAAATACATAAACCAGTAACAGTTGTTTATTATCATTATCAAGTATGATGTACAGTACATAATTGTATGCACTGTCCTTTTATACAGCTGGCAGCATGGTAGATTTATTTACACCAGCCTCACCACAAACACCTGAATAATGGGAAGATTTTTAGCTCCATTATAATCTTACTGGACCACTGTCATGTATGTGCTCTGTTGTTGGCCAGAACACTGTTACGCAGTGCATGACGGTATATATATATACAGGCACAGCTTGTTTTATCATGCTTCACACTGTATAGCACTTCGCAGACGTTGCATTTTTTATAAACTGAAGGTTTGTGGCAGCCCTGTGTCAAGCAAGTCTGTCAGTGCCATTTTTCCAACAGCATGGGCTTACTTCATGTCTTTGTGTCACACTTAGGTAATTCTTGCAGTATTTCAAGCTTTTTCATTATTATTCTATCTGTTATGGTGATTAGTGATATTTGATATTACTCTTATAATTTTAGGGGGCACCATGAACTATACCCATTTAAAACGATGAACTTTACCGATAAATGTCGTCTGTTGTGACCACTCCACCGGCCCCTCCCTAATCTCTCTCCCTCTCCTCAGCCTTCCCTATTCCCTGAGACACAATAACATTGAAATTAGGCTAATTAATAACCCTACAACAGCCTGTAAATATTCATGTTTAAAGAAGAGTCATAAGTCTCTCACCTTAGATCAAAAGCTAGAAATGATTAAGCTTGGTGAGGAAGGACTGTTGAAAGCCCAGATAGGCCAAAAGCTCGGCCTCTTGCACCAGTTACCCAAGTTGTGAATGCAAAGGAAAAGCTCTTGAAGGACATTAAAAGTGCTACTCCAGTGAACACAAATGATAAGGAAGTGAAACAGCCTTCTTGCTGATGTGGAGAAAGTTTCCCTGAAGCCAAAGACTAATCCAGAGCAAAGCCCTAACTTTTCAATTCTGTGAAGACTGAGAGAGGTGAAGAAGCTGCAGAAGCAAAGTTTGAAACTAGCAAGAGGTTGGTTCATGAAGTTAAAAGAACCATCTCCAGGGCCAGGTGCAGTGGCTCATGCCTGTAATCCCAGCACTTTGGGAGGCAGAGGCAGGTGGATCACCTGAGGTCAGGAGTTCAAGACCAGCCTGGCCAACTCCATATGGTTGGTGAAACCCCGTCTCTACTAAAAATACAAAAATAAAAATAAAAAAATTAGCTGGGCGTGGTGGTGGGTGCCTGTAATCCCAGCTACTTGGGAGGCTGAGGCAGGAGAATCATGTGAATCCAGAAGGCAGAAGTTGCAGGGAGCCAAGACCACGCCACTGCACTCCAGCCTGGACAACAAGAGTGAAACTCCATCTCAAAAAAAAAAGCCATCTCCATAATATAAAAGTGCAAGGTAAAGCAACAAGTGCTGACGTACAAGCTTCAGCAAGTTATCCAGAAGATCTAGCTAAGATCAATGATGAAGATGACAACACTAAACAACAGATTTTCAATATATATGAAGCAGCCTTCTATTAGAAGAAGATGCCCTCTAGGACTTTCATAGCTAGAAAGGAAAAGTCAATGACTGGCTTCAAAACTTCAAAAGAGAGGCTCACCCTCTTATTAGGAGCTAATGCAGCTGGTGACTTTAAGTTGAAGCCAGTGCTCATTTACCATTCAGAAAATCTTAGAACCCTTACGAATAATGCTAAATTTACTCTGCCTGTGTTCTAGAAATGCAACAACAAAGCCTAGATGACAGCACGTCTGTTTACAGCATGATTTACTGAATATTTTAAGCCCACTGTTGAGACCTACTGCTCAGGAAAAAAAAAAAGATTCATTTCAAAAGATTACTGCTCATTGACAATGCACCTGGTCATCCAAGAGCTCTGATGGAGACGTACAAGGAGATTAATGTTTTCTCATGCCTATTAACACAACATCCATTCTGCAGCCCATGGATCAAGGCACAATTTTGACTTTCAAGTCTTGTTATTTAAAAATTCATTTTGGAAGGCATACTACACACTACATGCCATATACATTAACAACCTCATAAGCAATATTATTTTTGTTTTCAATCATAGTACATGTTTTAAAGAGCTTAGGAGGAGAACATTATATTATATTTACCAAATATTTACCATTTCTGTTGATCTTGTTTCATTCCTGATGTTCCAGGGTTCCCTCTAGTATCATTTCTCATATATCTGAAGATATAAGAGAATAAACAGTTTATTTAAAGCAGGTCGGTTGAAGATGAATTGCCTTATTTTCTTTCATCTGAGAATGTCTTTATTTTGTTGTACTTTCAAAGAAAATAACCTTCTTTGCTTGTACAATTCTGGGTTGATAGTTATTTAGTTTTAATATTTTAAAAATATTGTTTAAAAATATATATTAACTTAGTAGTATAGCAAGAGGACGCTTCTGAGGTTAATGCAAACTTTGAACACTCATCTTTTTTTTTTTTTTTTTTTTTTTGAGATGAGTCTTGCTCTGTTGCCCAGGCTGGAGTGCAGTGGGACAATCTTGGCTCACTGAAACCTCCGCCTCCTGGGTTCAAGCAATTCTTCTGCCTCAGCCTCCTGAGTAACTGGGACTATAGGCATGCACCACCATGCCTGGCTAAACTTTGTATTTTTAGTGGAGACAGGGTTTCACCATGTTGGCCAGGCTGGTCTCGAACTCCTTACCTCCGCCCACCTCAGCCTCCCAAAGTGCTGAGATTACAGGCGTGAGCCACCGATCCTGACCTAGAACACTCATCTTCTAATTTAAAAACAGAGACATCCATTTTTGTGTTAACCTTTGTTGCATCTCATTTCCAGAGTAAGTAGACATGAAATAAAATTTATGAAGGGAAAATACAGAACAATTTTGATGCTTACAGTGAGGTAAATATTAGAACATTACTGCTCCAATGATTCAGTGAGGATCTCGAAATGAATTCTGAAGTCTTCCAATGTTTGCATTTATTGGAGGGGCTCCCGAGTTCTATCAACTTGTTTTTTCAAGTCTTGTTCTCATCTTGTGCATAAATGTTAACGCTTCCCAAAGTAAAAACTTAGCTTTCTTACTTTTACTTTGTATTAAATTTAATACAAAATATGACCTGAGTAGTTAAAAAATATTTTACATTATTTGCAGTAAGATGTCATTAGCCCTTTCAAAGAGCAAATTTTAAAACTTCAATCTGGGTGAAAGATTGGCTAGTTTTATAGAAAGATTTGCCGTCTTAAACTCAAGCTGATTTTTCTATTTTTATGTAAATAACTGAGATGCCATCTTATTAATTCTTCCAAGGTCATGTTTGTAAAATAAACATTACATGAGAGCTTTCCTGTCATCTACACTGTATGTTGTTTAGAGTGTTGAACAAATTTGAGTTCCTAAGTTGTAATCTGTCCTCATGTGGTCTATGCTATTTGCACGTGTGCCACTACACGCTGAGATGATAACGCTGTACAATTTTAAATGGTAGCAGTTTCTGTAGGCTGTAGGCTGAAATATTTTGATGAACTGCTTAGTTTGGGGGTTTTATTTTTTAAGTTATATAATTTATTTTCTTGCAAAGTAAAAACAAAAAATATTGTTACACATGCTGCTGGCTTTTATGGTTTCTGATGAGAAATATGCAGTAATTGCAGTCACTTTTCCTTTATGTGTCACACGATTGTGATGTGTCTGTCTGTGGACTTATTCAAGTCTATGTTGTGGCGGTTTGAACTTCCTGAATCTGTAAGTTATTGGTTTGCAAACGTTGTATTGTTTTTCCATATTTCTTTGGTACTATACCTCCGCTCCTTCTGGGACGCAGGTGACCTGAATATTAGACCTTTTGGTATTTTTCCAGTTTTCTGAGGCTGTTTATGCTTCCTTCAGTCTTTCTTTGTATATCTCTCAGATTGGATACATTCTATTTACTTATCTTCAAATTCACCAACTCTTTACCATCTCTGTTGCTACTGAATCCATCGAATGACTTTTTAAAACTTTCTGTGATTGTAGTTTTCAGTTCTACAATCTCTGTTGTTCGTGTTTTGTGTTTCTTCCTGAGACTTTGGTCTTTCCAGTCACTCCAGGTGTGTTTACCCTGCTTCCTGGGGTACAGTTATAATGGCTATTTCTAGCCTTTGGTAATTCCATCATTTGTGTTTTCTTGCTGCTGGACTGTTGTTTGTCTTTTCTTCTCACAAATTGAAAATTTTCCTAATGATTCATATGCTAAGTAATTTAGGATTATATCCTGAATGTCTTGAATATTATGTTATGAGATGCTGTGTCTTGTTTAAATCCTAAGGCGGTTGTCTTGTTTTGGCAGTGAATCTGCCTGGTTAGGTTCAGGTGGAAATTTCCAGCCCACTTTTGTGGGCTGCGGTTCGGTGTCAGTTCAGTTATCGAAGCCTTTATAGTGATATTCACATCTGTTCCATGTGTTCGCCACCCAGTGGCCAAGTCCCATAGGTCATACCGTGTGCCAAAACGGAAAAGCTTCTGGGAGTTGACCTCTAACTTTTTGCCTGATTGGTACAGTGGAGTTAGTAGGACTCCGAAAAGTCTAATCTCTCCGTTTTGGAGGAGCAAGGGTCAGAACTATTAGAGAGAAAGTCAAACCTTCAGGATCAGTCCTACAACAAAATTGCTTAGGGCCATCAGAATGCAAGTGAAACTACTCATTTAAGGAGGACGTGGAGGAGAAACAAATCAGCCCAGCCAGCCATCATAGGTGTTGTGTGGCAAATGGCGAGTAGGCAAGCAAAGGTGGAAGCAGTGGATTGCAGACCAGGTAAGAAATGATGACAGTTGGAGCCAGGTGGCATAGAGATGAACAAAGTAGGGGTACTGGAAGTGTATTTTGGAGGAAGAACTGATGTGATTTGCTCAGGCTTATGTATGAGAGGAGAGAGAGAAGCATCAAGGTCATCACCATGATTGAGTAAGGGTTTTTCCCTAAAAAAGCAGGGGTGGATGAGAGTGTGCTGTTGTCATTCATTACATTCAGCATGCAGAAAGGCATCAGATAAAAGTTAACATTCATTCCTGTGAAATGAACAGAAATTTCCTTATCACGATAAAGAGCTTTTATCAGAAAACAGCAATAGCATCTCAACACAGTTGGGAAGAAGACGAATATGACTACTATTTGTATTGTTACTCAAAATTATTCTGGGATTACAAATACATGAAAGCAAGAGATAAAATTATTATTAGTAGATGTTAAAATATAGAGAAATCCAACAGAATCAAATGGAGAAATGGGCACTAATAATAATGGAAGGTAAAAATGCAAAAATCAATTTGCCTTCATAATGTTAGCAATAATCTGCTAGGAAATGCAATGGAAAAAACATTTCAGAAGCAACAGCAACCACAAAATAGAAAATATGAATAAACTTAATAAATATAAATATAGTCATGCATCCCCATAAATGTAGTCATGACAGGGATATGTTTGGAGAAATGTGTCGTTAGGCAATATCATTGTTGTGTGAACATCACGGAGTGTACTTACACAAACCTAGATGGCATAGGCCACTACACACTTAAGCTGTATGGGATAGCCTATTGCTGCTAGCTCCAAACCTGTGCAGAATGTTACTGTACTGAATGCTCTAGGTACTTGTAACACAGATCACTAGATGATAGGAATTTTTCAGCTTCCTTGGGTGCAGGACACCAGCGTGGCTCATGTATACATATGTAACAAACCTGCACATTGTGCACATGTACCCTAGAACTTAAAGTATAATTTAAAAAAAAATTTTTTTCAGCTTCTTTATAATCTCGTGGGACCACCATCATATCTGCAGTCCATTGTTGACCAAAATGTCATTAGGCAACACATGACTATAGATGTTATTTATAAGCATACGCTATAAGTTTTTCTCCAAGACCACAAAAAAGAGTTATTTAAATGAAGATTCGTACCACACTTTGGAATGAGAAGAATCAACATTGTGAAGTTATTCTCTTCAAATTTATCTATTAATCTAATATAATTGTAAGCAAATCCACTGGGGTTATTTTGGGGGAATTTGGCATTCATTCCAATGTTTATCTGATAGCACAGATGTGTAATCATAGTTTATGTCACTATTTGCTCTTCTTAAGTCTAGACATGATTCAAAGAAATGATGGGACAGAAATTTTGGATACCCAGGCTCTGTGAAAGGATCAGTTTGCTTCTCTTTCTTCCCTACACAAAATCAACATGATGGGATATTCAGGAATATTTCATACTGGTTTCAATTTTTGGGATGAATTTCTTCATATACCTGCATAGGAATGGACTCAAGCCGCTCACCCCTACCCCAAAGCTTCCTGTAGGGTCCAGACAGAGAGTTTTGCCTGCAGTTATTCTATAATGGCTCTTAGCAGAAATGGTTGGCAGTGATGATATCCAGTTACAACTCATTTGAAGTAGGTTTAATGAATGGGTTTCTCTGTTTTTGTTTGTTTTATTTTATTATTTATTTGTTAAATTTGTTTCATTTATTGTAGTAGTAGCTAGCTGGTATAATTTTTAGATAAAAATTTATCAAAAGAACTTTGTAAGTGTCGCATGTCACATTTGTTGCAATAATGTGAAATTTATCTTTCTGAGAAGCTTGTGCTTGTGCAGAGATCTTGAAGTGGCTTACTTCATTACAATTAAGTCATCATTTGCTTTTTTCATTTTTTTTTCCTAAGGGGAAGAGGGAATAATTAAATGTAAGATACACCTCATGAGGGTTTCAGGGAATTTGACCAGTGGACTTCAAGAACACATATCAGGAACATTTTAAAAATGAAGATTATAATGTGGGAGATAGTGGCAAGAATGGGGGTGCATTTGGATCAGATGAGATTGGCTGTGAGTTGACATTTTGTGAAGCTGAGAGAGGGTATGTGGAAGTTCATTATACTCTTCTCTCTACTTTTGTATATGTTTCAGTGCGCTCTAATAAAAAGTTTTTAAAATAAAAGAAAAAAGATTAGCAAAGAAAGCAATGAGAAAACAAGACAGTCACAGAACAAATAAGGTTAATGGAGAGATCTGATATCACTAATCTAAATCTATTCTCAAAATTAAATATAAGGCTAGAAGATAGTTATTGAATCTTAGGAAAAGACTTAAATGTATAATTTTCATTTTTTAGTAAGGATGGGGATGATAAGAAGAGACCTGTGATCATTCATCGAGCCATTTTGGGATCAGTGGAAAGAATGATAGCCATTCTTTCAGAAAACTATGGCGGAAAATGGTAAGTGATATGGAAAAGAAAAACTATATGTCTATTATTCTTTTTAATTTTTATTAATTTACTCATTTTTCCTTTTTAAAAATATTTCTATTCTTAAAAAATCATGTGTAAAAGAAAAAAGTAGTAACAAAAGAAAGGGCCTTTCCTGCCTTGTAATTAGCAATTGTCCAAACAGCAAATAAAGAATTCTTATTCGATTTGCCAGATCAGAAAATAAAAACTAAGGGAGAGTGGCATAAAACTGTACCATTTACCTTTTGGGGGACTCGGTAGAATTAAAGTTATCTTTTTACCTGTTTCAAGCCCTTCAGAGATCTAGTTGCTGTCCTGAAAACATGTGACCCACACTCCTAGGTACCACCTCTTGCCCTCCAGCCATCCTTCCTTCAACCCATATTGTTTGCCTTTGGGGTTCCCTACAGCCACTGAGGAGGAAAACATGTAAACCTGATTCATAAATGGCACAAACTCAAAGAGGATGGCTCAGCAGCACAGCCCATTTAGGATGACAGTGGGGAAGGGAAGTGTCCTAAAGTGCAGAATTTTGAGTGGTGCATCTTGTGGTCTTTTTTGAGTGGTGCATCTTGTGGTCCTTTTTGAGTGGTGCATCCTGTGGTCCTTTTTGCCCGGAAGGAAGAATGGCCGGAGATAAGGAGTTACATGGATGCACAGGCTCTAGTTACTGCTTTGGCCACAGAGTCAAAGATTTAGAACTAATTAGATTGAAAAACAAATTACATAGATTTGGGAAGCAGAAATGTGGATGATCACTCAGAATGGGCCAACAGAGGTGGTATTGCCACCAAAAGGCCCCCGCTGTTGAGGAATTTTTCAGTATTCCAATACAAGAGGACCCATTCTGTTAAAATCAGCTGCTTTTTCCCCTAGTTGTTGCTCAATGGCTCATGGGCAAAGTGGCCACTGGTGGATAGGCATGGGCTCAAAGACATGGACTTTGCCTCACTAAGTTCCATCTGGCTACATCTCTTCTGAGAATTCAGGTTGCCATCAGTCAGTGATTAATTGTGATCCCCCGGGATGGTACCATAACCTGGGGTAATAGCCAGTGGTCTTGTAGCAGGTTGATTACGTTGGATCCCTTTCATCATGTAAGGAGCAATGCCTCATTCTCACTGAAGAGAGACTCACTGTGGATTTTGCTTTGCTCTTCTTTGCTGCCATGCTTCTGCCAGTGGCACCAAATATGTACTTAGGTGCTGCCAGGAACACAACAGTGCTTCTGACTATGAAAGAGATTTTATAGCAAATAAGTAAAGCATTGCACTGACATTAAGGGATTCACTACTATCACCATGCATTCAGAAGCAAGTGGCTTTACTAGCAGTTATAGCACCAGCTGGCAGACAACATCTTGTGATGATGTATCCTAGTATGTGGAAATGCTGCAAACCAGCAACCACCTGTGAAATTTCTACCTCCCATTCCATTTTTAGAAATTGGCTAAGCATCTGCTCATGCAGTTTAGCTCTCTCTTCAGAAACTACTGCCCCCACTGCTACTATTGCCGGGCACAGTCCCTGCAGCTCCCACTGTGGACACTGGGCACCGGATGATACTGCTAGGGTCACTGCAACCAGTTCCTCCAAAAGCTCCATGTCTCTGCATCACCTTTCCTTGCCATAATGGATTCCATGTGGTGCCTCCTTCTCCACTCTGTCTTAAGTCAGAGTGCCATGTTTATACATTAGCAGAACCTAGATCACACCCATGCATACTACCATTCATGTCCAGCGAGACTGGGGAAGCAAATTTTTGAGCAGGAAACATAAGGTGGAAAGTTTCCCAAACAAAGTGTCTTCCAAAAGACCTGGGTAGCTAGAGAGTCTGTGTATATTCCTGATATTTTGTGATCATAGAGAAATATACTTAGGTATCATGGAGTTTCTAAGCTGTTGAAGTTACAGTTAAGCCAAAAGTATGGGTATGAATATGTATGCCGCCTGAGTATGAGTTAACATGTTTATATTTCTTTCCAGTTGGTTTTAAATAGTTTACCATAGGTAAGAGATGATGGTGTTTTGCATTAGAATGGTTGCAGTGAAAGTGGTTTAAAGAAAAGAGAGAGAACTAGTGAAATAGGAGATGGAGAGGGAGACAGGAGGTGGTTGGGGCCAGTGCACTGAGCATGCCTTCCTTTGTCGCAGAGACGGAAGTATACTCCCTGCACTTCATACATCCAGACTTCAGACAGCAGTCAGCCTTGTGGGGAAATCTCCCCAGGAGCCAAAAGTAAAGATGGCTAAAGTGTGGGTCCTTGAGAGGAGTAGGGCTGGGGATGGGATAAGGACAGAGCTCAAAAGGAAATATGTAGTTGCCATTATATACCCTGTATTTCTGTGTTCTACCATTTATCATGTATTGTTTTGTGTTTGTAATTTGAGAATAAATATATAAATATGCACATTTATAAAATGCTATCTGAAATAGTCCTCCTTGCATGTCCTTTCACCTTCAGACTAAATACTCACTATGACAGGGAAAGGGCAAACATGTCCCACAGCGGACACTGTTTATACCTACCCTGCCATCTTTTTTATTCTAGAAAAATTATATTTTGAAATAATTGTAGGTTCGCATGTTGTTCTAAGAAGTTATATAGAGGCCGGATGTGGTGGCTCACGCCTGTAATCCCAACCTTTGGGAGGCCGAGGTGGGTGGATCACCTGAGGTCAGGAGTTCAAGACCAGTCTGGCCAACATGGTGAAACCCCGTCTCTACTGAAAATACAAAAATTAGCTGGGTGTGGTGGCAATGGCTGTAATCCCAGCTACTCAGGAGGCTGAGCTAGGAGAATCACTTGAACTCGGGAGGCAGAGGTTGCAGTGAGCCGAGATCACGCCACTGCACTCTAGCCTGGGTGAGCAAGATTCCATCTCAAAAAAAATAAAAAAGAAGTTATACAGAGAAGTCCAGCACACTCTTTACCCAGTTTTCCTCAATGGTAACATCTTGCAAAACTAGATACAATATCACAGCCAAGAACTAGACATTGAGACTGTCCACCAACCTTGTTCCGATTTCACCAGCCTCACATGCACTCATTTGTGTGAACGTGTATTTAGCTGTGTCACACGGACAGATGGTGTAAGGCCACCAGTCAAGGCACAGGACAGTCCATCACTTGTAAGGCTCCCTCCTGCTGCCCTTTTTTCCCCACACTCAAACCATCCCACCCTGTCCTCCTATCTGACAGCCATGAACTTGTTCTCTAGCTCCATCATTTTGTCATATAAAGAATATTACATAAATGGATTTACAGAGTACACAAACTTTTGAAGTAGGCTTTTTTTTTTTCACTCAGTGGAATTCCCTTAAGAGCCATCCATGTTGTTTTGTTTCGAGATAAATTAGTTGGTTCCTTTTTTTTTTTTTTTTTTTTGCTGATGGTGTTCCACGTTCCACAGTGTGGATGCACCACAGTTTGGCCATTCACCCGCTAAAGGACATTTGGGGTGTGTGTTTCCTGTTTGGGGCTATTATAAATAAAGCTGCTATGGACGTTAGTGAGCAGTATTGTGTGTGAACCTGCGCTTTCATTTCTCTGGGACAAATGCCAGGAGTGCAATTGCTGGGGCAGACAGTAAGTGCATGCTCAGCCCTTTGGGCTGTCTGCCAGCTCATTCTACCTGCACTTGTGCTATCAAAATTCCAAAATTCTCCTTTCATTTACTTTGCTGCCTTCAAACTTTAATATAATTTAGTTTTCTTCCATGCTGCGCTACTGAAACTGCCCTCTTGTGAAGTCTTTAAAAGAATCTTTGGTTATTTGAAAATCATGTAATAAGTAGCCATTATTACACTTTGAAAATACATATTTTATATATATTTTTCAGGCCTTTCTGGCTATCTCCTCGTCAGGTGATGGTCATCCCTGTGGGGCCAACTTGTGAAAAATATGCACTTCAGGTAAAATCAGAGGTGTTTAAAGTACATAATAATCTTGCATGTATTCTGTGTAGGTCATCGATTTGGAGTGTCCTTCATGCTTTAAAATATTGCAGAACTGACACATTAGCTTAAACCGTGTTTTCAGCAGGTGGGAGTAACACACGAATCATGTCTCTGCAGCTGTCTCAGAACTATTTCATTCTTAATGTTTTTTGAGAAATTAGTATTTTAAAACATATCATAATTATTCATTTCTACACAGCTCTATTAGGGAAGAATATTATCTGTTGCTGTGTCACAAGTGACCCCAAAACTTAGCAGCTTTAAACAACAAACATTGATGATCTCACAGTTCCTACGAGTCAGGGTCTGGGAGCAGCTCAGCTGGTGGATTCTGGCGCAGAGCGTCTCCTGGGGCTGCAGTCAGGCTGTCAGCCAGGGCTGCGGAGCTCGGGGCTCGCTCACAGTTGGTGGATGCAGCTCCTCATCACCTGGGTGCTTGCTTGCCTGAATGTCCTCACTGCATGGTGGCTGGTTTCCCCCAGAGCAAGTGATCTGAGAGAGATGGGAGCTGCAGCCTTTTATAAACTAGTCTCAGAAACGATGCGCCGACACTTCCGCACTTCTTTATGGTCACGCAGACCCGCTCTGGTATAGTGAGCAGGGAACTATACAAAGGTGTGAATACCAAGAGTGGGGAACAACGGGGTCTTCTTGGAGGCTAGGTACCATAATGTAACAGTAAAGGTGTTTCATTTTCTTCTAGGTATCCAGTGAATTTTTTGAAGAAGGATTTATGGCTGACGTTGACTTGGATCACAGTTGTACACTAAATAAGAAAATACGAAATGCACAGCTGGCTCAGTATAATTTTATTTTGGGTAATTTAAGTTTGTATATATTTTTCCAAATGCTTTTTTTTCCCACTTCAATTCCAAAAGACCAAATAAGAAATATGGTTCAACTACTTGATTATCATGATTTGTCTATTTAATACTTACACAAAAGGAAGAGTCCATAGCATTCCTAGCTTAGCTGTTCCTAGGTACTCTTTGTTGTTTGCTGGAAGAAGAGTTGTAAAGTTTCACCTGAATCCCCTGGGATAGTTTTACTAGCAATAGTTCATATTGCAAGCAAACAACGAAAACAACTCTGAAAATGATCCCATCAGTAGAATTATATACTTTATATTTCAGCCTCACAGGCCTGTAATATTTTCCCTCACTTTTCTGGCTTATTAGGAAACTTTGGGATTAAACTAACAGAAAGAAAAGATCCCAAATTTAAAATGATCTAAAGGAAAAGATTTAGATGAAAAGTAAAATGTCCTTTTAGCATATGACTAATTAGATGCAGAATCTAAAATTTAGGCTTTAAAAATGATTCCAAAATTAAGAGAAACTAACACTGATATAACTGCAGGCACAGTATTGCTATTTCTTGTAAGTTGAGAGTCTGTAGAAGGCGAAATAAATATGCATAGCATTGTTCTATTGACAGTGTTTCAATGATAATGTTTGACACCAGAGTAGGTATTGTGCTGTTTCAGTCAGGCTTCTTATGGTGGCAGAAATCTCAACTTGGTTTAGACAAAGACAGCATTTGTTGGAAGGGTCTTGGAGTATCCCATGACATGAAAGGTAGAATTAAATAGCCAAACCACTAGAAGAGCAATCAGGAGCTCAACCCTCACCAGGAGTATTTCTCCCCATTTCTCGTTCCTGTCTTGCTCTGGTTCTTTATGCTTCTCTTGAATATCTACCTTATTCCACTTATCTGCAGACCGGTTTCTTCCTTCTGTGTGGCAAGAAGCATGGCTGTAGATTCCTGCATCATCTCACAATATGGGTCACTAGAGAGAACAAACTTTTTACCCACATTCCAGAAAGTTCTGGCTGGCTCGCATGGGTCTGGTGTCCACTCCTTGGCTCATCAGGTATGCCAGGTGGAGTCAGCGTGAGCCTGTAAGAGCTCCCCGCTCTCATCTGCACCCTAGTGCCAGGTGGGGTCAGTGTGAGCCTGTAAGAGCTCCCCACTCTCATCTGCACCCTAGTGCCAGGTGGGGTCAGTGTGAGCCTGTAAGAGCTCCCCGCTCTCATTTGCACCCTAGTGCCAGGTGGAGTCACTGTGAGTCTGTAAGAGCTCCCCGCTCTCATTTGCGCCCTAGTGCCAGGTGGAGTCACTGTGAGCCTGTAAGAGCTCCCCGCTCTCATTTGCGCCCTAGTGCCAGGTGGAGTCACTGTGAGTCTGTAAGAGCTCCCCGCTCTCATTTGCGCCCTAGTGCCAGGTGGGGTCAGTGTGAGCCTGTAAGAGCTCCCCGCTCTCATTTGCGCCCTAGTGCCAGGTGGAGTCACTGTGAGCCTGTAAGAGCTCCCCGCTCTCATTTGCGCCCTAGTGCCAGGTGGAGTCACTGTGAGCCTGTAAGAGCTCCCCCCTCTCATTTGCACCCTAGTGCCAGGTGGGGTCAGTGTGAGCCTGTAAGAGCTCCCCCCTCTCATCTGCGCCCTAGTGCCAGGTGGAGTCACTGTGAGCCTGTAAGAGCTCCCCCCTCTCATTTGCACCCTAGTGCCAGGTGGGGTCAGTGTGAGCCTGTAAGAGCTCCCCGCTCTCATTTGCGCCCTAGTGCCAGGTGGAGTCAGTGTGAGCCTGTAAGAGCTCCCCGCTCTCATTTGCACCCTAGTGCCAGGTGGGGTCAGTGTGAGCCTGTAAGAGCTCCCCGCTCTCATTTGCGCCCTAGTGCCAGGTGGGGTCACTGTGAGCCTGTAAGAGCTCCCCGCTCTCATTTGCGCCCTAGTGCCAGGTGCAGTCAGTGTGAGTCTGTAAGAGCTCCCCCCTCTCATCTGCACCCCAGGACCACAAGAGCTGTTCTCTCAGGTGGACAATAGAGAGATGGGATCAGAAGTCATTGCTTCCCTCAAGAAACTTAACTATCAGAGGATGAACCAAATGCTCATTAGATGATATTTAATATTAGTGAAGAAAAACTTGATAAAAACATGTCATGGGACTGCTGACTTAATGTTTGGTAAATTGCTGATTTAAAATACATTTCTTTACCTTTCTTTTCTGCAGTGGTTGGAGAAAAGGAAAAGATAGATAATGCTGTAAACGTGCGAACAAGAGACAACAAAATTCATGGAGAGATTTTAGTAACTTCTGCCATTGATAAACTGAAGAATCTCAGGAAGACACGGACACTCAATGCTGAGGAGGCCTTTTGAAGTCCTTCCCTGATATTTGCTTCTGTGTAACTTTGTTTTGACCCTTAAAAATGTATTTTTCTTAACATGTTAGTACTTCTACGACTTTGGAGCCACTGATGGGTCCACTCATGGCCTCAGCTGAGAAAGGAGACGATGAACGTGTAGCTGACATGCACGAAGTTTAATTTACTCATGTCCACGGGGGACGTTTAGAGGGCACGTGGGAAATTTTCCAGCAATCAATGCCTTGAGAAACTTAAATGGGGAAATATTATTCATCGAGAAAGTGAAACAAAACACTAGGAAATGATTATGAAATGTTAGTGATTTTCAAAAGATGGGCTTCAAATAAAAGTCTGCAGAGTTTTTTTTAAATAGGAGGGAAAATCTTATTTTCTAATATGTCTCAGGTATTTTTATGACTTCTACTAAAATTCACACTGAAACTTTATCTTCTAAACTGGAATCATTACTTAATTTTAACTAACCAACAACCACAAAAGCAGCAGCTACTGCTAAATATTGGATTACTGACAAAGGAATTCAGTTTTGTGGAATCTGGTGTTTGCACTATAGGTTAAGAGTTGCCATTTAAATGTTTCTTATTCATAATTAGGTTTTGTTCCGCTTTAGAAAAAAATAAATTCCCAAATGAATTGCATCAGTGTTTCCAGCGTTTCAGCTGTGGGCTTCTACCACCACTAAGCCGCTCACCTAGAGTTGTTACTTTTTTGATGGGATGACATTCCATGGATTTATGTACTGAAATGGATTTCAGATTTTAAAGAGAGGAATGCTCTACGTGCTCAGAACTGAATTAAAATGGCATTATGTCAATAGAGAATTCAGCTACCAAACAAGAAGTATTGTTTATTTTGCGATATGCTGTGAAATTCAAAAGAAATGTAAGAAATAATCTCTTTTCAATATACTGATCATTTAGTTAACTTCCTGAGGGATGTGAACAGTGAAACAGTTGGCAAACAAAACAATATATATCAGGCTTGTGTAGTAGTATAAGGTGCAGATTGTGTGATATGATTTTTATTATTTATTTTTTGAGACGGAGTCTCGCTCTGTCACCCAGGCTGGAGTGCAGTGGCGCGATCTCGGCTCACTACAACCTCCGCTTCCCGGGTTTAGGCGATTCTCCTGCCTCAGCTTCCCCAGTAGCTGGGACCACAGGCGCGTGCCTCCACGCCTGGCTAATTTTTTTGTATTTTTAGTAGAGACAGGGTTTCACCGTGTTGTTAGCCAGGATGGTTTCGATTTCCTAACCTCGTGATCCGCCCGCCTGGGCCTCCCAAAGTGCTGGGATTACAGACGTGATTCACCGCCCCCGGCCGTGATACGATTTTTAAAGCTAACATTCAGGGCTTATGTGCCGGCACTTTTCCATGTATTTTTTAAAAAGTCATTCAGCAAACATGCACGTGAGGGGGTGGTAGTCAGAAGACCGCGGAATGAACGATCCCGAAGCACGTGGGTGGGAGGAGAGCACCTGTCACCAGCGCTTTCTCCCAGGTGTGCTGTGACAGAAACCGGCAAGGGTCTCCGCAAGCTGGGGCCTGAGCGCGGCTCCCCAGACGGCCGCGACCTTCCCCAGGCAGGGCTGGGCTCTGGACCCTCCCCTCACTTCCCAGCGCCTCGGGCCATCCTGCTTCTCCAGGCCTGAGAGGAACTTTCTGGAAGTGCTGCGTATCTTCAAGAGGCCGGCCAGAAGTGAAAGCCGCGGCAGGCCTGAGCGCCGGCCCCAGGGGAGGGGTCCCTCGGGCCCTCGTCGTCCCGGGGCCGCTTCCCCGACTGTAAATAAGTGTCTTTAGGATGAAACGCCACGCGATAGTGTCCTCGGAACCTTCGCACGAGATCCAGCACACAACATCCGACCACACACTGGGGCGGCCAGCCTCCCGCGTTCGCCCGCCTCTGCTCTTGGTTGCTTCGGGCGCGCATTTCGGTCCACGGATGACCTTTAACAGGTCTCCTGCAGTGGAACCAGGGGTGAGGGCCTCGTCCAAGGGCGTGAGGGGCGCGTGGAAATGGAACAACCTCCCAGGCTCGCATCCTCCTCGGGGACCTCCCAGAAGGCTCAACCGGAAGAAAACCCGCGACCCGCGCGAGGACAGCGAAAGCGCAAACGCCGGCCGCCAGGAGTCGCAGCGCGCCTGCGTCCAGTTCACGCTCCGGCTCCCAGGCGCGCCCCGCCCCCCGGCCCGGAAGTGCGCAGGCGCTGGCAAGATGGCGGGAGGGGTGCTCCCGCTGAGGGGCCTCCGCGCCTTGTGTCGCGTGCTGCTCTTCCTCTCGCAGTTCTGCATTCTGTCGGGCGGTGGTGAGTCAAAGGCTGGGTTCAGCGCCGGGTGGGGCTGAGTGGCAGCAGGGCCCCGGGAGCTGCGAGGAGGCCGGGCCCACGGGCGGACGCTGACGCGGGGAGGAGGCCGAGTGCCGGGCTCCGGGCCGCTTGTCGCTGCATCTGGAGTCTGGCGCCCTGGCCGCCCGGCCCGAGGCCGCCCCTCCGCTCCGGCGACACCGAGCCCGCCATCGCGGCTGCGGAGCCCTGGCACGGAGATGGAGCGCTTGGGGGCTGGGCCGGGGAGGCGGAACTGGAGCGCGATGTCATCCTTCGGTCCCTCGTTGCCGGCTGACCTGAACTGATGTCTACTCTGTTGACGTTTCGTCCCTAAGCTTTGTGTTTTCTGGCTGACCAGCCGTGAGGTTTTCATGAGCAGCTTATTGGCCTGGTGTAGACCCGCCGTGTTAACCACACAAAATAAGGTTTTCTTGTCCCGGGATAACGTGTTTCTCTAATTGTACGATCCTTAAATTTAGAGCAATCGCAGGCGCTGGCTCAGTCAATAAAGGATCCGGGCCCAACACGCACATTCACAGTAGTTCCCAGGGCAGCAGGTACTAGACGTTTTCTATTCTAGTAAATACATGTAGTTATCTCTAGTAGTTTCTCTTTGTTTTTATAAAAATTCCCTTTAGTATACGAAGTCACTTTCCATTTTTGAATATTTATTGTATTTTAGATTATGTGAATTAAGGGTAGATACACAGCCATTTTCAGTAGATAGTCTTCGTATTTATACCTTTTGACGTTTCTGCCTCCTCTCTTTTTCCAATCCCACGCTCATTTGTCACCTTATTTCTATTATTTTTCCACTTCATCCATCAAAATAACCTTCAGTCCGTGCTTCTTTCCCTTCAGCAAATTTCCTCTACTGCTAAAACCCTGTTCCTGATGTTGGAATATTAAAGGCTCCCTCAGGACTGTGGAAATGGAAGGATTACAGCGGGACTGATGGAGACTTGAAATCTAGATCTGGTTTTGCTACTGGGATCTTGAACAAATTATTTATCCTCTTTGGACCTTGGTCCTCATCTTTAAAGCGGTGGGGTTGGTCTGACGACCTAAAGTCATTTCTGCTTTGTGATTCTAAGTGTCCACCTTCCAGCCACATAGTCACGGGATCAAAAAGAGTATTTTGTAGAATTGTTCCTTAATACAGTGAGTAAAGTAGGACCAGTTTTAAACAAGCATTAGTGTGTTTTGCTAGGTGGAGGCTCTGACTATAATTTCATCACTTTAAAGTGACATTACTTCAGTGAATTGAAACTGGCAGAGATATTTTACTGATTCTTATTTGGATGTAAAAAACAGCAGTGCACTTGAATTTTAAACTCAGATTACTTTTTAGAGAAAGCACAAGAGTTCTTAACTCTTGCAGGCTTTTGAAAGCCCTTCTTTTCAGGAATACTTGCAATTTTGATCCTTTCAGTTGGTAAAAATACATTGCACACTCATTAGGTTGGTTGGAAATAAGTTGCAGCTTACTGAAGATGTTATTAAAGTAGAGAACTGTTTTGAACTTTGGTAGCGTAAAACTGTAAATATTATATTAGCAAATGTGGCTTATCGAAGTACCAGTGTGAAATAATGACATTTTAAAGTTGATGCCCTGAGGATGTCAGTGGCTTCATTTCTGAATTAGTGAATTCAGATGAAAAGAACACGGGATTGGAAATGGAGAGATTTGGGTTCTAGTTCCAGTTTTGCCACAGACTTCCTCTGTGATTTTGCAAAACCCTACTGTAAGTTTTTTTTCAACTTACAAAATGATAGTCTTTTTTTTAAGCCCTTAATGTATACCCAGAATTTTCTATACATTATTTGTATATGAGCACCTTTAGTTTTCACGGCCACGTGGGAGGCAGGAATGAAGTAATGTTTTACAAGTGTGGTGCTCACCAGGTCCCACAGCTGGCCGTGGGCAGAATTCTGCTTTAATTGCAGGTGTCTCTGACTCCAGTCCCATGCTTCTTCCCTTCCAGTGCAGTGTCTACTTGCTAATGATCACGTCTCTTAACCTTAGAAGATTGTTCTCTGTTATTCGAATCAGTATTATAGGAGAATAAGCTTCTCTCTTGCCTCTCACAGAAAGTACTGAAATCCCACCTTATGTGATGAAGTGTCCGAGCAATGGTTTGTGTAGCAGGCTTCCTGCAGACTGTATAGACTGCACAACAAATTTCTCCTGTACCTATGGGAAGCCTGTCACTTTTGACTGTGCAGTGAAACCATCTGTTACCTGTGTTGTAAGTACTGCAGCTTACTTATTCTAAATAAATTCATTGTAAACTTTAAGTTAGAAGAACAATTCAGACTTGATTATTGGGAAGAAATTCTGAAGAATTTTTATATTCTTTTATGATTTCCCTTTTGAGTATGTAAGCAGAAATAAATTAAAAAACCCAATAGACCTTTCCATATCAGCTCACTACTGTTTTAGTTATAATGATAACTGTCAAGCCAGTTGATGTCTGCTGGAAATGCACTTGACAGAAATGTTGCTTTGTAGGACTGGAGAAGATCTCAGTCTACTAGCATATCTGAAGCAAGTCTAATTCGTTCAGATGGATTCTGTGTTCTCAATAGTGACAGCTAGTGTACAGAGGGGGTGGCAGTGTCTTTCTGCCATAGATGAGCTTTTGAAGGGCCAGTGCTTATCTGTGGTGAGAAGATGGATTCAGTAAATGCCGGAATGCCTGGTAGCTCTCTAGAACAAAATTAAGTGGAACGCCTGTCTTATCCAGAATAAATTCCAGATAGTCCAAAGATGTAATGTGAAAAATGAAACCCTGAAGTACCACAGAAAACACCAGATAGTTGCTGTTATAATCCCAAAATGGAGAATATTTTTCTAAGTATGAAATAAAGTTTAGAAGCCATAAAATAAAGAATTGATACATTTGACTCCTAAAAATTGGAGATTTCTGCATGACCTAAAAAAAAAAGCATAAAGGCAAAAGACATGGCAAACTAGGAAAAAGCGTTTCTAGAATATGTGACAAATAATACAGTAATATCAGTAATATATAAACACTTCCTAAAACCCACACGGAAAAGATGACAGTCTTGTAGAAAAACAGTGTTAGGACATGAGCAGATGGTTCATAGGAAAGGAAATACAAATAGATATATAACATGAAAAACATATAAGTTTTCTCATAGTATTTAATTAATACATTTTTAACCCTTAGATTGGCAATTTTTTTTTAATTTGATTAACTCTGAGTTTGTGAGAGTATAAGGGTCAGATGCTCATATCTTATTAATAGGTAATCAAATTGATCAACCTCTTGTAGGCGATTTGCCATATCTGTTAAACTTACACATGCACACAATCGTTGAGCTCGTAGTTGTACATGTAGGAATTTATGTTATAGATATCATTATACATGGATGCAGATAAGTGTGCTTATTTTTTAGCTGCATTGCTCATTAAAGCAAAAGATTCAAAAGAAGTGAAATGTCTAAGAACTGCTTAATTTATGGTACACGTGTAATAGAATAAACACCTTGTAGCCATTAAAAAGAACTAGGCAGCTCTAGAGGTAATGTACTGATAGATGTCCAAAATTAAGTGAAAGTATTGGGGAACATTAAATGTAGGTGACATAAATGTGCCTATGTGTAGAATCAGCTCTCTCTGGAAGCACAGAGCGTACTTGGCCTGGGGAGGGCAGGGGCTCCCGGCGGCTGGGCCAGACGAGGCCGGCTCACTTCTCACTCTCCTGTTGTGTCTTGACATGTGTTCCATGTACATGTGTCACCTACTTTTTAAAAAACCATTAAAAAAAGTGTGTTTTAAGCACATCACTGAAAATAGGCAGATGTAAACGTATTATTTTGCAGATCCAACTGTTTGCCTAAATCAAGTGATGCCTTACCCATATTTGAATGTTTTCCATAAAAAGTGGTTTTTGCATTGATAAGAAAATGAATAGTACTTGCTTCATCAGCGCATATGCCAAAGTTGGAACCATACAGAGAGAATTAGGATGGCTCTTCTGCAAAAATGACATGCAAATTTGTGAAATGTTAAAAAAAATAACAAACATGGGCCGGGCGTGGTGGCCTACACCTGTAATCCCAGCACTTTGGCAGGCCGAGGCAGGTGAATCACCTGAGGTCAGAGGTTGAGACCAGCCTGGCCAACATGGTGAAACCCCATCTGTACTAAAAATACAAAAATTAGCTGGGCGTGGTGGGGTGCGTCTCTAATCCCAGCTACTCAGGAGGCTGAGGCAGGAGAATCGCTTGAACCTGGGAGGCGGAGGTTGAAGTGAGCCGAGATTGCACCACCGCATTCCAGCCTGGGCGACAGAGCGAGACTCCATCTCAAAAAAAGAAAAAAAAATAATGTGTGTATGTGTATATATATGTATACATATATATACATGATGCTTCCAGAGATGTGTGACCACATAAAAATGATTTTGAAAAATATGCACTGCAATGTAATGTCAGGTAGAGTAAAAAGACTACAAAGTGCTTTCAGTATAATTCCATTTTAGTAAATTTATAAATATACATGTAGAAGAAACGGAAAGAAGATTAAAAGTGGTTAGCTCTGAACACCTATAGGTTTTTGTCTATAATCTTCAAATATGTAACATACAAAGAACATTCTACTTTTGTAAGCAGAATACAAAATAATGGCTTTTAAAATTGAAATGAAAAATTCTCTGGCCACCAGTGAACACTCACTGAGCCTCCACACACCATGTGGTGCTTCTGAGTTGGGCTGCCTCTGGATTAAACATGCCACATGCCCTGGTGGTAGGAGCAGCTGTAACAACCCTGAGTTGCCAGGCTGTGCAAGGTAGGGGATGTTAGGGAAGGTTGGCAACTCGGAAGCAAGGCGGTGTGTTAACCATTACAGAAGCATCAGGCTGGAGTTCAGGGACCTGGATTCCACTCCTCACTTGAAGCTCAGTGACCTTCAACAAATGCATTCATCAGTTCCTTCCAGCCATCCGTGATTGTGACTTTCTAAAATAAATTTTCCTCTTTTCTGCATTATAAAAGTATACGTTTACTATGAAAAATTTAGCTAAGCAAAAGTTATGAAATAATTATATCACCCTGAAATAACCTTTGCTATTTTGATGTGAATTTATCTAGTTTTTTCCCTTAAGTACATATGTTTGGGTGTGTAGTTTTATGATTATGAGGTCACATCATAGGCATTTGTTTTACATACATATTGTTTTGGTAACTGTTTTTCTGGCACTTACTCCTAGGTCCTAAATACAAGCATTTACGGAATTTTGTGCCATGTGACTGTGTAGTCTTACTGACATCTTAACAGACTACACCATTGTGATTGATGAGTTTTGTGTCATTTGCTACATAGGATCAAGACTTCAAATCCCAAAAGAACTTCATCATTAACATGACTTGCAGATTTTGCTGGCAGCTTCCTGAAACAGATTACGAGTGTACCAACTCCACCAGCTGCATGACGGTGTCCTGTCCTCGGCAGCGCTACCCTGCCAACTGCACGGTGCGGGACCACGTCCACTGCTTGGGTAGGTCAGAGTTCAAGGACATTTGTCAACAAAATGTTTTTCTCCAAGTTTATTGAAGGGACTTTAACCAGAAATTTGCGAGTCAAGTTACTTAATTAGAAACATTTATCAGCAGCTCTTTAGATGTGCCAAGCATCATCAATAAACTCAACGTACTAAAGTAAAGCATCCAGAAAATTGCAGTTCTTTTTAAATGTAATATTTGATAAAATAAGAAAAACATTTGAAGTATAAAGCATAATACACAGTAATTGACCTTTACCCAAAATAACAATGAAAGCAGCACCAATACCATTGCGGCCGCCTGAGTGCCTGAGTGCTTGCCTTCACCTGGTTGCCTTTCCTCCTCTTCCAAGGTAACCACCCTTTTGAATTTTTTATTTCACTTCCTTTTAAATTTTTTCTGTAGTTTTATTGTCTATATGTAATAAAATAATATTCAATAATGCATGTTTTAGAACCGTGTAAAATGATTTCAGGCTGTGTGCTCTTCTGGGACTTGCTTATTTCCTAAACATTGTGGCTCTAGGATTCATCCACGTGACTTCTCTTCTTTTTTTTACTTCTGTGTAATAATCTATTGTAAGATTGTATCACAGTTTATTCTCCAATATATTTGGTTAAGTGCTGTTTTCCGCTGTTGTGACTGTTCAAATTTCTTTGCCTGTCTCCCAATGGCACAGGTGCAAGAGCTTCTTCAGCATGTACTTTCCAGCGTGTGTCATTCTTTAAATGGCTGTATTGACTGGCATTCCCACCCGCGCTATGTAACTGTTCCTGATGAGCCATATTCTCTCCAAGAGTGGTTATTCTTAAATTTGGTCTTAAAGTTGTCTAGACTTCTTTTATATTTTGGATATTACCTGTGCTGTCCCTGAAACCCTCTCCCAGATTTTGATTTTTTTTTTTTTTGCATTATTGTATATTTTCATGAACAGAACTTTAAAAATATAATTACTGGAAGTTATTAGAGTTAGTCCTTTTTTGTGGTGGTTTTAAGAAATCTTTTTCTACCCCAGGTTAATAAAGACAATTTGCTACATTTTCTTTTGAAAGTTGTAAGTATAACATTTCACATTTAGGTTTAGAATCCACCTGGAATTGGTCCTGGTAGATGGTGTGAGGTAGATTCTACTTTAATTGTCCCCCCACATGGATGGCCAGTTGTCTCAACTCTTCCCTGTTGATCCGTGTGTGACCTCTGTCATAACACTCATACATGAAGTGTTTGTATATTTCTGGTTCTTGACTTTCTCTTCTTTTCCTATTGGGTGATTTTTATGCCTCAAGACTACACTGTCTTATATACTCGTAACTTCCCCGTAGGTCTTGATATGTGGGTGAGCATTTCATGTTCCTCACGTTGTAATCCTAACTTAGCTGATTTAAATATTACATCTATGTAGATAGATGGTAAGCGCTTTGTACTCTTCACTTCAACATGTATTACCGTAAAGAGAGTTGACTTTTCACATTTTAAATTTTGAGCCCATTTGTTACAATTAAGTCTTTCTGAGAGTATTTTTTATACCCTGTATTTTTCTTTCTTTTTTTTTTTTAAGGTAACCGTACTTTTCCCAAAATGCTATATTGCAATTGGACTGGAGGCTATAAGTGGTCTACGGCTCTGGCTCTAAGGTAAGCCTTGTTACTCGTAAGTGTAAAAGGCCGTTTGCATTTCTTTGGGATTGGTGGAATCTTCAGACATTGAGCTCAGTCCCCTTCATTCTTCACTCAGATCCTACCACGTGTGTTAGACTCTAGCAAACAGCTGGAAGAGTTTAGATGATCAGACCAGTACCTCCGTGGAGTTGACTGGCAGGCATGTTAGCTTTTCTCCCAAGATGCCTGCACATTACGTTTACCATTCTGAATGTACCACGAATCAGTAAAATGCTGTGGACTATCCAAAATAGGCAGTTTTATGATGTATATCTTTAATTTTAAGTAACTATTATAAAAAGTAATACATGATGAACACTGAAAACTGGAAAAATGAAAATGACAAAAACATTAAAAATTACCTATAATTTCATCAGCAGCAGATAATTATAGGCTTATATTTCTTACATAGAAATGTGCTGTTTGTTAAACTTCTCAACAGTACTTTAAGAAATTATAGCAGTTCTTCCCACCAAAGGGAAGGGCAGGTAAGACCCTGGTTAACTGATTAGTGAAAAGGTTACGCTGCCTACACTTGAAGTTTTGAGTTCGTGCCTGAGACCCTGAGGCCTGCAGCATTGCAGCCATAGGGCAGGATTTCTCAGCCTCATCACTGCTGACGTTCTGGGCTGAATGAGTTTTTGTCTTGGGGCTGTGCTGTGCATAGCAGGGTGTTGAGCAGCATCACTGGCCTCTACCTACTACTTGTCAGTAGCAAACCCCCCATCCCTTGCAGCTGTGACAGTGTGTCTCCAGATGTTGCCAGGTGTCCCCTAGGGGACAAAATTGCCCCTTGCTGAGAACCACTGCATTAGAATTTGAGCTGAGGAAAGAAGGATCTTGCCTGGCAGGAAAAGTGTAACTGAAAAGTAAAAGAGGGTGCCAGGATAGAAAATGAGACTAACAAAAATAAGATAGGGCGGGCGCGATGGCTCACACCTGTAATCCCAGCGCTTTGGGAGGCCGAGGCTGGCGGATTGCTTGAGGTCAGGAGTTCAAGACCAGCCTGGCCAACATGGTGAAACCCCATCTCTACCAAAAATACAAAAGCCTGCCATCGTGGTTCATGTCTGTGGTTCCAGCTGCGTGGTAGGCTGCAATGGGAAGATCACTTGAGCCCAGGAGGAGGAGGCTGCAGTGAGCTGGCATTGCACCACTGCACTCCAGCCTCAGTGACAGAGTGAGATTCTGTCTCAAAAAAAAAGATTAGTAACCATTGCTGACAATGGTTCAAATTAACAACTGGCTTTTTAAAAAAATAAATAAATGTTTGAAACTTGGAATAATTTTAATTTACAGAAAAGTTGCAAAGATAGTAGAGTTCTTATATACCCCTAACCTGGTTTCCCTACATTGTTAACCTCTTACAGTACTATACTGTAACATACTTTCAACAATTAAAACTTCTCAGCACTCAACATGGTTTTTTTTTTTTTTTGCTTTTTTTTTTTTTTTTTTTTTTTAACGGAGTCTCTCTCTGTCACCCAGGCTGGAGTGCAGTGGCTCAATCTCGGCTTACTGCAAGCTCCACCTCCCAGGTTCACGCCATTCTCCTGCCTCAGCCTCCCGAGCAGCTGGGACTACAGGCGCCCGCCACCACGCCTGGCTAATTTTTTGTATTTTTAATAGAGACAGGGTTTCACCGTGTTAGCCAGGATGGTCTGGATCTCCTGACCTTGTGATCCGCCTGCCTCAGCCTCCCAGAGTGCTGGGATGACAGGCGTGAGCCACCGCGCCCGGCAACATGGTTTCTTTTAAAATCATCACTGTAATGAGATGATGCCCAAGGTTTGCTTCAGGGTACTCTGGAGGGGAAAGAGGAGGGTTTTGATGAAACACAGCTGGCCAAGTGTTGATTATTGGAGCTGAGTCATGGGTACTGTTCTCTTTACTTTTTATTGTTAGGTGTTTAGAAATTTTCCATAATATAGTTTCAGTATTATTAGATCTTAGAATTTAAAAGATCCTTAAATCTTTTAAGGATTTATTCCTAACATTAAGATTTTAGAGATGAATGAAAAAATAGACTGAAAACATGGATGACTTGATCCAGGTCGTCCAGGTGGTGGTGAGCTCCTCCTGACTCCAGCCCTGACCCCGTGTTAGTGCACTTCCTGTTAGACTGGGTCTTTGCTTTATTTTGACTAAAAAGCAATGAGATTGATAACTTTAAAAAAAGAAAACATTGGTTTTTTAGTACAGCTAAAAATTGTATGTTTACTTTTGACATTTAAACTGTCTTCCTGCCCGTAATTATTTGGTGGTGTCAGTTTGTGAAATAGTCACTTGTGTTCCAGTTAAGGGCTACGATCAGGGGAAGCCCTTTCTCAAATCTGACATAATGTGGTGATTAAACCGTGACTGGCCACAGCTGGGGTGGAGGTGGTCTCATGGAATCCTGTCTGTTTGCCATCGCAGCATCACCCTCGGTGGGTTTGGAGCAGACCGTTTCTACCTGGGCCAGTGGCGGGAAGGCCTCGGCAAGCTCTTCAGCTTCGGTGGCCTGGGAATATGGACGCTGATAGACGTCCTGCTCATTGGAGTTGGCTATGTTGGACCAGCAGATGGCTCTTTGTACATTTAGCTGTGGTGTGTGCTTCAGAAAGGAGCAGGGCTTAGAAAAAGCCCTTTTGTCCGTAGGAGTTGATGTGGTGTGAGTGATATATTTCTATGTTTTTAATGTACAGCATCTGTACTTTGTTTGCCTTGATAAAGGTAAGATAAATGAAACGCTGAACTATGCTAATCTGGAATTTGTTTTTATTTGCCTGAAATATATTTTTTTCTGTGAAAAAATTAAAACGTACTTAAGCCAGGAGAATGAATTATACAGTGATTGAAAATCCATTTAATTCCTATGACTTTTGTTTTGTATTGCCCAAGTCAAACTACATCACTTGTATCTCCAGCCCAAATGTAGTCTGCCTTGAAAAGTCTTTCAGCTGTGACTGCAGGAAGTGGGAGTGTTTTTATTGTTAGCTAATTGCTGTGACTGCAGGAAGTGGGAGTGTTTCTGTTGTTGGCTAATTGAAGTTATTAGGCTCAGCTTCAGTCATGTGTAAGTTTTGCAGTGTAATACATATGTAGTCTGGTCTGTATATATGAAAATTTGAATTAAACTGCAGAATGTTTATGTCTAGTTATGGTTTAAATTTTCTTAGTAGTATATAAAAGGTAAGAGTACTGAAAAATTAATAAAATTGCAAGTTAAGAAATACTGTGGGCCTGTTTTCTATATTAAATATAATCTTGAATAATCATTACAACTTACCTTTATTGTTAAGAATAACATTTTTATCTTTCAGGGCATTACTCCATTCTAACAGAGTCATAATTGGCTGGTTTATTGACACAGTGGAAATATATAAATGTTTTTGAGTATAGATCTGTTATAGACCCTTTATCGGGGAAAAAAAACTCAGTTATTCAAAAAGATTTTTACTCAAGCTTGCTTTTGAAACATTTAAAAACTTAGCATTTTTTCTTTCAAATGTGGGTATCTGAGTTACTGCTTTTTAAACACTTGTGTGTATTATCCAGAAGACTGTTAACCACCATATCATATCTAGAAGCTATAAAATATCTGCATATTTCATTCAGCAGATGATTTATTGATTTCAGTTTACCTGAAAGGTTTCAGTGATCACTTGCTGCTGTTTAAAGCACAGTCCTTTTCTTAGTTGAGTGACAGTTCCATCTCTCGTCGCTAGGTGGCGCATCCCCATTACATTTGCTTCCCCATTCTAGTTCCAGAAACAGAAAAAAAAACTGGTTTTGTTTTGTTTTGTTTACGAGGAACTTGTCACAGAGCATGAGCAGTTCTTCAGGATGGGAGTAACCCGGTTTATGTGGACCTTTCTTTCTGAGAGCAAAGACACACTTTTTGTATCCGTTAAACTGTTGATTGAGCAGGTGTTTCTTTAGAAGACGATCTTTTCTTCAAGAAGTAGCCCCTTTGCTAACTATAATAAAAATGTCTCCTGAGTCTCCTTATGTAGCTCTGTGTAGAAGAGAATCTAATACTTCCCTGTTGAGCAACCATGCAAGGTGGAACCAGGGAGTCGGTGGGAAGTTAGTAGGAAGTATGCATTGCCCTTGGTGGAAATAGGTAACAGCATCCTTGATTAACCATTTTTGTGGCTCTGGGGCCTGAATTAGATAATGAAGCTGCAGTGTCTGAGAGTAAAGCTCAAAGATTCAGAATCCATGAAAGGAGGCATAAATGAACTTGTTCCCAAATCCTAAAAAGTTTGCACAAGGGCATAGCCCTTGGAACCTGAAGGATGTAAGCCAGTCAGGAATGCTTCAGATCAAGGACTTTGATAGAGCTGATGGCCTGAGACAGAACTAGCAGGAAATACGAAGAGATTTTCAAATAGTACAAACAAATTTATGAACGATGAACTCATACACAGCCCCAAAAAGAAACTGCAAAGTAAAACTATACTTTCAAAGGGCACTAGGGAGTGTGGGTGCAATCTCTTGTAGCAAATCCCATGGGCCTCTGCTGGCAGCAAAATGCCATGTTGGAGTCTGACCTTCAGGTTCTATTCCTCTGCTGTCTTAGATTTTCAGGATTGCTATAACAATACCATAAACGGCGTGGCTTAACAACAGAAATTTATTTCTTAAGAGTTCTGGAAGCTAGAAAGTCCAAGATGAAGGTGCTGGTAAATTTGGTATCTGGTGAGGGCCTTCTTCCTCATAACATCTTCTCACATCCTCACATGGTAGAGGCAGGGAAGATCTCTCTGGGGCCTCTTCTATAAGGGCACTAATCCCAATCCTGAGAGCTCCACCCTCATGACCTGATCACCTCCCAAAGGTCCCACCTCCTGATACCATCATTACAGTGGTGAGGATTTCCACATGTGAATTTGGGGTGGAAAAGACACAAATACTCAGTCCATCATGTGTGAGCTATGGGCTCTGACCCAGGGATATGATTAGATAGCCATCCTGTTCACACAGGTTGGGAACCATATCAGTCAACCATCCTCTATTGATAGTTCTCTAGACACTCAGAATTTATCACTGCAGCAGGCCATCTGTCATGATTTCCCCTTAAGAATCTCTACCTTGCTTTGTCAGCTCTCTTCCATTTACCCCAGTAATGCCTCACGGGAAGGTGCTGGGTTATTTATGTCTACCCCCTCCATTGTCCCTAGAACAATGCCGTGCACACAGAGGCTCTCATTTATTTGCTGAGTTAATGCCACGGGTGTCCTCAAGGTTTTGAAGGGACTGTGTACAATTCCAGGGACTGGCAGTTGAGGTGGCTGCAAGGAGATAATATATAGAAATTGGCTTCAAGTAAATATTTGTCTGTAACACCATGTTGATCTGATTTCTGCAAATTGCTGAGGAACAACTGGTTTATGGTGCGTATAAAAAGATTTTTTCAAAGATCTTATGCTTCAAGATTTTAAAATGTAAAAATACCTTCTCTATGCCACACAACTTCATTTCTCTGTACTTTTTTTTTAATGCCTTATGCCAGACTTGCATTTATTTTGGGCATATATCATCAGCTACGGAATATGCAAATGATTTTAATTCATCCTGTAAGCAATGAGTGGAAAATGAGCTGTACCTGATGCAGCTTCTCAAATACAACATTGAAAAAGCCTGAAAATGAAGGCACTACATAAGTAGAATATGCATAAAAAGGAAAAAAAAAAACACCCAGGAAAAATGGAGGCAGATTCCTCCGCTCCTGCTCTAAAGCTTCCCCTCTGTTCTGCCCTTTTGGTAGAGTATGAAGTGTCACATGAATGTTAGGGGGTAGACACATTTTTTAAACTTTTATTGTATATACATCGTATGCGTTTCTTTCATGGTAAGAGCACTTAAAATCTACTCTTAGCAAATTTATAATATGATAACTGTAGTGATGCTATGCACTAGACCTATTGGTTAATTTTGTAACCTAGGCAAATTTGATTTAAATTCTTTTAAATGTATTGAAATTGTCTTCCATAAACACAACACTTTTATGCAAAATACGCTTTGATGGAGACACGTGGACATAATTTACTAAGGCTCCACGAAGGCAGGGCTCTGGTTCTCTGCTGTAGCTCAGCTCTGAGAGCCCTGCCGGCCATGCAGCAGGTGCACAGTGACTAGGAGTTTGATGAATGAGTAAGGAGGAATTGCTGGGAGTAAGCTAAACACCTAAAAGTATTGCTGAGAATTTTTAAAGTGGTAGAGTGCAGCTGGATTGCAGCATCTCCCTTCTCAAATACTTAAATGATAAACACACTGTAGGAAAAGCCAGCACCTCCTTCCTGCCCAAAACCAGCAAACAAATGAAAACTCCACAGCGAACAAGCAAAAGGATACAGCCAAATGCCAAAAACGTCAAAAAATTGTGAATACAGGGAAAAAAAATTATTGCTCAGGTGTGTAAGATTACTCCCGCAAATGGCCCTGCTGGCGCAACAAAACTCAGAAAGTCTCACTGGAGGCCAGACGTGGTGGCTCACACCTGCAATCCCAGCACTTTGAGAGTCCGAGGCGGGCAGATCACCTGAGGCTAGGAGTTCGAGACCAGCCTGGCCAACATGGTGAAACCCCCGTCTCTACTAAAAATACAAAACAATTAGGTGGGCGTGGTGGCAGGTGCCTGTAATCCCAGCTACTCAGGAGGCTGAGGCAGGAGAATTGCTTGAACCTGGGAGGCAGAGGCTGCTGTGAGCCGAGATCATACCATTGCACTCCAGCCTGGGCAACAAGAGCGAAACTCTGTCTCCAAAAAAAAAAAAGGTGGGGGGGTCTCACTGGTGAGGAAAAACAGGTTAATTCGGAGAAAGAGAGGTATCTATATCTTTCTCCTGTTACTGCTGGGGGAAGTGAAAAGGGCTGCTGGGAAGAGACCAGTGAGAGAGGGCTCGTGAACAAACAGGAGGGACTCTGATGGGTTCAGGGGTTCCCTGCTGAACCAGATAAAGGATCCAAAGCCTGGGGTGACCCCCAGGGGTCATTGCATCATTCCCTGGGGAGGAAACTTTGATTCAGGACATTTAGAAAATCCTAGTCAAGAAACCAGAGACCAGATATTCTAGCAAAGATATAGTCTCAGCTGAGCTTTTCCCTGCCTCACTCCTAGCTATCAGGGCACGGAATGTAGAATAGAACACAAAATACAACTTGCAAAATGCTCGAAGAGAAAACCAAGGGAATTTGTTCACATATTATGAAGTTGTCCTTTTACATGAGAACAAAATGAAATGACTCACCACCCACTAGAATGACTATAATAAAAGGCATTCTTAACCTGCCTGCGCAACGTAGTTACGCCTGTCTCTAAAAAAAATAAATAAAAATAAGCAGGTGTGCGCCTGTGGTCCCAGCTACTTGGGAAGCTGAGGTGGGAGCGATCTTTGAGCCCAGGAGGTGGAGTTACAGTTAGCTACTGAGGACTAAACTCTGACCTTTTTTCCCTCTTGCCCAAATTCCTATCTAAGGGGCTGGGGAGTTGCACCTTATAAAATCTCAAAGCAGTTTTATTTAACCCTATGTGATGTGGCTTACTTTCCAACCTGACTCTGGCATAACATCACATGACAGATAAATCAAAATATTTTAACCCCAAATATGTTTCTTTGCCATATCTTGAAATGGCCCCGCATAGCTGTCTCTTGGAAAAATCTACATTCTGCAAAGAATCCCCTTCCCTTTCAGGTCTTTTCCCTGACACAGCAGAGAATCAGTCACAAATCTGGCACCTTTTTCAGTCTAAGAAACATTTCCAATCTATTCTCTCTGAAGCTCGCAATCTGGAGGCTTCATCTGCATGATAAGAACCTTGGTCTCCACAATCCCTTATCATAACCCAGACACTCCCCTCTGTTGATTAGAGGTCTTTAGACAATAACACTTTCAACCAATTGCCAATTAGAAAATCCTTGAATCTACCCATGATCTGGAAGCCCCTGCTTCGAGCTGTCCTGCCTTTCCAGATGGAACCAGTCTGCATCTTACATGTATTGACTGGTGTCTTATGTCTCCCTAAAATGTATAAATTCAAGCTGTAGCCGGACCACACCGGGCACATGTTCTTAGGACCTCTTGATACTGTGCCTCACTCATATTTGGTTCGGAATAAATCTCTTCAAATATTTTACAGAGTTGGACTCTTCATCGACACTGTGACCACACCACTGCACTCCAGCCTGAGCCACAGAGCGAGACACTGTCTCTAAAAAATAAAAGAAAAAGAAAACACAATAACAAGTATTGATGAGAATGTGGAGAAATTGGAACCTTCATATATTGCTGGTGGGGATGTAAAGTGATGTAGCTGCCCAGGAAAACAGTCTGGCAATTTGTGAAAATGTTAAACATAGAGTTACCATGTGACTTGGGGAATCTTCTAGGTATACACCCAAGAGAAGTGGAGATATGTTGTGAAAGTTGTCAGCACCAAAATGGGGTCACTTAGGTCAAACCCTAGCAAAATGAATCCGGGAGGCCCTGAAGGAGGAGTACTCACGCACATGTACCTATGATAAGAACTATTACAAGGACTCCCTGGAAACCATAAACACTCCATGTTAAGCTGCTGCTGTGAAGACATCTCCCCAGCAACAGCCAGCGTGACCAATGAGGAGCTATGAGCTTCAACAGTCAAGAGTTTTTGTTTCAAACCAGCTTACATGACTTTCTCCTTTTTGTCTTTATAAAAGTTTGCCTTGACCCCAGCATCTTTGGGTGTTTCTTGGTTCATTGTGGCATGGGTATCTTGGATTGCAATCCCCCACCAATCCCAGATAAACTCCTTTGGAGAGCCTATCTGTCTATTGTTATTTTAGGTTTTAGGACATACACTAAAAAACTCGTTTACAGCACCATTATTCATAGTAAAAAAGTGGAAACAACCCAAATGTCCCACTGATGAATAATACATAAACAAAATGTAGTTCATTCATATAATGGAATACTATTTCATCACATAAAGGAATGAAGTACTGATACACACCATAAGGTGAATAAACCTCAAAAACACGGTGCTAAGGGAAGAAAGCCAGTTACACTTTAAGCTGGTAACCTTTACAGCATATAAATTACTTCTTAATAAAGCGGTCTTAAAAAAAAAGAAACGGCTCAGTAACCACACATACATATGATAGAAGGGGAACGAGAGAACCCAGATGAAAGGAAAGACAGGAAGAAACACAGTCTGCGAAAGAAAGATGAAGAGTTCATCTTGAGGAAAATATAATCCAAGAAACACAGGAAAAGCCCCTGCGAAAACTCTGTACTATAGAACACTTAAGCGTATTTCTTCATTCAGCGAAAGTACTGAGCCCCTATGTGGCATGCACCCTCCTGAGCCCTGGGGATTTAGCACTAAGCTAAGTTCTTCCTTTCATGAAGCATGTCATATTCTTGTGCACAAAAATATAAGCACAAAGAGATGATTCCACTGAACCCCCGCCCCTCCCCATCAAGCAGGGAACGTTGATTTGTCCACACTGGAATAGATGCTTACTTTGAACACGGATTCGCCTTCTCTAGCTTTATTCACTGTTTCACACAAGATTGCTTCTGATCAAAGAATTTATTTCACAGTAAAAGAAATGTGGCACCAAAAGTGAGTTCATGCTGAGAAAGTGGAAAATGGCCCTGATAGTAGCCAGGCTGTGATTTTAATCACTAAATATAAAAAATGCTCACAGATTGCAAACAGTATTCCTTTTTTCTCCCTAGTTTCTTAAGGTAGATGCTTGGGTCACTAATTTGAGACATTTCTCCTTTTCTAATATAAGTATTATAAGTAATGCTATAAATTTCCGTCTGAACTTTGAGAACATTTCACAAATTCTATTATGTATAATTTAAAATATTTTATAATTTCACTTTTGAATTCCTTTTGGTCAAAAGATTTATATTATTATTATTGAGACAGGGTCTTGCTCTGTCACCCAAGCTGGAGTGCAGAGGCACGATCTCAGTTCACTGCAATCTCCACCTCCCAGGCTCAAGAGATTCTCCCACCTTAGCCTCCCGGGTAGCTGGGACCACAGGTCTGCATCACCATGGTGGGCTAATTTTTAAATTTTTTTCTAGAGGTAGGGTCCCACTATGTTGCCCAGGCTTGTCTTGAACCCTTGGGCTCAAGTGAGCCTCCTGCCTTGGCCTCCCAAACTGCTGGGATTACAGGCATAAGCCACTGCACCTGGCCCAAAAGATAATTTTTAAATAAAGCATTTAAAGATAATTGTTTAAATGAGTTATTGGTCTTAAAAATGTCCTCAAAGACATTTTCAAGATATATTTTTGTACTTAGTTTGTAGCTGGTTTTCACTGTGGTAAGAGAATAAAATTTGTATTATTTTAGTTATTTTAAATTTGTTGATTTGCTTTATGGCTCACATACGGTCTATCATGCTGAATGTTACATGTGCACTTGAAAATAATGTGTATTCCACTGGTCCAGGTCATGTGTTTTATCAGTGACGATTAGGTCAATTTGCTTGATAGTATTTTTCAGCATTTTTCTATCTTTGCCAATATTCCGTGTTCTTATTCTGTCAATTACTGACAGAGAAATGTTGCAGTCTCCAACTCTAATGGTGGCTTTCTGTATTTCTCTTTTCAGTTTTTTGTTTGTTTGTTTGTTTGTTTGAGATGGAGTCTTGCTCTGTCGCCCAGGCTGGAGTGCAGTGCTGCGATCTCGGCTCACTGCAACCTCCACCTCCCAGGCTCAAGCAATTCTCCTGCCTCAGCCTCCTGAGTAGCTGGGATTACAGGCATGCACCACCACACCTGGCTAATTTTTGTATTTTTAGTAGAGACGGTGTTTTGCCATGTTAGCCAGGCTGGTCTTGAACTCCTGGCCTCAAGTAATCCACCTGCTTCGGCCTCCCAAAGTGCTGGGATTACAGGCATGAGTCCCCATGCCTGGCCCAGACTGGACATTTCTATTGATATGCTTTTGAGTTCATCGATTTTTCGTTCCTCTATCATCTCTTGTCCACTACTGAGGCAGCCCAGTGAGTTTTTAATTTCAATTATTATATTTTTTGTTACATAATTTCCCTTGGTACCTTTTTATATCTTCTATTTATTTTCTACTTTCTATTTGTATTAAGAGTGTTAGTAATTGCTCAGTGAGGCATTTTCATGATAGTTGCTTTAAAATTCTTGTCAGGTAATCCCAATGTCTGAGTCTTCTCAACGCTGGCACCTTTTGATCATCTCTTCTCAATCAAGTTGTGAATGTCCTGGTTCTTGGTATATGGATTTTTTATTGTCTCCTGGACATGTTGGATATTATGTCATAAGAACTAATTGTTTTTTCTTTTAAATTCTTCTTCTTTTTGGGTATAGTCTGCAGGCCCAGGTGGGGCTTCATGTTCAGCTCACTGTTGGACTTCATTGACATCACCCTGAAAAAGGTGGATTTTTGAGGAGCGTGAGAAGAAGAGCATGAGAAGTGCTGAATTACACTGTGTTGTTGCAGATGAGCGTCCCTAACCACAGCAGTCCTTGAAGAAGAAAGATGGTCTGATAGGAACTGCTTATTCAGGAACACATTGCAAAATCTGTGGGTGTCCTTCGGGATCTGAGGGCCTCACTCCTACAACTGCAAGGAATTGAATTCTTCTAACAGTGTGATGAGGTTGGAAGAAGACTCCAAGATCCAGAAAGGAACACAGTCCCACCAACACCTGTGTTGTAACCTGGTGACACCCTGAAACAGAGAATCCAGCTAAGCGATGCCCAAAATATTCATCCACAACGTGTTGTTTTAAGCTTCCAAGTTTCTAGTAATTTGTTATAAAGCAATAGAAAAGTAATATATCCTTTCCGAGGCTCATCTTCATTCCAAACGTTCCACATTTCCTTCTGTTATCATTTATTTTCTGTCGGAATTACTTCCTCCAGCAAAAAAATTTTTAAGGCAGTTCTGCTGGTAACAAATTTTCTTAGATTTTCTTCATCTGAGAATATCTTTATTTCACCCTCATACTTGAAAGTTAGTTTTGCCAAACATAGAATTCTGGGTGACAGTTTTTCTTTTTCTTTCAGCACTTGAAAAGTCTTATGACACGTCCTTCTGGCCTTCATGATTTCTGCTGAAAAATATGCTGTCATTTGAATAGTTTTAATGCTGTAGGTAATAATTGTTTTCTGGCTGTTTCTAAAAGTTTTAAATTTGTCTTTAGTTTTCAGATGTTTTATTGTTATGTATTTGGGCATGGATTTATTTGGATTTATCCTGCTTGGAGTTTGCTCAATCTCTTAAATTTGTCAACTTATGTCTTTTGCCCAATTTGGGAAATTTTCAATCATTTTTTCTTCAGATATTTTTGGGCACCACACTCTCTTTTCCATTGAGTCTCTGATCACATTAATTTTAGATTGTTATCGTCCCACGTGTTTGTGAGATTCTATTCATTTTAAAGTCTTATTTTCTCCTTATTTAGGATAATTTATATTGATCTAGCCTCAGATTCATTGTTTCTAATGTTGTCTCCACCTGCTATTCAACCCATTCAGTGACAGCTTCTTTTTATTCACATATTTTATTTTTCAGTTCTAAATTTTGTGGTAAGTTTTCTTTTTTTTTTTTAAGAAAATTTTTTTTTTATTATACTTTAAGTTTTAGGGTACATTTGCACCTTGTGCAGGTTAGTTACATATGTATACATGTGCCATGCTGGTGCACTGCACCCACTAACTCATCATCTAGCATTAGGTATATCTCCCAATGCTATCCCTCCCCCCTCCCCCCACCCAACAACAGTCCCCAGAGTGTGATATTCCCCTTCCTGTGTCCATGTGATCTCATTGTTCAATTCCCACCTATGAGTGAGAATATGCGGTGTTTGGTTTTTTGTTCTTGCGATAGTTTACTGAGAATGACGTTTTCCAATTTCATCCATGTCCCTACAAAGGACATGAACTCATCATTTTTTATGGCTGCATAGTATTCCATGGTGTATATGTGCCACATTTTCTTAATCCAGTCTATCGTTGTTGGACATTTGGGTTGGTTCCAAGTCTTTGCTATTGTGAATAATGCCGCAATAAACATACGTGTGCATGTGTCTTTATAGCAGCATGATTTATAGTCCTTTGGGTATATACCCAGTAATGGGATGGCTGGGTCAAATGGTATTTCCAGTTCTAGATCCCTGAGGAATCGCCACACTGACTTCCACAATGGTTGAACTAGTTTACAGTCCCACCAACAGTGTAAAACTGTTCCTATTTCTGCACATCCTCTCCAGCACCTGTTGTTTCCTGACTTTTTAATGATTGCCATTCTAACTGGTGTGAGATGGTATCTCATTGTGGTTTTGATTTGCATTTCTCTGATGGCCAGTGATGATGAGCATTTTTTCATGTGTCTTTTGGCTGCATAAATGTTTTCTTTTGAGAAGTGTCTGTTCATGTCCTTCGCCCACTTTTTGATGGGGTTGTTTGTTTTTTTCTTGTAAATTTGTTTGAGTTCATTGTAGATTCTGGATATGAGCCCTTTGTCAGATGAGTAGGTTGCGAAAATTTTCTCCCATTTTGTAGGTTGCCTGTTCACTCTGATGGTAGTTTCTTTTGCTGTGCAGGAGCTCTTTAGTTTAATTAGATCCCATTTGTCAATTTTGGCTTTTGGTGCCATTGCTTTTGGTGGTTTAGACATGAAGTCCTTGCCCATGCCTATGTCCTGAATGGTATTGCCTAGGTTTTCTTCTAGGGTTTTTATGGTTTTAGGTCTAACATTTAAGTCTTAAATCCATCTTGAATTGATTTTTGTATAAGGTGTAAGGAAAGGATCCAGTTTCAGCTTTCTACATATGGCTAGCCAGTTTTCCCAGCACCATTTATTAAATAGGGAATCCTTTACCCATTGCTTGTTTTTCTCAGGTTTCTCAAAAATCAGATAGTTGTAGATATGCGGCGTTATTTCTGAGGGCTCTGTTCTGTTCCATTGATCTATATCTCTGTTTTGGTACCAGTACCATGCTGTTTTGGTTACTGTAGCCTTATAGTATAGTTTGAAGTCAGGTAGTGTGATGCCTCCAGCTTTGTTCTTTTGGCTTAGGATTGACTTGGCGATGCGGGCTCTTTTTTGGTTCCATATGAACTTTAAAGTAGTTTTTTCCAATTCTGTGAAGAAAGGCATTGGTAGCTTGATGGGGATGGCATTGAATCTGTAAATTACCTTGGGCAGTATGGCCATTTTCATGATATTGATTCTTCCTACCCATGAGCATGGAATGTTCTTCCATTTGCTTGTATCCTCTTTTATTTCCTTGAGCAGTGGTTTGTAGTTCTCCTTGAAGAGGTCCTTCACATCCCTTGTAAGTTGGATTCCTAGGTATTTGATTCTCTTTGAAGCAATTGTGAATGGGAGTTCACTCATGATTTGGCTCTCTGTTTGTCTGTTGCTGGTGTATAAGAATGCTTGTGATTTTTGTACATTGATTTTGTATCCTGAGACTTTGCTGAAGTTGCTTATCAGCTTAAGGAGATTTTGGGCTGAGACAATGGGGTTTTCTAGATATACAATCATGTCGTCTGCAAACAGGGACAATTTGGCTTCCTCTTTTCCTAATTGAATACCCTTTATTTCCTTCTCCTGCCTAATTGCCCTGGCCAGAACTTCCAACACTATGTTGAATAGGAGTGGTGAGAGAGGGCATCCCTGTCTTGTGCCAGTTTTCAAAGGGAATGCTTCCAGTTTTTGCCCATTCAGTATGATATTGGCTGTGGGTTTGTCATAGATAGCTCTTATTATTTTGAAATACGTCCCATCAATACCTAATTTATTGAGAGTTTTTAGCATGAAGCGTTGTTGAATTTTGTCAAAGGCTTTTTCTGCATCTATTGAGATAATCATGTGGTTTTTGTCTTTGGCTCTGTTTATATGCTGGATTACATTTATTGATTTGCGTATATTGAACCAGCCTTGCATCCCAGGGATGAAGCCCACTTGATCTTGGTGGATAAGCTTTTTGATGTGCTGCTGGATTCGGTTTGCCAGTATTTTACTGAGGATTTTTGCATCAATGTTCATCAAGGATATTGGTCTAAAATTCTCTTTTTTTGTTGTGTCTCTGCCTGGCTTTGGTATCAGAATGATGCTGGCCTCATAAAATGAGTTAGGGAGGATTCCCTCTTTTTCTATTGATTGGAATAGTTTCAGAAGGAATGGTACCAGTTCCTCCTTGTACCTCTGGTAGAATTCAGCTGTGAATCCATCTGGTCCTGGACTCTTTTTGGTTGGTAAGCTATTGATTATTGCCACAATTTCAGATCCTGTTATTGGTCTATTCAGAGATTCAACTTCTTCCTGGTTTAGTCTTGGGAGGGTGTATGTGTCGAGGAATTTATCCATTTCTTCTAGATTTTCTAGTTTATTTGCATAGAGGTGTTTGTAGTATTCTCTGATGATAGTTTGTATTTCTGTGGGATCGGTGGTGATATCCCCTTTATCATTTTTTATTGTGTCTATTTGATTCTTCTCTCTTTTTTTCTTTATTAGTCTTGCTAGCGGTCTATCAATTTTGTTGATCTTTCAAAAAACCAGCTCCTGGATTCATTAATTTTTTGAAGGGTTTTTTGTGTCTCTATTTCCTGCAGTCTGCTCTGATTTTAGTTATTTCTTGCCTTCTGCTAGCTTTTGAATGTGTTTGCTCTTGCTTTTCTAGTTCTTTTAATTGTGATGTTAGGGTGTCAATTTTGGATCTTTCCTGCTTTCTCTTGTGGGCATTTAGTGCTATAAATTTCCCTCTACACACTGCTTTGAATGTGTCCCAGAGATTCTGGTATGTTGTGTCTTTGTTCTCATTGGTTTCAAAGAACATCTTTATTTCTGCCTTCATTTCGTTATGTACCCAGTAGTCATTCAGGAGCAGGTTGTTCAGTTTCCATGTAGTTGAGCGGTTTGGAGTGAGATTCTTAATCCTGAGTTCTAGTTTGATTGCACTGTGGTCTGAGAGAGAGTTTGTTATAATTTCTGTTCTTTTGCATTTGCTGAGGAGAGCTTTACTTCCAAGTATGTGGTCAATTTTGGAATAGGTGTGGTGTGGTGCTGAAAAAAATGTATATTCTGTTGATTTGGGGTGGAGAGTTCTGTAGATGTCTATTAGGTCCGCTTGGTGCAGAGCTGAGTTCAATTCCTGGGTATCCTTGTTGACTTTCTGTCGCGTTGATCTGTCTAATGTTGACAGTGGGGTGTTAAAGTCTCCCATTATTAATGTGTGGGAGTCTAAGTCTCTTTGTAGGTCACTCAGGACTTGCTTTATGAATCTTGGTGCTCCTGTATTGGGTGCATATATATTTAGGATAGTTAGCTCTTCTTGTTGAATTGATCCCTTTACCATTATGTAATGGCCTTCTTTGTCTCTTTTGATCTTTGTTGGTTTAAAGTCTGTTTTATCAGAGACTAATATTGCAACCCCTGCCTTTTTTTGTTTTCCATTTGCTTGGTAGATCTTCCTCCATCCTTTTATTTTGAGCCTATGTGTGTCTCTGCATGTGAGATGGGTTTCCTGAATACAGCACACTGATGGGTCTTGACTCTTTATCCAACTTGCCAGTCTTTGTCTTTTAATTGGAGCATTTAGTCCATTTACATTTAAAGTTAATATTGTTATGTGTGAATTTGATCCTGTCATTATGATGTTAGCTGGTGATTTTGCTCGTTAGTTGATGCAGTTTCTTCCTAGTCTTGATGGTCTTTACATTTTGGCATGATTTTGCAGCGGCTGGTACCAGTTGTTCCTTTCCATGTTTAGTGCTTCCTTCAGGAGCTCTTTTAGGGCAGGCCTGGTGGTGACAAAATCTCTCAGCATTTGCTTGTCTGTAAAGTATTTTATTTCTCCTTTGCTTATGAAGCTTAGTTTGGCTGGATGTGAAATTCTGGGTTGAAAATTCTTGTCTTTAAGAATGTTGAATATTGGCCCCCACTCTCTTCTAGCTTGTAGGGTTTCTGCTGAGAGATCCGCTGTTAGTCTGATGGGCTTCCCTTTGAGGGTAACCCGACCTTTCTCTCTGGCTGCCCTTAACATTTTTTCCTTCATTTCAACTTTGGTGAATCTGACAGTTATGTGTCTTGGAGTTGCTCTTCTCGAGGAGTATCTTTGTGGCGTTCTCTGTATTTCCTGAATCTGAACGTTGGCCTGCCTTGCTAGATTGGGGAAGTTCTCCTGGATAATATCCTGCAGAGTGTTTTCCAACTTGGTTCCATTCTCCCCATCACTTTCAGGTACACCAATCAGACGTAGATTTGGTCTTTTCACATAGTCCCATATTTCTTGGAGGCTTTGCTCATTTGTTTTTATTCTTTTTTCTCTAAACTTCCCTTCTCACTTCATTTCATTCATTTCATCTTCCATCGCTGATACCCTTTCTTCCAGTTGATCGCATCGGCTCCTGAGGCTTCTGCATTCTTCACGTAGTTCTCGAGCCTTGGTTTTCAGCTCCATCAGCTCCTTTAAGCACTTCTCTGTATTGGTTATTCTAGTTATACATTCTTCTAAATTTTTTCCAAAGTTTTTCAACTTCTTTGCCTTTGGTTTGAATGTCCTCCCGTAGCTCAGAGTAATTTGATTGTCTGAAGCCTTCTTCTCTCAGCTCGTCAAAGTCATTCTCCATCCAGCTTTGTTCCGTTGCTGGTGAGGAACTGCGTTCCTTTGGAGGAGGAGAGGCGCTCTGCTTTCTAGAGTTTCCAGTTTTTCTGTTCTGTTTTTTCCCCATCTTTGTGGTTTTATCTACTTTTGGTCTTTGATGATGGTGATGTACAGATGGGTTTTCGGTGTGGATGTCCTTTCTGTTTGTTAGTTTTCCTTCTAACAGACAGGACCCTCAGCTGCAGGTCTGTTGGAGTACTGGGCCCTGTGAGGTGTCAGTCTGCCCCTGCTGGGGGGTGCCTCCCTGTTAGGCTGCTCAGGGGTCAGGGGTCAGGGACCCACTTGAGGAGGCAGTCTGCCGGTTCCCATATCTCCAGCTGTGTACTGGGAGAACCACTGCTCTCTTCAAAGCTGTCAGACAGGGACATTTAAGTCTGCAGAGGTTACTGCTGTCTTTTTGTTTGGCTGTGCCCTGCCCCCATAGGTGGAGCCTACAGAGGCAGGCAGGCCTCCTGGAGCTGTGGTGGGCTCCACCCAGTTCGAGCTTTAGGCTGCTTTGTTTACCTAAGGAAGCCTGGGCAATGGCGGGCGCCCCTCCCCCAGCCTCGCTGCCGCCTTGCAGTTTGATCTCAGACTGCTGTGCTAGCAATCAGTGTGACTCCGTGGGGTAGGACCCTCCGAGCCAGGTGCGGGATATAATCTCGTGGTGCGCCGTTTTTTAAGCGGGTCTGAAAAGCGCAATATTCGGGTGGGAGTGACCCGATTTTCCAGGTGCCGTCCGTCACCCCTTTCTTTGACTCGGAAAGGGAACTCCCTGACCCCTTGCTCTTCCCAAGTGAGGCAATGCCTCGCCCTGCTTCGGCTCGCGCACGGTGCACGCACCCACTGACCTGCGCCCACTGTCTGGCACTCCCTAGTGAGATGAACCCGGTACCTCAGATGGAAATGCAGAAATCACCCATCTTCTGCGTCGCTCACGCTGGGAGCTGTAGACCAGAGCTGTTCCTATTCGGACATCTTGGCTCCTCCCGTGGTAAGTTTTCTTTTCCTTTGTTTAGAGTTTCTATTTTTTCTTTTTTTTTTTCTCCCACAGTGTTACTATTTACTTTTTGGAGCATTTTTATGCTGGTTCCTTAAAACCCTTGTCAGACAATTATAGTATCTGTATTATCTTGGTGTTGCTGTCTGTTGTTTGCCTTTTTGCATTCAAATTGAGATGTCCTTGGTCATAGTGTGATGAGTAATTGTGGATTGTAACTAGGACATTCTGAGTGTTGTGTCATGAAGTTCTGGTTTCTATTTAAATCTTCTTTCAGCAGGCAGTCAACCTGTTTAGCTTCAGGATGCATGTTCCGGTACACTTTCATAGGCTGAGATTCAAATGCCAATTTAGTTTGCTACCCTGGTCTTCCCAGCTTATGTGCTGCCCAGAGGCCAATGTGAAATGATAGCAGTGTTTGACACTGCAGCTCAGTTCTCCAATCTTCTAATGTGTTGATTCTTATTAGGCATAGGCTGCTTGGGGGTCTGCCCAGGAATTAATACACAGGTTCTCTCCTCCGTAATCCTACCTACCCTGCTCTAATTGGGAGGGGAGGAGGTGCTGCCTCTTTGCTGCTGTTTGCTTCGTGCACGGTGGGGATGGTCACAGTCTATGCACCAGTGGAGTGGGAGAGAAGCATCACCTCTTTGCTGACATTTGCTTAGTGCAGCAGAGGGATGGTAGAAAGGATTCACTCTACAGTCTCCACAGTGATAGGTATTGGGGGAGGGGTGCCACTTCTACCCATGTTAGTGTAGGATCAGAATAGTTGAAAGGGCTTCACCCTGAAGTTTGCTCTGAGTCCTGGTGTAGAGGAGGAAGGGTTCTTTCTCCTTAATGCAAGACAGAAATGGCCAAACAGGTCTCCACTACAGTCTCTGATATGGTTTGTCTGTGTCCACACCCAAATCTCATCTTGAATTGTAGCTCCCATAATCTCCACATGTCATGGGAGGGACCCAGTGGGAGGTAATGGAATCATAAGGGCGGTTACCCTATGCTGCTGTTCTCATGACAGTGAGTGAGCTCTCATGAGATCTGATGGTTTTGTAAGGGGCTTTTCCCCTTTTTGCTTGGCACTTCTCCTTGATGCCACCATGTGAAGAAGGACATGTGTGCTTCCCCTTTTGCCATGACTGTAATTTCCTGAGGCCTCCTCAGCCATGCTAAGCTGTGAGTCAGTTAAACCTCTTTCCTTTATAAACTACCCAGTCACAGGGATGTCTTTATTAGCAGCAGGAGGACAAACTAACACGGTCTCCCTGACCATAGACTCCAAGTCGGGAGAAGAAAGGGTCCCTGATCATTAGGGTAGGACAGGGATGGTTGACAGGGCTCTGCCCTCAGTCCCTGCAGCTGCGGTGTTGCATGGGGTTGGAGGATTGTATCACTTTTTTTTTTATACCATCTGTTCATCTGGTGTAGAATGTGTTCTATCTCTCAGGGCTGCCCGTTATCAATACTTTTGCCTAGAGAAAGTAAGCTTTCCTTGGAGCCTTTGTTTTTTGTGCCTGTTGGTATTTCTGAGTGTGGGCCTCTCCGGTACTCAAATGAAGATATACGGGAGGGAAATCATAACAAGGAACTCACCACCTGGTTGTTCCTCATGTCTCAGAATCCCTGGCCAAGTCACCTTCTTTTCTCTGCCTCTCAGTCTTCTGATGGTTGCTTTAGAGATTTCATCCAGAGTTTGGTTGTAAATAGTGGGAAATATAAGATGGAATGTGGTTACTCCAATAGAAATGAGAGGAATCTTTTATACTTACTTCCATGTTTTACCATTTCTGATGCTCTTCATTTCTTTGTGTAAACCAAGCTTGTCCAACCATGGCCCATGGGCCACATGAGGGCCAGGATGGCTTTGAATGTGGCCCAACACAAATTCATAAACTTTCCTAAAACATTATGGGATTTTTTGCGATTTTTTGAAGCTCATTAGCTATCCTTAGGGTTAGCATATTTTATGTGTGGCCCAAGACAATTCTATCTCCAATGTGGCCCAGGGAAGCCAAAAGATTGGACACCCCTGGTGTAGACCCGAATTTTTGTCTGCTCTCACATTCCATGTAATAGAGAGTAAGATTCCATTTTTTATGTTTGACCTTTGATAGCTTTCAAACCTCATTCCTTCTCCAGTTACAAGGACCTGCATATTTCTTCCCTTGGTGTCAGCAGGAAGTCTGAACCACACAAGCCCCACCCTTTGTGCTTGAACCTTTTCCTCAGTCCCACCACCTACTCACAATACAAGCCAAATCCATTAACTCTGCCTCACTCCCACCATTTATACTGACTTGCACCTGACCTTTTCTCTTCAGAAAGTCCCATGGCATGAGCAAGAAGCATTTCCATATCTTCTCGGTGCATACGGCCTTATCATTCTTGACATTTAAACTATTCCAGTGAGAGGGGGCCGATCCCATCCTCCTCAAGGTGATCATAATACACTCTTACTATCTGAAGAAATTTCTTTAAATGAATCGAGAATGAATTGTCTCAGCCTTTGTTTGTTTGAAAATGTTTTTATTTTACCCTAATTTTTAAAAATATTTTTATTTAATATAGAATTCTGGGTTGAGAGATTTTTTCCCTTTCTTTCAGCATTTTAAAAATGTCACTCCATTGTCTTTTGGCTTGTGTAGTTTCTGATCAGAAGTGTCCTGTAATTCTTATCTTTACTGTTCTGCATGTAATGTTCCCTTTTTTCTCTGCTATCTTCAAGCTTTTCTCTTCATCTTCCACTTTTGACAGTTTCACTATGATGTGTATAGTTAAGTGGGATTTTTTGCTGATGGTGGTGTTGGTGTTTTCTTTTTCCTTTCTTTTATTTTTGGTATTAATTCTGCATAGGGTTCTCTGAGAGTCTTGGATCTGTGGTTTAATGTCTGTTATTACTTTTGGAAAATCCTTGACTATTGTCTCTTCTAATATTTCTTCTTCTTCATTCCCTCCTCTCCTGTGACTGATAACATATACGTTAGCCCGTCTCATGATGTCCTACAGCTCTTGAATACTCTGCTTTGCTTTTGCCATTATTTTTTCTTTGTGTTTCTCTTTGGATAATTTTTATTGACCTATTTTCAAATTTGTTGATTTTTTTCAAAGCTGTATTCATTCTACTCATGTGCCTGTCAAAAGAATTCTTTATCTGTGATGTCATATATTTAATTTCTAGCACTTCTATTTTACTTTGTCTTGTAGTGTTCCTCTCGCTGGTGAAATTCCCTATCTGTTTGCGTTTGTTGCCCCTTTTACATTAGATGCATTAACATATTTATTATAGTTATTTTAAAATCTCTGTCTAATGGTTCCAACTATTGGGGTCATCAAGTCTATTTCTGTTGATTGCTTTGTCTCTAGATTGTTTTATCTTTTGCTTTTTAAAAAATTATAATTTTTGATCGAATGCCAGACATTGTGTGTTAACAGTACAGACTGAGGTAAATAATATTCACATCTCCAAATTATTATGCCTATTATGTCTGACTTCTAGTGTGCAAGGTGAAGTCGATCTAGTTAGGAGCTGAGCTGGGTTTGGGTTTACTTTGTTGCTATTGCTATCTTCAGTGCTGCTAAGGCTTCAAGTTTCTGTAAATACGAGATGTTTCTATAATATCTTGTACTAGATTGGGGACTGGGGTGTTGGGTGGTTTTCTTCTGTGTTCCTAATGCTCCCTTTACCTTTTAGCTATTCCTGCATGTCTTTGCCACAGAGGGACTCTATCTATACTCTCGCCTCTTCAGGGATAGACTCTCTTTACTTGTTACTCTGTGCTAGGCTTATGGTGAGATAGGGTTTTCTTTGTTGTCTTGCTGCAACCTCAATCTTAGACAGATATAAACCTTAGGGTGGGGCTGTCTCAGCAATTCTGCTCTTCCTTCCTACGGCAATTAAATTCTGCCTTGTATCTGTGATGGTCTTGGACAGGAGATTCCTGCTCTCCCCTCCCTCAGTGTAGCAGACTTCTGGTTGGTACTGGTATAGGATCCTGGGCCTGGAATAGCTTCTTTATTTTATCTCAGAACTAGGACATTTTTGCATCTACCCTTCCCACAGTACCAAAGGATTTTCTCCTGTGTCCTTGGGGCTAGAGTTTTCCTACCCCTCTTCCAGAGGCATATAAGTTTTGCTTCTAGTCTTTCTATAAGAGCAATGGATTTTGCCTGTGCCCTGTGTGTGGGAGGATGCGGTCCCCTCCCCTCAATGTCTTAAGGCGTTTACTGCATAGAAAGGAAGGATCCAGGGGAAGTGGGTGGGGCTTTGTTCCTGTCCTCCAACAGCAGCTGATCTTGTCCTGCACACCCACATACCTGTGCCTCTGAAGGAGCAGCCCCCGTTTCCTGCCCACTCCTAATATGTCTCTTGAGAGCCCTCAGTGATTTTGTGAGTGAGTGTGACTCCCTGAGTTTCCCAGTTATTCCAAACTTACATCCTAGGCCACACTTGGACTTTAATGATTTACTAACATTTTATCTGATAGCTTCATACCTAATGGGGGCCACATGTTTTTCCTGTGCTCAGGCAAAGGTGAGAAACGCCATGTGTCTCGTGTCTCCCTGGAGTGCCTGCTCCCTCTTTGGAATTCTGCTTATTTGGTTGCCTTGCCATCTTAGATCTTTGATAGACTCAAGAAAAATTATAATGTTGGTACACTAGCCAGGTTTTTTTATTATTCTTTGCAGCTTTCTACATCCCACATGGAAGCAGCAATGAGATGTTTTAAAACGAGATGTTTCAAAATCACCATCTCACTCTAGTTTGTCTACAAAGCCATCTATCAAGAACATTATATGAACTTTTAAATACATTCTTCTGTATTTATAGAATGATTTTTAAAGCATTTCCAGCCATGTTTAAAAGCTGTGAATAGTCTTTTTTTTGTAACCTAGTAACCAAAGTTATTAATGAAAGTCACAGTTAAACTTTTTTCCTTTGAAAATAAAATGAATCAACACATAACGAGAAGGTTAACATTTTTCTCTATCTTCTGGAAACTCTTGCATTGTTTTATTTTAAATTTATATAAGCTCTCTGTAACCAATTAGGACAGCATCTCCCATGGATTTTAATAGACCTTGTAATATGTATTACTTTTCTTTTGTGGGGTATCTGTTTATCTGTGCTAGTTAGTTCTAGAGTATGCACATCATGATGGAACATTTGTGTCATTACTTGATGTTCTGATTTTTTATGGCGGTGTAACAAATTACCTCAAAGCTCAGTGGTGTAAAACAGTCACACATTTTCACAGATATTGTGCATCAGACATTTGGACAGGCACAGCAGAATGGTTTGTCTCTGTTCTGTGATGCCTGGGGCCGCAGCTGGGAGACTCCGAGGATGGGGGCTGGAATCACCCACAGGCTCCTTAGTCATCTGCCTGGGGATCCTCTCCACAGGGGCTTCTCCGTGTGGTCTCCCCGCAGGGTCTGGTTTGGGCTCCCTTCCGGCATGCTGGCTGGCCACGCGGAAGCTGTGTCGGCTGTTCTAACCCAGCTCCAGAAGCCAAGCTGCGGTACACGTACCACAGCCCATTAATTGAGTGAGCTACAAAGATCCACCCGAAGCCAAGGGGAGCACACGTGAACTCCTGCTCTGACTGGGGGGGGCAGGAGGGCAGGAAGATTCAGAAAAAGCAATGAAACTAGAAACCACACAGAGGCCATTTTTAGAAAATACCAGTTGCTATAATTAACCTCCAGAGTCTTTCAAGAGCTGGAGGAAGAGCAGGGGAAAAGAAGGTGAGAGGGGCTGGCTGGAGTCTTCCTTCACAATCCCTCAGAACTCACTAGTTCTTTTTTTCTGTAATTAGGTGGGATATTACTTTCCAGTTATTCTTTTGTTCGCACTATTGCCAAGTGTTCCTGTCAAAAGAGTTTCTATTTTGTTGTTTGTGTGTTTGTGTTTTCGAGGATGTGTTAACCCTGTGTCCTTTTCAGGGTCACGCCGCTTACCTTTTATCCAGCAAGGCTTCGCACCTCCTGGGAAATGATTGGTCAGAGGAAGTCAGAAAAGCCTAGAATATAAATGCGCGGCACAAGTCTCAGTTTATCACTGACATTTTTTCTGACCTGAGTAGAATAACTTAGGTAGATAATTTTAGAATCTGAATTGAGTTTAGAAGTCTCCTTATGCCAACTAAAGAATGCAGGCCATTGGATAGTCAGGATTTTTTTTTTCTATTTGTTTTAGGATGCCTCTCAAAATAACTATTTTGTCTATGTTAAAAGTTACCCAAAGTGGCTGGACGTGGTGGCTCACACCTGTAATCTCAACATTTTGGGAGGCCAAGGCAGGCAGATCACCTGAGGTCAGGAGTTCGAGACCTGCCTGGCCAACATGGTGAAACCCCGTCTCTACTAAAAATACAAAAATTAGCCAGGCATGATGGTGGGCACCTATAATCACAGCTACTGGGGAGCCTGAGGCAGGAGAATTGCTTGAACCCGGGAGGCGGAGGTTGCAGCGAGCCGATATCACACCACTGCGCTCCAGTCTGGGGGTCAGAGTGAGTCTCCATCTCAAAAAAAATTTAAAAAAATAAAAAATAAGTTACCCAAAGTGGCCAACCATAACTTCAATTGTCCTTGATGAAATAACATCATTTACATGAATTAGAATTACATGAAAATATGGAGTAAGCAGGTGTTTGGCCTGAGAGGGGCTCGCATGTGGACCAAGACCATCCCACAAGAACTGCAGTGGTGGGTCGGGACCGTGTGCCCACAATCCTGTCCAGAACCTGGCCCAGAGCCGGCTGTCATCAGTCCGGGCTAAGGACCCTCCTGCCATCTGTCTGCTTTCCACGTCTTGAGTGTTTTTCATTTGCGAGAGGACATCTGTTGGGGGAGGGTGGACCTGGAGGCTGGCTGCAGGAGAGACTCACTGGACTCAGATCTGCCCTCTCCCCACAGACATCTTCCTGCAGACAGACAGCGCTTGCTTCCCTGACAGGCTTGATAAAATATTTGGAACCCAGACTCACACTTACCTCCTATAGATGGCGACTCAAGCGGTGTCAGATGTGTTCGTTTTACCAAGTCAGGGTCCCAGGCTGCAGGATTGGAGATCTTGGCTGAATCATGCTAAAACCCCCACTTGTTGAAGCCCACCAACCCCAGACCACCAGAACATCCATCACCAAAAAAGGTCAATGTCTTTAGCTAGCGGCTGGGGAGATACTGCACGTGTGTGAGTCTAAAGCCTCAGTGCTTCTGACTTTACTGGTTGCTGTAATTTCCCACTAACTGCCCAGAGCTGTTGGCTGTGGGTACACAAACAGGTGCCCTGGAGAGCCCCACTGCTCTGGAAGCAGAAGATGGGCATGGCCACAGCAAGGCCTCTGCCTGCCGGCCTAGCGTGCTGGGTTCAGAGGTACAGCGCCAGCCCCTCCTCTGAGCTCCCTCGGCTCCAGGGGTCACAGCTGCTTCCTGCAATCACCAATATCAGGGTCACCACAGCAGCCACATTTGCTCCTTTTCCTCTCAGTCCCCCAACTCTCATCTTCACTTCCTTTTGCTTGATACGCCTGGGACTGGAGATCTTGGCTGAATCGGGCTGGAACTTGTGGAAGCCCACCAACCCAAGACCACCGGAACATCCATCACCAAAAGAGGCCTCTTGTGGTTTCTGGTTTTATTTTGTTTTGTTTTGTTGGATGGGACCAGACACACACCACTCGTTTGGAAGCAGTTTGTGTCCTTTCTGCCTGTTTCTTCTCTCCTCCTCCTTTCAGGCTGGAGTAAGGATGTGTTTGTGACAGAAAGGCAGACAAGAAAGATACACCGTCCCCAAGGATACAGGGAGCTTCCACCCCAGCTGTGCCTTCTTTCCCACCGGAGAGAAAAAACAATTCTTTCCTGTTTAAGCCACAGTTGGCTACTAGCAGCCAAACGCCACCCCCAACTGGCCCAGCCTTTTGGGGTCAGCCACAGTGTGTCGTGGATAGGGGGACGGCTAATGTTGGCCTATGTAAGAAAGGAAATTCTTGGAGGAAAAATAAGTCAGCTAATTTTTGATGTAATCATCATGAAAACATTTTGTAAGTAGATAATGAAATCAGACACTGAAGAATCTTTTCTGATCAGTAACCCTGAGGAGAGAAGTTGCAGGTTACGGTGCTGGCTGGCGGGGCGGCGTAACTCCAGCCCTCTCTCTCCTGCACCAGGAGGCGAGCAAGCGAGTAACAGACACGGGTCGGGGGTGGAAGGAGGTGGGGAGAGGCGGCTCACAAGGAGACAGGCAGCAAAGCGGTGGGGAGCCAAGGCCCCAGAGCTCTCAGATACATCAGTGTGGTCTGTAGCCAACCAAGGCCTCAGTTTCTTCATCTGTAAAATGGAGGGATTATCAGTAGCTACCTCATGGGATTGCAAATGACACAATCTGTGTAAAAACACAATTCGAGATCTCCTCATATGATATTTATAATCCACTCTAATTTACAAATACAAAAAGTTTGCCACCTTTTGCACTTTTACTGTTATTAACAGCAACGACCTGTCTTTATTTGCACAGCTTACCAGGCCCTCCAGGGTGACAGTCACCAAGAGCCAGGGCTTGGGCCTCAGCTTTGCAGCTCCTGGCTCTTGGTTTAGTCTGGATCCCTAAAGGAGTATCAGCAGCCAGGGAGAACTGAATCAGCTCTCCAGGTCCTGGAGGCAACCGCAGAAACAGAACAGTGCAAATGCCAGCATTTCCGCAGATAAGCGTGGCCCGCCAGCTGCAAACACCCCTGACATGCAGCCGTCTGTTTAAAATCTGGTTGCCCGCTGCAGCCAGTGGAGCTCAGAGGGCTGCCTGGCGGGTAAGGACTCCAGGCACACAGCAACAAGTGGCTGCCACCTCAAATCCCACGTGGAATATGATGGGGTCCGAGCCAGCCAGTAACTCCAGGAGGGCTGTAGTGTGTAAGTTCGGCCAGAGTTTGCAGATATAATAACATTGGCCCCACGACGTAGACCTGTGGCGGCTCAGGGTTAAGAGACGGAAGCAAACCCCTGCTTCCGTGGATCTCGCTCCAGCCCTCTCTCCTTGCTTCTGCAAACTTTTAACTAGATGGATTACGACGCTATCGATTATGTGTCAGCTGAGCTGGAGCAGTTTAATGGATTAGGGTGATGTTCACCTCGGCCATTTTGCTATAATTGATCCCCGTGTGCCTCTGTGAATCGCTTCATTCACATGGTTACGACTGACCATTGCGAGTAGATGCAAGGCTGCAAGATGCAGTGATCTAGAGCCATTTTCTCTGGGGCCAAGTGGGCACCCTGCTGGAGTCATCCTGATTGCAGCTCCAAGGAATGACCATCTTCCACAGCGAGGACCCAGAGTCTGAAGGAAAATTAAGCTGTGCTTTGAATGTTTTAGTTAAGGATAAAAATGTTTCCCACAAAATGCTCATTTGTAAGCTTGCGTGATTCTAAGGGTATCTCATGGTGTCTAGAAAAGTTAGATTTCATTGTTTCCTGCCGGGGCCGAATTAATGAGATGTCAGTCAGTAAACTCACTCCTTCCTCAAGGTCTCTTTATGATGTGTGATCAGAGGGTGATGGGCTCACAGCAGCCAGGGCCATTCATCCTGCAGTTCACAGATTTGTCTGTTTCTACAAACCATGCATCTTCTCAGACCCAGGATAAAGGACTATGCCTTATCCTGTGTGATCAGCATCACACACTCACACACTCACCCGCAGTCACACTCACACGTGCACACACACACCCACACATCACGCCTCCCCTGGGTGGTAAGCTACATTTTAGTTTACCCAATAGTGATCAACGAGAGCGCAGTGTACGTGTTGTACACGGGGTTTCCAAGTCTCTGTTTGCTTTTTGGTCGATGGCAGTGGTGAAAGTTTATGAAGCAAGAAAGGAGCGCGGGGGAGGTGAGGCGAGAGGTGGGGTGGAAAGCTTTCAAATGAGGCCAGCTCCTTATGGAAATGAGGCTCCGTCATTTTTCCCTGAGTGGCCTAAACCCAATGTTTACTTGTAGCTTCTGTGCAATGAGCTCAATATCACACGTATTATATTGGATCCTGATAGTCTGATATTTTATGGGATGTCTCCTAGATCTTCTTTGCTGACCCCAGCGGTCCCAGCCCAGATTCCAAGCTGAACAAGTCGGGCTGCTTGCTCTGTGAGCAGTGGAGTCCCTGCTGAGCTTGGGCAGCTTTCCCGAGGCCCCGCCCTCTGGCCTCCTGCCCTGCTAACAGGCACGTACTCTGTGGATGGGACCCTGAACCAGTTATCTCAATGTCAGGGGGAATTTACTTCCAAGAAACTCCCCTCTCCTCCCAACTGTGTCCATTCATTCCTGCGGAGTCCGCACGTGGGCTGCTCTTCCTCTGGGTTCCCGCCCCTGAAGGCGCAGGAGGCTGTGACCACGCCCCTTTTGGAGCCTTCCTGGGCTCAGGGAGGGGCTTTGCCTGCGGGTGAGTGTGTGTGAGTGTGTGATGCTGATGACACACACACGGCCCTGCCTCGAAGGAGGCATCTGGGACCGAATGGGCTTGGGCGTCCCTCATGCATTCTACCGACATGGACATGGGCCCCTGGGAGGGTCTGAGCTGTGGTGGAGGGAAGCCCGGACACAGGTCTTGCAGAAGAGCTCAGCCACCCCAGAAAGGACCTCAAGGGTGGGGCCAGGAGTGCAGGTGGGGGCGCTGGCTGGCTGGGAAGGGGATTTCACATAGGAGGACCAGGCAGAGGGAACACTATGTCCACAGTGCATGCAGCACTTAGAGGGAATGCCACGTCCACAGTGCATGCGGCACTTAGAGGGCAGGCCACATCCACAGTGCATGCAGTACTTAGAGGGAATGCCACGTCCACAGTGCATGCAGCACTTAGAGGGAACGGGACAGCTGGCAGGGCTCTAGCCAAGGACAAAACAGCCCATTCCGTTCCCAGACTTTGAGTCAGCGTTTAGGGTTTTGCCTCATGATGGGCCGTGCTGAGGAAACCAGTCAAGATGACCTGAACTCAGACCCCTTCCGCAGTGTCTCCTTTGTCCTGCTGAGCAACTCTGCTGTTCTCCTGCAGCCCCTCCAGGCCAGCCTCCCTCTTCTACTCAGGGCGGGGTCCAGTCAGTGCACCCAACTCCGGGGCTCCTCAAGGCTCTCCTCCCTGCCTCTGATCTGGGCTGAGGTGGAGCAGATGTGAGGAGAGGTGGGGGGGGGAGCCCCCTTCTGCATTCCCCATGGTAGGAGCAAGGTTGACATCCCAAAAGCTCCTGTCAAACTGTCCCCAAAGCTCCTGGACAAGGACTCCTCCCTCGCCATCTCCCTGATCAAACTCACCCTTCCAGAAGGGCTCAGAGTGGCATCTGGGACAGCCCCGGTTAAGGTCTCATAGACTATCTGCTCTCGGGCACGGACCGGCATCTTTAGGATGTGAGATACTCGGCTCTTACTGCTGTCAGTGTGGGGGCCTCAGCTGGGACCACACACCGCATCACAGCCTGCTACACACACGGAAGCATTTTCCCGAGTCCGACTGTGGAACTGTAATGAATCTCAGCTGCCACTCACAGCTGCTCACCAGCGTTCTCTGCTGCTTTTAGTGGCTTTGTAGGTTTCCATTGCAGAGCTCAAATTATTTAAGCAGCCCTGGTCTTGGGTATGGAATTTTGCGGTCACAGCAGGCTGGGAGGGGATCTTTTGCTGATTCCTTTGTGCACAGGTGTGAAGAGATGTGTAGGAGAGTCCTGAAGGTGGTTTCTTATCTAACCTGCATCCGTGGAAGAGCGTGTCCTGGTGCCTGGGTGTCGGGACCCCATAAGGACCATGAGCTACCCCTTTGCCAGGGCTGGGACTGTGGATGGTCATTTGCAGCCCAGACCCACGAGGTGTTTCCCAAGCATGGTGGCACCTCCCTGTGGCTGTGCCTGGCTCCTTCCAGCTCTCCCCAGTGGCCCATAGGCTTAGAAACATGTAGAGTGTGTCCCAGGCAGGGGGCCAGCCTTAAAAAATGCCAGCCCATCTCCTCCATCCACGATGACATCACCGGTACGGGCTTGTGTGTAGGTGACCTTTGGTGGCCTGATCCTCCTGCCCTCTGCCTGGCTCCCTGGGCTCTGGTGGAACACAGCTGCCCTTCCTAATTTGGTCTTAATCAGGCTGAGCTAAGCCAGTCTGTATTTGAGGAGTTGGAAGCAGGTGATTCGGGCACAAATTTGAAGGCTGATAAACGGCAGCCGTCACCCGTGCACTCAGAGCGGCCAGAAGTCCTGCTCCTGGGGAAGGAGGAAGGGCGCAAGGGCAATGAGCATGTCGCCTTGCCCTCGGGGTGTGCGGTTTCTGCTCAGCCTCCTCTTGCAGCCTTGTTTCAAGTGTGGGAATGGCCTCCTGACTCCCAATCCGAAACAACTGCTGAGCACAGAAGGCAGAGCAGGGCCCTGAGAGTCAGAGGAAAATGCTGCTGCGGGGACTGGGGAGCCCCATCGGGTGACTCCCCAGAGATGTGAGCAGGTGCAGAGGCTGGAACAACAGGTGAGGCATGTGGGACCAGGAGGCCGGGTTGTGGGAAGCAAGGCATTTGTGGGAATCCGGGTTCCCCAGTGACACTGGAACCCTTCCTGCAGTCCCTGATATTCCTGGGGCTCGTCAGGGCTTCCCGTAACAGCCCAGGATTAAGTTTGTTCTCTTCCCTACCCCCAACACGCAGTGCTGCAGGAAAGTCTCTCCCGTGGATGCTGTGGCCTGGGGCTTGGGTGACGACGTGCACGGCTGCCTCCTCGCTGTCACGTGCTCTGCTGGCTCGTCTCCAAGCTGTGCTGCTCATGTTCCAAAGTCTCCCTGGAGGCTTTAGTGAAAAGCCCTTTCCCCGGTGACCTGGAGTGTCTTGCTAGATGGAGCTGGCCAAGCCTGACGTCTTTTCCTGGCCGATGCCTCAGTCCTTATGCAAGTAGGTGCAGCCACAAAAGGCACCTTCATGGGAATTAGGAACAGAGGATGCCAGGGCTGGGTGTCTCACCAGTGACTGCTGGGCCAGGGAGCAGACCCCGTGCAGACCTGCCCAGGCAAATCTGCTCCCCAAGTAGGGTGTACCAGGGGAGAGGGGAGGGCTGCACAGACCCCTGCTTCCAACATGCAGCTCTTTTGGACACTAGGTGGGGAGGAGGTGGGCTGGCATTTCTTTAAGGCCGCTGCCTGCTTTGGACACACTCTCATGGTTTCTCAGCCCGAGGGCCACTAGAGAAAGGTAGAGGGACCAGAGACTGCTGGAGTAAGAGTGCATGCACAAGGGACAGCCCCAGAGAGGTACCGCCATGCTGCCATGCCTGGGAAATGTGCCTCATGGGGCTTAGGGGGACCATCCACAGTCCCAGCAGCCCCAGCCCCTGCACAGGGGTCACCCGTGGTTTTTATGGGGTCCCGACACCCAGGCACCAGCACACGCTCTTCCATGGAGATCCCATGGAGAGGGATGCCTGCGTGGAGGCCACAGCACTTCTACCAGACCCTGCCACCAGCAGCCAGGCTTGGGAAATGGGGTGGGGGTGGCGGCAGCCTGGCCTGGTCACCGACATTAGCAGTCACCTGCCCAAGGCCATGTGGGGAGGGAGCAGCAAGGAGAGGCCGAAAAGCAAGCTGCGGCCTCAACCGGCCCTGGGTGCCCTCCCAGCCAATATCCAGAGGTGCCCAGCCGGAGGGCCTCACTCACCAGGGCCAGGGCCTCAGCCAAGCCCCAGGTCCCCTCCCCAGCACCCACGGAGGTCATCTTCAGAATTTCAAACGTTTGTCAATGAAGTGCTCCCAATGGAGGCCTCACCAAGCCTCAGTTTGGAAGATCTGAGCAGGTGCTGCTTCCAATTGTGCTTGGCTGTCTGGAGAGTCTCTTCTAAGAAAGTCCCTGCCCCGGGGAGCAGGGGTCAGGTGGTAATATAGCAGTCACGCAGAGAGGAGGCTGGGGCATTGGAGGACAGAGGAGGAACCAGCTCCGGGCTAGGAGAGGGGGAGCTGCGTTGGGTTCGCAGCCTTTGCAGGCCCCACCCAGGGCCCTAGTGTTGCTTTAGGAGCTGGGCAGCCACAGCTGGTGGGATGAGAGTTAAGTCCTGCAAACAGCAGCCTGGCTGCACTCACTGGAGAGCGAGAGTGGGTATGACCCAGGGTGGTGGTGATGCCGACAAGTGGCTGCACCCAAGGACTGTTTAGGAGTGAAAACCAAGCAGACGGTGGGAGATGGGCATGTGGGGAGCAGGGGTGTCCGGGAGCACCCAGGCTTCTGGATGCACAGTGGGAGGAGGATGGTAGAGGGGACTTGTGGGCCCGGGACCCGTATCGAGCAGTGCTGAGTCTCTGGGTCTAGAGCCCAGGAGCTGTTGGGCTGGACATACAAACTGAGAGTCCTCAGCACCTCAAGGACACTAAAGTGACAGCAAGATGAGAAGAGAGCAGGCCCACAGTGGCCTGCCCTGCCACCAGGGGCGTGAAAACCTGAGACATTCATCCTGTTGGCCTGGCGCCTGCAGCTGGCCCCCTGCCTTGCGTGTCACGGAGGCACTCTGCCTTGAGGGTAGAATGTTCTGGGAAGGCACTGTCTGGTGTTTGGTTAAATGACAGGTCAGGCTGAGCCTTGTGCATTTATGGGAGTTGATACATGTGTGTATAAATACATATGTACATATACACACATTTATACCATGTGCACACACACATACACACATGTGTATGCATAATATACAGTCATTTGCACATATATACACATACACCTATCTACAGTACGGGTGTATGTATACATATCAATATTTATTTGTAATTTCTGTCCTCTCTCCCTCCTGAATAACCTAGCAAGTTAGACCTTAGCTTTATGCTTTATTCTTCTCTCATCTACCTTTTTTTTTTTTTTTGAGATGGAGTCTTGCTCTTTGGCCAGGCTGGAGTGCAGTAGTGCAATCTCTGCTCACTGCAACCTCCGCCTCCCGGGTTCAAGCAATTCCCCTGCCTCAGCCTCCCGAGTACAGGTGCTCACCACCATGCCCGGCTAATCTTTTGTATTTTAGTAGAGACAGGGTTTCACCATGTTGGCCAGGATGGTCTCGATCTCCTGACTTTGTGATCCACCCACCTCGGCCTCCCAAAGCGCTGGGATTACAGGCGTGAGCCACCACGCCCAGCTCTTTCATCTACCTTTCACTAGTGAGACCATGAAAGGGGACATGTGGAAGCCAAGCCGCTGCTAACAGGCCCATGAATTCCCGACTTAGCGACACTTTGTTTAAGCACAGGGAGATGCAGCTAGGCGTGGCCAGGGCAGACTGCAGACGGGGCTCCTCGGACACTGAGCCACGGCTTTCTTGAACTAGGTCAGACATCAGACGCTGTTTTAAGGAAGAAAGGATGACCCGAAGGAGGGCCTTTGGTTGAGGCCTGGAGGAACAGTGGGGAGGAGGGGCAGGTGATAAAATGAGCAAGTGGGGGCAGGGCGGGGGCAGCCTTGGGTAGGGCACTGGTGAAGGGCAGTCAGAGAAAAGAGAGTCTCTTCTAAGAAAGTCCACTCTGAGCCCTGCTTTTGAGTAGGATCTCTCTAAGAGTGCAGCGTGGAGCTTGCAAAGGCTTCACTAGTTAGACCTGGGACGTTGGCCCGAGCATGACAGCAGGAATGGAGAGGGGTGTGCAGAGGGTGACGCAGGAAGGGGAGGACTGCGCCTGGGAGGAGGGGACCGTCACTGGCCCCACAGTCTACAGGCTGCCTCCCAGGCCAGGGCGGTCCACTCACCTCAGGTCTTTCCGACCCTGTCCTTGGGTACTGTGAGGCTCTCTGCATCACCCCCATACTCACATGTCCTGCACTTGCTGTTTCTGGGGTCTTCCCTTAGCATCTTGCTTGTGGGAGAGGTTGGTCCTGTCTGCACACTGAACCTTGAAGACATCCGTCATGCTGACCCCCGACCCCAAGGTGTCCCCTCTGTTGAGAGGTGCTCCAAAGCGGAGTGTAGCCCTCTTCCCTCATTAGCACAGGCTCTGGGCAGGCAGCCTCTGGGACCTCGGCCCCACCAGCCCAGCCCCCTTGGCAGAGAGCTCTTGGGGCTCCCTGCCAGCCGCGCAGCGCCCAGCGTTGCCCTAGTAGCAGGGACGGCTTGGGAAGGGTTTTATCTCTGGGAAGGGACTGTCTCCTCTGGGTTTTATTATAAAGGCTAGTTGGTCCCTGGGAAAGTGGAAAAGGAAGATCAGATGACCTGCCTGCATTTTGTTTTCTCTTGGCGAAGGCTGAGCTATCTGATGGCAGGTCCTGAGATCAGCGTCTGGGGCCAGTTCCCAGGGATAGGCTATCCCAGCAGGACCGCAGCACCTGCTGATGCCCCTGCAGCTGCCAGATCCTGGGAGGTGGCATCACTGTGCCTGCCATTAAGGTGGACGTGAGGCAGGACTTCATCCTGGAGCTGGAAGAAGCCTCAGGGTCATCAGTCCTCAGAGTGGCATCAGGCCCACCCTCACCGCACAGGTGGGGCCTCAGGCCTGGGAGCGTGACCGACTGGCCCCCAGTCTTTCCACCAGCCAGGAGTAAGGTCGGGACTAGACTCCTGACTCGCTGACCACCATACCTACAGCCATTCCCTCACTCTCCTTCAATGACCTCAAGTGGGGGCAAAAGAGCGGCTGCCATGACCTCAAGGACTCTCAGATGCATGGCAAACGGCAGGTCTGACCGTGCCGGAAAGGGTCCAGGGGAAGGCTGCTGCCTCCATCCTCGGGCCAGGACATGAAGGGGCATCAACGTCAGGGCAGAAAACAGGAGCAATGGGAGGTCCTGAGTGAATCCTGCAACAGAGAAACTCTTGCCTGCACCCTCTCCTCTGTCCCCCCTCCACCGCCCCATCTCAATGCCACAGGCTGAACCGGAGACCTGTCTTGATGCCAGAGGGGGCCAGCAATTGCCCAAAGAATGCGGAGCTCCCCCTGGTTTGTTGCTGGGGGCCCTTAATCCCAGTGCTGTGCTGGAGCTGGCTTGTAACATTCAATAGAACCAAGCGTTAAATGTGCTCAGATTTTGTGAGCCAGTTGTAAATATAGGCATTATTCACAATTAATCATATGAACTTATAATCAAATATGTTAACAAACACCCCTTCCCAATGAGTTTTACTACTTTTGCTATTTTCTATGCTTTGAGGGTTACTTGCATCTATTATATCAATGCCGTGGGAAGAGTATATAGTGACAGCTACTGGGCATCTCTTCCCAAGCCCACAATCTGTGACGTCACATTGAAAGCTTGGGATTGGCCATGATAGGAGTATTTACACCATGGAAGTTGGCAAACACTGCAAATCAGAGCTTGTGTTATTGTTTTGTTGATTTTCTAGGCTTAAGAAAGTAATAAAAAATTGTTAATAGTACAGATTCAACTTATAAGTGGGTCATGTCTGGGGCCATTTGTAGCAGTCTGGCTCTAATCGGGAGACAGAAATCACACAGCAGGTTAAACAGGGGAAATTTAAGTTAAAATTATTAACAGTTGTAAAACAGTAAGATAGGCCGGGCGCGGTGGCTTATGCCTGTAATCCTAGCACTTTGGGAGGCCGAGGTGGGCGAATCATGAGGTCAGGAGTTCGAGACCAGGCTGACCAACACAGTGAAACCCCATCTGTACTAAAAATACAAAAATTAGCCAGGCCTGGTGGCAGGTGCCTGTAATCCCAGCTACTCGGGAGGGTGAGGCAGGAGAATCGCTTGAACCCAGGAGGCAGAGGTTGCAGTGAGCCGAGATCATACCCCTGCACTCCAGCCTGGGCAACAGAGCAAGACTCTGTCTCAAAAAAAAAGAGTAAGATAAAAAGAAGCTCTATGCAGTATCCTAGGGCTGAGGGAGCTCCCAAAGTAAAAATGAAGTTGTTTGGGGTTCAGACATAGCTGGAGAGGGTGTGGTTCAGCCACTGGATAGCAATGAAGTTTAGCCCAGAGCACACAGCTACAGCTGGTTTGGAGTTGGTGGACACACAATAGGCACCCTCTGGAGGGCAGGCAGGGAACAGGTGATTAGTAACCAAAGGCGTGAACTGCAGTGGGAAACTGAGTGCCCCCAGGGCAGAAGGCCTTCTGGGTGCTGAGGTTGCTTGGCGGGTGGAGAGGTTGCAGAGGAAGTGGCAGGCTGCGTAGTGAGGTCGGAGGCCAGCTGCTGTGTAGACAGTCACCGCCAGGCATGGCCACAGAGTCATTGTGTTCTGGCTCTGAGGCTCCGTCCGACTCCACGGGATAGTCTCCGCTTGGCTGACCTTCCTGGAAATTACAGGAAAGTCCTTCCAGCACCGTCTACTGAGAAAGCTTCACATCCTGTTCACTTTAAATTCAAAATGGTTAAAAGGTTCCAATCTTTGTCCTAAAGCACATATTGAAAGGTGCATTCAGAGCTGAGATGCAATAGATTAAAAACTGCCTGTGTGAGTTTCCTGTGGCTGCTGTAACAAATTACCAAAAACCTGGTGCTTACAACAAGGCACATTTGTTCTCTTACAGTTTTGGAGGTCAGAAGTCCCAAATCAGTTTCAGCAGGATGGAATCAGGGTGCCATGAGGGCCGCTCCCTCCAGAGGCTCCAGGGGGGTCTGTTTCCTTGCCTTTTCCAGCTTCTAGAGCTGCATTCCTTGGCTCGTGGCCCCTTCCTCCGCCTTCAAAGGCAGTGGCTTAGCGTCTTCAAAATTCTCTCCACGCTGTCTTCTCATGGCCTTCTCTTCTATGTCAGATTTCCCTCTATCCTCTCTTATCAGGACATTTGTGATTGCATTTGGGACCCACCCATGTAATCCAGGATAATGTCTCCTTCTCAAGATCCTCAACTCAATCACATCTGCAAAGTCCCTTTTGCCACATAAGATACATTTGCAGGCTTCATAGATTCAGATCTGCGTATATTATTTGAGGGCCATTATTTAACCTACTACACTGATGCACCCCTATATTGTGACAAGCAAAAAAATTGAGGATTTATTCTTCCAGTGCTTAAAAACTGTGGCCTGATTGATTCAGCAAGGAAGTCACTTGTGACATTGATGAATAAGTGAACTTCTGATATTCGCCTTCATTGTCTCACTTTTACTTGTTAACATAAATGAAAATATCAGCCTCATGAGAATGAAACGAAATGAAAATAGCCAACCCTCATGTGTAAAGCACACTTAGTCATCATATGCAAACAGACATAGGCTGTAGATACAAGAGTTTGGAAAAACTCAACAAAGGCATTCTGTGAGGATCAACCAACTATATGCAGCTTATAATAAAGGATATTGTATCATTATGTTTTGTTGTACATTCTTTATATCAGTAACATTTATAATAAATTATCTCTTCATTTATATGTGTATGTACACCCCACACACACACACACACACACACACACACACACACACACACACACACAATCTTTCCCTCCAGAGGGCCAGCTGTTGAGCATTTATCAGCCCACCACTGCTTAATACTTATTTCCAGTAGGGAGGTAGAGGGAGCCTAAGGCCCCCGAAAAGGTAAAGTGCTCTTTGCACCTGAGGGTGGACCTTGCAGTCCCGAGCTCTATGGTGAGCCTGTCACCCACCGTGGTCAGCTACCTCCATCCACAGATGGTTAAATGGATCTGGATCAACCACCTCCGAGGATGCCTGTGTTTCAGCGGAAGATGAGGCTGTGAGTTTTCTGCATTTCTTCCCAGTACAATCCATCGATGGGGGGTTGTTGTTCCCTCTGTCTTCACTGCCTGTGGCTGCCCTATGCCGGGTTACTATCACCCCCATGTTCCCACCCAACACAAACCTGCAGCTTCCTGCCTGACTTCCTGGACCTCTCGTCTGGCCTGCCTTTCCTTTCTTTTCCTTTTTTTTTTTTTTTTTTTTTTTTTTGAGATGGAGTCTCACTCTGTTGCCCAGGCTAGAACACAGTGGCACCATCTCGGCTCACTGCAACCTCTGCCTCACAGGTTCAAGCAATTCTCATGCCTCAGCTTCCTGAGTAGCTGGGATTACAGGTCTATACCACCACACCCAGCTGATTTTTTTATTTTATTTTTTTTTAGTAAAGACGGGGTTTCCCTATGTTGGCCAGGCTGGTCTCAAACTCCTGATCTCAGGTGGTCTGCCCACCTCAGCCTCCCAAAGCGCTGGGATTACAGGCATGAGCCACCACGCTCAGCCGCCTTTCTTTTCTTGAATGAACAGTTGACAAGATCAATGGGACCTAACCTGGGGTTGGGTGGGCCTTGGGCTGCCATTTCCGATTGTGCCCTTTCTGTTTTTAAAAGTACCTAGACACAACTGGATGCAGAGCTTATTCAAAAGGCCTTCAGGACAAGGGGGAAAGATTTTGTAAGGAATGGAGGGAGCATCATCAGTGGAAAGCCTGCCTCCACTTCCCATCCCTGTGATCATGACAGACATCACTAGCTGATCACTGACCATGGCATTCTTTCCCACAGAGTGTGAACTTGGCCTTTACATCCTTCTCCGCAGAGCACTGCAAGCAGCCAGTCCCACTGGAACATAAGATGAAGCTTTTGTTCCCATGGCTGGATACACTTTGGATCTTGGAATGCAATAATTACTTCAGCTGGATCTGGTTCGTGGAGTACTTGGCCAGGGCTCTGCCTCATGCCATGGTCCTACAAGATATGTGAGGAGGTGGACATCTTTGCGTAGCCCTCCTCCAGAGGCAAGTGGATTCCTTCCATAACCCAGAGAAGGCCGCTTGGGAATGAGGCTGAGAAGCCAGACTTTTTGGCACACAAAGAAAAAGGGAGTTTTCAAAGTTGCCGCAAATCATGCAGGAAGAGAAAACAGGACATTAGTGGACACTGATTCTTCCCCTCTGCTGAACTCTGAGTCCAGTTTAAATCTTTAATAACATAACACATGGAGAAAATTGCTTATATAAAATGATCACCTTTCTTTTAAAAAAAAAAAATTATAGAGACTGGGTCTTGCTCTATTGCCCATGCTGGAGTGCAGTGGCTTGATCATAGCTCACTGCAGCTTTGAACTGTTAGGCTCATATGATCCCCATGTCTCTGTCTCCTGAATAGCTGGGACTACAGGTGGACACTACCATGCCTAATTTTTTAGTTTTTTTTTTTTTTGAGATAGGATCTTGCTATGTTGCCCACGCTGGTCTTGAACTCCTGGTCTCAAGCAGTTATTCTGCCTCAGCCTCCCAAAGTGCTGGGATTACAGGCATAAAACACCACACTCAGCCAGAAGAAATTATCATCTTTCTAAAATCAAACTTCTCTTATATTCTGGGAACCTACTGAGGAAGGCACAGATTTATCCTCTAGATGCCAGAAGGCTAGAATTGGGAAAGCTTCGAAGCTTAAACAGGGCAAAGCGTAGGTCATAGAAGAATGTATTATCTATTGCTATGCAACAAATTACTCTAAAACTTTAAAAACACAAACATTTATTATCTCTCAGTTTTTCTGGGTGAGAATCTGGGTATGGCTTTGCTTGCTGCTTCTGACTCAAGGTCTCTCACCTGTCAAGGCTGCAATCAAAGTGTCGGCGGGGGCTGCAGTCTCATCTGAAGGCTTGCCTGGGGAGAACACACTTCCAAGCTCACTGCCATGGTGGATGGAAAGCCTCAGGGGTACTGCAATTGAGGGGAGAAAATGGCCAACTTGAGCCAGGGTGCAATGACATCAAGAGGCCTGGGAGCTGAGGAGAAAAGACTAAGGAGCCTGAGGAATGGATGTGGGTCTGGAAGAGAGCTGGAAGAGTACATGGTCCTGGGAGCCTCCTGGGGAAAGTGCTTTAAGTAGGAGGCAGAGACCAACTGGTTCCCATGGTGCCAATGAGTCATGTGAGATAAGGACTGAGAGTTGACATTAGGAGTGGCAGTGGAGGGGCATGTAGTGACTTTGACTAGAGCTATTTCCATGGGATGAGGAGGGTGAGGGAAGCTGACTAGTGTGGGCTCAGTTTATGCTGGAGGAGAGGACTGGGAGAATAATGCTCCTTCATGTTCCTCAGTTATGCTGTAAAGGGGAACGAGAAGCAGTAGCCGGAGAGGACTGGGGGAAGGGGCATCTAGGTTTCATCCATGCATCTGATGGGAATGATCCTGCAAAGGGGAAATGAACAATGCAGGCGAGAGAAGCAAGCCCTGCTGGACACATCCTTGAGTAGGCAGAAGCCAATGTCTGGTGCATAGGCAGAGGGCTGGCTTTAGGTGGGAAGGATGGGTGGGAAGATGAGCCGGCATAGAAGGGGTAGAGGGGGCTTGCAGAAGCACTTTCTGATGGTGTCTGTCTCTTCACTGAAATGGGAAGCCAGGTTGTCATTGTAGCCACCTCCCAGTGGGGCAAAGAGGAGGGAGTGAGATGCCTCATGAAAAGCAATGCTTGGGGTCTGGTGTAGAGTAATAACTCAGTAAATCCATTGTCTTCTTGCTTACCTCTAAGTTATAGTGATCACATTTTCCAGACCAAATATCTGAACCTGGAATCTGGCAGGTGCCTTAGGGGCCAATGGGTGTGACTGATTGAAAAATCAGAATGTCTCAGAAACACCTAGACTTTTAATTTCCAAACAACAGACATGATAAGCATCCAGGGCCTGTCATGTATATTATGGAACGTAATGCCACTTTCTTTGGCCCTTTTCCAAAGCAGATGATATCCCAGCACCAGGGAAAATGGTTTCAATATCAAGTTGGGTCAGCAGCATCTTTCTACCTATTTCTGTCTTCGTGGTCTTTATATTTGAAATAATCATTACTATTTTATGCATTCTCTCCCCATCCTGCATTACAGAAGGAACGTTCCTAACAAATGTTTTATGTTTCAACTGCTAGGAGATTGTATTTTTGAAATAAAATTTTAGTTATCCTTTCATTTTTTGATCCTGTAGATACATACAAATTTAGAAACTCTGAAAGAACACCTTAATTTATATTCTGTGCCTATGTGGGTGAGGGAAGAAGAGGCTGTTTGGTATATATTATATTTTTAGGTTTTTAAATCTCTCTTCTTTTTTGCAAATGTGATGGAATGTAACATTTACCAGAAACTGAGAATTCCCGAGGCAGTAGCCACAGCAGCAACAGTAACTCTAAGCTGGAGATGGTCTGCTCTGGTGCCAGAGAGGCCAACCCTTGACTCTACTCTCTCGTGATCAATCAGCTGGAAAATCACCAATCCATGGTCCTCCCTTCCCATAAGTCACAGTCTGAGTATGGCGCCTGTGGCTGGAACCCTTACGCTCTCCTTTGGGGTGTCTGGGTACCACTCTGTCTGACCCATGCTCCTGGGCATTCTGGAAGTCGGGACTCTGCCTTCCTTACCTGTCTGTGCTTGGAACTCAGAGGATCCTTGTTATGTAGTAGGTGTAGTGGACATTGGTCAGTAGGGAGGCCTATCATCTTTTTACAAGTGTTCTAGACGTTTTCCCAACCCCCCACTTTGTCAACCCTGCCTTTCACACTGACATCTTTTCCCAGCCTGATTTGGCACCTGCCCATCAGACACCATGTGAGTCTGTGGCTCAGAATGGGGTCCGGGACGCACCACACAGGGTGGGCATCCATGTGGAGGATGCAGGAACAGCATGGTGGAGGCAGGGTGGCCTTGAGGGCAGTAAGGCCAGCTTTGCCATTCTGTGGTTCGAGGCACAGCCCAGAGCTGAGTCCTTCAATCCTCCCCGACAGAACTGTGAGATTTCTCAAACTAATCAATAAATCCCTTCCTGCTGAAACCAAATTGATTGGCTTCTGTTGGTTCCAACCAGGCCCCTGGCCAGTGCCATGGATGTCTACGGACCCAAAGAAAGGCCTCCACATGAGCAGATCCAGCTGTGTGGGGCCCAATGCTTCTATCGTTGAAAGATCCTACAAAGTAAAAGAATATAAAGTTTTACAAACAAAACTATATACAAAGGTGAATATTTAATGAGAAAATAAATCACAAGAAATTATAAATTTTAAACCTCAAATATCTTATAAAATTTTAAAAATTAATTTTCTACTTTAACATACCTCTAGGACACTTCTTTCTTATGCTTTTGACAATATTTTGCAATGGCATTTTCTATAGAGAGAATTAAAAGATAAATGAGGCTTTCCTTTAACACTATTCATTAAAATTTGATTGATTGATAGATTGATTGATTTTGAGATGGAGTTTTACTCTTGTTGCCCAGGCTGGAGTGCAATGGCATGATCTTGGCCCACTGCAGCCTCCGCCTCCTGGGTTCAAATGATTCTCCTGCCTCAGCCTCCCAAGTAGCTGAGATTATGGGCGTATGCCACCATGCCTGGCTAATTTTTTATATTTTTAGTAGAAATGGGGTTTTACCATGTTAGCCAGGCTGGTCTCGAACTCCTGACCTCAGGTGATCCACCTGCCTCAGCCTCCCAAAGTGCTTGGATTCCAGGCGTGAGGCACCATGCCTGGCCTAAAATTTGATTTTTTTTTATTGATAGTTTAGAAAACTTTTCAGCTTCATACCTTGTCATTAACAAAATGTCATGTAAAGTTTTGTATTATTTCAAATTTAGAGAAATCTTTATCCAGTTTCTGAGATATCTGAGCTGTGAGATTTCAGGACACTTGAGCAATGGCCAATCTGAAATATATGTTTTTTGTTTGTTTGTTTGTTTTTGTTTTTTGTTTTTTGTTTTTTGTTTTGAGACAGTCTCACTCTGTCACCCGGGCTGGAGTGCAGTGGCGTGATCTCAGCTCACTGCAACCTCCGCCTCCCGGGCTCAAGTGATTCTCCCGCCTCAGCCTCCCACGTAGCTGTGATTACAGATGCGCGCCACCATGCCCAGCTAATTTTTTGTATTTTAGTAGAGATGGGGTTTCACCATGTTGCCCAGGGTGGTCTCGAACTCCTGAGCTCAGGCAGTCGGCCTGCCTCAGCCTCCCAAAGTGCTGGGATTACAGGTGTGAGCCACCGCGCCCAGCCTGAAATAAACTTTGAACTGATAATATTTGTTATCCAATTAGTCATCAATATTTTCTTGCTACATTGCCCAGCAAGTCAACACAGTGGGCAGTAAGGAAATTTTGAAACATTTTTATACCAGATAACTTCCAATAATTTAACTATAGATGGAAATGAGTATGAATCACATAAACACATCTCATTAAACCCGAATTAAATGTATCCCCTGCTCCCTTCCCCTTAATGAATGCCCCAACTGTACATAGTCACTTCAAAAGTTACCCAACAAGAGGGGACATATGACAGAGAGGATATCAGAATGGCAACAAAAAGTAGTCACAACCAACTACAAATAAAATCCGTTATTCTTGTAGATTGTATAACGTGTAACCATGTGAACTAGGGATTCGGAAAGGCCCATGAAAGTGGGGGGTTCTGAAACATGATCAGCATCACTGTAATTCTACCTCTATCTCCAAAATAATAATGATAATAATAATATTTAATACAGCAATTTGTTCTGAGACTTGTGTAAGAATCAAACCACAAAGAGTTGATTTAGTACCCTGAAATTCTCAGTAAGTTGTCTTATGTTTTCATGGGTTTTATGTCATGGTGCTGTATCCTAACTCTAAAGTAAAATTTGGATAGTTTCTGCCCTGCAATTTCTCCTCAGAAGCAAAGCAATATAATGTGGTCGTGGAGATCTGCAATATATTTAAAGAGCAGCCTCTTTGTAGTGTGATAAATCAACTTAGGTACCCAATCCTGGGTAGATACAGGAAAATTCACACCTGAAAATCCAAATGGTCCAGGAAGATGGCATAGACATACTATCCCTACTCCTTTTGCTAAGTGCAATGAAAAACATGGGTTATTATTAATAAAAGCAGCATAAGAAGACTCCAAAAGATTGAGGGAAGAAGGCAATGGACCAGGGACCTCAGGACCCAGGGAATGACTATGATGAGTTCCCTGGGCTCTCCTTTTGTATCACATGTCTCAGACGTGGAGCTTGAAGAAGCAGGCAAACTGGAAACACCAATGGCTACAGACAACAACAACAACAAAAACAACAAAAGCCTTCTCTCTTTAATCAAAGGACCAGGAAAGGGGAAGCCTAGAAGGACAGAAAACGTTTAGTCCATGACTGCTGCTCCAGCCAAACTCTACAGAAAAACCTTGGCACCTTCCACCCATGCTGAATGGGTGAGCCTAGACTTCCACCCTCATCAGGCTGCAGAGCAAGGTGCTCCAGCTCCCGTGAGGCAGAGGTGTCAGAGACGGCTGTGCAGGAAGCTGGGGCTTTCATCTATGCTAAGCAGTTATGAGGCACCCCCTCCCACCTGCAGTGTCAGCAGAGGCCACGTGGAGAACAGTGGTGAAACACTCCTGCCCCTCCCAGCCAGGGCTAGTAGGCAGCTGGAATTCCCACCACTGCCCAGCAGTAACAAGGAGTCTTTTCCCTTCTCAGTGTCAATGGAGGCCAGAAGGGAATCTGCGCTTGACAATAACAAGGCAGTGACTTCTCTTCATTTGCAGTAGTGTCAGAGAAAGCCAGCTAAAACAGAAGGTTTAAATAAGATTCAAGCCCTCATAACATAATACTCAAAGTGTCTGGGTTCCAGGTGAAAATCACTTGTTATATGAAGAACCTGGAAAATCTCAACTTAAATGAAAAAAAAAGCAATAGACACTAACACTGAGATGACAGAGATGTTAGAATTATCCGACAAAGATTTTTCAAGCAGCCATGATAAAAATGCTTCAATGAGCAATTACAAACACATTTGAAATGAGTGAAAACTGAAAAAGTCTCAGTAAGAAATGGAAAATCTCAAGAAAGAAAAGACATGAAGAAAAAAATGGAAGAAAAAAAAGAACTTAAAAATAGGGCATTGGGAATAAAAAGCTCAGTGGATGGGGTCAACAGCAGAATGGAGGGTCCAGAAGAAGAAAACCGGTGAACCTGAAGACAGAACAATGGAAATTACCCAAATCCAAACCACAGGGACAAAGTCGACTGCAAAAAAGTAAGCATCGTTTCAGTGACCTGGAGGACTGTGTAATAGAAGATCTAACATTTGTGTTATCAGAATCCCAGAAAGAAAGGGAAAGGGGTGTAGCTTAATAAGCACTTGAAGAAATAACTGCTGAAAAAAAAAAAAAACCCAAACTTGGCAAAAGACAGAAACTTGGCAAAATACAGATTCAAAAAGCTGAGGGAGCTCCAAAACGAATAAATTAAAGGAAATCCATGCCAAGATGCATCATAATCAAACTTGTGAACACTAAAGACAAAGAAAAAAAGCTTGAAAGCAGCAAGAGAAAAACATCTTATCTATAGAGAAAAAAAACAATCTAAAAAAGAACACTTCTCATTAGAAACCATGGAGGCTAGCTAGAAGGAAGTGGCACAACATTTAACAAGTGCCGAAAGAAAAGAACTGCCAACGCTGTCATGCAAAGACCACCCAGGATGGCTATACATGGTAGAAAGGACAGCTTTATTGGCGATACCAATTTGTAAACTGGGAAGAGACAGTCTCTGGTGTGGACTGAAGGTGCTCTCTCTTTGAAGAGGAAAAGGGAAGGTTAGGTTTTATGTCTTACAGAGCCTGTATCACACAATAGAGTCAAACATATTCAGCAGATTTAGGGGAAAAGCCGTTCATATTAATGAGGGAAGTTGGGCACATGTGCAATAGGTAAACACATATGTAATATATATCCCATGTTCACTTTGGGGCAGGCTTTTAGCATTAAAATAGGGTGGAATTTGGCTCTTTACATCCAAAGGTGAAGTATAGGGAGCAAACACCATTTGTATGCAGTCTCTATAAGCTGCTGAAATGGGCTTAAGGTCTGCAGTTGCTTATCAGGAAATAATGTGTGTAAGGCCAGTCTTCTGTCCATTCAAAGTTGTAGTGGTCTGGATTGTAAATCAGAGTTAAGAAGGGCCTGAGAATTTGCCCCATAGCTCCTATTGTTAGGGAGTTTAGCAAGAGTGATTTTCTTGTGGTTGCATGAATTGAGAAAGTTCCCATGCCAGCTGAGCCTTTTACCCTCGACCTGAAGGTAACTCACCTTAACCTTGGGGTCCATCTTAGTTGATAAAGGGGCATCTATTTTGATCTCTTAGGCCCCAACCCAAAATTCTATATCTAGAGAAAATACCCTTAAGGAATTAGGGGGGAATCAAGTCATTATCAAATAAATGAGAACCGAGAAAATTTGTTGCCAGGAGACCTACCATAAGAGAGTGGCTAAAGGAAAATCTCAAACAAAGAAAGTGATAAAAGACGAAATCTTAGAACATCAGGAAAGAAGAAGGAACAATGGAATGAGTGGAGATCGAGGTTAAATATACTACATTTTTCTTCACATCTTGAGTTTTCTAAATTATGTTTGAGAGTTGAAATAAAAATTATAACATCATTGATGAAGTCTTAAATGTGCTATAGAAGAAATAGTTACTTATACTATAAGTGGTATAGGACAGAGAGATGTAAGGGAAGGTAAGATTAATATACTTCATTCAAATTGGCAAAATGTTGACATCAGTAGAATAATAAGTTATGTATATATAATTTAATACCGAAAACAACCACTTAAAAAACCATACAGATATTCACTAAAATAGAGGAAAAAAAAGATTCACTTAAAAACACTATAGGTAAATAAAAATATAAGTCTAAAAAATGTTTGCTTAACTCACTAGAAAGCAGGAAAATGAAAGCAGAGACACTGGGGATCTGGGAGGGAAAATGGCAGATAGGAGGCAGGACTAACTTGCAGCTCCCACTTGGATGGACACAGCAGTGTGTGGAGACCCACATCGTGAACTTTGACTCGAAGAACTACTGCAGGAACATTCCAGGAGAGCTGAGATAATCCACAGACCCTTTGAAGGAGATGGATTGCAGCCGAAGGCTCTGTGGGACAGCAGAGGAACTCCAAAGACAGAGGACATAATATATCTTGGGAGCTCTATGGCCCCACCCACCTCCTGATCCTCCCTGTACTGCTGTAGCTGATGCGATCTTGAAAGCACCGCCTCCTGGCAGGAGGCCAACCATCACAAAACCAGTGCACTTAATAAAAATACAAACAAGGACCCTCACAGAGTCTTCTTCACTCCTCTGCTACCTCCATCAGAGCAGGTGCTGGTATCCGTGACTGAGAGACCTGAAGATGGATCACATCACAGGACTCTGCAGACACTCCCCAGTACCAGACCAGAGCCCAGTAGCTCTTCCAGGTGGCTAGATTCAGAAGGAAATAACAAGCACTGCAGTTTGGCTCTCAGGAAGCCTCATTTCTAGGGAAAAGGGGAAAGCAGCACATTAAGGGAGCACCCCATGGGACAAACTAATCTGAACAGTGGCCCTTGAGTCCCAGATCTTCTCCCAATATAGTCCACCCAAATGAGAAGGAACCAGAAAAACAATTCTTATACTATGACAAAACAAGGTTCTTCAACACCCCCAAAAGATCACACTAGCTTACCAGCAATGGGTCCAAACCAACATGAAATCTCTGAATTGCCAGAAAAAGAATTTAGAAGGTCAACCATTAAGCCAATCAAGGTGGCACCAGAGAAAGATGAAGTCCAACTTAAAGAAATCAAAAAAAGATACTGAATATGAATGGAAAAATGTCCAGTGAAATAGCACAAATAAAAAACAATCACAACTCTGGAAATAAAGGACAAACTTAGAGAACTGCAAAATGCACTAGAAAGTCTCAACAAGGGAGCTGAACAAGTAGAAGAAAGAACTTCAGAGCCAGAGCACAAGGCTTTCAAATTAACCCAATCTGGCAAAGACAAAGACAAAAGAATTTAAAAAAATAATCAAGGGCTCCAAGAAGTTTGGCGTTATGTTAAATGACCAAACCTAAGAATAATTGGTGTTCCAGAGGAAGAAGGGAAATCTACAAGTTTGGAAAACATATTTGAGGGAATAGAGGAAAACTTCCCCAGCCTTGCTGGAGATCTAGACATCCAAATAGAAGAAGCTCAAAAAATGCCTGGGAAATTCATCACAAAAAGATCATCAGATTAAACCATCCTGCAACTCTTGATCATGGTGGATTATCTTTTCGATATGCTGTTGGATTCAGTTAACTAGTATTTTGTTGAGGATTTTTCCATCTATGTTCATCAGGGATATTGGTCTGTAGTTTTGTTGTTGTTGTTGTTATGTCTGGTCCTGATTTTGGTATTAGGGTGATACTGGCCTAGGCACATAGTCATCAGGTTCTCTAAAGTCAAGATAAAGGAAAACAATCTTAAGAGCTGTGAGGCAAAAGCATCAGGTAATCTATAAAGGAAAATCTATCAGATTTCTCAGCAAAAACCCTACAAACTAGAAGGGATTGGGGTCCTATCTTTAGCCTCCTTAAACAAAAAAATTATCAGCCAAGAATTTTGTATCTGATGTAACTAAGCTTTGTAAATGAAGAAAAGATACAGTCTTTTTCAGACAAACAAATGCTGAGAGAATTCACCACTACCAAGCCTGCACTACAAGAACTGCTAAAAGGAGCTCTAAATCTTGAAACAAATCCTCAAAATACACCAAAATAGAATCTCCTTAAAGCATAAATCTCACAGGACCTATAAAACAATGACACAATGAAAAAAAAAAAAACAAGGTATTCAGGCAACAAATAGCATGATGAATAGAATAGTACCTTATATTTTAATACCCTCAAAATCATGCAAATACATGGAAATTAAACAACCTGCTCCTGAATGATCATTGGGTCAACAATGATATCAAGATGGAAATTTAAAAGCTCTTTGAACTGAGTGATAATAGTGACACAACCTATCAAAACATTTGGGATACAGCAAAGGCAGTGCTAAGACGAAAGTTCATAGCATTAAATGCCTACATCAAAAAGCATGAAAGAGCACGAATAAACAATCTAAGGTCACACTTCGAGGAGCAAGAGAAACAAGAACAAACCAAACCCAAACCCAGCAGAAGAAAATAAATAATCAAGATCAGAGCAGAACTAAATGAAATTGAAACAAACAACACAATAAAAAAAATGAAACAAAAATCTGGTTCTTTGAAAAGATAAATAAAATTGATAGACCATTAGTGATATTAACCAAGAAAAGAAGAGAGAAGAGGACTTATATTCCAAATAAGCCCAATTAGAAATATAAGGGGAGATATTACAACTGACCCCACAGAAATGCAAAAGATCATTCAAGGCTACTATAAACATCTTTATGTGTGTAAACTAGAAAACCTAGAGAAGATGAGTAAATTCCTGGAAATATACAACCCTCCTAGATTAAACCAGGAAGAAACAGAAGCTCTGAACAGACAAATAACAAGCAGTGAGATTGAAATGGTGATTAAAAAGTTGCCAAAAAAAAAAGTCCAGGACCAGACAGATTCACGGTTGAATTCTATCAATCAGATATTCAAAGAATTGGTACCAATTCTATTGAGAGTATACCAAAGATAGAGAAAGAGGGAATCCTCCAAAAACATTCTATGAAGCCAATATCACACTAATACCAAAATCAGGAAAAGACATAACAAAAAAAAATAACTACAGACAAATACCCCTGATGAACATAGATGCAAAAATCCTCAACAAAATTCTAGTTAACTGAATCCAACAGCATATGAAAAAGAGTCCACCATGACAAAGTGGGTTTTACAGGAGGGATACAGGGATGGTTTAATATCCACAAGTCAGTAAATGTAATACACCACATAAACAGAATTAAAAATAATAAGCACATAGTCACTCAAGAGACACAGAAAAAGCATTTGACAAAATCCAGCATCCCTTTTGGTTAAAACCCTCAGCAAAATCGGCATAGAAGGGATATACCCTAAGGTAATAAAAGCCATCTATGACAAACCCACAGCCAACATTATACTGAAGGGGGAAATTTGAAAGCATTCCCCATGAGAAGTGGAACAAGACGAGGATGCCCACTTTCACCACTTCTATTCAACATAGTACTGGAAATCCTAGCCAGAGCAATCAGACAAGAGAAAGAAATAAAGGGCATCCAAATCAGTAAAGAGGAAGTCAAACTGTCACTATTTGCTGATGACATAATTGTATACCTAGAAAACCCTAAAGACTCATCCAAAAAGCTCCTAGAAGTGGTAAATGAATTCAGCAAAGTTTCAGGATACAAAATTAAGGTGCACAAATCAGTAGCCCTGCTATACACCAACAGCAACCAAGCTGAGAGTCAAATTAAGAACTCAACCCCTTTTACAGTAGCTGCAAAACAAAACAAAACAAAACAAAACTTGGGACTATACTTAACCAAGGAAGTGAAAGACCTCTACAGGGAAAACTACAAAACACTGCTGAAAGAAATCATGGAAGACATAAACAAATGAAAACACATTCTATGCTCATGGGTGGGTAGAATCAATATTGTGAAAATAACCATACTGCAAAAAGCAACCTATAAATTCAATGCAATTCCTATCAAAATACCACCATCATTCTTCACAGAACTAGAAAAAAAAAATCCTAAAATTCATATGGAACCAAAAAAAAAAAAGAGCCTGCATAGCCAAAGCAAGACTTAGCAAAAAGAATAAATCTGGAGGCATCACACTACTTGACTTCAAACTATACTATAAGGCCATAGTCACCAAAATGGCATGGTACTGGTATAAAAACAGGCATATAGATCAGTGGAACTGAATAGAGCACACAGAAATAAAGCCAAATACTTACAGTTATCTAATTTTTGAGAAAGCAAACAAAAACATAAAGTGGGGAAAGAACACCTCATTCAACAAATGGTGCTGGGATAATTGGCAAGCCACATGTAAAAGAATGCAACTGGATCCACATCTCTCACCTTATACAAAAATCAACTCAAGATGGGTCAAAGACTTAGATCTAAGACCTGAAACCATAAAAATTCTAGAAGATCACACCAGAAAAACCCTTCTAGACATTGGCTTAGGCAAAGAGTTCATGACCAAGAACCCAAAAGCAAACACAACAAAAACAAAGATAAATAGATGGGACTTAATTAAACTAAAAAGCTTCTGCACAGTGAAAGAAATAATCAGCAGAGTAAACAGACAACACGCAGAGTGGGAGAAAGTCTTCACAATCCATACATTTGACAAAGGACTAATATCCAGAATCTATAAGGAACTCAAACAAATCAGCAAGAAAAAAACCAACAGTCCCATCGAAAAGTGGGTTAAGGACATGAACAGACAATTTTCAAAAGAAGATATACGAATGGCCAACAAACATATGAAAAAATGCTCAACATGACTAATTATCAGGGAAATGCAAATCAAAACCGCAATGTCATCCTTACTCCTGCAAGAATGGCCATAATCAAAAATCATAAAGTGATAGATGTTGGTGTGGATGTGGTGAAAAGGGGACATTTTTACACTGTTGGTCAGAACATAAACTAGTACAACCACTGTGGAAAACAGCGTGGCAATTCCTTAAGAACCAACGTAGATCTACTGTTTGATCCAGCAATCCCACTCCTGGGTATCTACCCAGAGGAAAAGAAGTCATTATACGAAAAAGACACTTGCACACGTATGTTTATAGCAGCACAATTTGTAATTGCAAAAATCTGGAATCAGCCCAAATGTCCATCAGTCAACAGGTGGATAAAGAAGATGTGGTATGTATATGCCATAGAATACCACTCAGCCATAGACATGCTCAGCATTTGCAGCAACCTGGATGGAAGGGCAGGCCATTATTCTGAGTGAAGTAACTCAGGAATGGAAAACCAAATATTGTATGTTCTCACTCACAAGTGGGAGCTAAGCTATGGGGACACAAAGACATAAGAATGATACAGTGGAATTTGGGGATTTGGGGGAAAGAGTGGGAGGGGCTGAGGGGTAAAAGACTACACATTGGGTACAGTGTACACTGCTCAGGTGATGGGTGCACCAAAATCTCAGAAATCACAGATCACCCCTAAAGAACTTATTCATGGCCTGGCGTGGTGGTTCACGCCTATAATCGCAGCACTTTGGGAGGCCGAGGAGGGCAGATCACGAGGTCAGGAGGTCGAGACCATCCTGGCTAACACGGTGAAACCCCGTCTCTACTAAAAATACAAAACATTAGCCGGGCGTGGTGGCGGGCGCCTGTAGTCCCAGCTACTCGGGAGGCTGAGGCAGGAGAATCGCTTGAACCCGGGAGGCGGAGCTTGCAGTGAGCCGAGATCACGCCACTGCACTCCAGCCTGGGGACAGAGCAAGACTTTGTCTCAAAAAAAAAAAAAAAAAACAAAACTTATTCATGTAATCATACACTATCTGTTCCCCCAAAGCCTTTTGAAATAAAAGAAAACAGAGAAAGTAAAACAGAAGTAACAGGAAATGAAAAATAAAAACCCCAACATATCAATACTTAGGTCAAATGTAGATGATGTGATGATTGATTAGGAAACAAATTGGCAGAATGTATGAGAAAACATGACTCAATAACATGTTCTCAAAAAGAAATTCACTTCAAATTAATGATACAGGTAGGTTGAAAGTAAAAGAGTGGAAAAAGATATTGCATGCAATATCAACAAAAGACACCAGGCGTGGCTATGTTGATAGCAAAGAAAGTAGACTTTAGAGAAAATAAAATTACCAAAGACAGACAGGGAAATTACAGTTATAAAAGGGTTAATCCAACAAGAAGACATGGCAATCCTAAATGTGCATGTACCAAACAAAAGAGCTGCAAAAATATGTGAAATAAAAACTGATAGAACTAAGGGAGAAACACACACACCCACAATTATATTTGGAGATTTCAATACCCCTTTCTCAACAATTGATAGAACAACTAGAGAAAAAATTAGCAAAGACATGGAAGAACTCAACAACACCATCAACTGACAGGATCTCTAACATTTGCAGAACGCTCTACCCAGCAACAGCATAATACATATCGTTCTAGTGCCCACAGAACATATAGCCACATAGATCATATTCTGGCCTATTAAAATAAAAACTTAGTAAATAAAAGATTGAAATAATACAGGGTGTTTTTTTCAAGCACAGTGGAATCAAACTAGAAATCAATAACGGAAAGATAGTGTGAAAATGTCTAAATACTCAGAAATTGAACAACATACTTTCAAATAATCCTTGGATCAAAGAGGAAGCTACCAGGGAAAATTTAAACAAAACCCAAAAACAATGAACTGAATGAAATGAAAATACGACATATTAAAATTTGTGGGATGCAGCTAAATAACTAGCAGGCAAATATATAAACACAAAATGCTTCCTTTAGAAATGAGGAAATGTCTTAAAATAATCTAAGCTCTCACTTCAAAAGCTAGAAAAAAAAAGCAAAATAAAGCCAAAGCATGTAAAAGTAAGGAAATAATAAAGATAAGAGCAGAAATAAATAAACGTGAGGACAGAAAAATACAGAGAAAAATCGAATAAACCAAAAGTTGGTTCTTTGAAAAAAACAATAAATAGATTTTTTTCAAATAAACAACTGAATAATCAATAAAATTAATCCAAAAAGATGAAATAAAGATCAATAAAATTGGCACATCTCTAACAAGACTAACAAGGGAAGAGACAAATTACCAATATCAATCAATACCAATCTATAGAAAATCAATCAATACCAATCAAAGAGTAGATATCAGTACAGACTGCAGATATCAAAATAAAAATAAAAGAATATTACAAACAATCCTACACACACAAACTTGACAACTAAGATGAAATAGACCAATTCTTTGAAATGTACCAGCTATAGCGATTCACCCAATATTAATTAGATAATTTGAATAGCTCTGTAACTATTAAGAAACTGACTTTTAAAAAAAAATTAATCGACAAGTTTTTAGAGCAGGTTTATGTTCATAGCAAAATTGAGTAGCAAGTACAGAGAGTTCGTATATTTACTGTCTCATAACACATCCACAGCCTCCTCTGCTGTGACCGTCTCCTCCCCTTACCCATCAAAATAGTAGGTTTGTTACAATCAATGAACCTACACTGAGACATCATTATTACTAAAAGTCCATATTTCATATTAAAATTCACTGTTGGTATTCTACATGTATGGATCTTGACAAATGTGTAATGACATATATGCACCGTTCCGTTACCATAGAAAACAGTTTTACTGCTCTAAAAATTTTGTACTCCACCTATTCAATATATATATTTTTTGGCCCCCTGGTAACAACTCTCTCCATTGTTCTGCCTTTTCCAGAATGCTATGCAGTTGAAATCATACAGTGTGTAGCCCTTTCAGACTGGCTTCTTTCAGTTGGTAATATGCATCATTTTGTCTCTTCCATGTCTTTTCATGGCTTAATAGCTCACTTCTTTTTAATGCTGCGTTAATATTACATTGTGTAGATGTACCACAGTTTATCCATTCACCTACCGAAGGACATCTGTTTCCAAATTTTGGCAAGTATGAATAAAGCTGGTATAAACATCTGTGGGCAGGTTTTTGTATAGACAAAATGTTTAATTCATTTGGGTAAATACTAGAGAGCATGATTGTGGGATTGTATAGTAAGACTATGTTTAGCTTTGTAAGAAACTGCCATATTGTCTTCCGAATTTGTGCCTTTTTGTATTTCCACCAGCAATGAGTGAGAGTTCCCATTGCTCCATATCCTTGCCAGTATTTGCTGTTGTCAGTATTTTGGATTCTGGCCAAATTACTGATTACTGGTACCCCATTATTGTTTGAATTTGCAATTCCCTAATGACATATGATGTTGAGCATGTTTTCATACGCGTATTTGTTGTTTGTATACCATCTTTGGTGAGGTGTCTGTTCAGAGTTTTTGCCCACTTTTTGAATGAGTTGTTTGTTCTCTTATTGTTGAATTTTAATTTTTTTTGTTTGTGTGTTTATTTTGGATGCATGTCATTTATCAGCTTTCACTGTCTGTGGCTTGTATTTTTATGTTCTTCACAGTGCCATTTGCAGAACACAAGTTTCAAATTTTAAAGAAATCAATTTTATAAATCTTTTCTTTCATGGATTGTGCTTTTGGTGTTATATCTAAAAAGTCACTGCCAAACCCAGTCACCTAGATTTTCTACTATGTTTATTCTAAAAATTATATAGTTTTGCTCGTCCATTTTGAGTTAGCTTTTGTTTAAGCTAAAACAGCGTGTTAGACAGAGTGTAAGATCTCTGTCTAGATTCATTTTGTGTGTGTCCCCAGTTTTTTCCAGCATAATTTGTTGAAAAGATTGCCCTTTCTCCATTGAATTACCTTTGATCCTCTTTGCCAAAGATCAGTTGAATGTATTTCCAACTATTTCCGTTGAATTTATTTCTGAGTTATATATTTTGTTTTATTCATCTGCTTGCCTATTATTTTATCCATATCATACCATCTTGACTGCTGTACTTTTTTAGTAAATTTTGAAGTTGGATAGTGTCAATTCTCTGACTTTTTTTTTTCTTCAATATTGTGTTGCCTATTCCACATCTTTTGCCTTTCCCTATAACCTTTATTATTTATTTATTTTTGAGATGGAGGTTAACTCTTTTTGCCCAGGCTGGAGTGCAATGGCGTGATCTTGGCTCACTGCAGCCTCCGCCTCCTGGGTTCTAGCAATTCTCCTGCCTCAGCCTCCTGAGTAGCTGGGATTAGAGGCACTCACCACCATGCCTGGCTAATTTTTTTGTATTTTTGGTAGAGACGGGGTTTCACTATGTTGGCCAGGCTGGTCTAAAACTCCTGACCTCAGGTGATCCACCCACCTCAGCCTCCCAAAGTGCTGGGATTACAGGCATGAACCACCGCTCCTGGCCTCCAAATAAACTTCAGGATCAGTTTTGTCTATTTCTGCAAAATAACTTGCTGGGATTTTCATTGGGATTGCATTAAATCTATAGATAAAGTTTAGTTAGGAAGAACTAGCATCTTAACAATATCAAGTCTTTCTATCCATGGACATGGAATATCTCTCCATTTATTTACTATTCTTTGATTTCTTTCATCAAAACTTTGTAGTTTTTCTCATATAGATATTATTCATATTATGTTAAATTTATACCTAAGAATTTCATTTTTGGTGCTAATATAAATGGTGAGTTTTTAATCTCAAATTCCAATTATTCTTTGATGAAATGTAGGACAATACTTTTTTGAATTTTGTATATTAACTTTGTATCTTGCTGTAATCATTTATTAGTTCCAGGAATATTGTGGTTGTGATTATTCTTGGAAGTCTTCTATATAAACAATCATATCATCTGTGAACAAAGAGAGTTTTATTTCTTCCTTTCCCAATCAGTTTATCTTCATTCTGTTTTTAAAGTCTTATTGCATGCATTACTTAGGACTTCCAGTGCAATGGTAAATAGCAGTTGTAAAAAAAAGACATCCTTGTCTTTTTCTAATCATAGAAGAAAAGCATCTAGTTTCTCACCATTAAGTATGATATTAGCTGTAGTCTTTTTGAATATGTTCCTTATCAAGTTGGGGAAGTTCATCTCTCTCTATTCCTCCTCATTTGTGAGTTTTGTTTTGTTTTGTTTTTGTTGTTTTACAGAGTCTCACTCTGTCACCTAGGCTGGAGTGCAGTGGTGCAATCTCAGCTCACTGCAACCTCCACCTACCAGGTTCAAGCAGTTCTCCTCTCTCAGCCTCCCAAGTAGCTGGGACTACAGTCACATGCCACCACACCTGGCTTATTTTTGTATTTTTAGTAGAGATGGGGTTTTATCATATTGGTCAGGCTGGTCTTGAACTCCTGACTTCAGGTGATCCACCCGCCTCAGCCTCCCAAAGTGCTAGGATTACAGGTGTAAGCCACCACACCAGGCCTGCTGAGCATTTTTAATTGTGTTGTAATATATGTACTTTTTTCTACATTGTTGGATTCTATTTGCTAATATTTTTTGAGGATTTTGCATCTATGTTCATGTAAGATATTGATCTGTAGTTTTTCTTTCTTGTGATGTCTTTTGTTGTTTTGGTTATGATGATAATGTTGTCCACATAGAATGAGTAGGAAGTATTCCTTCTCCCTCTATTTTAGGGAAGAGATTATAGAAATCTTTTCTTCCTCAAATATTTGGCAGAACTCATCTATTAAACCACCTGGACCTGGTACTTTCAGTTTTGAAAAGTCATTAGTTACTAATTCCATTTTTTAAGCAGATATAGGCCTATTTAGACTTTTCTCCTTGTGAGAGTTTTTTTGTTTGGTTGGTTTTTCGTGTTTTTGTTGTTTGTTTGTTTGTTTGTTTGTTTGTTTTGAGATGGAGTCTCACTCTGTTGCCAAGGCTGGAGTGCAATGGCACAATCTTGATCTCAGCTCACTGCAACCTCCACCTCCCAGGTTCAAGAGATTCTTGTGCCTCAGCCTCCCGAGTAGCTGGGATTACAGGTGCACACCACCACGCCTGGCTAATTTTTGTATTTTTAGTAAAGATGGAGTTTCACCATGTTGGCCAGGCTGGTCTTGAACTCCTGACCTCAGTGGATCCGCCCACCTCACCCTCCCTAATTGCTGGGATTACAGAAGTGAACCACCGTGCCTGGCTGCGTGAGTTTTGATAGATTATATCTTTCATGTACTTGGTCCATTCTATCTAAGTTAAATAGAGTTGTTCATAATATTCCTTTATTATCCTTTTAGTGTCCATGGGCTCTGTAGTGATGATCCCTCTTTCATTTCTGATATTATTCATTCCTATTATTCATTGCTGATGTGTTTTTTGTGGTTACCCTGGTTAGAGTCTTATCAATTTTATTGATCTTGAAAAAAATCAGCTTTGATTTTGTCGATTTTCTCTATTTTTTCCTGTTTGCAATTTCACTAATTTCTGCTCTAATTATTATTTCTTTTATTATTTTTACTTTAAATTTAATTTGCTCTTCTTTTACTAATTCCCCATGGTAAAAGTTTAGATTATTGATTTTAGATCTTTCTTTTTTCTGATAATGCATTTAATACCATAAATTTCCCCCAAGAACTACTTTTGCTTCATCCTGTGAATTTTGATAAGTTGTGTTTTTATTTTCATTTAGTCCAAAATATTTTAATATTTCTCTTCAGGCTTGTTTGGCCCATGTATTATTTATAATTTGTTTAATCACCAAATATTTTGGGATTTTCTCCAATCTTTCTGGTGAGAATCTGGTATGTCTCCTAGAAGTAAAACTCATGAGAATGTGGGGCCCACTAAGCCAGGTTCTAGGAGTTTAGCTCTCAAGCTGGTCTACAGTCAATCTTAGTCAGCTACCCTTTAAGTGTTCTTAGAAGGTTCTGGCGGGGAAAGGAAGGTGATTTCAGCTATAAATTTCAATACCCATCTGTCACTGTAATTTTCAAAGTGGCAGTTTGTCCTGTGGCTTCAATTCCCTGATGGATCTAAGAAGAATTGTTGATTTTCAGGTTGTTTGGTGTTTTCATTGGTTTGTTTGCTGTGGAGATGGGAATAACAACTTTCAAGCTCTTTAGATGTTGCACTGGTAACCAAAAGTCAGGAAATTGAATTTTTAAATTAAAAATTCCCAAGAAAGAAATCTCCAGACACACATGGTTTCACTGAAGATTGTTTTCCAAACATTTAAATAATATTTAAAACCAATTCTATATGATCTCTTTCCAAATATAGAAAAGGAAGGAACACATCTCCACTGATTCATAAAGCTGCTATTACCCTAATACCAAAGCCAGACAGACAATTAAAAAAAGGGAAAACTAAAGATTAACATCCCGCTTTAATATAGATACAAAAATTCTTAACAAACTCTTAGCAAATAGAATTTATCAATATAGAAAAAAAATCTAAATCATGAGCAAGTTGGACTTACTCCAAGGATGCTAGGTTGGTTCAATATTCAAAAGTTATTTAATGTAATCCACCATATTAACAGGCTGAAGAAAAAAAATCACATAATCGTATCAACTGGTACAGAAAAAGCATTTGACAAAAATCAACACCTTTTCATGATTAAAAAAAAAACTTACAGAAAACTAAGAATAGAAGGAACTTTCTCTATTGGAGAAAGACCATGTACCAAAAAAAACCCCTTACAGCTAAAATTATACTTAATGCTTAGTTGAATAATAATAATAACACTGAATAGTTCCCCTCTAAGTTTGGGAATAAGGTGAAAATATCCACTCTTACTTTTATTCAACATAGTAGGGAAGTCCTAGCCATTACAATAAGGTAATAAAAGGAAATAAAATGTATACAAATCAAAAAGGAGCTAAAAATGTTCCTATTTGCATATATGATTGTCTATACAGAAAATCCCAAGAAATATACAAAAAAAATAGAACTAATAAGTGCATTTATCAAGGACATAGAAAGATGAACAACATACAAAAATCAATTTTATTTCTTTATACTATTAATACATGTGGATGCTGAAACTTAAAATACAGTGCTATTTATGATCACTAAAAAAAAGACAAAGAAATAGGCATAAATGTCATAAAATGCTTACAGGACTTGTATGCTAAAAACTACAAAATACTCATGATAGAATTCAGAGAAGCTCTAATTAAATCAAGGGACATACTAAGTTCATGGATTGGAAGACTCAATGTAGTAAAGATGCCTATGCTCTCCAAATTATTTATTGGCTAAATGTAATTTCTATCAAAATCTCAGCAAGGTTTTTGAAAAAATAAATATATACATAGATATAAATATTCTAAAATTTATAAGGAAAGGCGAAGGAACTAGAAGAGTTGAAACAATTTTAAGGATGAATGAATTGGAGGAATTGGTCTACTCAACTTTAAAACATACAGTAACAAAACTCTACGGTATTGATGGAGAGATACACACATAGTTTGATGGAATCAAATAGAGAAATCCAGAAATAGACCAACACAAATATGCCCAACTGATTTTGGATAAAGATGCAAAAGAATTCAATAGAGGGCTGGGCTCAGTGGCCCATGGCTATAATCTCAGCAACTTGGGAGGCTGAGGCTGGAGGACTGCTTGAGCCCAGGAGTTTGAGGCTGCAGTGAGCTATGACAGAGTGAGAACCTGTCTCTAAAAAAAAATTCAATGGAGGGAGGATAGCCTTTTTGATAAATGGTGCTGGATAAAGTAGGCACCCATTAAAAAAACATGGAATCTTGAGTTAGACCTCTCATTTATACAAGAAAATAAGTTGGAATGAATGATAGTTATAAATGTAGAACTAAAACTTTTAGAAAAAATATCATAGGAAAACATCTTGGGGATGCAAAACTTTTTTTTTTTTTTTTGAGGCAAAGTCTCACTCTGTCACCCAGGCTGGAGTGTGGTGGTATGATCATGGCTTGCTGCAGCCTCAATCAAGCAATCCTCCTGCCTCAACCTTCTGAACAGTCAGGACTGCAGGCTCTATCTACCATGCCTGGCTCAGGATATAGAGTCTGGCAAAGAGTTCTTCAACTTAACATCAAAGACACGAACCATAAAGGAAAAATTGATAAATTAAACTTAATAAAAAGATAAAACCTAAATGTGGCACATATACACCATGGAATACTATGCAGCCATAAAAAAGAAAGAGTTAATATCCTTTGCAGGGACATGGATGATGCTGGAAACCATCATCCTCAGCAAACTAATACATGAACAGGAAACCAAACACCACATGTTCTCACTCATAAGTGGGAGTTGAACAATTAGAACACCTGGACACAGGGAGGGCAAGATCACACACTGGGGCCCGTTGGGGGTCGGGGACAAGGGGAGGGAGAGCACTAGGACAAATACCTAGTGCACATGGGGCTTAAAACCTAGATGACGGGTTGATAGGTGCAGCAAATCACCATGACACATGTATACCTATGTAACAAACCTGCACGTTCAGCACATGTATCCCAGAACTTAAAGAAAAAAAAAAAAGATAAAACCTTTTGCCTTACAAAAGGCCCTGTTAAGAGTTGAAAAGCTGCTACAGGCCAGGAGAAAATATTGCTAACCACATAAGTGACAAGGGACTAGTATTTATTATATACAAAGAACTTCTGAAGCTCAACAGTTAAAAAAAAAAAAAAGAAAGAGAAATAAAAAAGAAAAAAAGCCCTAATTAGAAAATGGGCAAAAGACATGAACAGACATTTCACCAAAGAAGATATACAGGTGGCAAATAAGCATATAAAAAGATGTTCAACATCATTAGCCATCAGGGAAATGCAAATTGAAACCAAAATGAGGTATCATTGCACACCTATCAGAATGGCTAAAATAAAAGAGACAATGCCAAATGTTGCTAGGGATGCAGGGAAACTGGATTACTTATACATAGATGGTGAAAGTATAAACTGGTATAGTCACTCTGGAAAACAGTTTGTCAGTTTCTTAAGAAAATAAGTGTGCAACTACCGTACAACCCAGCAACTGTGTTTCTGGGTATTTATCCTGGAGAAATCAAGACTTATGTTTACACAATAATTTGTACATGAATGTTCATACCTTCATTATTCATAACAGCCTCAACTGGAAACTACCCAGGTGTTCTTCAGTGAGTGAATGGTTAGACAAATTGTGGTACAGTCATACTATGCAATACTACTCAGAAATAAAAAGGAGTGAACTGCTGATACATGTAAAAACTAGGATGAATATCCAGGATGAATATTATGCTGACTGAAAAAAACCCAAAAGGTTACCTACTGTATGAGTCTATCTATGTAACAGCCTTGAAATGATAAAATTATGGGAATGGAGAACATATAATGAATTAGCAATTGCCAGGGTTTAAGGACTGAGTGTGGCGGGGGTGGGGGCTGGAGGGAAGTATATGTGGCTGTAAAAGTAAAACATGGAGGACTCCTGTGCAGATGGAAATGTTCTGTATCTTGACTTTATCAATATCAATTTCCTGGTTGTGATATTGTACTATAGTTTTGCAAGATGCTACCACTGGGGGAAACTGGGTAAAGCGTTCATTGTATCTTTCTATATTATTTCTTACAGCTGCAGAAGAACCTATGATTAGCTCAAAATAAAAAGTTTAATTTTTAAAAAAAGCAAAAGAAATGCAAAATTATGTAGTTGTGCTAAATAGTGTTAGACACAAGGCCATGGTGACTGCCACAAGAATTATCCCTAACATGTCTGGATGGAAGTGGAGATGTGAGCCCAAGGCATGTATCAGTTACATGGTGAATGCTCCAAACAGGTGTGGAAAGCCTTCTAAAGTGGAATTCCAAGTAAGTAGGATGGGCACTGGTGTGACGTCTTATCCCAGTTCTGTCTCAAGTCAGAGAAGCAACCATGAGTATAGCTGTTGGTACCTCTGAGCAGCAAGTAACAGAATATAACACTATCTCATATGATGCAAGTACTATTATCTAACCTATCAGGAAGCAGAGAGGTGGGCAGTTTCACAGTGGATCCTTCGTTCTAAGTTGGCTTTTTTGGGATTCTCTGGTCTGATAGTTGCAGCAGCTTGAAGCAGCACTGCCTGACGCCATGCACACAAAGCTGGAGAAAAGGAGACAGCAAAAATGGAACATTTTCCCCCTTGCCCCTCTCTAATCAGGGTAAAAAATGAATCCATAATTTCCTAGAAGACTTATCCTTGTGTTTCATTGGCCAGAACTGGTCACATGCTCACCTCTACCCTTACCCCTCAACTCACTGGTGGAGGGACTCATAATTCACTCCTCGTTCCTGAGCACATTGTCGTCAGACACTATTCTCTTAGCAAGAAACGATAGAGAAGAGGTGTTAGCTGGACATGAAACAGGCCTGCTATAGTGGAAAGTTGGCCACTGCCCTGTGGAATGTTCTGAGCCTTCCATGTGAAGAGTCTGTCCTGTCTTCCCTCTGCTCTGTTGGAGAGGCTCTCCATGGGTGTGTGTGTGTGTGTGTGTGTGTGTGTGTGCGCGCGCGCGCGCGCATGCACTCACGCACGCATTTCTGGGTCTTGTGGGCAACTTTTACCATGGCCCCTGTTCCATCCAACCAGAGGAGAAGGTTACATCTAAAGAGAATGGGAGCTCTGCCTATAAGCGGTCTCTGGTGACCTGTGAAAGTGGTTTACTGTTCACTTGACGCAGAAAACCCCCACAAAATCATGCACATCAAGAGTTTTAAATCTTTGTGTTCACTTTAAGAACACTCCTAGACCATGACAGGTGTGTGTATCTGGAAAGCCACCAAGTGTCTGAAAGGTGTATCTTAACCGAAGCAATGTGTGTCATTCTGTCTTATGATGGTGGAGTTGAGAGGTGTGCCCAGGCCAACAGTAGGGCTGGATGCAGGGTCAGTGGCTCCAAAAGAGTGTGGAATTTTTGCCACAGTTGCTTAAAAATGCAGAGAGTAATGCTGAACTTAAGGGTTTAGATATAAATTCTCTGGTCAATGAACATCTCTAGGTGAACAAAGTACCCAAGATATTAGATACCAAGGATCCAAAAGAGTATGGAATTTTTGCCACACCTGCTTAAAAATGCAGAGAGTAATGCTGAACTTAAGGGTTTAGATGTAAATTCTCTGGTCAACGAACATGTCTAGGTGAACAAAGTACCCAAGATATTGGCACCACCATATTTACAGAACTCACGGTGGGATTAACCCATACATGAACTCCCATGAGGTGATCCTTGCTGAAGAAAAAAAGAAAATTTGTTCCCAAGCCAGAAAAGGAGGTTGCACAGAAGAAAATGTATCCCAGAAGAATCTGAAGAAACAAACATTTACGGCGTGGGAAGAAGTTCAGCATAAAATAGATGCAAATAAAAGACTTAAAAGGGAAGAAAAAGAATGGCACATCCTTGACCAGAATCGGACTCAGATATTTGCCCCTCCACCTACATCTCTAAGCCAGAGAAACAGAAGTTCTCAGGCCGTATCAGAACTTTTCTGTAGCAATAACAGTCCTGCTGAGGTGGCCCGAGGAGCTGAAACAGACGAGCTTTGACGAGTTTAGCAGAAATAAGGAAGAGATGAGCTGATTGTTGGCAAGTGCACCTCTTCTCTCTGTCTGAAGCGAGATCTTTGAGACATTCTTCATCCATTCCCCGGGGACCTAGGAAATGAGCAGAGTCCCCCTCTATGTGTGTGCTTTCATAGAAGTGCCCGTTACACTTCTCCCGCAATTTACGGGACCACATCTGGTTGGCTATCTTGGTCAGCTTTAGGATATTGGCTCGAAAAAGGGTCATAAATTTTATTTTCAATTTTGTTTCTGTGGCTTTTATACTTTAATATGCCCTTGCAGACGTGCCGAGTGTGATGTTCCGGTTAAGGAGAGAAATGGCTGCTAGAGAGGAGTGCTCCACCTGGGAAAGGGTTTTTGGTCTCAGAAAGAATCCCTCTCTCCTTTGCGGGGGTCAGGCCAAGTTGGGGCTCAAGTTAGTGAGTGCGTGGTGTGGCCTTGCCGGTATGTCTTTTGTCTGGCCAGCTGTCTTTAGGAGGCTAACCCTCCTTCCTTTTAGTTGGCACTGACCCCACCTCTGGTGACAGAGTTTGAGACGTGACTCAGATCCAGCCAGTCAGATAATTTGACCCTCCTTGGGATGGGGAGAGACCATCGAAGCTGGGCCAGTCATTGCCTTCATTGGAGCTGCTGGGCAACAGGCTGCCCACCCCCTGGGTCCAGCTATGCCTGAAGCGCTGTGCTTTCCTGGAAGTCCCCATGACTCAAAGCAATAAGTCCCCCACCTGCCCCTAAACTTATAAGCTATTGTGAGTTGGAATTCCATCACTTGGAAATGAGTCATGAGTGACAAATGAGTCTTGAATACAAATCTGGGGTGTATGTTCGGAGTTCCCCGGGACAGCAGCACTGGCCCCCGACTCCCAGTTCTTCCTCCACAGAGGGGTGTTTGAACAGTGTTGGAAGAGGCTTAGCCATTCCATTCAGCCCACACCTGCCACGACAATCCCAGGACAGTCCTTCTGGCCCAGCCTCCGTTTTCTCTCCTATAAAATGAGTTGCTCAACCTTGAGACCTGTGAGAATTAAGTGGGAAACCAGAAATAACTCAAAACAGCAACGTCTGACAATCCCTTTTCTCTGATTCCGAAGGTCAAAGAGCTCTGAAAGGAAGGTTTTTCCTAGCTTTTTTTGATGGCCAAAACCTGACCCCATCTAAATGAACTGCCATGCAGCTGTCTGTGAAAGTCAGTTCCCTTCCCCACTTTGTGTTTCCTTATATTCTTTGATTTCCTTCCCCCAGAGCACTTCCAGCCGCGCCATTCAGCAAACGGAACTGAGCCTCCTGCTCTGTGCAGGGAAGTGAGTCCATCCCTATCTCCTGCCTTCAAGGAGGTTAAAACCATGATCAAGAAGTGGGGAGGGGGGCAGGGGGTCAGCTGCTGGCTCCCCACGCACAGCCCCTTTGTGGGCTCTTTGTCTTTCTCTCTCTCTCTGTCTCTCTCTATCACTGCGTGTGTGTGTCTCTCTCTCCCCCCTGGCACAGTCACACAGACCCTCTACACAAGGGGACACACATGCACACACATATGTACCCCACACACATATACATATATACACGTTCCTGGGAGATATGATCAAAGTTATTTATGGGTTCAAAGGAGTGAGTCCTGGCAGGGGTGGGCACTGCGGTGAGTGTGGCAGATGTTGGACCACCGCCCCTCCACTCCAGCATCCTTGGGGATATCCTCTGGGGGGCTGGAAAGTTCAAGCCCACGTTTCTCAGAACCACTTGCCTCTGGGCTGTCAGTAAGGGCCTGACAGCCAGATGCATGTCACCTGGACAGGGAGGTGAGGCTGAGGTCTTGCTCCGATTGCTTTCATTCTGCTCTGACCACAGAGATGGTGGCGAAGGCACTTGGTTTTCTGCAGCGGTGGAGGCAACAGTGTCATGCCTGTGGGAGGCAGGCAGAGGGCGTCTGTGTGGCTGGTGTGGATCACGACTGAGGGACCAGCGTCCTGGGCATGAGAGGCAGTTGAGCCTCCTCCGCAGAGAGGCTGTGCATGGGGAGCCCGCCGCTGATCCTCCGCCCCCTCCCCACTTCTGGGTCATGTCAGAGATGCAGCTCCAGTTCTGCAGTGTGAGGACCAGTTCCAAAGCCACACTGAGGGCCTGTGCCTCCAGCCCAGGTGACTTTGTGCACACCCAAGCCTTCAGTTACCCTGTTTCTACATACACCTCTGAGGGTGGTTTCTGGGACTGCAGTGAGCTCTGAGCATCACGGGGCCACGTGAGAATAGTGCAGGAGAAGTCACCGGACTTGAGGGGGAGACACATCCCAGGGGACTTGGGACTCTGAAGGGTGCTGTGTGAGGAAGAACTGGACTGGGTCTAGAGGTGCCTCAGTGATGCTGACGGGGAGAGGGCGGACCAATGGATAGTGTAGACGTCCATGGAGGACAGCCTGGAGAGGTGACTGTGAAACAATGTTCTGCACACAGCTCCAAGACATGTGGACCCCGCTTCTGCCCCTGGGACTCGGGGAGGCAACATATCCATTTAAGAAGGCTGCCCAGCACGGAGACCCTGGGGAGACATCAGGCTGGTTTAGACCAACAGGTAGAAGAAGACAGGAGAAAAGATTAAGGATGGAAGGGAGATTATTTATCACCAAACAGGACATGTTCAGGGCAAGAGAAAGGGCTCATGGAAGGACCTGAAGAGGGGCAGGGAGTGAGGAGAGTGGGTCCGGGCCCCCCGAAGATGCAGCTAGAGGTAGGAGCCAGAGAATGGAGGCAAGTGATGTCCCTGGCAAATGGCGTCCTCTGTCCCTGGGGTGATCCTTACCTGTCCCTCCTCATTGCTGGATTAAAAATTAGCTCTGGGCCAGGCATGGTGGCTCACACCTGTAATCCCAGCACTTTGGGAGGAAGAGGCAGGTGGATCATCTGAGGTCAGGAGTTCGAGACCAGCCTGGCTAATATGGTGAAACCCAGTCACTACTGAAAATGCAAAAACTAGCCAAGCACGGTGGCGGGCACCTGTAATGCTGGCTACTCAAAAGGCTGAGGCAGGAGAATCTCTTGAACTCAGGAGGCAGAGCGTTTTGCAGTGAGTCAAGATCTGCCACTGCACTCCAGCCTGGGCGACAGAGCTAGACTCCCTCTCAAAAAAAAAAAAAAAAAAAAAAAGTTAGCTTTGGGGCTAGGGATAAGCCTAACCACCCATATTTCCAACCCCAAAAGCCTCCAAATAAAATGAAATCAAGGTTGTGTTACTTGCTGGGCTAATATGATTAACCACAGATTATTAAACTGGTCCATCATTTTCCATTTGTCCTTAATTTTTTTCCCAATGAACTTATATCGGCAGATTTAATTATTTTTTTAAAAAACTGTCTTTAGCAGGACAAAATGCGGAGGAAAGAAATGATATTGGAGTTCCTTTCCCATCCCTCTTTCCTCTTGCCCCTTTTCTTTTCCTCCATCTGATGCTGCTCTGGTGGAGGTTGGGGATGGGGTGGGCCAGGGATGCAGAGAGCCGGGACACAGCTGGAGTGTGGGGTTCCCTGCCTCCAGAAGGGATGGCAAGGGCCATGGGGTGGGGGCAGAGAGGGAGAAGGACCAGGCTGTGAGAGGAGGCTGCTGGGAAGGGCTGGGGCCCATTGTCCTAACCAACCTTTGTCATCCACCCTGATGGATGGACGTCATCCATCCGTGACCAATGCTAGGTCACCCTCAGCTGCCATGGTGGGCTCAGCTGTGATCCCACCACCTGGAGCTTAACGCCTGTCTTCCTTGCTGGGAAGACTCAGAACCACACAGACCTGCTCCTCACCCTTCACAGCCAGCACTGACCTCAAGGAGCAGCAAGGCAAGCCCTCAGCATCCCTGGTTTTCTGAGGTGGACTCTCCCTGACTATTCACCCTTTTCTGTTGCCTTCTAGACATACCACCCATTTAATTTTTAGCATTCTGATAGGTCTCTCAGTGTTTTGCTTACATTTTGATATTGAGCATCTTTTCACGTATTTACAAGCAGTTGGAATTCTTTGGTGAATTGCCTGTTTCTATCCTTCATCCATTTTCTAATAAGTTGTTTCTTGTTTTGCCAATATGCAGAGCCTCTTTATATATTATGCATGCTAATCCTAAGTCTACTATGTATGGTGAATATTTTATCTCAGCCTGTCCTTTAGCTTTTTAAAAATAAACTATTTTTTAGAGCGGTTTTAGGTTTACAGCAAAATTGAGCAGAAGGTGCAGAGATTTCTCATACACCCTCTCCCACTACAGGCACAGCCTCCCCTATTACCAACATCCACCAGCAGAGTGGTCCGTTTGTAACAATTGATGAACCTGCACTGAGGCAGCATTATCAGCCCGAGTCCATCATTTACCCTGGAGTTCACCTTGGTGTTGTACATTCTCTTTTTTTGAGACAGTGTCACTCGCTCTGTCCCTTAGGCTGGAGTGCAATGACACGATCTCAGCTCATTGCAACCTCCACCTCCTGGGTTCAAGTGGTTCTCCTGCCTCAGCCTCCCGAGTAGTGGGATTACAGGCGTGCGCCACAATGCCCCGCTAATTTTTGAATTTTTAGTAGAGATGGGGTTTTCCCATGTTGACCAGGCTGGTCTCAAACTCCTGACCTCAAGTGATCCAGCCACCTCAGCCTCCCAAAGTGTTGGGATTACAGGCATGAGCCACTATGCCTGGCCAGTATTGTACATTCTATGGGTTTGGACAAACACATAATGTCGACATGTATCCATCATTATAGTATCATACAGAATAGTCTCACTGTCCTCAAAATCCTCTGTGCTCTACCTGTTCATCCCTTCCTCCCCCAACCCCAGGCTACCACTGATTTTTGTTTTGTTTTGTTTTGGTTTTTTTGAGATGGAGTCTCGCTCTGTCCCCCAGGCTGGAGTACAGTGGTGCGATCTCGGCTCACTGCCAGCTCCGCCTCCAGGTTCACGCCATTCTCCTGCCTCAGCCTCCTGAGTAGCTGTAACTACAGGCGCCTGCCACCGCGCCCAGCTAATTTTTTATATTTTTAGTAGACATGGGGTTTCACTGTGTTAGCCAGGATAGTCTCAATCTCCTGACCTTGTGATCTGCCCGATTTGGCCTCCCAAAGTGCTGGCATTACAGGCGTGAGCCACTGCGCCTGGCCCCACTGATCTTTTTATCTTTTTCCTTTTTGTTAGTGGCAGCTTGGGGGGTGGGATGGGGTGCAGGAAACATATTTTACATTTTTATGTAATAAAATCTCCTCGTCTTTTCCTTTTATCTTGGTTAGTAAGGCCTTCCCATCCCAAGATTGTAAAAACATTCTTCTATATTTTCCTCTGACTCATTCATGGTTTGGATTTTTACATGTAGATCTTTAGTCTACCTGGAATTTGCTTTTGGGTGTGGTGTGTGAGGTATATATCTAAGTTATTTTTTCCTCCAAAACATCCGAACACTACTGATTAATCCTATTTTTTACTGTTATTATTCAACATTGAAAACTATTAACATACTTCGCTAGCATATTAAGGGGAAATATATTCATCTTGATACATTTCTTAAGTTTAAAAACCTAACACCCAGGCTGATCAAAATACTCAAAAACCTAATAATGTATGGAAACTTTCTCAACCTAAAGAAACAATCCACAGTGTCAATATTGGCTCACCCTTTGTAAAAAACAAACAAACAAACAAACAAAAAAAAAAAAAAAAACCTTCATTAATGCAGGATGTTAAAAATTGGGGAAATTAGCGAGGGGTGAGAACTCTCTCTTTTTGCTTAATTTTTTCTGTAGAACTAAAATGTCCCAGAGATAAAAAAAATTTTTAAAAATCAAGCCAGAGGGGCTGGGTGCAGTGGCTCATACCTGTAATCCCAACACTTTGGGAGGCCGAGGCGGGCAGATCACTTGAGGCTAGGAATTCGAGACCAACCTGGCCAACATGGAGAAACCCCATCTCTACAAAAAATACAAAAATTAGCCAGCCATGGTGGCAGGCACCTGTAGTCCCAGCTACTCGGGAAGCTGAGGCAGGAGAATTGCTTGAGCTACTCAGGAGGCAGAGGCAGGAGAATTGCTTGAACCAGGAGGTAGAGGTTGCAGTGAGCCCAGAGAGCACCACTGTGCTCCAGCCTGGGTGACAGAGTGAGACTCTGCCTGAAAGAAACAAACAAACAAACAAGCCACAGGAAACATGATATTTACTGGTGGAACTTTGTAAGCATTACCACTGAAATCAGGAGATATTTAAATGACATAAACATCTTATCTCTGCTCATTCTTGCTGTAGCAACTGCGGTCTCTGTCTCTTGCTTCTTGCTCGGTGGAATGAGGACATTATTGCCTCTACTCATCCCAGTTCTGCTTCCCAGTTTCTGTCAACACATTTCTATGTTGTTAAGATGGATAACATTTATCAATGTATGAATATTGATATGGAATTTATTTGTAGGTTGATTCTCAAAGGTAAAAGCCAAGAGACAAGCAATATAACGTTGACATGATTTCACTGCAAATTCTATTCACTGCTGAGTCAAGCCACGCTCTGGAATGACATACCCTTCTGTGTGGTTCAACTGACAGTGTCCTTGAGTCATGAAAGGAAAATATTTCCAATTGATTGTTTCACACTGTCAATTGCTCAAAATCAAGATACATTTTGGTTTGCTGCAAATCTGGATTATATCTTGTACGTTCAGCTTGTTTTTCTTTTGGATAGAAGAAACTTTCACCTTACCCAACAAATGCCTCCTAGCTTCCTGCTTCCTAAAATTCTAATTGCTCAGGGTCTGTTTCATTCTTATTCTTGAATCCTATCCAAATCCTGGACTAATTTGGACCAGGTGCATCATACACGACTCTGCATCCCTTTGCTTTTCATTTCTCCCTCTTACGTTGCTTGCCTTTGTCGTGACTTCAGGTTCCTGCAGTGTCTCAAGCACGCTGTTCTCTAAGGAGCCCATTTCTCACAGGTCCTTCCTTCCAGAGCCTTCTGACCTCCCACTCCAGTGGAATGGTTAATATCCAGGCTTGCTATTCAAATGCAGTCCTGGGTCTTCTGGTGGCTCTTTGGGGTTCAAAACTATTGTTTTCTAGAGTCTTTCTTGTCCCTTTTCTTGGTTCATTTCCTTACTTTGCTGGAGTATGCTCTTTAGTTACTTCCTCCCAAAAAAATGCATGAGCAGTTAACTTTTTAAATTCCCTCATATCCAAAAACTTCTGTGGTGAGTCCTCACACTGGAAGGTCACTTGGGCTGGACCATTATGTTGAAGCCATTTTCCTTCAGTCTCTGAAAGCTCTGCTCCATGGTATTCAAGAATCTAGTGATGTTCTCAGCCTCCGGCTTATCTCATTCTCATTCCTTTGAGGACCATCCGTCTTTTTCCCCTCTGGACACTTTTTAGGATTTTCTTCTTTTTTTTCAGATTTATCCTGGCTATTCTGAAAATTCATCCTGTGAGTTTAGATGTGGATCTCTGTCATTCAGGATGCTTTCAGCTGCAAGTAATCAAACAGCCAATTCATGGCAACTTAAATCATATGGAGGCTTATTGGTTCATATAATAAGAATTCCCAAAGTAAAGCAGTCCCAGGGCCTTGCCATCAAGTCTCATCTTTTCCCTATTGTCTCTGTCTGCCAACTTCAGCATGTCAGCTAGCTGCGGAGGGCTGTGGTGAGTTCAGGAAACACATTCTGGCCATGCAGTGTCCAGAGCAGAAGAGGGAACTATCTTTTCCTTGTGTCTTATTTCGAGAACCAAGAAATCCATCACAGACCCTCTCCTGGGAGACTTTTCTAATATCTAATCAGCCAGAACTGGGCCACATGCCTCTTCCTAGGCTTCTGATTAGAATGATCATGGTGGATGTAGACCAACACAGGTCCAGGCTCTGGGGCTGGGGCTGCACCAGGAACATGAAGACCTAAAGCAATCAGGTTCTGTTCCAAAGGAGGAGGGAGGAATGGCTGTTCGGTAGTAGGCCGTTTCTGCTTTTTAATTTTTTTAAAATTTTTATTTCATTCTTTCAAATATAGAAAGTCAAAATTCTGACACCAATTATCTCAAAACTATGCAAAGCAATTCAAAATGTTTACAAGCATTTTCCTTTAGTTTTGCTTCTTTAAACAATGATGTGATCAACAGATATATCTTTGGTTTCCTTGGGAGTGAGGATATATATATAGAGAAAGACAGACAGGTAGGCAGATAGATAGATGACAGATACATACATAGATAGATACATACATACATAGATAATGGAGAGCCAGAACCAATGCATTAGAAAGTGTATCACTATTCTTCCAATCTACCCTCTGTACTCTTAACAGGAAATGAGTATGGCATTTGCCCAGTGGATAAACTTTACTGTTTTCAAACTATGCAGAACATAAATTTTCAAACTATGCAGAACATAAAAAAAAAACTTTGCAGAGCAGAACTTTGACATCCACAAGTCTTAACTATCCATGATTAGCACACCAAGTCTCATTGCTAGTGTTTTTCTTTTTTTTTTTTTCATTTTGAGACGGCGTCTCACCCTGTCGCCCAGGCTGGAGTGCAATGGCATGATCTCAGTTCACTGCAACCTCCACCTCCCGGGTTCAAGCGATCCTCCTGCCTCAGCCTCCTGAGTAGCTGGGATTACTGGCACCCGCCATCATGCCTGGCTAATTTTTGCGTTTTTGTTGAGAAGGGGGTTCCCCATGTTGGCCAGGCTGGTCTTGAACTCCTGACCTCAGGTGATCCGCCTGCCTCAGCCTCCCAAAGTGCTGGGATTACAGGTGTGAGCCACTGCGCCTGGCTTGCTAGTGTTTTTCTGTTCATATGCTAAAAGCTTGGCCACTGGGTAATTTGGAGAAATGGTGCCGAAGATTGAACCACACACATTGAAATCAACCCCCACAATGCATCCGTGCCATCTGGTGCCCTAGAAGGAGAAACCTCAGTCGTGCGCACAACCTTAAGGGTCAGAGGTGTGCGTTTTCTCTGTGTTGCTTACAGTTAAACTGCTTTAGTGTGAAAATGTTGGCAGACCCTTCAAGAGAAAAAAAAAAAAACACGCCATTAGGCCTTTTAATTTAGTTTTGCTGAACTGGGCTTTAAAGATATGTGTGATAATAACCAGCTATGTAAAATTGAGGGATATAGTAGTCCATTTCAACCTAAATAATTATCTTCTTTAACTTTAGGAAATTTTCTTGTATCATTTTTTGAAAAGTATCATACAGCAGGTCCTCGAATAACGTTTTGTTCAATGTTGTTTCCTTATAATATTGATGGGCAAAAACGTGGCTTCCCAGCCAGGGTGGGGACCCCGTCTGTGTGGAGTTTGCACGTTCTCCCCAGGTCTGCATGGGTTTCCCAGGTGCTCTGGTTTCCTCCCGCCCACACCCCAAAGTCGTGCATGTGAGGTGATCATCTTGTCTAAATGGTCCCAGTGCGAGTGAGCGTGGGCGCGTGTGAGTGCACCCTGCGATGGGATGGTGTCCCGTCCGGGACTGGTTTCCACCTTGGCCTTGAGCTGTCAGAACAGGCTCCGGTCACCCACCACCCTGATCTGGAATAATTGGGTAAATAATTACCTTGCCTGTTTTTATTAATCTATCTTAAATGGATGTATAGCTCACAGTTATTTCAGTGTTTTATAGTGGAAGAATTTTGGTCTTTGTTTAGAAGTTTGTAATGTTTTTGTGGCCAGAAATATACATAGAGGCCTAACTCTTGTATATATCAACCAGCCTTTGGGAAACTTGTTTTTCTTTCACTTGAAGTCACAGTTTCCAAGAACCTATCCACGACATCGAGAACTTACTGTGCATGAACTTGGTTAAAGAGAGGTAGAGAGAAAATATGAGAATGAGAGAACCTTCGATTCTTTCAGTAGACAGTACACATTCTCTTACATGACACGAAATAAAATTCAAATTTCTAATAATATCATCTACGTATTTTTAAAAATCAAGTAGTTTACTTAGGTGAATAATAAAAACAGTCTTTTCCTGCCTCATCCATGAAACTTCTAATATTTACCCCTCTGAGATGAATGCTTTTAACTGCTTTAGCTGCTTTTTATTTTCTGGCTTTTATATCCATATTTCTATGTACTATATTTGACTATACTGATATTTTTGACTTTTTGATTTTAGATATTATCTACTGATAATGCATTTTACCTCCTGTGCACAAACACCCATAGACTTCCTCTCTTGCCAATATTGTATCTCAGTTTTTAGTTCTGTATGTATTTGTGTTTACATTATGACTGTGCAGCTATTAATCACAGCTGAGTCATATAGTGTACTCTAGTTATAATTTCTTTCTTGTTTAGCTTTTTGTCTTTTCTAGATTTAATAGTTTTTCTCATTTTCCTTCTGTTTAGTTTTCTATGTACTAATCACTAATTTGTCACCAAACTGATTGTATTATAAAATTATTTTGAATATTTTCAAACTCATCAACACCAACTCATTTTTGAATTGGAGACATCTTTCTCAGAATCCTCGATCTTCTGTTCTAATCTTGAAGTGTTACTTTCCAAGACTGCTGCACAGCTGTCCTGGGATGTTCCTATTATCCTGGGCATTCCCTTTGCCTGTCTCTTATGTTGAAGACCCTCCAAAATTTGACTTTCTCAATTTACATATTTATTTTTAACTAAAATTGAAATAGAAAACTCATTTAATTGAAGCATAAGTTACATATTATAAAATTCACCTCTTCAAAGTGTATAATTCAGTAGTTTCATTATATTCACAGAGTTGTGCCACCATGTAGTACCAAAACATTTTACTTCTCCCAGAAAGAAATCCTGCACCCATTAGCAGTCACTTTCCGTTTGTGGCTGGCTTCTTTCACTCAGCGTAATGTTTTCAGGGTTCTTTATGTTGTAGCATGTACCACTACTTTGTTCCATTGTGTCGATGTACTACATTTTATTTACCCATTTATCAGTGGATAGACATTTGGGTTGTTTCTTCTTTGGGGCTATTACGCATGATGCTGTTACAAAATTTGTGGAACTTTTTATGTGGACATATGTTTTCAATGCTCTTCGGCTTATATCGCTCTTTACTTTTGATAAGCCATATCCTCCAGTTGCCTTGTGAGAAAGGATGCATGACAGAGAACGTTGGGGACATGAATATTTGCAAATATCTTTATTATACCCTTACGTTTGGTTGATAGTTTGAGCACAGACTTATGAGGTGGAAATTGTTCTACCTCACTTCAACTGTGGTCCTCCTAACCATGCGGCCAGCAGGGAGGCTGATGCGGCCGGGGTAGATGTGTGAACGCTGAGCAACCTGGGAGCCAGGAGTGGCCCTTCCACCCTGCCCGCTCCCAGCCCAGGTGACAGCCTTCCCCTATCTTGCCGAGGCTTCTCTCTGTAGGTTCTAAGTTTGCTCAGTAACTACCCGATTCAAGGAGCGTACTTTGCCAGCCTTTCTGTCCTGAGGCCTCCGTGCTGGCCTCCCGGTAGTGAGCTCATGGACATCAAGGCTCCTTTCCCCCACGGCAGATCTTCTCTGCCTCTCATAGTTGCTTTTCTGCCCTTTTTGTTCTGCCTTTTCTTCTTTTGTTCTTCCTGCAACAAATCTGTGATTGTACGCTCCTCCTCCTGGATCGCACCTCAGGCCCGCCCTGCCCTTAGAAACTACATTAATCATTGCCAGAGATCATCGGGACACTTTCCTGGTGGCCTGTGTAGTGGCTTTTCCCTTTGGTGGCTCCCCTCCATGCCCCAGCCCTCCTGCCCTGGTCTGGACACATAAGCACGTTCCCAGCCTGCTGGCTGCAGATGGTCCAATCCAACTGGGAAAGGACCCCCTCCCAGGAGGGGAAGAAGCTCAAATGAGGCAGTATGACTTCCCAGATTTTCATTTTTGAAAAATGGTCCTACAGCGCTACCAGCATCCATTTGAGAAAGGACATTCAAAGCAAAGCTCTTCATTTCTGCAACCCTAGGTCTTTCTGGCAAAGATAAATAGGTGGTTAAGGATCACAATAAGGCGTGAGATCCCACATCCAATTCCCAGACCCCTGTAACAGGCTGTTGAATGAGATGTGATTCCTCAGTATGTGACAGAGGACTTGCATCTCCCGGACACTGACATTGTTACTGTTCTTGAGTCTGAAGGGAATTAAGAAAAATCTTTTGCAGTCACTGTTATTTCAAGCACTGATTCATTTCCCGTTTGGTTGACTCTATGCGATGCCATCTATCTCCAGAAGACACATCCGATAAGGAGCAGCTCTTCTTGTTTTTCAGTGATTTGCCCAGGACAAAAGTGATTGTTTCCCCTCTCTTCTACTCCAGCGAACCCTTTGCCCCTCTTCCGAGAGGACCTTCAGGAGCGTTTGTGCAAAGAATGGACCCACTTTCTAAGCTGGTTGCTGACTTTGTTTATACTCAGGGTCCTGTAAGGCCCTGTGTAGTGACTGCTTATAATTTTAGCCTTGGCATCTATTTTTAAAATACAAGTTTAAGCCAGGCATGGTGGCTCACACCTGTAATCCCAGCACTTTGGGAGGCCAAGGCAGGAGGATCCCTTGAGACCAGGAGTTCAAGACCAGCCCAAAGCGAGACACCCACCCCCCCACCGCCCCGTCTCTACAAAAAAACAGCTGGGTGCGGTGGGGCACCCTGTAGTCCCAGTTACTCGGGAGCCTGAGGCAGGAGACTCACTTGAGCCCAGGAGTTCAGGGCTGCGGTGAGCAAGGGTTGCACCACTGAGCTCCAGCCTGTGCAACAGAGTGAGATCGCGCCTCTAAAATTAAAAAAAAATTAATTTAAAATTTTAAAAAAATATAAATTTAACTTTTCTATACCAGAAGCAGGGCTCAGTCACCTTGATACGGTTTTCAATACTATACCTCATTGGAATGGCTCCAGTGTGTGGCCAGAGATAAAACAGAGGCATTTCTCCCTCTTGACAGGCTGGGGTCCCCTCTTCCTTTAAAGGATTCAGACACTTGCCCCTGGACTTAAAGTGATCACTTCTGGGTCACGGTGTAACCTTCTGGAACTGTGCCTGCCTGCTAACCCACCAACTAAAGCTCCCTTGGGAAGCCTATTTGGGTAGCGCCCTGAACCCCATAAAGACATTGGCCCATGGGTCCCTGATCTCTCTCTGCCTGCACTCGCTGACCTCCTTCTGTGTGTGGGTGTGTGTGGCCTCCAGGTGTGTCATGTACCCCCCAGAGCTTGTAAGTACTAAAAGCTCTTAAATTTTCACATCATGGCCATGCCCTGACATCCAACCCCTGATGGTGAGGCAGCCCAAGGAGACCCCTGCATGTGGGTCCCCGCGGGCACTCTGTTGTCTGGGCTTCTCTTGACTGTTGGTAACAGTCACTGCCAGCTAGGTTGATGGAGAAACTCAAGAGCTTCATTCCAACACCCTGGCGGGTGCCCAGCAACACACTTCTCTCCTCTGCGTCTGCACGACTTCACAGAGCACCACGGGAAGGCAAATCCATGATTCCAGTCAGCCTGTCCATCTCAGCAGCACCCTTCCCAGCCATTAGGAGCATCTCTATCTAACACAATTGCTACAGACTCTTCGCATGCTTTGTTTAAATAAAATAAAACCTGTATTGGAGCACATGCTTTGGGGGAAGAAGCAAAACCTCTTTTGGCGGAAACTTCTGTTAGACGCATTAGTCCCCAGTCCACGTGGAGGACTGCATGAGGAACCCAGGTCCAGCTCCTCCAGTGTGGGGATTGCTGGCAACGGGTGAGGGGTGGAACAGACCGTGAACTCACGCTCTCCCCCTCTGAATTGCCAGCTCCCCACAGAAGAGGAATTACAAGTGAGAACTCAGCCCGATGCATCATTCACAGCTCCACTGTTCTGACTTCTAATTCCATGAGCATGGTCACAAGTACAAAATATGTGATGGGCCCTGACTTTTTTTCCTCCTCTGCATTTTCTGGCCAAGTCAAGAGCTCTGAAATCTTTGCCTCCGGAGGCACTGTGCTGTGGTGGAGAGACCAGTGTAGGGTTCAGTGATAGGGCTTCTCGTTCTTTACTTTTTTTCATTTCTTACTTTATTTTCTGTAACTTTCATTTTAGGTTCGGCGGTACGGGTGAAGGTTTGTTACACAGGTAAACTCGTGTCACAGGAATTTGTTGTACGGAGTATTTCATTGCCTAGATATTAAGCTTAGCGTAGGGCTTCTAATAGTTCTAATCCTGTTATGGACTCTGTGTGCATTTGAGCAACACCCCAGGCCTCTGTGTCTTCAGGACTGAAGTGAGAATATTGGAACCAGTGACCCAATAAGGGTGAACATTTTTATTTAAAATATTTTAATTTTAAATCTCTTATTAGATGAAATTCCAGCTATTCAGTGTTCCCCACAAGTCAGTTAACTTGTTATATTCATGCATTTCCAAGCTATAAAATGAAATTTATTATGTCTTGATGTCTCAATGTAGAGGGTACAGTCATAGCTGCCTGCAAATGGAGACGTCTGTTATTCGGATAAAGACATTTTTTATCCATTTTAAAGTTTTTTTATCCAGTTTGGATGATTACTTGGCTATTGTATTACAACTACATTGCTTGCAAGTGACAGACACCCAAGTCGAATTATCAACAAGATGAATTTATTATTGGCAGGTGTATAAATTAGGATTCTTAGGCGCAGACTACAGAATCCACTCCAGTTTATTTAAGAGAAAGGAATTTATTACAGCCTGTCATGTGGTTTGTTAATTTCTGGGCAGGTCAAAGACCCAAGCTTAGACCTTAGAGCCAGGAGAAATACATGCCTAGATCACAGGACTCTTCTGAAAACTCCACTGCCACTGCTGCTGCCCATAGCTTAGGTTTGGGATGATAGACCCTCTACCCCAGCTACTCAGAACAGCCAAGCACCTGGGCCATTCTACTTGCTGAAAGTCTGATCTCCCTGAGTGTTGCCACCACCCTGGGGTGCTCATTTCCAACTCCCAAGTCTGCAGGTGTCTCTGCCTGGTGGGACCCAGGTCACATGTGAAACCTTCTCTGCAAGGGAGTCTGGGAAATGCAGACTGAGGCTTCCCATCCTCTAGATTCCCGGGAAGACACTGGGTAGGTTGTGAGGGTACCAGTCTGTGGGGCATGACATAGCAGCATCCTGGAGGACCCCTCAGAATCTGTGGGCAGTGTGGGGCTGGGCCTTAGGGGCAGAGCTGGGCACTGGGCACTGTGGGGAGGTGAGGACGTCATCTCTACCTCCTTGTTTCCTCTGCCTCTCTCTGCCTGGCTGCTGCCTTGGAGTAACACAGCTTCCGGGAGCACTAGAGTTTTACATGTTAGAATCCAGGTCCCACAGGGGTCTAAGTCCCAGTTCCAACCTCCTTGGGAGAGTGATGGGTTGGAACTGGGACTTATCAAATAGCCATCCGTATGATAACCATTGGAAACAGAAGAAACCAACGTTCCAAACAGGAGAGTAGCAGAGGGTAGAAGTGAGGTGTGGAGACCGGGCGTGGTGGCTCATGCCTGTAATCCCAGCACTTTGGGAGGTCGAGGCAGGAGAATCGCTTGAACCAGGGAGTTGGAGGTTGCAGTGAACTGAGATCACACCACAGCACTCCAGCCTGGTGACAGAGTGAAACTCTGTCTCAAAAAAAAAAAAAAAAAAAAAAAAAAAAGTGGGGTGTGGAGTCTCTGGGCAAACCAAATAATACCAAGAAGCCAAGAATTCTTTTGAAGCAACTTTACCCCTCAGCTGCTATTGGCTGAGTCTAGGTCTGTCTCCTTCCTGCATGGCAGCATGATTTTCTTAGAATGTTACACAATCCCTGTCCTTCTGGGCTGTGGTCATCAGGAGTAAAGGGTGGTGACAGTGAATTGTCAGGGCTGGGCAAGCTTGGCCTGGGTGAGTATCCAGCCAAGTGGCCCTGGGCAAGCCCCTCACTCCTGTCTTCCCTATTTGTAAAATGGGCTTGCAATGGTGCTTCTAGAGATCATGGAACCTATACATAAGATACAGGGATCCTTCTCCACAGCATCCTACAGGAGCAAAGGCACCAGCGTGCTCCTTCAGATCCTCCAGAACCTTGTCTGGACACTGGTGTCCTCTAGAGAAACCTCCTTTCCAGCCGTCCCATACCCTCAGCACCTACGGTCAGACAGAACTGATCCTGGCCTCCAGATGGCCTTTTTGTAGCCACTGGTAGTGCTCCCCTTGGCCACTCAGCATTCCACTGGGACACCAAGCCTCTTTTTTTGTTCCAGGCCTAATAATTATAGAATCTTTCTATGCAAGTTTTATAACCCTGAGTTTTTAATAAAATATCCCAGATTATCTATATACAACAACCCATTGGAAAAACAGCAATGATTGACTCTAATCCCGCAACCAGTTTATATCTCAAAAGGAAAGGCTGGCTGGGCGCGGTGGCTCACGTCTGTAATCCCAGCACTTTGGGAGGCCGAGGCGGGTGGATCACCTGAGGTCAGGAGTTTGAGATCAGCCTGGCCAACGCGGTGAAACCCTATCTCTGCTAAAAATACAAAAATTAGCTGGGCGTGGTGGTGTGCACCTGTAATCCCAGCTACTCAGGAGGCTGAGGCAGGAGAATCTCTTGAGCCCGGGAGGCGGAGGTTGCAGTGAGCCGAGATCGTGCCATTGCACTCCAGCCTTGGCAACAAGAGCGAAATTCCGTCTCAAGAAAAAAAAAAAAAAAAAGAGGAAAGGCTAAGAAAATAACACTTAGAGATTCCAAGTGACCTTGCGTCTCCAGATTCAACCCCAGTACTTGAAAGCTTGAAATTCACAGAACGTAAAATTAACCATTTTAATGTGAACAATTAGTAGCATTTGGTAACTGCACGATATGGTGCAGCCGTCGCCTCTATCTAAGCCCAGATTTTCATCACCCAAAAGGAAACTCTGTACCTGGTAAGCTGTGGCTTCCCATTCCCCTTTCCCTCCATCCTGGGCAAAGACTAAGTTGTTGTCTCTATGGATTTACCTATTTTGAGCATGTCCTATAAGTGGAATACTGCAGTATGTAACCATTTATGCCTGGCTTCTCTCACTTGGCATCATGTTTCCACAGTCCCTGCATACTGGAGCATGTACAAGTGCTTCACTCCTTTTTAAGGCTGAGTAATATTCCACTGTATGGATAAATCACATTTGCTTAACCATTCATGATAGACATTTGGGTTGACTCCACATGTTGGCTGTTGGAATTAGTGCTGCTATGAGCATGGGGTACATGTGTGAGTATCTGTTTTCAATTCTTTGGAGTACATTCCTAGCAGTGGAATTGCTGTGACATATGGGAACTCTATATTTAACTTTTTGAGGAACCGCCATACTATTTTCCACAGTGGCTGAGCCATTTCACATTTCTGCCAGCGATGTACGAGGGTTCCAATTTCTCCACAACCTTGTCAACACTTACTTTTCGTTTTTAAAATTATAGCCATCCTGGTGGATGTGAAGTGGTATCTCATTGTGGTTTTTATTTGCTTTTCCAAGACTTTTTTTTTTTAAAAAACTGAAAGAGTTGGCAATTTTATGTTCACATTTCACAATACAGATGAAAACTGTACTTTTTTGGTCTCACTTCTCCCCTCCAAAACTATTCTCTGGTAGGAAGGGGGAGCAGGTCTTCCTTATGCTGCTAAGGAAACACCCAGCGTCACAGCACCATGGTCTCCTGGAGAAGAACAAATAGCAAAAAGCTGATATGACGAGGTCTCTCCACTATTCTAATCTGTCTGGCTTAGTTATTCTGGGCTGCGTGGGCTCCACCATGCGATGGGTGGGCGGGCTCATCCTGGGGGCCTGGGTAACACTGGCATGTGACATCCCATGGGTGGCCTCATTCCAGGAGCAGGTCCCATGGCATCACCCTCAGGAGGAGGTGGGCCTGTCACTGGCACCATAGGAGGACCCCCCATAGAGGGTGCTGGCATCACACCAGGGTGGCGAGGAGGACCTGGGCGCTGGTGGAAGTGGGATCCCTGCCCCTGCAGGAGGAGGAGTGGAGAATGGAGCAGGAGGTGTCCTTCCTTGTTGAAATGCAGCCGTTGTCCTGTGCATCAGGCTCGGAGCCTGCTCTTCCATCCCTTTCCGGCGCAGGTCTTTCCTGTCCTCTTTGTGTTTCCCACCGCCGCCCTGTGTCTTTCTCGCAGATGGAGACTCATGGGTGAGGTCTGCACCACGGTGATACCGTCACAGTCAGACTCGGGCTTGTTGCTCCGTGGGCCATTGGCCCGGAAACCACGTGCCTCCAAGAACGTTTTGAAGTGAGAGATGACGCTTTGTTCTTGATTTCTTGAGGTGAATTCTGGCAAATAGGAGATGGGCTGAAGCCTGTAGCAGAGTAGATGTTGTCCGAATTTGCCAGCAAAAAAGAAAGACCTGTGGACTCTAGAAGCTGTAGCTTCCAATCCCCAGTCACATTCGAGGAGATGGTGTCCACAGAGGAAGAGCGTGGAAAATGATTTCCCTACTGGACTCATGGCCACATCACCGCAATAGTGCATTTTTACTTCTGCATGGTGTTTTACCAAGTTACACATCTTTGTGAACAGGACAGGGGCCTGTTATGTGTTATGGATTGGCGGGTTCCCTGTGGTGTACACAATCTTACCCCAAGACAAGCCCTGGTCTGGAGGGCTCTGTGTGTGGCTTGCCGGTATCAGGGACTTCTGGGGCCAAGACTGGGAAGAGTTGGGGTGCAGCACCCAGCGGCCAGTGCTCAGGGAAGTTCTGGGAGGCCTGGGCTTCCCAGAGACAACCTGATTGCCTATGAAGGTGAGGCTGAGTTGGGACTGGGTTCTGGGCTGCATTCAAACCCAGATGATACATGTCCAAAACGGGGCCCTCTGGGTGGACGGCAGCACAGGGGTAAGGAACCTCGCTGATTTAGCTGAGCTCTGGCTTCCGTGGGTGGAGGAAGTGAGGCCCTCTCAGGAGCTAACCTAAGAGATGAGGCCATTCTTGCACGGCCACCGCTGAGGTGCGATCGCACAGTGCAAGTCCTCTGTGCTGTGAGCCGCCCGCACTCTCAGGACATGAGCGCTGGCCCCTGCATGGAGCTCCAGGACGGCGGAGTCCACCCGGCAGCCCATCACAGGCGGGGGCAAAATTCAAACCTCCTCTGCCTCTTGCCTCCCCAAGATATTGCCTTTGTTGTCCGCCTGCTCCCTTGTCCCCCAGCTTACACCTGGTACCTTTCCGGCTCCCACCTCCGTTACTGGTTGCTTCTCCCTATTCCTCTGCTACGGAGCCTCTGCAGCCTGAACATGTGGTAATGATTCCTTCCTCTTTTCTCCCAGGCCCCAGAACTTTGTGCGCCTGTGCCCTGCACATCCATGCAGCTTCTCCATGAGGCAGCCTAGGCCTCCCAGGACTTCCCTGCGTGACTTCCCTGAGCACCGGCCACTGGGAGCTGCACCCCAACTCTTCCCAGTCTTGGCCCCGGAAGTCCCTGATACCTGGTAAGCCACATGCAGAACTCTCCAGACTGGGCTTCTGTGGATGTGACTGTGCAACCCACAGGGGGGATCTGCGAGGGTTCCCTGGACCAGTCCCTGCTCCACCTGGAAGCCAGAGGTGGCAACATGAACTGCAGGAGGGGTTTTGCTGCTATAATGTGGGTTGCATGAGGAGGCCCTGGTCTTCCTCCAATCCCCCTGGGGATGTGGGGTCTCCTCCAACCCTCAATCAGCTGTGGTTGATGCCCTGCAATCCCCCACTTCTTAGCTGGGGATGTGGGGTCCCCTCCAACCCTCAATCAGCGGTGGTTGATGCCCTGCAATCCCCCACTTCTTAGCTGCCCACCAGCCTGAATGGACTCTGGGAACCAGCCCTGCCTCTGAGGTTCCTAACCAGATAGACAACGTCACAACTCTACACTCTCAGCTGCTGTGTGAGGCATGGGGAGTGTGCACAGAGCCTTTAGCTTAGGCTCTAGAATCAGGTTTGCTGGACTTGACAGCAGGTTGGTGTGGACTTGGACAAGTCACTTAACCTCTGTCTGCCTTAATTTCCTCATCTGTAAAGCAGGGATAGTAACAGTACTGAACTGTAGAGTGGTCATGAGGGTTACTAAGACAATGCATGAAAGCTACGTAGCCTTGTGCTTGTAGAAGAAAGAGGGATTTGAGTTATGACTTAAAACTGGCTGTGGGAAGGTCTGAACTCAGTGAGAAGCAGACAGGAAATGGCTTGATCTTCCTTACATCCTGGCTTCAGGTAAGACCACTCCTATCAGCTTTCCCTGCCCCTTGATGACATCTCAGATAGCCGGCTCACCTGTTTGCAGGCATTTTTAGTCAAGAAAAAGGCTGCTTCTTGTGAGAATGACTCACTTTTATGTATTAAAGAGTCAATTTGAACTTGACATCCATGTCAAACTCCCCCTCCCACAGCCCCCAGCACAGGCTGGGCTGGTGTCTGGGCCAGGGGTAGGGAAGGGGCAACACGTGTTCTTTTCCTAGTTCTCCCTTTCCCTCTCTCTTCTCACCCTTATAGGCAGGACAGGGGGATGGGGGATTAGAGGAAGTAAGCAAGAAATCTTTTCCCTTTTAACTTAACTAGTTCTGCAGCTGTAGTTCTCACATGGCAGCCACCCAAATGCTGGCTCTCATGAGGACCGCGTTTTGTGGCTTCTTCAGAGGCCCCACGGGGATATGCACCCTGTGTAGTTTCTTAACCCCGGAGACATATGCTTTGGATAATCTCTTGCAGCCCCTCTTTTCTGGGGATCCTCCGTTGTACCCTTCTCCTGATCCACGCCTTCCCATCTTTGTCTTTCTCTGTCCCAGGAGGCTGACTCCCAGGGACTGCATCTTTGAACTTTCTTCCTGGATGACTTCTGGGCTTGGCCAATGGAGGTTCCAGCAGGGGAGTGGAGGGTGGAGGGAAAGAGGAGTCTGAGGCCTTCCTCACCCCCTGTCTCTGCTACAGGGCTGCATCTGGCCATAGTGTGGCCCCCACATCCACAGCCCTGGCTGGGCTGCCCGACCTCCCCACCGCCAGTCCTCACTGGGCTCACATGACAACAATTCATCCTGTTTCCCCTTCATCCATCAGTGGGAGTGGTTCCCTGCTAATGCTAGTCCTGGGTCCCTCAACACCCCACCTGAAGCAGTGCCTTCAGGAATATTCTTCAAAAGGCAACAGGTAGAGTGGGATATCAGCACTATCTATTGGCAATATATACATCTGACAAAGGACTTGGATTCAAAATATTTATGTAACTCCTACACATCAATAAGGAAAAGACAACCCAACATACAAGGAACTGAAGACTTGAATAGACACCTCCCGAAAGAACACATCAGAATACCTTCCTGCATGTGTCTCATAAATATATGCAAAAGAGTTAAACTTTGTTGGCCATCAGGAAAATACAAGTGAAGACCTGTGAAAGGTGGTCGTACACTCACTGGAATGGCTAAAATAAACATGGTGGCCATTCCGAGTGTTGGTGAGGACGCGGGGCAACCAAAACTCCCCTGCACTGCCGGCGGCAGCGTATGGCGTGGACATTCTGGAGAAATCTTTGGTGTGTCTACTAGAGCTTTTTTGGGGGTGATGTAAATGTTCTGGATCTTGTTTGTGGTAGTGGCCACATGACTGGAAATATTCTGCAAAACTCATTGAATGGGACACCTTAACAGAATGAGTGTAATTTTGTATAGATTTTGTCTCAGTAAACTCAATTTTTATAAATCTCTTTATTTTAACCATTTAGGGTGAATTTCTGCTGGGACCTTGACTGACAACTTCCTTTTCCCTCTGCACCTGGCAGCTCTCCTTGGCACTTGGCGGCTGCTCCAACCAGTCTCCCATCCTCAGAGGTTTCTAGGAGAGAAGCAGGCATCATTCTTTCTGCTCATTTCTACTTCCAAACATTCACCAAATATCTCTCAGGAACATTGTCACCAGGGACCGTTCAGCTAATTGCACAGGGTGGGCACACAGTCATGTCCCCTCTGGCGGCACCCTGATTTCTAAGGGTATCTCTTGGCATCACGTGACCTGGTTCGAGGGACACCTCTTGGCACTCCCACTGCATGACAACCTACTGCTCCCCTCAAGACCCCTTCTTGCCCCATTTCTCTTAATTCTTCATACATTCTTTACAGCTGATTGGCTGGACCACTGGTTAAGAGTTGCAAAACCAGTTTAGACTTCTTAGTAAGCCTGAGAGTGGGTTTCTGGTGGCTGGTGGCTCCGTGCTCTTTCGTAAGTGTGGGAGGTACTTCATTCCAGTTGTCCTTGACTTTGGACTGTAGCCAAAATCCAAATGCTCCGGGAAATGCTTCCACAATGGCTGACGGTAGTGTGCCCTGGTTTGCTCCCACCTGTTGCTGCGTCCACAGAAGCTTGTGCAACACAATCATCCATTGCTCTGCGGTTTTCAAAAATAGCTGGTTGGTTGGTTGAACGAGGCCAGACAACTTTTTTTGGAGGTTTGCAGTGCATAAATAACAACCACAGTGAACCTGAAGTAAATCCGAACCATTTCCTGCCCAGCTTGCAGGGCTCTGCGCGGATTCAAGAATTTGTCTTTCCAGCGTCCCTAATACACCCACGAAAGAGGGACCAAGGTTCAGGCAGAAAATACTCTCCTAAGAATATCGGTCTTTGGTGGTCACAAGAGGACAGTCCCTGAAGTTGGCTTTTTGTGACATTGCAACATTCAGCAGGAGGAATATATATAATTTTTTTTTTTTGAGATGGAGTTTTGCTCTTGTCACCCAGGATGGAGCGCAGTGATGTGATCTCTGTTCACTGAAACCTCCGCCTCCCGGGTTCAAGCGATTCTCCTGCCTCAGCCTCTCGAGTAGCTGGGACTGCGGGCACGCACCACCACGCCTGGCTAATTTTTGTATTTTAGTAGAGACGGCGTTTCACCATGTTGGCCAGGCTGGTCTCGAACTCCTGGCCTCAGGTGATCCACTCGCCTCGGCCTCCCGAAGTGCTGTGATTACAGGTGGGAGGAGGAATATTTTTAAAGCTGAAGACATCTGGCCACCGGTTCCTCCATGAAAGTGGATACAGCTTTTTAATGCATAAGCGGGCAAAGAGAATTTGCCAATAGCTGGGACTTCGTCACTTAAAATCTGGTAGGAGCCCCACTCCTATCCAGCCAGGACTAATGCTTTCTCTCATGTAGTTGTGAGGCTTGGCTTCTATTCACGAGCCCAAAGACTGGCAGAATCCAGGAGAAGGCTAAGAACAGGAGTGACCTCTCCAAGAGGCATCCACTCCAAACCCAGATGACGGAGTTAGGGGGCATGAACTGATCAAGAAGCAGAAACTGGACACACAGGCAGGGGTACTTACCTTTCTGGAGAATCCTAGAGGCCTCAAAGTGAGTGACACACACACCAAGTGAGTGACACCCACACTAAGGTGCCGGTGGGATTCCCACCAAGAGGCTGCTTCAGGTACGCACGGCCGTCCTGCCTGCGTCTGAGCACCAGATCCTGTTGAGCGGAAGTTTCTGCCCTGCTCCTTCACGGCGTGGGCACGGTCGTTCATCAGGCATGTGCAGCATCCTCAAACACTTCTAATGCTCACTGGTAAAACCAATCCACTTAAAAACACACTGCATTTCCAGGATCAATGAGGAGCTCTTAATGACCCCAGATCGCACGTCCTCCTCGGCCAGGCCCATCACCAGGCTAGCACTTGGGCCCTTCCTGTGGGCACATAGAGAACAATGTCGTCATTGGTTGTCCTCAGAATTCCAGCTCTGTCCTCTCAAGTAAGTCCTGGGCTTGTCCAGTCAACATATTTGCTAGGACACTGGTTTCTGGCAACCTCTTAGATGACTAGTAGTTGGGCTATCAGACTGAATTCTCTCTTTCAAATGTAAATACTTCCTAGCCAGGAAAAAAAAAAAAAAGCCGTGTCAAGTCAAATATTTAAACCCCAAGGAATTTTAGTCTTGTTCAGTTTCCAAACCTGGGGAAGTTAGGACCAGGGATAAAAACTAACACGTTTCCTCCAGGACTGCTGACAAGGATGTCTCCACTCTTCCCTCAAGACGCCTGTCGGTGCCTGATTTCTTACAAGGGCTCCAGTTCTTAGTCTGGATTCAGTGATTCCTGCTGTCAGTGGCAGGACCTGCTCTACGTGGCCCTGGCAGTGCGATCCAGCCTTCTTTATTGCAGGTACCTCACGCACAGGAGACCGGCGCTCCGGAGCAGGCTTTGCTGAAGCTGTGAGCAGAGGAGGGGTGATGCTGTGGACGAACGTACCTGGGACCCGGAACCCAGACCCCTCTACGCCCCAAGGCCCTGGTGGCTCTGCCGCTTCGAACCTTGCTTGGCCACCAAGCCTGTGACTCTGCCGATCGTCTTTGCCCTCCTCAAGTTTCCTCACCGCTCTGCAGCCTCCCCACACCTGCAAGGTCCCTGGCTTGTTTAAACAGAGAAATTTCACCCCCAGGACTCACTGCACCTACCCTCGTGTATCTAAATTCTCACCAATGGATGCTCAGCCAAAGTAGGGACAGCATCTAGAGGAGTGGGGGGTACAGCAGAAGCTCTGAGGAATCCCTTGTTCCTTCTCTCTTCCTCCTACTGTCCCTGAAAAACAGGTAGAGATCTGACTCACAGAAAGGAAGGATGACACTCCACATCAAAGGTGGAAGTGGACAGGTGTTTTCAAATAATCATTTCCAGCTGGGCTTGGGGGCTCAGACTTGTAATCCTAGCACTTTGGGAGGCCGAGGCAGGCAAATCGCCTGAGGCCAGGAGTTCGAGACCAGCCTGGCCAACGTGGCGAAACCCCATCTCTACTAAAAATACAAAAAATTAGCTGGGCATAGTGGCAGGAGCCTGTAATCTCAGCTACTGCGGAGGCTGAGGCAGGAGAATCATTTGAACCCAGGAGGCAGAGGCTGCAGTGAGCCGAGATCTCGCCATAGCGCACCAGCCTGGGCGACAAGAGTGAAACTGTGTCTCAATAAATAAATAAATAAATAAAATCATTTCATTTCCCACCCAAATATCCTGCTACATCTTTTAATGCATTTTCACATTCTCTGAATATTTCTGTTTACATCTGCCTCTTTCACCAGACTGTAAGTAAGCCTGGGACGGTGCACAGTTCTGGAAACACCAGAGGCCTCCCTCAGCCTTCAACTAAAAGGGTGAAGTGCAATCAGGAGAGACTTCCTGGAGGAGGAGGCAAGGCGAGGTGTGAGTTAGGCCTTAACAAATTTAGATTGGCAGCAAAGAGGGAAGAGGCAAAAGAATGTTGTGAGACACAGAGGGCATGGAACTGTTTTCCCTGAGTCAGGGAGGCTAAACCACAAGGCTTGGATTCACTGAACTGGGGGCCTGAATTAGAAGTGTGTGTCTTCCCCGCTGTGTAGGGCTGCCAGATAAAATACAGGATGCCTGGTTAAATTTAAATTTCAGACAAACAACAAATAATTTTTTGTGTAAATATGAAGCCATGCATTTTTGGAAACATACACTAAAAAATTATTCATTGTTTCTCTGAAATACAATCCACATCAAATTTAGCTGGGCGCGGTGGCTCATGCCTGTAATCCCAGCACTTTGGGAGGCCGAGGCGGGTGAATCACATGAGGTCAGGAGTTCAAAACCAGCCTGGCCAACATGACGAAACCCCGTCTCTACTAAAAATACAAAAAAAATTAGCCAGGCGTGGTGGCAGGCGCCTGTAATCCCGGCTACTCGGGAGGCCGAGGCAGGAGAATCACTGGAACCCAGGAAGCGGAGGCTACAGTGAGCCAAGATCATGCCACTGCACTCCAGCCTGGGCAACAGGAGCGAAAACTCTGTCTCAAAAAAAAAAAAAAAATTTAACTGGGAGTCCTGTTTTCATTCCGCTTAAATGTGACAACCCTCCTCTCAGAGACGCCAACGGGACCTCGCTGTGGCTCCTCTGGGGAAAAGAAAGTCCACCTGCCTCAGAGGCCCCTGAAGGACCTGACCCTACTGTGTTTCCTGCCTTGCCCTGCTGGATGGCGACTTGACATCTGAGGACAGAAAGCAGTCCCTTCCCGGGGCGGGGTTCCAGGCTCTGCTGTGCTGTGGCCACGGCAATGTGCTTCATGCCATTCCATAGAAGCAGCCTCCTCTCTGGCCGAATATGACTGCCTCACGCCAGCAAGGTGGGAGTGGAGTCGCTCAGGACTTCTTTAAATATTTTTTTGAAAATTTTTTTATGAAAAAGTTTTTTACGAGGGCCCAAGTACGCAACCTAACAGCTTCCACAAGTGCCACTGGGACCTGCAAGTCACGCAGAACCACGTCCGGTTCCATGAGAAATGTGTCATCCTTGGCAAATCGCGGCTCGAGCCCCTGCCTCAGCGGTGGGAGGCAGCTACGTGGGCCCAGCCCCACAGCCTCCACCTGAGGATTTCGTGACACTTAGCAAACACTGAGGAGTAAAAACAGACTTGGCCGGCTCAGCATTTATAAACAGCAATTCCTCAGAAAATTCCAGGTCTATATTAAGGTTTCAATGTTGTCGTTAAATAAACAAACCAAGAAGGCTCATAGTTTTTGCTGAGTTGTGTTACTCATGCGGACTAGCCTTGGCTTCTAAACTACTGCTCTCTGCCTCACTTTCTTCATCTGCCACGTGAGGATAACCATAGTATCTGCCTTGTGGATTTGGGGCTGGGGTAAAATGAGATAATCCCTGTAAAGTGCCCAGTTCAACACTGACAGTAATAGCAGCTGCTCGAAAAATGGGAGTTATTAGCATTGTGGGAAGTGGAATCATGGCCCCCTAAAGATGCTGCCCCCAACCTTATTCCCAGAGACAGTAACTAAGTCATGCCATGGGGCAAAGTGGGCTTTGCAGACGCAGTTGAAGTTCAGGAGCTTGAGATGGGGTGGTGATCCTGGATTTTTTCAGGCAAAAACAATCCAATCACGCAATCCTTAAAATTGGAGATCCATTCCCAGTTGTGGTCAGAAGAGGATGGGACTGTGGACGAGAGGCACAGGGAGACTTGGAAGGTGGATGAAGGGGCCAGGAGCCAAGGAATGAGGGCCGCCTCTAGAAATGGAAAAGACAAGGGCGTGGATTCTCCTCCGGGACCGCCAGAGACAGCACAGCCTGCCAAGGCCTTGACTTTATTCCACCGAGACCCATGTCTTTCGGCCTGTTGCACTGTAAAATCATAAATCTGTGCTGTTGGCTGAGCAAATGGCTTATACCTGTAATCCCAGCACTTTGGGAGGCCGAGGCAGGAGGATCACATGAAGTCAGAGGTTCAAGACCAGCCTGGCCAACATGGCAAAAATCTACAAAAAATACAAAAATTAGCTGGATGTGGTGGCACACACCTGTAATTCCAGCTACTTGGGAGGCTGAGGCACGAGAATCGCTTGAACCTGGGAAGTGGAGGTGGGTGCACGGTACAATCAAAACAGTGAACTAATCAGAGTGTTCACAAGAAGACAATTTTTAGAACTATCATAGGAAAGAACAGAATAATTGAGGGTCAAGGGCAAAAGAATTCTCAGAATAGTTTTCAGTGTAAATGTCCAACAACAGGGTACTAGCCTGGTTGTAATAATTCCAAATATAAAATACTGTGCAGCCAAAAGTGTTGAGAATATTGAATAATGTGGAATTTTCATGCTATTGAATGAAAGACGCAAAATATACAACCGCATGTAGGGAATAAGTTCATTTTTCTAAAAAAAAAAAAAGCAAAGCATAGGGATTTTCTATGTATACTCACACACACACACACACAGAGGAAAAATCTCTGGAAGGAGAAATAGCAAAAAAAGCATTATGAAGAATTTATTCTTTAGCTTGCTTGCGGCTTCTCCACGTTTAAGATGTCTTCTACCATGATCTTGTAATGCTTTAGATGTAAGGGAAACTTTATGAAAAGGCGCATCCCCACGGGCTACAAAATGGGATAGTAAGAGAGGCTGCAGTGGAAACCAGAACCCCTGGGCGTGTGCTGGAGAGCAAGGGTCCCGCCGGGGAGGCTGGTGTTGAGGGAGGGGCCGGGAGGCTTCCTCTTCTCAGCTTCTGCTGTGGGTCCCCGGGTCAGGAAGGAGGGAAGATGAAGCATCCCTGTGCCACCATCTTTCTTTAATCAATTGTATTGATTTTTCTAAACCCTGGGCAGGAGAACCCCTGGGAGAAAGACCGTTCTCTCTTACTCCTCTGGAGGCCAAAATGCCACAGTGGGGTGCCAGGCAGAAGGAAAGTGTCCCCTCGAGGACTCTCCTTGGCTCACAAGTTCACGGGCCCACAGTCTGAAGAACTTAGAGGAGAGGACTAAGAACTGCACCCGTCCTTGATTCTCGGCATCCACCCCCTCTCCTTCCAGCCACAGCTCAGTCACTGCTGGGTGCTGGGGTGCCCAGGCATTCAGACCACTCCCTGTTCTCCTGGAGTTTAAGCTCCTGCAGAAGCAGCCCTGTCTGCAAACCGTCACCTCACCATGGCGCAAATGTTTGGGAGCTGGAGGGCCCCAATGTCCCCGACACCCTGAGGATGGAGCGGCTGCACTCAGGCTGTTCCTCTGAGGGGATAAAGGGGACCCCAAGTCCCATGGCAGAGATTGCTCCCGCGCTAGCCTCCGTCCTCTCCTGGTTTCAGAGGGCTCATGGGCAGCCATGGGGTTTTACAGTTACCCCCGCTGGCAGAATTTAGCAGCACGAAATCCGATCTCTCTTGATTCTAATTAAAGATGCATAATGCTTGACTTGCCTCTGAGTTGCCTTGCCCCCACTGGTACTACCCACATGGGTATGCGATGCAGATCACTCTGGGTGCCTGCTGCCTACCTCAGGTTCCAGCAAAAGCCACAGGGGCTTGTGGGAGTGCCCTAGGAGCTGCTCAGGCCCCGCGTGGGGCTGCTCTGTGAGGCCACCCAGAGCTGCTGTAGGGTATTGGTCTGCCACCACCTGCCTGGCCCTGCAGACGCACCTAAGTGGCAATACTGCCCGGCACTGAGTTCAACCACAGAGCCTTGCCTGGAGCTCAGGCCCTTATGGCCCCCACTCAGCCTGGACAGCTATGCTATTTCAGAGTCACCATTTACACAAGGCACGCTGCTGAGAACCTCTTCTGTCCCAGGCCCCGAGCTCCAACAACATCCTGGGATTCAGGCGCTCCCTACTCCAAAAGGCCAGCCTTGCTGGGTAAGGAGAGAGTGGTCAAAATCTGCCCAGAGCTCATTCCCTTCGTCTCTGCTGTGATGACACCACCTGACCACCTTTCAAAAATCCTCTGCACCCTCTTCTGAGGCTAGAGGACTTCCCTCCACCACTCACGTGCCCAGGTGCCCTTCCAAAGTCCAGAAGAATCTCTCTCCCTTGAAGCCAGGAGCCATCTGTGGATTCTTCTCTTTCTAGTCTGAATTGTGTTTTCTGATCTCAAGGGAGAAACATTCACTATTTCATGGTTAAGTATGATGCTTGTTGTAGGGGTTTTTGTGTAGATACCCTTTGTAGCCGAAAAGGTGTCTGAGAAAGGTCTCAATCAATTTAGAAAGTTTATTTTGCCAAGGTTAAGGACACACCTGTGACCCAGCTCAGGAGGTCCTGATAACACATGCTCAAGGTGGTCGGGGCACAGCTTGGTTTTACACATTTTAGGGAGACATGAGACATCAGTCATTATATGTAAGGTGTACATTGGTTCGTTCTGGAAAGGCAGGACAACTCGAAGCAGGGAGAGGGCTTCCAGGTCATAGGTAGATAAGAGACAAATGGTTGCATTCTTTTGAGTTTCTGATTAGCCTTTCACTCAACATACACTGTACAGGAATAGTCACTTATGTCTTAGCCTGGCTCAGTGAAACCATAGGGAAGGGGAAGCAATAGGATATGCATTTGTCTCACGTGAGCAGAGGGATGACTTGAGTTCTGCCTGTCCGTTGTCCACAAGGAATTTCCTTGCGGGCAAATGGTGAGGGAGGTAGGTAGCTTTTTATTAATCTTTGTAGCTGTCTTATTTAGGACTAGAATGAAAGGCAGTTCCCGGCTCGACTTTTGCCTTTGGCTTAGTGATTTTGGGGAGATTTATTTTCCTTTCGTGCCTCTGTGATTAAGGAATCCCCTTCCATTCACAGCTTCTGTAGTTTCCACTATGAACAGGTGTTGGATTTTACCAAACCCTTTTTTTCATCCAGTGATATAATTACTACAGGACTTCCTTCTTTATTCTGTTAGTGTGGTGAATTCCATTGCTTTCTGCACATTAAACCAACTTCATATTCCTGGAATACCTTTTTATCTATCTTGGGTTTGCTTAACTAATATTTTGTTTCAGATATTTATGTTTGTGAGAATGTTTGTGAGAATGATTGACCTGCCATTTTACTTTTTCGTAATGACCTTATCAGATTTTGGTATCAAAGTTATGCTTGCCTCATGACAAGCGGGTGGCGTTTCCTTGCTTTCTGTTCTCTGGAAGAGCTTTCATCAGATTAGCATTATTTCTACCTGAAATATTCAGAAGAATGCACTGAAGTCATCTGGGCCTGGAGTTTTCCTTACAGGAAGGTTTTCTAATTATACATTTAATAGATATAAAATTATTCAGATTTTCTTTTCTCGTGTTCATTTTAAAAAGTTGCTTGGGTGAGAGGATTTGTTCATCTAAATTTTCAAGCAGATAGGACTGAATATGTCGACAAAATCCTCTCGCTTTCTTTTCAGTGGTCTGTAAGACCTTTCACTGTCCCCCACTGCTTTCCTGATATTGGCAATCTGCGGCTCCTTTCTTCTCACCCTGCTCGTAAGGTGAAGAGCTACCAGAATCCCCCTTCAGAAATGAAGTGCTCATTGCCCCAGCTGCCGAGAGTGCTGGTGACTCCCAGTGTCATGCGCCCTTTCCAGGGCAGCCTACGGGATGACTGCTCACTATGGGACATGAAGATCTGCCTCTGGCCCCGGCTTGGGATGACTCTCAAGGGTGGTGTCAGCTTCCGTCCTCCCTGAGTAGCTGGCTGAGGCATCCTGTGAGGCTGAGTTACAGCTCAACCTCTTCCTTTACCCAATCCTGGTTTCTTCCCTTTCTCTTCTCTTCCCTTCCCTTCGCTTTCCTTGGATTCCAAGAACAGTCCCTCGTAACCTTTCAGCACTGTGCTCTTCATCTCAGAATCTGCTGCCCAGGAAACCCAACTTACTACCGACTGTATTGCTCATTTCAAAAAGAAACGTTAACTTTATTGAACACCTCTATTTGCAAATTTGTTTTCTATTTCATTAATTTCTGCTATTATATTCTTTACCCCTTTCCTTTTATTTTCTTTAGGTTTAATTTGTTATTTTCCCAATTCCTTGAGATGGATGCTCAGCTCATTAATTTAAAAAATGTTAATTGTCAGATACACATAAAATATATCATCTTAACCATTTTGAAGTGTAAGGTTCAGTAACAGTAAGTAGATTCATAGTGTTATGCAGCCATCACTACCATCCATCTCCAGAACTCTTTTTATCTTGCAAAACTGCAACTCTGTACCCACGAAATACTAACTCCTTTGCCCCCATAAGCCCCCGAAAATCACCATTCTACTTTCCGTCTCTGTTAACTTGACCACTCTACGTACCTCATATAAGTGGAATCACTTGTATTTATCCTGGCTCATTAAATTTTATCCTCTTTACTTCTCTCACATATCCATTTCAGTATAGCTTAGCTTCATCTCAAGGTTTTATATCACATATTTATCATTCAGTTCAAAGAAAAAAATTTTTTTTTTTTTTAGACGGAGTCTTGCTTTGTCACCCGGGCTGGAGTGCAGTGACACGATCTCGGCTCACTGCAACCTCCACCTCCTGGGTTCACGCCATTCTCCTGCCTCAGCCTCCCGAGTAGCTGGGACTGCGGGCGCCCACCACCACGCCCAGCTAATTTTTTGTATTTTTAGTAGAGACGGGGTTTCACCGTGTTAGCCAGGATGGTCTCAATCTCCTGACCTCGTGATCCGCCTGCCTCGGCCTCCCAAAGTGCTGGGATGACAGGCGTGAGCCACCGCTCCCGGTCTCAAAATATTTTTGAATTTTTATTTGAGTTTCTTTTTGACCCGGGGTTATTTAGCAACATATAACTTAAGTTAAAAACATTTGGGGATTCCTAGTTTTGATTGCCAGCTTAATTTTAATGTGGTGAAAGAACGCAGTCTGCATGATTTCAGTCATTAGAAATGTATTGAGGTTTGTATCATTTCCCCGAATATGGTCAAATTTAGCCAATGCTCCGTGTGCAAATTAAAAAGAAGGCACATTCTGCAGTTTGTGGTGCAGAGTTCTGCATATATCTATTAAGTTTGTTAAATGTGTTGTTTGAATTTTCTGTATGCTTGCTGACTTTTTTTTGTCTACTTGTTTTTTCAGTTACTAAGAGAGTTGTGTTAAAAATCTCCCAGGATAATGGTGGATTTGTCTATTTTTCATTTTAGTTTTGTCAATTTTTTTCTTTACAATTTTGAGGCTAATTTAGAATTACTGTCTTCCTGGTGAATTGATCTTTCATCGTTACAAAATGCCATATAGTATTCCCAAAACATTATTATTGTTGTTTTGTATGATCGGTCTTGATTTAGATTTACCTGCATATTAAATCTTTGTATTTCTCTTCATTCTTCCCTGCATCTCTGTGCTTTCATCTAGGATCATTTTCCTTCTGCCTAAGGAACTCTTTTGCTAGTTTCTCCAGTGCAGGTGCTCTGGTGAATAATTCTAGTTTTCACTTGTCTGAAAATGTCTTCACATCACCCTCACTTTTGAAGGATATTCTTGCTGTGTATATAATTATATGTTGGCAGCAATTTACTTTCAGTGCTTTGAACATATGGTTCCGTTGTCCATTAGCTTTCATTGTTTTCTTTGAAGGAAATATGGTTTTTTTTCTATGGCTGCTTTTGGAGTTTTCTTTTTGGTTTCCAGGAGTTTTACTGCTATGCGTCTAGGTGTGTTTTTTTAATCTGTACTGTTTGTGCTTTATAGCTCTTCTGAAATCTGTAGTTTTCTGTTTTCCATCATTTTTGTCATCTCTCAGCCATTTTGTCTTCAAATATTACTTCTAATCTCTCTCCTCTCTCTTTCTTGGACTCTAATTACATATTTTCTCTTAAATTCTTTTCTGTATTTTTCATTTTTTTCTCCTTGTGCTTCAGTCTAGATATATTTTTCTAACTATCTTCACAATTACTTATTTTCTTCAGCTATGTCTAATCTGTAGTTAAACTTAACTATTCCCATAAGTTTAGTATCATATTTTTAAGTTCTAAAGTTTCCATTTATTGCTTCCAGGATGCTGCTGAAAATACCTATCTAATTTCTGGAATATACTAATCTCAGTTATTTTAGTTTTTAAAAGCCTCGTAACACCAATATCAGAATCTCCAGAGGATTTTTTGTATTGTTTATTTTTTTCCTCTTGCTCCAACCTTATCATTTTTCATACCTGGTTAGTTTTGATGGAATGTTAGCTATTGTGTTTGAAAACTGCAGAAAAGACTCAAGACCCTGGGTGTTATCTTTCCCCAGAGAATATTAACTTTTGCTTCTGGTCATCATCAATGGCAGATCACCTAACTTAATTAGGGCCTGAGAGGATTTGAACCTGGGTGTCAGCATGAATTCCAGGGTTTATTTAGGGTGACCATCTTCATCTGTTCTCTGTTCCTATAATAGAATACACAGAGTGGGTAATTTATAATAAAAATAAATCTATTTCTTACAGTTCTGGAGGCTGGAAATTCTAAGGTCAAGGAGCTGCATCTGCTGAGGACCTTTTTTTCTGTCTTGTACCATGACAGAAGGCATCACAGGGTAAGCGGGGTACACAGGGCAAGTGGGGTGCACAAGAGAGAGCCAAACTGGCTTTTATAACAGACCCACTCTCAAAATAACTAACCCACTCCTATGACAAGCCATAGTCCATTAATCCATTCATAAGGGCACAGACCCATGACCTAATCACCTTTTAAAGGTCCCACCTGACCCCGCCTCTTAATGCCCTCACAGTGGCAATTCAACTCCAGCATGAGTTTTGGAGGGGACACTCAAACCACAGCAGTTACCAAGAACCCTGGATTGCCTTGGACTGAGGGGATTCCTGGGACAGAGGACCTTCTGTGCTAAAACCAGGACAGTCACAGACAAACCAGGGTGGTTGGTCACTCTAGGTAGCTCTTTGGGCCCCTGAAATGAAGGCCTGGGGTATCTACCTTTGACTCCTCTTTTGCATACCCTCCATGCCAATGTTTGTTCCCTTGTCTTGTGAGATTGTCAGCAGTTCACCCACTTTTTCCTTATGAGATTGTCAGCAGTTCACCCACTTTTTCAGCCCCTCCATCACTGCTTGTTGCTTAGCTTCTCAACCTCTCAGCTGCAGCTGAGAGAGAACCGGCAACTGCCTTGAGAGAGAAATAGGCACCGAACTTCCAGCTTATCCTCCTGTGTTCCTCTTCTCTCCAGGACCTGGACCTTTCAAGTGCTCACTGCCCTGGGGCTACTCCCACGACTTCAAGCAGGTGATTTATACATTTGTCTACAGCTTTTCTAGTTGTTCTTGATAGGAGGGTTGATCTGAAATAAGCTAGTCCAACATTGTTGGAAGCACACATTGGCTCACATGTTTTTAATGCTTTTGAAAACAGTGCCAAAATGCCCTCTGGAAAGATGGCATCCATGCTTGCTCTTAGTTGTGGGCAAGAGAACCCGTTTCTCCACATCTCACCAACACTGGGTGTCACCGTCTATGCCAACGACAATTTATCTTTGTATCTTTTCCACTTGCTAGCTTCAGAATGGGTGAAGCTTTAATTGTTACCTTTCCCTGGTCCCTAGTGAGGTGGGGCTTTATTTCGTGTGTTTAATGGCCATTTGTGTTTACTCAACAGAATGTTTTTAGTGCAAACCTTCACTTGGACCTTATGCGTTGAACATTGCCCTACGGATATGATAGATGGAAATTGGAAAACACAAGCTGTTGATGAGTTTTTGGCCAGCAGCCTCTTGGTTACAGGTTCACCCAGTGACCTGGGCAATTGAAATGTCTCCAGACTTCAGGGCTCACTCCTTATTAAGGACTCCAACATCAGGTCCCCTACCGATGGGAGCCACTTCACAGTTAAGCCTGTGGGTCTCGAGGTGGGCTCAGGGTGCTGCAATCCTGACCACAAAGGCTGGGTCCTGACACGAGGTGGGTGACAGGTTCTGGAGGGTCAAGGACTCTAATAAATGCAGTGATAAGAGAAGAAACAGAATCAACACCCCAAATCCTGTGGAGAAGAGAAACGAACCAGGCTCAGAGTGGACAGGCATCCCCATTTCCACTCTTCCTTCCATCTCCAGGACCATCACCACCGCGGGCAAAAGGAGTGCTGCTTTTGCGAGAGGATTGTCTTAAACCTGACTACGTCTTATGCCAAGCAACATGCCTGGCACACACAGTCTCAGAAACCCCGGCTTCCTCACTGTCTCACACAAAAGGTGCATCAGTAGCATCTTCTGCAGTAGAATGCGTTTGTGTCTGGGCTTAATTTCGGTGTTTGCCTTCTAAATAGTTCCCTGTGCCAAAGCGGCTGCGTTTGGGCGTTTAATTAATAATTTTTACTATAAGAGAGTAGGTCAAAGCATTCTTAATGAAGGAGGGGGAGAAAGAAACCGTTCTGTTCTCCTCAATCCCACAGCGATTCTCTTTGGGCTCACAAAGGCAGCAGCTCTAGGGCCAAATTTGGGCATCCCACAATGATAGGTTCAAAGAGGGATTTTCACATTTAATTACCCCCCCAGGTAGCGCCTATATCTTTATCAAGTAAATGTGTAATTGGGAGTTCCTGCTTGGAGACTGGAGTCTCCGTCGACAAGAACTTAAAGACCAGCTTCCCACTGGTTCTAAATGGTCTTTTATAGCAGGAGACTCCCAGATACAGGGTTTTTTCAAAGGCTTTCTACAGCAATTAATGGCTAAAAGCAAATAGCCAAACCTCAGATCCTGACTGTGTGCCAAATCTTTCACTGCTGGGGGAGTCTCTCACAGCAGTATTTGTTCTCTTAAGTTGCTTGAAACAGGGAATATTTTACACCCATAAATAACTGTTTTTGGTGGGGAAGGAGGGACAGGTGAGCCACAGCAATGTTTTTTTTTTAAGAAAAGGGACAGTAAACTTATTATGCCTCAAGAAATTTCCAAGTATGTCCCATATTCCTTGCAGGAAATACCCTGTAATGTTCCTTATTCCCATGCCAATTTTCCTTCCTCCTTATTTTAACGAACAAGACTTGCAGCGATCCCAGGTTAGCGCTCGCCTCTTTAACATTTTTTCCATATTGTTATTTGGAGACTGGCTTGGCCTTCAGACTCCTTTCCACCCACACATATGGCCGCTCAGAACTGGCCGTCCAGACGGTCTTCGTGGGCAGGGAGGCCCGTGACACTGGGGGACTGGCCTCTGACCACAGTGGCCACGGCGTGGTGAGAAGCAGAGAGGCCAGGAGCCACAGGCTGAGGTCACACGGATGGGTGGGAGGCGGGGTGGGCTGGAGGGCATCAGACCCGGGAGACTGGGGTGGGAAATAAAGCTCCCCCACCATCCTGCCAGGCAGCGGAGGGCTCTGGGCCACCTGTTCCTATTGGGAGCACGAGTGCAGCTGGAGCAGGTGGTGTGGGCACAGAACTGGGGAGACCCTGCGCGCGCGGGGCAGGGGGCTCCTGGGCAGTGCCAGTTCTGTGCTGACTGAGAACGTCCTTGGGAAGTCCTGCTGGCTGCAAGCAGTGCTGTGAACAACGCTTTCTAAAGTGAAGCCTTCCCTGTTCTCATCAGTCCAGCGGCATGAACGTGAGCTTTTCCGAAGCCTGGGTCTTTCGGGTTCCAGGTCATTGTTGTAATCCTCCATTGCTGTGGAACAGGGACTACATTGGCTCAGCTGCTGAGGCCCTCGGGGACAGGAGCCCGCTCAGGACCCCATACAATAAAAGGTGGTTTGCCATGACCTCTAGGTGATTTCCCTTAGAGTAAAATAAGAAATACCACGCACTAAGCCCTAGGCAGTCTGGGGTCTTGGTTTGGTGCGGGGGCTCCGCAGCCGGCCTGCCTGGCTCAGATCCCATCTGTCCCACCTGCTGGCTGAGCCGTTCACCCGCCCCACCTGTGCCTCCACCCCCTCAGCTGTAGAAGGACGAGGGTAGCAGGTTCTACCTGCGGGGAGAGCGTCAGTGTTAGCAAAAGGGCCTGGCACACCGTATGTGTCTGGTAGATGCTAGCCATTGCTTGTGTTTGACTTCCTAGGATAACATAAGGAACATACCACCTGGTTTGGTAAAGGTACCGAAGGCAGGAGAGCAAGGGAAGCGGAAGGAGGAAGGATGGGGTTGCCCCCCATGCCCTTCACTCCTGTAGGCAGAGTCCCTCCAGAACCAGCTCAGTGGGCCTGGCAGACACTTGCCCCTTGGTCTGGCTGCAAACTCAAGTGAGGCCTCCTGTGCCAGGCAAGGACCCCGGTCCCACCGCTGTGTGTGAGGCTTTGGGAGGAAGGCAGTGCCCAAGGAGTCCGCACTGACACCAGCGCCACTCCCTCTGAATACCACCCACTCCCAGACACATGCCAGATGTAGATATTCCCGGGGGCAGGCCTCATTACAGGGAAAATTGCACCCTGAGGGACCACAGGCAGCGCATGCCCAAGGCCAGTGGGGACTACAGCCCCTAGAAACCCCCCGACCTAGGCTCCTGCGCCCCCTCCTCCCTCATGGCTGCAGACAGCAACCACCAAACAAGAGTCTGCCCAAGTGGATCTCCCCACCCCAGGACGGTGGTTTTAGGTGCTGGAGATGGCAGGGGACGATGGGGAGAGCAGTGCTGGGGTTGGGTGGGGGGTCAGCGGGGAGAGCAGTGCTGGGGTTGGGTGGGGGGTCAGGGGAAGTCCCTCAGCCTCAGGCCGGGGAAAGGGCAAAATGAAGTCCCTCAGCTGTGTGTGAGGACAGACACCGTGGCCGGGACCCAGGGGCTGACAGCTGCAGAGCTGAGCTCCCCTCACAAACCTAGGAGTGTGGGCTGTGGGGGCTTTTCGAGGGTTCCCCCAGTTCTGGGGAAAGTGGGTCCTGGGGATTCCCGTGAAGACCTAGTGTCCGGCAGGAGGAGGGGCAGGAGGACAGCGAGGGGGCCTGGGAGGAGGAGTAGGATGGAAGGGAGCTTGAGGGTGCAGAGAAAACAGCTCTGGAGGCCTGGAGGCTTAGAGGAACCTGGGTGGGCGGGCCCCAGCCTACCCTGCGCTGGCCCAGGTAAGGCCCGTGCTCTCCTGCCTCTGTGCCATTTCCACCCTACATCCCAAAGTAAGGGCTCTTTCCTTTATTCTGTCCATCCAAACCTTACCCAGAGTCCATGTGCGACCCCGTCACACCCCTGCCTAGTACCTGAGAACTCCAGCCAGAAACTCCTCGCCCACAGATCTGCCATCTGTTGAAGGTAACTGGGTAATGGGCACACCCACCTGAGCCCTTTAGGACATCAGTGGCTGTGTTTTATTCATTGCCACATCACCTGCACCCACCTCAGAGCCTGGGTCACCCACTGGCTCACTGCCTCCAACAAAGATGGTGTGAGCCCTACCAGGCTGTGTGGGCACTGAGCTGGGACAGGCAGGCGGTGGCCCCGGCCCACAAGTCCTCATCTTCATCAAGCTGACATCCAAGAGGGAAGATGGGTGATGGACGAGCAAACAGGTGGACCAGGGGATTTCAGAACACTGGGGTGCTGGGGAAGAGACTGCACCTGGGAGGCCAGATAGGGCCTCCCTGGGGAGGTGGTGCCTGAGCTAAGGCTGGCATGGAGAGATGGCAGAGACAGCTTTCAATAAACCATTCAGGTGAAGCTGACGACAACAGGCAGTGCTGGGAGAGGATTGCGGTCTCGGGGCCTCGGTGCACTTGCAGGGACCACCACTGTCTCCGCGCCAGGCCCTGCCTCCTGGTGCCCTGCCAGGCTCTCTCCTCTGCCACCCAGATAGACCCAATCAAAGGGGAAACTGAGGTGCTTTCAGGAGGGGATTACGTGAGGCTAGGATGCTCGCGCCCTGGAGAAACCATCTCAGAGCTCACTGAGCCCAGGGAGTCCCCAACCGTGGGAAGTTCCTCAGGCCTCAACCCCTCATCAGAGTCCCAGTGCTGAGTCAGGTGGAAGAGGGGACAGGAGGCCCATCCTGACTTCCCCGAGACCCTGATCTGTGCCTCACAGGGAGGAGAGGCTCCAGGAATGAGACGCCAGCCCCACCAGGAGCCTTGGGGTCTTGGGCCACGCCCACCAGAGAGGACACCAAATCCCACAGGTGACTGCACTGCCATGGAAAATCTCACCTGGTCTCCCCTCCAGGAGGGGCCAGGAGCATCTGGATGGTCTTATCTCAGAGACCCCCAACCCTGCTCCCAGCCTCCAGGCTCCCAGGGTCCTGGTGGTCTCTCTGTGCCAAGGGCCATGCCCTCCTCACCCCCAAAGAGTAGCCTGGATCTCTTCCTGTCTGTCCACAGAGACCCTGGGCTGCCCTGGGAGCTCTGCTTGTTGTAGGCACCAGATTTCTGTGGTATGCAGGGTGCATGGTGGGCGTGGGGAAAAGTGTCCTCAGCTGACTCCTGTAGCTGTTCCTGGAACCCTCCTCCCCTCCACGTACCTCCCACACCCCCAGCAGCCCAGGCCAGTTTGGGTTCATTCTAGTTCCTGCCCAGGGAGTGGCACCTCCCCAGACTTTGGCTGCCCATACCTGCATTCTCAGCCCCTGCACTGGCGCTGGGCCTCCAGAGAGCTCCAGCTCCCCTGCTTCTCCGTGGGATCCCTGATCCCTGACGGACCTCAGAGACCTGTGCTCCACTCCCAGACCAGTCCCAGCAAATGGAATGTGATGCCACCTGTCTCCAGACCAGATCCCCGGGGCTGGCTCCAGACCTCCTCTGTGGCGTCGCTCGTCCTCCTAGTTGGAGAGCCATGACCCTGGGCACTCTGCACTGTTATCCTCTGGGGCCCCCTGGTGAACATCACTCCTAGCATCTGGCTGGAGGTGGACTTGCTGATGGGCTGTCCCCAGCACCCCCACATCATTGCCTGCAATCTACCTGGGGAACCCCGGGTGGACACCCACTTTTTAAATAGGCCAGGCATGGTGGCTCATGTCTAATCCCAGCATTTGGGGGGGCCAAGGCAGGAGGATCACTTGAGGACAGTTCAAGACCAGCCTGGGCAACATAGTGAGACCCTCATCTCTACAAAACAAAAACAAAAACAAAAGAACCCAGGTACTTGGAAACCAAAGTATGGTGATTCTCCCAGGTTCCCTGCCTCACACCAAGTGCTTAGGTCAAGAAGCAAACCCACCTTGATTGGTTCAGGTTGTTTGGAAATTCCAACCTGGGTAAATGATGGAGGGCAAAGGAGGATGGAAAGACAAGGAGGCTTCAGGTTCCTCTGTTCCTACTAAAGTGTGGATCCTAAGCAGAGGCTTCCTCGGTTCAAAAGCTTTCAGCGGCTATTCGACCTTTGAACACTGCAGAGGGTGGGATGCTAGAGGGAGCTTTAGGAAGTGGGAGGCAGGGACAGGGATAATGAAGTGTCCGTACAAGACACCACCCTGGCTTCAGGAATCAGTGGCCAGGGCCCGTTGCTTCTCCACATACTGCAAGGCAGGCCCTGGACCTGACTGTTATTATTTCATGGCCAGGGGCATGTGGAACACACTGTATTTTGTGTTGAAGTCTCTTTGAATCATCACCCGGTGATTTGCATTCCTAAAACTCAAGATGTGGGCGTTTATATGAATATTTTAATACTGTTCTTAGAGGTAGCGTTCGAGGCTACCCCTTAATTAATTTGATTTTTGGAATCTGGAGAGAAAAAGTTTTGCCAGGAATGCATTATTGGCCTACCAGGGGCCCCCTTCCACCTCTGCAGACACAGACACACGCACCCGAACCCCTTCCACGAAGGCTGCTTGCTGTTCAACAAACACAGGTGCAGAAGCCACTCCAGCTGGAAGCAGGGTTGCAGCAGCGTCCTCTCGGCCAGAGCTCACTCCGTCCTTCTCAACACTTCCATGGACTTGTCCCAGCGCCCGGAGGGCAGCAGGGCACAGGCTGACCTGGCACAGTATGCTTGAATCCCCGCCGCGGTCCTGTTTCCATTTGAGAAGTTTATTCACGTTGTTTCAGTTTTATTTTTATTACATGAATAGTACCAGCTTATTGGTGAAACATTAGAGAATAGGCGAAAACAAATGAACAGCAACTCCAATTCCTCTGTCCAGATATTCAGAAATTTTCCTGTGTGTGGGCATAAGCATGCACGTACATGTGCACACACTTCCAGTTACAATAGCTGTGTAACAAACTATCCCCAAAACAGAGTGGCATAAAACCACCATCTATTATCCTATGAGAGGAACTTGGTTGTGTGCAATGGGGATGGTTCTTCTCTGCCCAGTAACGTCTGGGGTCTCAGCAGAGACACTAGGAGGGTCAGTATCATCTGAAGCCTCGTTCAGGCCAGTGCTGGGTGTTGGTGGCCAGTTGGTGCTGTTGGCCTCTTCAAGCGGCCAGGGCTTCCTCACAACATGGTGGCTGGGTTCCGAGGGCAAGTGTCCCAAGAGATAGAGAGAGCCAGGCAAAAGCAGCTTTTCTGACCTAACTTCAGGAGTAATGGGCGTCTCCTTTACCACCTCATTTTAGCTGAAAGTTGCAGAGACCTGCCAGGCTCAAGGGGAGGGAAGAGACACTCCGCCTTCGGACAGAGAGTGGCAGAGTTCTGGAAATGCATTCAGGACCAGAAATACTGCTATGGCCATTTTTGGAAAACACAATCTGCCATGTTAAAATTTCATAATATTTTCATGCTACACTTACAGCTTCCCTTTTATTGAGGTATAACATTCACACAATGCAGGGCTCAAATCTTGAGTATACAGCTCAATGATTTGATAAGTCTATAATCCTTTGTATCCCCCCACCCATCAAGACAGAGAACATTTCTGGCATCTGGAGGGTTCCCTATGCCCCTTGCTGGTCAATACCCACCCTTTTCCCCACGCTTGCACACTCTCTGACTTTTATCACTAAAGATGTGTTTTCTAGCCTGTGTTTTTCCCAAACGCATTATTAATGGTTAACCATGCCAGTACTCACTTTGAATAGCTGTATGGTTCACACACGTATGGAAATATCATCGTTTAACCAATAACTTGTGGTTGGAACTCTAAGGGTTTTACAACATCCATGAGGGAAAATCAAAAGATGGTAGACCATGGCTCTGCCCAAGGGCCCTATCACCACAACCCACCTCGTGAAAACTGTTGGCTGCCTTCACCCCCAACCTGGGGTTTCCTGGGGACAGTAATGGGGACAGCTGCTGGCCAGACAGCACTGGTCACAAGGGAAGATGGTCCCTCCACAAGGCATATATATGGCTTGATCCTCCTGGGGTTGGCCTGAATGACTTGGAAAGGAGATTTATTTATCTGCCACCATTTTAACCATCTGTCCAGTAAGAAGACTATGTCCCAGAGGCTGAACATACATGGTGGCATGGTGGCCTGCCTTTCATACTGCTCTCCTGTATCTCTGCTTTCTCTGAGTGGATAGCATTTCTCCTCTGTCTGTGTCCCTTCAGAATGCCTGGGCTGAAATGTGCTTTGCAATTAAGTGGCACAGGCTTGCTTTATAGACTTTCCTTGTCTGTTAGTTCTAAGTCTTTCCTATAAGGGTGTCATCATATTTGCCCACAACCAAACAAGAAGATGAAAGGGAGGAAAGGGTAGAGGCATGAGGAAGAGAGGGGGAAGGAGAGGGGAAGTACTGGCTGGAGGAAGAGAGGAGCCACTGTTCTAATTTTGCTAGGGGGGAAGTCAGGGTTTGTGAGGTCATATATCATCATGTTGAGTTTACAAATAAAGACACCAGAGACCACTGGTGCTCAAACACAGGATGCAGACGCTCTGTCTGCAAGGCATTTTTTTCTAAGGAAAATTAAATTCCAAAAATATTTGCACTGACTTGAAAAAAAAAAGCTTCTCCTCACGTCTCCCAGTTTCAGCTGCATTCCTCATTTGTATGTTGAGTATGAATCCCTTTTTAAAAAGTTTAAATAAGAACAGAAGCTATCCAAGATTGGAGAACACATTGTGTAAATGGAAAGAACACACTAAATGGGAAGCAAGAAAAAGTGGAGAGAAAGCCCCTTCCTTCCCCATTAAATGGCATGGAAAGGCAGCCCTCAGAAGCTCCCTCCTGATCATCCAGCCATCAGATGGCAAGGGAGAGGGCCGTGTAAGGAGTGCTGTGTTTGGGGCACAGGTGGGGCCAGCATGAGAGGGGAGCCCGGGCAGTAACTCCAGGATGGGATGAGAGTGCCATCCCCAGAGGCAGAAGGCAAGCCTGCAGAGCTTCACTGTGGCCCCTGCAGATTTGTCAGAACGGCATCTGCAGGCAGCACATTTTAGGAACACAAGTGATCGACTGATCCCGGCGGCCTTCCTCAGCTGGGAATAACAGCAGAAGGGAATGTCTTAGGATCCAGAGATGGGACCAGCTAGCTTGCCAAGTGCTTCTCGGCCTCCGCCCGCCATGGAGCCATTGTCCCTCCCGGGTGCCTGCAAACCTTAGGGCAGTGCTGGGTGGTCACTGCGCTCCTCTCCTCTGCCAAACCCTGAAGAGCTGCCTCCGGAGAGGGACACCTCGCCGTGAGCACACCCTCTGCTGCATCCTTGGCTCCGCACAGGAAAGATCAGCTCGCGAGGCCCCCTGGGCCTTATGCCCCGTGACGGCTCTAGGAGGGTTCCCTGTGGGCAGCAGCAGATGGGGCGGGGACAGGCCTCCAAGACTAAGAGCCCCGGGTGTGGCCGCGAGTCACCATTTCTGCTCTGTTAGGTGAAGAACTTGGAGAAACTGATTCACGTCAGGGAGATGAGAAAGGGCAGGCATTCCACTCCCGTTAGCTCGTAGAACTCCTCGCCACTGCCCTGCCAGGAAGACCCAGACAATGAAGCTGGGGCCCGGAGGCCGAATCACTGGCCCCAGGACAGCGCTGAGCTGGGGACCACCCACCACCCGACTGGGGTTCTTTCTCTGCCACCTTCCCCGGGTCTGTCCCCACGCTGCTCCCACAGCTCTGGGCTGGCCTTGGGCCCACCTAGCAGGAGGCTGTTCCATGGGACCTTCCAGTGCCAGGGGAGGCTGTGGACTCCAGGCCATCCCTTCTCCAGGGTCACCGTGAGGCCCCTCCGGTGACTTCCACCAACCACGCCTGGTCTAGGGTCCACCTGGGACACCTTCTTGTGAAAAGAGAGCATGGCGGTGGCAACACATCCCACAGAGTGAGCAAGCTGCTTGGGGTTCGGGCCGTGTCCCCTCCTGCCTCCTCCTCTCTCTCTGCTGATGAGCCTTCCCCTCTCTGCCCTGGGAAAGCAGAGGCCATGGGAGAAGTCCCCACACCCCCAGTGCTGCCTGTGGGCCCCGAGGCTCTGCCCTTCCTTCTGTGTCTGGGTTGCGCCGTCCACCCCCGCCCCCCGCCCCACAAGACCAGCGGCTCCTCCTGGCCCCAGATCCTGCTTCTGGAGGACACCCCTCCACAGGCCCAGCAACTCCTGACCTTCCCCTGGGCCACGGCCATCGGCTAGAAACACATGGTTATTTCTCTCTTTTCATGTCTTAAAAGACAAACATCAAACAAGAAATCCTCCCTTGAGTCACTCCCTACCAATCCCCCCAGTTACTGCCCTATCTCTCTCTTTCCCTTTCCGGAAAATTCCATGATAGGCTGTCTATCCTGCTGTCTCCAAGTCCTCTTCTTCCTTTCTCTGTAAAAAGCAGCCTGGCTTTCACCCCCACACCTCCCAGCGGCTCTGCCAAGGCCAGCACTCGCCCCCAGGCTGCCCCACCCAGCACCGGTCTGGTCCTCATCCTTGTCTCTGCCTGCCTTGGGCTCCACTGGCTGCTGGTCTCTCCCTCCTCCTCTCCCCATTGACCACCGGGGACTCCATGGGAGCCACTTCCCATATAATCAACACTCCCTCTACCCATGAGCCGAGAATTCTCCTGGCCTGAAAGACCATCTGTGCAAACAACCCTACACGCGTTTCCCACTGGCCTGTCCTGCACACCTGGGCCTCTCGGGTCTCTGGCCCCTGCTCCACCTTGTCTCGCCCACCCCGGAGAATGGCAGTTCCGTCGCACGCACCATGCATTTGCGTCTTCTTGACTCCCCTCCTTCCACACCATTACTTTAGGACACGGAAGTGCGCCCTCCATGGGGCCACTATTGCCCCCATGATTGCCACCACCCTGGGCCCTGTGGTCACCACCTCCCGCCTGGAACATCGCAAGCGCCTGGCCTCACCTCCCTGCATGCACATGTGCCCCTGCAGTCTTGCCTCAACACGCGGAAAGGGTGGCTCTTTCACGTACAAGCCACATGTCCCTTTGCTGTTTGAAGGCCCTACCCTCCGCCAGCTCCCTGTCCCATACGAGACAAAGCCAGTGTTGAGGCTGCGGCAAGGCTGCGAGATCCGGCCCTGTCACCCCAGTGCCCTCGCCTTCGGCTCCTCTGCTCCCAGCTTCGGCTCTTCCTCCCCTCACCCCGACTCCAGGGCCTGGCTGTTCCCTCGGGGTCCCCCTTCCTGGGTTTCTTCAATGTTTACTCGGATTTCTCCATCTTGCAGATGTCTTCTCTGGCCCAACTATGTAAATTGCAACCCCTCAGCCCACCCCGGGCACTTCCTATACTCTTTACCTGCTTTGTTTCCCTTCTTATCTGTGTGTGTGTGTCCCTCTGTTCGAAGGTAACAGAATGTCCTCTCCATGGAAACGGGGGGCTGTGGCTGTCTTGTCTACTGCTACCTCCCCGGGGCCCTGATCAGAGCGGACACAAAGCCGGCTCAGTGAGGAAGTAAACGACCTATACAGTCAGTCCCGCTCCAGCATCTCCAGCCTCTCGCCCTGCCCGTCACTCAGCATCAGAGCTGATCTGTAGTAGATGACTCCTGGATCTCATGCATGGAAGAACACAGTGTAACCTGGGTGAATCCATTGAAAAGCAAAGCGCAGGGTGGGCAGAGCTGCTGGGGTCACACACGAAAAGCAAGTCCAGGAGGCAGGTCAGTTACAGCCAAAGAGGAGAGAAGTGAGAAAGATGACGCCTGGCCCAGTGCGCACTTTCGAAGGGAGCAGCTTCCAAGACAGCGTCAGAGAGGGCCTGGGGAAAAGCCACGAGGCCTTCAGGGTTTTGTGAGATGACCCTATTCATGATCGGATGCCGAAGTCAGAAACTTAAAGGACACAGCAGAGCCCAGGGGGGTACGCGTTCAGACCCCAGCCCTCCTAACACTGGCTGCGTGACCTGGTAATGCACAGAAGCTCTCTGTGCTTCAGCTTTGTCACCTGTGAAATGGAGATAGAAATGGGATCTGTCTCGGTGAGTGCTGTGAGCATTAGATGAGTGTAGATACACATCCATGGTGCCTGGCACACAGTAAGTGGTGTTAACTATTTGCTATTAATTTTGTAAGCGCATATACAATTATGCCAAAAAAACTAATTAATAATAGCTTCCTTTCCTCTTTCATTCTAAAAATTGGCTCAGGGTTGCATATCAAGTAATTTATTTAAATACAATTTTTCACAATATATTGATATATAATATATAAATAATTTACACAAATGTGCTTCATTTTTTACGTAGGTTCCAGTCAAACCCTGTGTTTTGTGTTTTTTTTTCACTATTGACTGTGAAATTTGCTCTCCATTTAAGCAGACTCATGTTAGGGGACTTTACCCAGGTCCAGCTGTCCTTTGCCTGGCCAGGTAGGTGGGAACTGATGGAGGAAATTAGTTTTCAGAAGAGGACAGAGCCGGGAATGAGGAGATGAAGAGGCCCAGTGTAGGGAAGGCCCTCCCAGGAGTGCTAAAGGTGGGCTCAATGGGGAGTCCTTGCTTCCTTCCTTCTTTCCTTCCTTCCACCAACATTTGGATGAAGAGAAAATACAGGTAGTCCACAGGGGTCCCGTCAGCATCCACCAAGGGCTTGAAATCGGGTCAGACTCCGTGGAGGTACCGGAAGAGCCACGGGCTTCAGTGAGAGCATGGGCTGCACCCCTGCCCGGCTCGACCCTGGAGACACCTTGGGGAGAGGGAGCATGAAACCACAGAGCCCCGGGGAAGCCTGAGGCCACTGGGACCCGTGAGGGGTGTGGGTGGGAGCAGCCCCAGGGCCAGGGCAGGGAGCAGTGGTGGGGAGAGCTTGGAAGTCCTGCTCCTGTGTCCACCCCACTTTATTCCATTCCTCTGGGATAGCAGCAATCCCAGCCCAGCCGCCTTGTGTTGGTGAGGGTCCAGTCCCAGGCGTGCATGGGTAGAGGCTGGGTACATTCCTATCAGCCTTCCTCGGGCACCCCTCCTGGCTGCCCCCTCTGCTCCCCAGGGCTGGTGGGCTCTGCAACCTGAAAAACCCACCTCTTCTCAGGGCCACCTACAACTGTGAGTTAGGGAAAGTGCTGGCAACAGAAGCAACCTCATGGTCTCAGGGCTCATCTCCCATCTCATAACCCCCTTCATGGGGGCCACAGACACCCCGGGCCTGAGCTTCAGCACCTTCCCCATTACCTGTCCCCAGGAGGACATGCACCTAAGATCAAGGCAAATGCAGGCCCCGGGGCACTTCTCTCTCCCAGGGAGAAAACACACTGAGCCACAGTCACCCATCGGAATCTATACTAAGTGTCATAGGTATTCTCAGCTAAGGGGCAGTATTAATAATGGAAAGCAGACAGAGGAACCGTAACAGAGCCAAATGGAAGCAAGAAGGGTGGGAAACATAAAATGCGGAAACACAGATAATGATAAACGAGACCTGCACACTGAGGCTTGCGGCAGGAGCGTCCCAGGCTGGGGGCCTGTGTCACGGGTAAGAGGGGAAGTCAGGTGCAGAGGACCCCCGGGACGCCAGGTCCCCATTAGAAGCAACGGCCCAGATGTGCACAGAGGCAGGAAACTACTATGAGGTTCTGGTGCTGAGTGAACATAGAAACCCATCGAGGCCAAGAGTGAAATAGTCCTTATGTAGGTCAAGAGTACCAAACAGTACTGAGTGACAAGGAATAAGTGGATAAGCAAAACGTGGTCTACGCAGGCAAGGGAAGATGACTCAGCCTCGAAAAGGAAGGAGATTCTGACAGGTGCTACAACAGGGACAGACCTTGAGGACCTTATGCTGAGTGAAATAAGCCAGGCACAAAAGGACAAATACTCTGTGATTCCACGTATGTGAGGTGCCTGGAGTTGTCAAAATTATTGGGACAGAAAGTAGAATGGTGGGGGCCGGGCACGGTGGCTCACCCCTGTAATCCCAGCACTTCGGGAGGCCAAGGCCGGGGGATCACCTGAGGTCAGGAGTTCGAGACCAGCCTGACCAACATGGTGAAACCCCGTCTCTACTAAAAAGAATACAAAAATTAGCTGGGCCTGGGGGTGGGTGCCTGTAATCCCAGCTACTTGGGAGGCTGAGGCAGGAGAATTGCTTGAAGCTAGGAGGTGGAGGTTGCAGTGAGCTGAGACCGCACCATTGCACTCCAGCCTGGGCAACAAGAGCGAAACTCCGTCTCAAAAAAAAGGAAAGAAAGAAAGAGAAAGGAAGGAAGGAAGGGAAGGGAAGGGAAGGGAAGGGAAGGAAGGAAGGAAGGAAGGGAGGAAGGGAGGGAGGGCGAAAGAAAAAGAAAGAAAGAAAGAGAAAGAGAAAGAAAGAAGGAAAGAAAAAGAAAGGAAGGAAGATGGCTTTCAGGGGTTGAGCAGAGGTGGGATGAGGAGTTAGTGTTTAATGGCAACAAAGTTTCAGACTGAGAAGATGAAAAAGCTCTGAAGGTGGATAGCAGTGACGGTTGTACAACAGTGTGAATATACTTAATGCCACTGAACTGTACATATGAAAATATTTAAAATGGTAAATTTTATGTTACATATATTTTACCACAATAAAAATAAAATTAAAAAGGTTCAATCTAGTAAAGAAATAATTTTAGAAACCAAAATAGAATAGTGTGTCTTATACTGGGACACAAGCAAATAAAAGGACACACATTAAAATACTAGAACGCTGAGGGGGGAACGGGCACAAAAGAAAATTAAACTGGCGAAGGGGCCACGGGTCGCAGCATGTGGCAGGCAGTGCTCTCTGCCCACAGCCAGAATGCGGGATCAGGAGTGAGCAGCAAGCAGTGGGGTGACAGATGATCTCAGGGTAGCCCCCCAAGGCTGCAGGAGAGTCACCACCCCACAGCCTAGCCGGTGCCCCAGCACGCCCAACAGCCCTTCCAAACCCCCGGCTCCCAAGAATGCCCTGACAGCCGTCTGGGCTTCCCCTTCCCCTGTGTGGCCTCGTGGAGTAGAGTCCAAATCCCAGCTGCCCTGGACACGCGTCCCAGGCTGGCTGGCCCGTGGCCCATCGACACTGGGCTCATGCACACGGTAGGTGCTCTGAGAGGTTCTGTTGAGTGAGAATAAGTGACGGGAATTGAGAATGGGGAGACCTCTCCTAGCCGGGAGAAATGACACAATGCCGCTTTAGGGAAGCCCAGTGGATGATCCTTCAGATCCCCGGGGGGATAAACCTCACTTCCGATCTCAGGAGCATAGAAGTGGCCCTTTCTCTATTTTCAGTAACTGAACTCAGTTTTAATTTTAAGCGTCAATACCATCAGGTAACAAGGATTTAATCTCCACCTGGGCAGGGGCTCAGGCTTGCAGGCCAACCGGACCCTCTCTAAGCCGCCTTCTTCTCTGACCAATTCTCTGTGGCACGAGGCTCAGCCGGGGACACAGTGGCCCTGCAGTAACTGCGAGTATGCCTAGTCACCTGGCCAAGCATGAGGACCACTGCCGCAGGGAGCAGAGCAGGCCCTGCTGTGGCCTTCAGGACAGGAAAGGTGGAAAAGCCGTTTGTATACTGTGGCTAAACCCTGAGTGCGCGATACCCCTTCCAGGCTTGTAATCCACATTCCAGCCCACGGTGATTGACAGCTGGCACACAGCAGCACCCAGGGCGCCACCCGCCCTCCATGAGTGTGCTGCTGGTTTAATTGATGTGTGCAATTTTGGGGACCACTGAGTCCATCAGAATGCCAAGGAGGAAGGGGGTGGGAGGGACGGCAGGGCAGGGTGTGCCTTGCATGGGCAAAGAGGTCAGAAGTGAGCATTACATCAAGCAGGCCCGCGGCAGCTTTGAAGAGCACCGTCAGGGCAGGAGACAGTCCTCAAGCAGCAGCACAGGGCAGACCCTGACTGTGCGCACCAGGCTTCCCGCCTGCAAAGCACTTCTGGTTAATCATCAGAAAGGGAATATTGTAAAAGGGTATCAAGTGGCTCACAGACAACTCCCTGCTGAGTCACTGTGGGGAAGGGTCAGGAACCTGGAGGTGCCAAGTGGCCACAGCTATAGCCCCAAGACATGTGGCTAGGACACTGCTGGTGCTGAGCATGCACTAGCCACTGCTCTTCGCACCCAGGACACTGGGGCACTGCTCTGCCACCTGGGAATGGGGGGACGGACCCTGAAGTCTCCGTGCCTCCTGGGCATGTGGCTGCACAGCCCTGCTACCCCCCACCGGTGTCAGGGAGTGCACGTTCTTGGCCTTTTAGGCTTCTGTAGAGGGAAGCAGGGTTTTGCCTCCCACTAAGACGGTTCACTTCTCAAATGTTAAAAGGCTGTCCTGATGCTGCATAACCACAAAATAAAAAGCATCCAGAAGGCCAGGCGTGGTGGCTCACGCCCGTAATCCCAGCACTTCGGGAGGCCGAGGCGGGTGGATCACTTGAGGTCAGGAGTTCGTGACCAGCCTCGCCAACATAGTGAAACCCCATCTCCACTAAACATACAAAAATTAACCAGGCGTGGTGGCTAATGCCTGTAATCCCAGCTACTTGGGAGGCTGAAGCGGGAGACTCACTTGAACCTGGGAGGCAGGGGTTGCAGTGAGCCGAGATCACGCCACTGCACTCCAGCCTGGGTGGCAGAGCAAGACTCCATCTCAAAAAAAGCATCCACAAGAATGACCAAGTGACTGCTCAATGGCCATGGATGTTTCTGGACCCTGAGGGCCCCTGTTTTGCTGAGATGGAAATCATTGCTGACTCCTTTAATGTTGTTTAATTTTTTAAAAACCTCTTCAAGCATTCCTCTAGATTTCTGGTATTCAGAACTATGCTGTGAACACAGAAAGATTAAGGACTGTTCTTCTAATGCCTTAGACAGCCTGTGCCAATTGGTCTCAGAGTAGAGAAAAATATATTTATGCTGTGAAACCTAAATACCCAAACTAAATTCATTTTAGCAAAGATTAATACGCAGAGCCCCAATTCTTGTACAGATTCCTCAGAGCAGCACGTGCTGTTCGGCGCTTCTTCCTTTATAATAAATGGTCAGGTGTGCAAACAACTGTTTGAAGAGCCATTAGGAGTCAGTCAGCTGTGGTGTGGGCAGAGTGGGCAGTGGTATGCCAGGAAGCGCCCAGGGTTGCAGGTCTAGGGCATTGTGGAGACAGCAGCAGCATTCCTTGGTCCTGAGCTGGGATTCCGCATCCAGTTGGGCCCAAGCGTGATCTGTGTGTAGTTCCATGAGGCCTGGGTGGAGGGTGTTGGGAGTGATAGAATGTTTGGAAGGAAGTACAGGGGAGTGAGGCCTGATTCACCCAGGCTATGGGGCTGTGTGAAAATGGCCAGGCTCTTGAATGTTTGGCACATAGAGGAGAAAACTGTCATGAACAAGACTCATAGCCCCTGAAAATAGGCAGCTTGTCTTCTCTGCAAGACGGCCTGGCTGGTGTCCCTGCAAGCCCAAGTGTGAGCTGGGGGATTCGCAGGCAGGCTGGTGACACTTTCCATCAGTGGGAACCCCTCTACTTTCGAGCACCTGCCCCCGACTTCATGCAGGGAGTGCACGAGGAGTCTGCCTGGGACTGTGGATGGGCCTGAAGGACAGCCCAGCCTGGGACTGTGGGACGCAGCTGTCCAGCGAGGTGCTGGCTGGCCGGCCAGCAGCCACCACCCAGGCCCAGCTGCAGGGCTGGGTTTCCTGCAAACCGTGATTCTGGAGCAGGGTAGGTGACCCCGAACTGCCTGTTTACAGTTTTCATGCACCCTGGGGACACCGTGAGCCTCCCCAGCCCTGTGGCCTTGAGCTGCTGTATTCTAGAAATACCGGCAGCTGCCTGTCCCCTGAAGCCTCCCCACAGCTTTGAGCAATGATGAATATTGGTTAATCTCTCCTGTAAACAGCTGTTTTCCCGGCAACTGCCCAGCTCGTGTTAAATATTAACAAAGAGCCGCCTCCACAGCCGCTCACAGGGTGTCTGCTTTAAATATTTAAGAAATTGCTGTTCCTGTCCCTGAGTGACTCTTTGGCTCAAACTGTTCTGTAAGTGTTCTTGCCTCCCTGGTGACTGCGTTGTGTGAAATGTCCGACATCCCTGCTTGCTTGCTCTTTCTTCACCCATTGCTCTCTTTGTCTCTGTCCTTCCCTGTCTCTATCACTGTCTCTCTGTCTCTCTCTCTCTTAGTGAATAGTACTAAAAAATGTAAACGCTGAGGGTTGCACTCAGTCCTGGGTGCTCAGCCAAGCTGCCTGGAGATGCCCCAGGCAGGCTCCTGCTCCATCGAGATGCTGCGGAAAGCAAGTGGCCTTTAAGTGTTGCTGCCTCACACGCTCATGGTTAGGTGTGAATAGCTGGGGCACCCCACCCCTCGCCCCCATCTGGGGGTGTGTCTGCACACGTGTACTCAGGTGCCCAGAGGGTTGTGGAAATGCCGTGACCGTGTGTAAATCCTTTACATCTAAGTCCTTCTCACTGTTGGCACTTCCCATTCCCTTCAGGGTTTGTGGAAGACACGCCTGTTTTCTTCCCTGGGCTAACTGTGAAGCTCAGAAGAGGAAGAAGGGCCCGGATGGCAGATGAACCGCACAGGGCTGTGTGGCCTCAGCCCCGCAGCTGGGGAGCTCAGTGGCCTCCTGGAGGAGAAGCTGACTTTGGAGGACCTGGAACACCATGGCTGCTGGGAGTTGGGGCTGTGCGGGAGGCTTCTGTCTCTGTGTGGCGTTTGGTCATAACCACTGGACTTTGGAACATCCTGCTTAAAACCACAACTTTGGCTGGGCACGGTGGCTCATGCCTGTAATCCCAGCACTTTGTGAGGCTGAGGTGGGCGGATCGCTTGTGCTCAGGAGTTCAAGGCCAGCCTGGGCAACATGGCAAAACCCTGTCTCTACTAAAAATACAAAAATTAGCTGGGCATGGTGGCTCACACCTTGGGTGGCTGAGGCAGGAGAATCACTTGAATCCAGGAGTTGGAGTCTGCAGTGAGCCAAGATCACTCAACTGCACTCCAGCCTGGGCGACAGACTGAGACCCTGTCTCAAAGAAACAAAACAAAACAAAACAACAGCAAAAACCCCCACAACTTTACCTAGACTCATCTGTGAAAACTTCAGTGAATCCGGCCTCAAACTGTCGCTATGGGGGAGCCACTGGCAGCTGAGTTTGTTTAGATTCCTCCTTCCTGGGTGAGACCTGGGGTTGGAAACACCATTGAAATTCCCTCTAGTAATGGGCTCTGTCGTCCAGAGGAAGGGGCAAGACTCCCCCACCCCCACTTCTCACCCCTTGCCCGGGGTCTCTTCTCCCTTCCTGACCAGGAGCCTAAGGAAGGCCTCAGGTAGAAATAGAGAAGCATCTTCCTCCCTCTGGGGCCAGAGATTTCCAGCCGAGTTTTGTGAGACTCCAAGACTGCTGTGCGTATCCTCAGAGCTGCTGAGATCACCTCAAAACAAAGCCCGTTTAAAGTCACTTTCATTTATTTCAAGAGCTACTGTGAACCTCTCAGGATAAAATGAAAATGAACTTCAATTCACTTTAATTTTTAAAAGATATGTTCGTTTAATATCCTTTTTAAAATAAAAACAGGGAAAAAGACGTAGTGGTTTCAAGTTTGCAATTCCCATCCGGCCCAGGTGAGGCCACAGGGCCACCTCCCGTGAGAAGAGCGTGGCCTCAGGAGGGCAGGTGGCACAGTGCATGAGCCTGCGGCGAGTCTCGGGCTCTGCCTAGGGTCGGGGGAGGGGCTCTCTGCATCTCACTCTCCCCAGTTCTAAACGGAGAAAGTAGTAGTACCTGCCTTAGGGTGTTGGTAGAGAACTGACTTAGATCTTGCCGGTAAAACTCAGGGCCTGCAGGCGTGACCTTACAGCAGGTGGGCTACAGGCACAGTCCTGGCTACAAGCCGGGCAGCTGTCTTGTCCCAGGAGACCAGGAAAGCCTCCAAGACACCATGGGCCTATTGGTAGGGGACAAGTGGGCTTCCCTGCCAGGTGGCCTGGTGACAGGGTCATTAGCAGTTGAAAATTTTGAGAAAATGATTCTGTGAGCTGGAGGGCAATTGGACGGGTGAGGATGGAGGAGAAAGCCAAAATCCGCAACTCGGATCACTGTCAGGGCGAGGCTGGGAGTGGGGGAGCGGGGGATCCCTCCCCAGAGGAGCACAGGCTGCAAGCTGGTGGCCTGGAGGCCTGGGGGAGAGGAGCGCAGCCAGGGCAGGACTGTTGCTGGAAGTCTGTGGAGGAAGCTGCCTTGTCAGTCAGCCTCCCGACCCCAGGCACACAGCGATTACAACCTCATGCCAAAAAACAAAAACAAAAACAAAAACAATGCTCTTTTGAAAAGAAATTGAACAAACTACCAGACTGGGCCCCATCCTTAAACCTCATTTAATTTTTTTTTTTTTTTTTTTTTTTGAGACGGAGTCTCACTCTGTCACCCAGGCTGCAGTGCAGTGGCGTGATCTTGGCTCACTGCAACCTCGGCCTCCTGGATTCAAGCGATTCTCCTGCCTTAGCCTCCCGAGTAGCTGGGATTACAAGCATGTGCCAGCATGACTGGCTAATTTTAGTATTTTTAGTAGAAACGGGGTTTCGCCATGTTGGCCAGGCTGGTCTCAGACCCCTGACCTCAGGTGATCCTTCTGCCTCGGCCTCATAAAGTGCTAGGATTACAGGCATGAGCCACCACATCCAGCCTCATTTAACTTTAATTACCTTTAAGGGCCTTGTCTCCAAATACAGTTGCATTGGGGGGCAGGGCTTTGACATAAAAATCTGGAAGGACGCAAACATTCATTCCATAGCACTCAGAGAGCAGCAGCTACAGGAGGTCACTGACCCCCTATAGAACTGGAGAATGAAATGGAAAGTGAAGCTACGAGAGCTCATGAGCACGATTGCCCCTCATCCAGAAACCAGGAGTTACCCTCTGGCCGCTGCTACGGAGCCTAAACATCAACAGCTCCGCCACTATTGTGACACCCACCACCAATCTGCAGATTGCAGTCACTCTCAGCTGCCAGCTGCTCCCGGAGCTGGAGAAGGGGACATGCTTTCTCCCATGATCCAGCCTTCCAGCCTCCAGTGCCTCTCATTGGCCGGAAACTTGCATCAGGAGAAGCTGGGAATATAGTTCATAGGCTTCCAGCCCTGGCAGTTACAAATGGGAGTATGGAGTGACAAGTTAGAAGCTATGTCCACAGATAAATAAACAGCACAGATTGCAAGACAGAGAAGCGCAATCAAGAGGCAGTTATTCTTCGTCCATGAGAAAAATGAAAGGTAAATCAAACATGGGGGGGATATCAAAAAGTTGTCTGTGAAAGCCACAGTCTAATCATGAAAAAACTAAAAATATGTTATGGTTTTCTGTTTTGAGACGGAGTCTCGCTCTGTCACCCAGGCTGGAGTGCAGTGGCATGATCTTGGCTCACTGCAACCTCCACCTCCCAGGTTCAAGCAATTCTCCTGCCTCAGCCTCCTGAGTAGCTGGAACTACAGGCACCTGCCACCACGCCCGGCTAATTTTTTGTGTTTTTAGTAGAGACGGGGTTTCACCGTGTTAGCCAGGATGGTCTCCATCTTCTGACCTCATGATCCGCCCGCCTCGGCCTCCCAAAGTGCTGGGATTACAGGCGTGAGCCACCGCGCCCGGCCACGTTATGGTTTTGAGCAAGAAGAAAGTTTATGAGAGACAGAATGCATTCAGCCTTGACGCTGAAGTCATTCTCTCCTGTGGCCCCGGGAAAGCCACCAACCACAGAGAAGGAAGCCACTTGGCTGCTATGAATGGTACTTACAAAGTTGTAAAAACGCGAATGCCGTTGACTTGTTTTCAACACAGATAAAACTTAACAAAGAACAGAAAACTTAATTATGCTCATCAAACAGAATATGATGCCATCCTTGGTGCTGCAAAAGAAAAACCCACGGGATGGAGGAAGAGAAGGGGAAGAGGGGAGGGGAGACGGAGGACAGGACAGGGCTTCAGAGGCCTCCACGGTGTGCTGAAGATTCAGCAGTCTCAGCTGGATGGAAAAGCAGTAAATGCCCAAGTCTATATTGACAGGTGCGAATCTAACGAATGTGAAAACTAACAATCGTGACTGAGAGGAGGTGGGGGAGGGTAAATGAGGGAAATTCTCATTTTTTAATAGTGCAGAATCAGTAGATACTGTTGAAGGATGACAAATGAAGAGGTGACGGAATAAGCATATTGACTAAAGTTATGATGGTGGATAGATTGATTTTTTTTTCTTTTGAGACGGAATCTCGTTCTCTGTTGCGCACAGTGGAGCTCTTAGAGGTGTTGACAGAGTCTAATCGCATCCCTTTGACCTGCGAAGCTCTGAGGAGGGAGGGTTCCAACAGCCACCTGTGACCAGAGTCCCTGTCTCAGCACCCTGCAGGGCAGGTGACCTTATGGCCAATGAGACACAGGGAACATTGGCTGTTCCCTCCCTGATGAGCAGGGAGGAGCAGTTTGAGGCCATGATGCACAGAACGAGGTGGCTGTGTTGTGACTGCCAGGGAGGGAGGAGCCACCAGCAGCTGATGGGACAGAGGAGAAGGATAAAGGAGAGGCTCTGGTGACAGTACTGGGCACTGTGCATGGCGGGGGACTGCCTGCCTCCCAAGTTCTTGTTGTGTTGACAGAGATGACAAAATGTCATCATTGTTTCAGCCGCAGCTCACTGGGTGCTTGGCAGCCCACTCCCCCAGCGGGCCCAGGAGCCTGGCGGTACCGTGGCTCCTCCTAGTGCAGGCGCTCGGCTCAGTCTTCCTCATGGAAAGGCTCCAGCGGGCCCCGGTCTCACAGGGTGGCCCAGCTGGCTGTCAGGCTTGCTCCTGGGGACACCTCAGGCAAGACAGGAGAGGTGCTCTGTGCCCTCAAGCTTTCATTCATGCACTGGTTCTGTCGGCGAATGTGTTGACACGTGCCACACCAAAGCTGTGTGGTGTGGACCTCATTACCTGTCATCTTTCTAACTTGACTGCAAACTTCATGTGGGGAGGACAGTGGCCTGTGTGACCCAGATCCTCAGTGGCCAGCCCTGGGAACGGCTCATCATCTAGGGGAGGAAACAGACTCTCATCAGATCCAAGCCCAGCTCCTAGGGGTGGTGATGCTGCTATCTAAGCAGGACCCTCTCACACACCCCCACCCCACCCAGCTGCATGGCTGAGCCCTGTGGCTGGTGGCACTTCACACACATCATTCTATGGCTGCCACTGGTATTTAGTGTCCCCTCGTCCTGCCTGGCCCCTCCAACAGGGTCTCCTTTCTTCCAGGGCCCTGACATCTCGTGGAGACACTGCCTCCCACATCTCTCCATGTGAGCAGTTTCCCCAGCCCTGCCTTGCTCCTCTCTCTGCTCTGCTGCAGTGCCTTCTCCTAATACCACGGGAATGCTGAAAGAGGTCTCTGGGGAAGCAGCGCCTTGTCACCTGCAGGCCCAGCAGCCGCAACTCAAACACACTGGCACAAAGTTGCACTTCATTTACTCCACTTGATTTCTGGGATTCCAATTCCAGTCCGGGAAGACGTGTAAACAAGGATGTTCAGATGGTGGTTGCCCTGGAGGGTGGGCGTGGGGGCAGGTGTTGATGGCAGTGGGGCACAGGGACGCCTCCTGGGAGCTGCTGATGTCTTCTGTCTTGGTCTGGGTGCGATTTACAGGGGTGGGCTCGGTTTGTCAAAATTCGTCGAACTGTACTCATATGATGCTGTATGTAATATGTCAATAGATGGAAAGGTTTCTGTGTGTGTGTGTGGTTTTTAAATTTTTGATTTAAAAATAAGGAACACTCAGAGTAGCATTTCACGTTAGTGAACAAAGGTAGCACAAGGCAGTGCTTCCCTGCAAGTTGAGTCCTTGCCCCTTTTCACAGGGGCCCTGCCTCTGTCTGTGCCCTGGCTGGGGTTCCCACTCCGTGGCGGTAGCTACAGGGAACCTGTGGGCACCCGTCTGTCTTTGCTGTCGTCCTTGCTTTTCTTCCCCTGGCCGCCTGCTGGGATTGTCGCTGGATCTGAAATTGGCCTGTTTACTGCTCTGGAGTTTCCGTGTTGATCATTCTGTGGGGTGGTTGCTGCAGGCCTGGGGCCGTTGGGCGTGGGTTTCACCAAATGCAGTAATGTTTCTATCCATCCATGCCTTTACAACATTTATATGAAGGGAATTAAAACCAAAGTATCTGCCACGATAAACGGCCATACCCTTGGTTCCTACCAGACCTTCCTGTAGAACTGGAGCCTGGCTCAGTTGCAAGAAGGATAAACTTAATATTAATGATAATAATACTTTGCACTTGGTCTAGTAAAAACATTTTGAATATAGCAGAGGCAAGGATGTGAATGTTTGCTTGGCGCTATTTATCAGGAAGTGCTTCTGCTTGTTTATTATGTTAGGGCTTTGTATACAGAAACTATTTTTTCCTCTCTTACCACCGAGGGCCATATTTCTCGTTGGTTGCTACATCCAAAGTTTAACAGGAAGTTGCTGGTCATATTTAAATGGTATGCTTTTAAAACGTATCTGTAAATAGCTGAAGACGGAATGGCTGAAGGTGTGGAGTTGATATTCTCACTCACATTTTTGCACTTCAAATTACCTCTCAGTCGTTGTGAAACAGGAAATTTGAAAGCACCATGTTCAGGAGGTTGTGACACTTTAATGCTTATCTGTCCTTGAATCTGTGGAGGTTTAGAGATACTCAGAAAATAAGGAAGTTGTTTTGTTTAATTGCAGGGTGGATCTGAAGAATTACTTTGGTTATATCTGAACTTATTTTACGAAAGCAGAAGAAATAACTTGGGAGAAGAAAAGTCAGTATCTATATTCTCTCCTAGTTGACATGGGGAAAAAAAAAGACCTTTTCTATGTAGCATGGTAGCTGTCTTCTCTGCAATAATTATTACAGAGTTCTCTTGCAGATCCCTCATTTCCTCTGGGGGCCACCTCCTCGGTGTGTAATGCATCACCTGTGGGGACTCTCTGGCATCAATAAAACAGCAGCACTGGGATGATGGGATGGAGCTGCTCTCAGGCAGCAACAGGTCCCTTGGATGCGTATTGCAGCAATCTGTCTCCAGCACCAGACCTTGGATAATGTATTATTTGCAGGATAGAATCACCCAAGGAGCAATATACTCAGGCTCTAACTCAGTTTAATTCCATGATGCAGCTTCAGGTTGCTTATTGGGTCCACACTGCAATAATTCAGCATTTGTAATCCTTTGGAGTCACAGATCTCGCTACAGCAAATTTGGCCTTAGATCCATCCCAGGTGACTATATTACTGCCATAAACTAGTGGACATAGAGTCTGTGCATCACAGACCCATGGCACTGGCTGACTCAAGAACTTGGAAAGCCTGTTGACTCCTACTTAGATGTCTCTCTAGGTTAAGAAAAAAACAACTACGGGTTGATTCTGCAGGAGCTTAAGGGCTTGTAAAACTAGGGGTAAAAAGAGTTCTGGTTTAAGATGGTGGATTTTACACATGGATTTTTCTTTTTCCTTCCAAATCCCACTAAAGAAGTACAGAATGAAATAACCTCCCAAAACAGGAAGGAGAGGTGAAGAAGGGGTTACATGCAATCAAGGCACGGGCACAGGGAGGTGGAACGCAGACGGTGTGGGTTACAGATGTGGCAGAGCCAAGGACAGGGTGCCAGGTCAGAGACACGAGCAGCGGGGGCACAGCAGTGGCCAATTCTCCCCACAGAGCTCGGAGAGGCTGCAGGCTAGAGCTGGCAGTAAGGGAAGGGATCACACAGAAGGTTCTAATAAAAGGTTGTCAACAAAACACTTGTGCCAGGCAGTCCCTTCCCTAAACCCCTCCCTACTTCACAGAGAGACTGACAATCAGATCTTCACCCCCAGGCAAACAAAGCAACAAGCTAGAAGGCTCTCTCTAAGGACACACACCACGGAAATCCAAGGTTCTAGTGGAGGGGTTGGTGCACTCCTATTCTAATATCAAAGGATGCTCCCAAGACCATTAAAATCCTACAAAGTCTACTGGTGTGCAAGCGCCAACACCACACATGAGCTCCCATTCAAATGTTTTATTACCTCAACGGTGAGGCCCATGGAAGACACACAGCATGCCAGCTACCGTGAGTGTGATCCTTCATCCTCACATATGAACAAAGGACAAAGGACCACCAGGCACACGGGAAAAGTGAGCCATCCGATAGAAAAAGACCAAGAATATTAAACAGAATAGCTGACCCCATAGGAAAGAAAGGTAATCAAGGGAACATTTATACAAAGAGATACAAATAGGAGAGAAAACATAAGAGACCCAAAGGATTACTCCAAGAGGGGGCAACACCCAACTAACAGTTTCAGAGGCAGAAAATGGAGAGAAAGCTATTATCAAAGACAAAACAGAGATTTTTATAAAGAAATCTACCTTCTGGCTTAACATGGCAAAGACAACGCCCAATTTACTGCTCCCTTTAAAAACTTCAGCAAAATGGCAATGAGAGGATAAACTTGTAACGACAATGAGAATGGGAGGACAGTCTGAAACCATCCACCTGGAAGCTGGGAGGCAGACGGATGAGTGGTGACTGTTAACAGGGCCAGGAAAGCTGGAGCTCTCACTGGCTCTGAGGAAAATCCAAAAACGGAAGAGCCCTAAAAGTTGGAAGCGTTAGTTAACTGAAACCGAAGGGGTTGAGTGAGGCTCAAAAGAGGAAGATTGACTGAAAATCTGAAGAAGAAATAGGTAGACCTCCCGGGATCTGCTACAATAAACCCATTAAAATACAAAGATACAAACAGGTTTAAAATAAGAGTTGAGAAAAGGCATAAAATAGATTTAAAAATATATACTATTTGAGCACTCATTCAAAGAAAGCAGCAGGTGCTAACAGGTATGAAATTTCAGAGCAAATGATATTAGCAGAGGTAAATCGGGAAATTTCATAAAGATAAAAGAGGCAATTTACCAAGAACATATGAAACAAACCTAAACATTTATGCACATCATAGCAGAGTTTCAAAATACATGAAACAAGAGTGAATAGAACTATAAGGAGAAATGAGCAAGTCCAAATTGTAGTTAGAGATTTCAACATTTTATTCTCAATAATCTGTAGAACAAATAAATAGAAAAATCAGTGAAGATACAGAAGACTTACAAAATACTTTCAACCAACATGATCTAATTGATATTTATAGAACATCCTACCTAACAACATAAGAATACGTTCTTTTGCAGTGCATATGGAGCATTTACTAAGATAGACTATATTCTCAGCAGAAAAAAAAAACCGTCTATAAATGTATAAGGATTTAAATCAAATAAAGTATGTTATCTGGAATAGTTTGTGGAGAATTGGTGTTAGTCCTTTTCTTCTTTTCTTTTTTTTTTTTTTTTTTTTTGAGACAGAGTTTTGCTCTGTCACCAAGCCTGGAGTGCAATGGCACAATCTCAGCTCACTGCAACCTCTGCCTTCTGGGTTCAAGCGATTCTTCTGCCTCAGCCTCCTGAGTACTGGGACTACAGGTGTGTACCACCACGCCCAGCCAATTTTGGTATTTTTAGTAGAGACAGGGTTTCCCATGTTGGCCAGGCTGGTCTCGAACTCCTGACCTCAGGTGATCCACCCACCTTGGCATCCCAAAGTGCTGGGATTACAGGCTTGGTTAGTACTTTATTAAATGTTTGGTAGAATTCAGCAGTGATGCTATTAGGTCCTGGACTTTTCTTTGTTGAGAGACTTTTTATTACTGCTTTAATCTCCTCTCTCACTATCAGTCTGTTCAGATTTTCTATTTCTTTGTGATTCAGTCTTGGTAGGTTGTACATGTCTAGGAATTTATCCATTTATAAATTTCTTCTAGCGTATGTGACTTTTTGGCATATAATTATTCATAATAGTCTCATGATCTTTTGTATTTCTGTGGTGTCAGTTATGATGTCTCTTCTTTTATTTCTGATTTTATTCATTTGAGTTTTTCTCTTTTTCTCTTGATTAGTCTGGCTAAAGGTTTGTCAATTGTTTATCTTTTTTTGAGAAAAAACAACTATTTCGTTGATCTTTGGTTTTGGTTTTCTAGTCTCTATTTTATGTACTTCTGCTCTAATCTCTATTATTTCTTTCTTCTAATCTTGGGCTTAGTTTGCTCTTTTTCTATTTGCTTGAAGTGTAACATGAAGTTTTTAATTTGCAAACATTTTTTCTTTTTTGGTGTAGGCATTTATTGCTAAAAACTTTCCTCTTAGAACTGCATATGCTGCATCGCATAAGTTTTGGTATATTGTGTTTCCATTTTCATTTGCTTAAGATATTTCTAAATTTCCCTTTTAAGTTCTTCATTGACCCATTAGTTGTTCAGGACCATGTTGTCCAATTTTCATGTACCTGTGAAATTTCCAAAATCTATTTTGGTATTGATTTCTAGTCCAAAAAATTAAGAAGAAAGAATACTTACAAATTCTTTTTATGGGGGCACCATTACTTTGATACCAAACCAGAGAAGGACATCACAAGAAAAGAAAATTACAGGCCAATATCCTCAGTGAACATAGTTGCAAAAATCCTCAACAAAGTTGCAGCAAACAGAATTAAATAACACATTAAAAGGTTCATTTACCACAATCAAGTAGAATTTATTTCTGGAATGCAAGGATGGTTCAACTTATGCAAATCAATAAATGTTATACACCATATTAACAAAATAAAGGACAAAAATCATATGATCATCTCACTAGATGCAGAAAAAGCATTCAGAAAAACACAGTGTAATTTCATGATAAAAACTCTTAATAAATTAGGTATACACCTTTATGAGCTATTACCTCATACCTGTTAGAATGGCTATTATCAAAAAGACAAAAAAGGCTGGGCATGATGGCTCATACCTGCAATCCCAGCACTTTGGGAGGTCAAGGCAGGTGGATCACAAGGTCAGGAGATCGAGACCATCCCGGCTAACACAGTGAAACCCCGCCTCCACTAAAAATACAAAAAATTAGCCGGACATGGTGGCACATGCCTGTAGTCCCAGCTACATGGGAGGCTGAGGCAGGAGAATCACTTGAATCCAGGAGGCAGAGGTTACAGTGAGCCAAGATCACGCCACTGCACTCCAGCCTAGGTGACAGAGCAAGACTCCATCTCAAAAAAAAAGACAAAAAAGTGTTGGCAGGGACATGGAGAAAAGGGAACCCTTGTACATGTTGGTGGGAATGTAAGTTATACAGTAATTAGGTAAAACAGTTCAGAGGTGCCTCAAAAAACTAAAAATAGAATTAACATATGATTTAGCAATCCTATGTCTGGGTATTTACCTGAAAGATTTGAAATCAGTATGTTGAAGACATGTTTGCCCTCCTATGCTCATTGCAGCACTATTCACAATAGCCAAGTTATGGAATGAACTTAAGTGTCCATCAGGAGGTGAATGGATTTTTAAAAATGTGGTAGAAACACACAATGGAATGCTATTCAACCTTTAAAAAGGAAGAAATTCTGTCATTTGAGATAACAGGGATAGAATCAGAAAACATTATGCTAAGTAAGCCAAACACAGAAAGACAAATGTCACATGTGCTTACTTATATGTGGAATTTAAAACAATTGAACTATAGAAGGTAGTAGGATGGTGGTTATCAGAGCCTGGGGTATGGGGGCAATAGGAAGATAATAGTCAAAAGGTACAAAGCCTCAGTTAGACAGGAAAAATACATTTGATTTGTGTGTATAGAAACAATTGTACAGCATAGGAAACATAGCCCATAATTAAGTCCTGTACATTTTAATATCACTAAGAAAGTACATTTCTAATGTTTTTATCACAAAAACATCAAATATTTGAGTTGATGGATATGTTAACTAGCTTAATTTAATCTTTTCACATTGTATTAAAAGATAATAACACCACTTTTTCTCCCATAAATATATACAACTATAATCTGTCAATTAAAACTTGAAATTAAAAAAGTGTTCTCTGACCACAGTGGAAGTAAATTAAAGGTTAGTATTGCAAAAGTATCTGAATATCCCCCCAAATATTTGGAATTTAAGTAATACGTTTAAAAATAATTCATGGATCAGAAAGAAATCAAAAGAGAACTAAATCGAAAGAGAACTAAATCAAAATGAAAATTCAGCCTACCAAAATGCGTGGGATGCAGCTAAAGCAGTATGCAGAGGAAAATATATAGTCCTACAGGCTCATATTAGAAAAAAAGAAAGGTTTTATATATGCAACTTCAGTTTCTAACATAAGAAAAAATAGGAGCAAATTAAACTATTAAACTTAAAGCAGAAGAAAGGAAACAAGGTAAGAGTATAAATAAATAAAATAGAAAACAGAAATACAATATAAAAATCAAGGAAACCAACTTTACTATTTGATAAAATCATTAAAATTGATAAGCTTCTTGACAGGAAAATCAGAAAAAAGAGAGAAGATACAAACTATCAACAAGAATGAGATGTGACATCATTACAGACTCTACAGATATGAAAAGGAAGATAAGAAAATATTATAGATAACATTATGCCAATAAATTCAGCAACTTAGACAGATTTCTTGAATGACACAAGCTATCAAAGCTCACCCAAAAAGAAATCAAGATCCATAAAAAGGAATAAAGTTTGGATACATGCCGCAACGTGGATAAACCTTGAAAACTTTATGCTAAGTAAGCCAGACACAAAAGGACAAATATGGTATGGTTCCAATTATATGAGGTACCTAGAATAGACAAATTTATACAGAGGAACAGAGGTCACTAGGGGCTGGGAGGAGGGAGATATTGTTTAATGAATACAGAATTTCTGTTTGGAATAATTTTTTTAAGTTCTGGGAATAGTGGTAATGAACATTGTGAATGTACTTAATGTCACTGAATTATACACTTAAATGGTAATTTTGTGTTAAGAATATCTTATCACAATAAAAAAATCTGAATAGGCCTATATCTATTAAAAAATAAAATTTGCAAGTAAAAACCTTTCCTGAAAGAAAACTCCAGCTCTACATGACTTTCCTAGTGAATTCTACCATACATTTTAGGGAATAAATAATACCAGCTCCACACAAACTCTTTCAGGAAATCAAAGAGGACAGAATACCAACTCATTCTATGGAGCCAGGATTACCCTGTTACCAAAATCAGAAAAAGACAAGCAAATACCTGTCATGAGCATAGATGCAAAATTTCTTAATGAAACTTAACAAGCTGAATCTAACAAGAAATAGAGTGAAAATACTTCATTACCAAGTAGGGTTTAACCCAGAAATGCAAGATTGGTTTAACATTTGAAAATCAATTGATGTGGCCAGGGACAGTGGCTCAAGCCTGTAATTCCAGCACTTTGGGAGGCTGAGGTGGTAGGATCACTTGAGCCTAGGAGTTTGAGACCAGCCTTGGCAACATAGCGACACCTCGTCTCTACCAAAAATTAAAAAAAAAAAAAATTGACTGGGTGTGGAGGCTTGTGCCTGTAGTCCCAGCTACTCAGGAGGCTGAGGTGAAATGATTGCTTGAACCTGGGAGGTCAAGGCTGCAGTGAGCCATGATCACAGCGCTGCACTCCAGTCTGGGAGACAGAGTGAGACCCTGTCTCAAAAAAAAAAAAAAAGAAAGAAAAAGAAAAAGAATTAATCATATTAGCAAACTACAAAAGAAAAATCACTTGACCATCTCCATAGATGTAGGAAAAGTATTTAACAAAATCCGACTTTAATTCCTGATAAAAACTCTCAGCAAACTAGAACATCATACTTCATGGTGAAAACAGACTGTTCGAAACCACAAGAAGATAGCACTGCACACCTAGAAGAGTGGCGCAGATCCAGGGCACTGACGCCACCAAACACTGCCGAGGATGCAGAGCAAGAGGACCTCGCTCACTGCTGGTGGAAATGCAAAACGGTACAGCCATTTTGGAAGGTAATTTGGCAGTTTCTTACAAACTAACCACATTCTTACCACATAATTCAGCAATTTCACTTCTGGGCAGGTACTCAAATGAGCTGAAAATACTTATGCTGATATAAAAACCTGTGCACAAGTTCATAGCGGCTTTATTCATAATTCCCAAGTTAGAAGCAACCAAGACGTCCCTCGGTAGGTGAATGGACAAATAAACTGTGGTACATTATACAATGGAATATTATTCAGCACTAAAAAGAAATGAGTTACCAAGCTATCAGAACCTCTTTTTTTTTTTTTTTTTTTTTTGACAGCGTCTCACTCTGTCACCCCACTGGAGTGCAGTGGTGCAATCATGGCTTTTTGCAGCCTTGAATTCCTAAGCTCAAGCAGTCCTCCCACCTCGGCCTCCTGAGTAGTTGCAACTACAGACACGGGCCGCCATGCCCAGCTAATCTTATTTATTTATTTATTTATTTATTTATTTATTTAGAAATGGGGTCTTGCTATGTTGCCTGGCCTGGTCTCAAACTCCTGGTCTCATGTGACTCTCCTGCCTCAACCTCCTGAGTAGCTGGGATGACAGATGCAAGCCACCACACCTGACCGAAGGAAACTTGGATGCATGTTACCAAGTGAAAGAAGACGATCTGGAAAAGCTGCATACTGTATGATTCTAAATATATGACATTCTGGAAAAAGCAAAACTATGGAGACCGTCAAAAAGATCAGTGGTTGCCAGCAGTTCGGGGAGAGAGGGACGAATATGAGAAAAGAGGATTTTTAGGATGGTGAAGCTACTCTGTATGATTTTATAATGATAGATACACGTCATCATACACATGTCTAAGCCCACAGAATGTACAGGGGTGAATCCTAATGTAAACTATGGACTTTCGGTGATAATGATGTGTCAATGCAGGTTCATGGATTGTGACAAATGTACCACCATGGTGGGGGCTGTTGATAATGGAGGAGACTGTGTGTGGTGTGGGGGCAGGTATATGGGTAGTCTCTATATTTTCTGCTCAATTTTGTCTGTGAACCAAAAACTTCCTAAAAAATAAGTCTATTTTTTTAAAAAAGGAAAAGCAGCAACCATGTTTCAGTACATTGTGTTGTATCAAATAAAGTCACCACTCCCTCACAAGATTTCTTTTATGATTACGACTTTGTACCTCTAATAAAAATGATCTTTTGAATGAAAAAAAAACTTGAATGCTTTTCTTCTAAGATTAGAAGCACACTAGGGTGTCTTCTTCTGTGTGAATAGAAGCTTCTGTGCTTCTTTTATTCAGCCTTGTCCTGAAAGTTCTAGACCATTAAATAAAGCAAGAAAAAGATAGATGGGAAAAAGGAAGAAAAGTTGTATCCAAATGGAAATAAAGAAGAAAAACTGTCTTCATTTGCAGACATGATCGTCTATGTAGAAAATCCTGAGAGAACCTACAAAATAAACTACTAGAACTAAGAAGTAAGTACAACAAGTTTGTAAGATATAAGATTAGCACACAGCAGAAACTCAAATGCGTTTCTATACATTAGCAATTAATAATTAAAAATTGAAATTTTTAAAAATAATACCATTTACAATAGCATGAAAAATACAAAATACTTAGGGGAAAATCTAACCAAAGGTGCATAAGACCTTTCCACTAGAAACAACAAAACATTGCAGAAAGAAATTAAAGAAGATCTAAATCAATGGAGAGACATGCCATGTTCATGAATCAGAAGACTCAATATTATTACGATGATACTTCTCCCCAAGCTGATGTATACATTTAGCATCAAAATAATCAAAATCCCAGCAGAGTGTTTTGTAGAAATTGATAAGCTATTTCTGAAATTTATACGGAAGTGCAAAGGACCTAGTATAGCCAAACATATTTTGGAAGAAAAGAACAAATGTGAGGACTTTCCCTACCCAATTTTAAAACTTACTATACAGCTCCAGTAATTAAGCAATTTGGTTCCTGGCGTGAAGACAAACAAGCAGATTAATGGCAGAGAGTAGAGTCCAGACATAAATTCATGCCTATAAGGGCAACTGATTTTTGACAAAGGTGCCAAGGTTATTCAAAGGGAAAAATTCAACAAACTTCATAGAAACAGTGGATACACACACGTGAAAAAATAATGAACCTTGATTGTTGGTTCATATTGGATCATAGATCTAAATATAAAACCGCAAATCTTCTAGATGAAGAAAACAGAGAAAATTTTTGTGAGCTTGAGTCAGGCAAAGATTTCTCAGCTGTGGCATTGAAAGCACAATTCAGACAAGAAAAAACCTGATAGTTTGCACTGCGTTAATGTTAAACTTTTAAACTTTTCTGGTTTTTTTTTTTTTTTTGAAGAAAAGTTCTTAACTTTTCTTCAAAAGATGTTGTTGAAAGAATATACAAGGCACAGACTTGGAGAAAGTATTTGCAAATTCATATCTGATAAAGGCTTGGATCCAGAATATATAAAGCAGTTTCAAAATGTGATAATAATCAACCCACCCATTTTATTTATTTGTTTACTTATTTATTTATTTATTTATTTATTTATTTATTTGAGACTGGGTCTTGCTTTGTCACTCAGGCTGGGATGCAGTAGTGCAATCTCAGCTCATTGCAGCCTCAATCTCTCAGGCTCAAGGGATCCTCCCACCTCAGCCCCTGGAGTAGCTGGGACCACAGGCATGCACCATGACACCTGGCTAATTTTTTATTTTTAGTAGAGATGGGGTCTCACTCTGTTGCTCAGTCTGGGTCTCCAACTCCTGGGCCCAAACGATCCTCCCATCTTGACCTTCCAAAGTGCTGGGATTACAGGCCTGAGCCACTGTGCCCAGCCCACCTATATATATATATATATACACACACACACACATATATATGTGTATATATATATAAATATATATATGTGTATATATATATATATATATATATATATTTTTTTTTTTTTTTTTTAATGGGCAAAGGCTTTAAACAGACCACCAAAGAAAATATTCAGGCCAGGCGCTATGGCTCACGCCTGTAATCCCAACACTTTGGGAAGCAGAGGTGGGCAGATCACTTGAGCCCAGGAGTTTGAGCCAGCCTGGCCAACATGGCAAAACCCCATCTCTACTACTAAAAATATAAAAATTAGCCAGGTGTGGTGGTGCGTGCCTGTAGTCTCAGCTACTCAGGGGGACTGAGGCATGAGAATTGCTTGAATCCAGGAGGCGGAGGTTACAGAAAAAAAAAATAAGCACATAAAAATATGTTCAATATCATTCGTCATTAGGGAAATGCAAGCTAAAATCCCTATTAGATACCACTATGCACTTTTTAGAATGATTAAAATTAAATAGTCTGATGACTCAAAATGTCAGTGAGGATAAGAGCAACTGGAAATCTGGAAAGCTTCTGGCGGGAGTGTAAATGATGCAACCACTTTGGGGAACTGTTGGCAGTGTGGGAGGTGTCTTCTGACTTGACTCCCAATGACCCCAGTGCCTAGTATTCATGGCTTTGTGTAACCCCTCTCCGTGAGTAACTTTCTCCTAACCAATGTAATACAACAACATTGAAGGGATGGCACTTCCATGTCTAGGTTACAAAAGACTGTGACTTCTGTCTTGTTAACAGACTCTCTCCTCCTAGCTTTCACGAAGCAAGTCACCGTATTGGAGAGGCCTACATGGAAAGGAACTGAGGGATGTCTCCAGCCAACAGACAGAAAGAACTAGGGCTCTCAGCCCAGCAACCCTCAAGGAACTCAATCCTGCCAACAACCACATGAGTGACTTTGAAAGTAGATCTCTGCTCAGTTGAGTCTTCAGATCAAACCTCAGGGCTGCCTAATGCCTTAACGGTACTAAGCTAAACTATGCCTGGATTCCTGAACCACAGAAATTCTGAGATAATGCATGTGTGTTATTTTAAGCTGGGGAGTTTTGGGGATAATTGCTTATGTAGCATTAGATAATTAACATAGGCAATTTCTTAAAAAGTCAAACACACACCTATCATAGGCTATAACCGTTGTACTCTTGGTATTTACCCAAGAGAAATGAAAACATATGTCCACACAAGCTCTTGTGAACAAATGTTCATGGCAGCTTTATGTGTAATAGTCTAAAACTGGAAACAACTCAAATGCCAATCAACAAGTGAATGGATTAAACAAATCGTGGTATACACAATATACAGTGAAATATCATGTAGGAATAAAAAGGAATGAAATGTTGATATGTAGAGCATGGATAATTTCAAACTTATTAGGCACAGTGAAAGAAGTCAAATAATAAAGAGTACATAGTATATGATTCCATTTATATAAAGTCTAGAAAATGCAAACTAATCTGCAATGAAAGAAAGCAAATCAGTGGTTATTTGAGGATAGGATGGTGGGGGATGGGGTGGGGAAGAAGATGTGAGAGGGATTATGAAAACACATAAGAAAACTTTGGGGGATGATGAATATGCTTACACTGATTATAGGGATGGTTTTATGGGAATATATAAATATACATATATATAATATGTCAAAACTTAGCAAAGTTTTGTGGGGAGTTAAATGTGGAGAGTAACATATTAGTATACATCAGTGAGGCTGAAAAGGGGAGTATTGTTGTAGAAAGGGACATTTAGAAAACAAAAATGATTTTGGAATTTTAAAATCCAAAAGCAGAAAAGAAAAATTTAGTAGAAACATAGAAACTTGAGGAAATTTCCAAGTAATAAAAATGATTACAACAAAGAAATGGAAAATATAAGCTAAAAAGCAAGAAAATTAGACTAAACAGGAAATACATCTTAAATAACAGGGCTTTCAAACACAGAGAAAAAAAATGGAAGGGAGCAATTCACCAAAGAAACAATTCAAGAAAAAGTTCCTGGATCCCAAAGACATCAATTTCTAGGCTGAGAGGTTCACCAAGTGCTCAGCACAATGAATGAAAACAAAGCCACACAAAGCACATTCACACGAAGTTTCGAAACATTGGGAACAAAGAGAAGGTACTAATGCTCTTTGAAAGAAAGAACAAGTCGCATACAAAGGTCTAGAATTAGTTCTGCGTTAGGCATCTCTACGGCAATGGTGAACACTAAATAATAGAGCAAGGCCTTCAACATTCTTATTGAAAATGATTTCCAAATTAGAATTCTATATCCTCAGCCAAAGTAGTAACGTGCTCTTGGGCTAGAATAAAGACTACTGGGCGTTTTCAGAATGCAATGTCTCAACTTTTAAAAATTGTTCCTGCTTTTTTTTTTTTCTCAGGAAGGAGACTTTTTTCTGTTGAGGAATTTGGAGATGGATTTGTGATAGGTACATAGTGAAACCAAACAAATGGGATAAAGGTTGACTCCAGTGAAAACGAAAACCATATCAGAAAATAAAGGAAATTAGAATGCATATAGCTACAGCCTCAAATCGTATTTCCATGGGCCTAATAAAATAAATGCTAAATATGATTTGCCCTATAATTGTGCCACTCTATTAGAGGAATGGGATGGAAAAGAAATATATTTAAGGGTGTGGGAGTAGAGTAGAAAGCTAAACCCTTATTGTCCATTGCCTGAAGTAAGCATACTATATTTAAAACTAAAAATATTAATAAACAGGAATTTAAACCTGCTATTTAGAAATTTGGAGGCAAATACAACAAAACTAAAAGCATTGAAAGTCATGGCTTCCAGAGAGTGGGAGGAGAACTGCTAATATCACTTGCAGATTTATAGAACTGTTTAATTTTTTAAATTATATAAATGTACACTTTATTAAAATTAAAAGAATAGAGACATGATAGAACAAAGTTTTCCAGAAATGAAGAAAGATAATTATCTCTAGACTAAAAGATGCTCCAAGTTCCAAGTAGAATAAAGAACAAAAGACTTATGCCCTGACACAGACTCAAGATATTTTAGAACGTTGAACATAAAGAGAAATTCCTAAAAGCTTCCAGGAAACAAGAAAAGTCATTCTCAAAAGACCAAAAATAATACTGACCTCAGACATCTTGTCAGGAACATTGAATACTAAGAAGAAAAAAAATTCTGGGAAATATGATTTAAAACCCAGAATTCCATACGTAGAAAATCGTTAAGCACGTGAGCAGGAGTTTTAGTTTTACAAGTACTCAGAGAATTTGCCTCCAAAGCACCCTTTCCTTTCTATTACTGCAAAATATAGTCCAGCAAAAAGCTTCAAGAAACAGTATGATTAAGAGGTTTGGTAATTCTGAGGATCTGACAAAAACACAAGTAGTGCAACTTAAAATCCCAAGAAAAACAAAAAGCTATTTAGGAGATTTATGTCTGTGTCTAAATATAAAGGAAATAAAGATGTGACATGAATTTAATAATTAACCTTTCATGTCACTTATGGTTAATGATACTGGACCTAGAGAAAAATAAATAAAATCCTAACATACTGATTGACTTTGAAGGAACAATATTTACAAAGTCATAATTATGTACACAGTGTTTATTTTTTTAATATATTTTTAGAATCAACTGGTGGACAAAACATGAAAACCTTATGTTTATAAGACAGTATATAAAATGATCAACTCTGACAGTATAAAAGTTAAGGTATGGCTAAGAGAAACTGATCTATTATCTGAAAACAATAGAACAAGAAGTGATAGATAAGAGATTGCAAGTTGGAAAGGCAAACAACAGAAAACTAAAAATAACAATGTAACTGTGAAAATTTAGGGGAAGATGTAGTGTAAGTCAGCTAAAGCCTTGTGTTTCATGGCAAGGCGTCAACAGAGCCTGAGTTGAATATAGACATAGAGATGTCAGGATGCCATGTAGACTGAGGATGCTAGCCACTAGGAACACAAAATGCAGAAACGCTGAAAGGTGGTGGTCTCTGGGACTATGGGTAGGACAAGGGAATGGAGTGGATGATTTTTGCTTTAATAATATGCCCTTCTCGACCATGCATACTCTGAGAAACATTTTTAATGCTTTAAATGAATAAACTAAAATGTTGAATTGTGAATACATTTATGTTCTGAAAACCAGATATGAAAACATGCTGATAGTGAAAAGCAAGTCTTTAGGCAATCAAGACAGGAGGATATTCAGCATCTGTCATGCATTTGTCATCAGGTTCCAGAATGGTGGCCTTGCCAGAGGGTGGGAACAGTCCCTTCCTCATTAGTACTTCCAGCCCCAAAATTCAGCCCCAAAATTAAAGATAAGCTTACAGTGGATATGAAGTATTAGTTTGATGGCAGTGTGCGTGTGTGTGTGTGTGTTGTATTAGTGTGATGGCAGTGTGCGTGTGTGTGTGTGAAGTATTAGTTTGATGGCTGTGTATGTGTGTGTGTGTGCAGGAAAATTACAAGAAAAATAAAGCATCTGAATTTTGAATCAAAATTGCTAAGTTGTTTTTGTAAAATGTGATTCAGAAGATCTAAAAAATATCAGGTATAAGAGATGTTCTATTATTATGACCTTTAGCCATAGAGCCAACTGGCAGGTGTGAGCCTCCATTCTGATGGAATTCTGCAGAAGCCTCTGGTCAAGAGAGGCCCTGGTGAGCTGTGCTGGGCTTATGAGAGAGTCGTGTGATGGGGCCCAGTTTCATTCAAGAGACTTAGTATCCTTTTTCTTTCTCTTTTACATAACCAGTTCGACACCGCTGGGTGCCAACAGACAGACCCTCTGTTGAGTTGTCCACCTGCTTTCCACCTGGCAGGTGCCAATAGCCTCTTGTTCTCCCAGTTCTCCCGGCCCTACCCTTGCGGGAGAAGGATACTATTTTGTATTACTTCTTATGAACATTGTGAGCAAAACGTTCCACGGACCACCCAAGCAGTGCAGACCACAGGCCATGTCCCAGGGACCTGGAAGCAGCAAGGACGCAGGTGCAAACACCCAGGGTGAGCCTACCCCATCCTTCACACCCAGGGTGAGCCTACCCCACGCCTTCACACCCAGGGTGAGCCTACCCCATCCTTCACACCCAGGGTGAGCCTACCCCATCCTTCACATCCAGGGTGAGCCTACCCCATCCTTCACACCCAGGGTGAGCCTACCCCATGCCTTCACACCCAGGGTGAGCCTACCCCATCCTTCACACTCCGAGTGAGCCTACCCCATCCTTCACATCCAGGGTGAGCCTACCCCATCCTTCACACCGACTACCCTGGCAGCCATGTTGCAAGAACGATGAGGGCAGCCTGGGGAACCCCCCAAATTTCAGCATCAGTGAGTGCTCTGACCTCACTGATGACAAGGTCCCACAGGTCACTTACACGTGTCACATAGAAAACGTTCTCCTGTGACCAAAAATGCAAGCCATCTGACAAAGAGTTTCAGGCTATTTTCAGTATCATTATCTTCTCCGCCAACACTGACAAATTTACCATGGTCGTGGTTTTCTTCGTTTTAATGACTGTTTGGTTGTGTTTTCCTTTGGGGATGGGGGCTGGTGGCGCTGCTGGCATCTGTGGCAAGGCCTCGAGGGAAGTGGATTTCTGCGGTGGTCACTGTGCCTTGCTGCCTTGTTTAAAATGAGACTTCATGGGACACACACAGCAAAGATGAAAGAGCAGAACCGTGGCATGTGAGGGACGATTAGGGCCAGGCTGGGCCATTAAGGCCTGGTCTAAAAGGTGCCCAGACACCTATTGACATGACACGTCCTAACTGCTCCCCAGACACCAGGATTAATCCACTGTGTCAGTTTGCTTCGTGTCCCTAATGTCTGTCAGCAGGAGCCTCTTCGTGCCTGATGGAGCTGGGGAGGGGAGGATGTCAAGGTGGATGCTCTCGGCTGGAAAAGCTCTCCAATGATGGGCTGTAACGAAAGTTTGTGACATTTCGATAGCTCTTTGCCTTTTAATGTGCGCATCTGGGGACAGCCCGTTACCTGCTTTTCTGCCTTGATCCATCATTTTTCTCTGGACCAAATCTCAAAATAATACAGCACAGAAAGAACTCTGGGTTCGAGATGGCAAGTGCAGCCTGCTCTCTGCTAACCCGACAAAGTGTTGATGAGTCAGAACTTCTGGGTAGCACACAACACTGCTGTGTATGGCTGACAAAAATGTCCAGCTTGTAAACAATTAGGAAACAGTTCAATAAAATATTCATGGGCACCATTTAACCCATGACTCAGGCAGACTCCTTACAATCTTGACACTGATAGTCTGAACATTGTCATTCTTCTACATGTCTTCAGAAGGGCTGGTAAATATTGAACTACAGTTAATAGGTTCTTGGATAAGCCAGATTCGCAGGCCCTTAACCTCACGCCTTCTCCCTTTACCTCCATGACATGATGTTTGAACCTAGAAGACAGGGTTGTCGACATCTTCTCCACCGTGCGGAGCCCTCGGTGCCAAGAGTGGTGGGTGTCCCCGTGGCCTCCCGCCTGGGGTCTGAGCTGCCGCACGATCCATTTGTCACCTCTGAAGTGTATCTCACCGTGGGCACTGGGAGCAGCAAATGGTTGTTCTGTTCTTACCTGCTCGATCCACACAAAGCTGGGAAGGTTCATGGGTGCCTAATCTCACAGGACAGACATGACGACACTGTGAATTCACACTGGGTCTCATCAGGGATTTCACTGTTCTTCCAGAGAGAGCAAGTGTCTTACTGACCACCAGAAAACATTTTTGGGGGAGGGGGAAAATAACTAGAAAGTGGAGGAAAGGTAAAATAGAAAATTCAAGGACAAATAAGATGCTAAAGAAAATGATGAAGTAGAATGAATGAGAATTGCTTGGAGGGGGTGCCTCTGGCTTGGATGGCTGTCCATTTTGCTGAGGTGTCTGGGGTTGACCACGGGAGGAGGGAAGAAAGCTGAGCGGGGAAGACCAGGCATACCTAACTAATGGTGTGGGTGATGTGATATTCCTGCTAGCCCTCATCGGTCCTGGGGCGTGGCTCCTTCTCGCCTTTGCTCTTCCTGTCTTGGAGCGGATTGAGGCTGGGACGAGAAGAGAGATGGGCCAGCAGAAGGGCTCTTCCCCCATTCCCCCAAACCCTTCCTGAAATACCAGCTGGCAAAACTTCTCGAATGTGCAGTTTCGGAACTATCACAGCTTCCATGAATATCAGATGTTCCATTTAGTTCTTGATCTCTCTCCCCTCTGTCTCTTTTGTCACTTTTATTTATTTTGTTGTTTTAATCTTCCTGGAGGCCTAATGGGCTGTATTTGAGATCAGTAGGATACTTTTAATGGTTTAAGTTGCCATGATTCCAGGCCCCAAGAGAAAATGTTCTGTATTTTTTCAACCAAAACCTGTGCCTGCCACTTCTTTTTAAAATATTAAGGATGCATTTCCCTAGCCAGTCCCAGCTTGAGCATTTGACCCTCCTGCCCACCCAGAGTTGCCAGATTTAGCAAATAATAATACAGGACAGACACTCAGGTAAATTTGAATTTCAGATAAATAAAAAATAATTTTATGAGTGCAAGTGTATCCCAACTTTTGTGTGAGGTACGCTTAAACCAAAAGTGTTTTCATTGTTTATCTGAAATTCAAATTTAACTGGGCATCTAGTATTTATTTGGCAATCATACCAGCTGATTCCTCAACCATTCTTTGGAAACATTTAATCCCAAGTTCTTACACAGCAGACACATTTAATCATACTTACTGCCTAGCAAGTATACATACTTTTTTTTTTTTTTTTGAGACGGAGTCTTGCTCTGTCACCCAGGCTGGAGTGCAGTGGCGCGATCTCAGCTCACTGAGAACTGGGTGAGTCTCACTGGGAACTCCGCCTCCCAGGTTCACGCCATTCTCCTGCCTCAGCCTCCCGAGTAGCTGGGACTACAGGCGCCCGCCACCACGCCCGACTAATTTTTTTGTATTTTTAGTAGAGACGGGGTTTCACTGTGTTAGCCAGGATGGTCTCGATCTCCTGACCTCATGATCTGCCCGTCTCAGCCTCCCAAAGTGCTGTGATTACAGGCATGAGCCACCGTGCCCGGCCCGTATTCTTTGTTCATGATGTCTCTACCTGGATGCATGCAGGATGTCTCCGACAGTGAGCTTCCAAAGGAAGTCCCTCTGAGTGGCTTAGAGGGCTGTACTCACAGTAGGGGCTGATGGCACAGATCGCTTTAGGAAGGTGGTGAGTGGGAGGTGGTGGTGGGGAAAACAAGACTTACCGGTTTACCAGAGGCAGGGATCAGGGTGGGATCGGGAGGGAATAGGATTTGGCGCTGTTTTCACTGAATTCTGGAATTGTGGTCTGGCTCTGGGAATCACCTGGGAGGTCAGCCCCTGGAGGGGAAAGGCAGCCCCTCCTCAACGTCTGCGACAGGTGCCCTCCTACGCTTCCCAACCCCTCCCAGTGTGGGCAGTTCCCCAGCTCACAGGCAGCACACGCAGGTGGAAACAGCTCTACCTGTCGGCTCACCCTCTGGCGAAATTCTACTTTCAGACCAGGAAAGCTGAGAGGGGTGGAGGGTGCCTCGCTGAAGTCACAGTGCTCGGGCCAGGCCTTCCCATGCCTCACCTTTCTCCACTGGACCCCGCTTGTTCTTTTCGGCCTGTGAGAAGGCCACAAACAGTTGTTACTTTTTCAAGTCAAAGAGGGTATGCGTCCTGAAGACATGATCAGAGATGTCATTAAGTGTGCGCGTGTATAGGGCGGAGTGAGGCCCAGGAGGTGGAGTGGTGCGGCTCTCAGGTCACGGACATGGAATTCCTGACTCTGCCTGCTCCCGGCGGCCTGCTGGCCTGTCAAGGGGAGAGCACAGTGAGTGACAAGAGGATTTATTTCCACCAGCCAGAGAATGGCTCATAATTTACAGCCCGCTGAGCCAGCCTCTACCACGGCATTAGAGCCTTCCTTTTGTAGACAGTAATAAATTGTCTTATCCCCGGTGCTGACATAACATGCTCCTTTTTAAGTGCGCCATAATTTTCATTTTTAAGGGAATATTCATATTGGATGGCAGAGCTCATGGGCATCTGAATACTTCTCTGGAGAGAAGCCTTTTTTTTTCTTTTTTAAAAGAAGATATAATTCAGCTCCTAAATGCCACTAGCAGGGATAGGCTTGACTTCTAAAGCGACATTAGGGGCAGAATTTGGGGACATTGTAGACCCTTCATAGACAGTGACTTGCCCCTCATCAGTAGGCATCAAAAGGATCAAGCCCCTGCAGGATGCACGTCCTTTGACTGTCCGCCTTGCTGCCTTTGCACGATGGTGGCCAGGGAGCTGGGGCGGCCTCGGGCTTTTCCATCCCAAAGGACGGGCTTCCCCGCCACCAGGGGGACTCACTCCCTTGAGCTCCCCCTGGCAGGAGGGGCCTGGGGGTGACAGGCAGACAGTAAAGGAGTCTGAAGCCTGCCCGGGGGGTTCCCAGCTTGGGATCATGGGGCTGCCGAGTCCGGGCACCGTGTCTCTCTCCTTCTGCATCCTCCAGGGGGCAACAGTGCAGCCTGCTGATCCCCAGTGAGCGGTTCTCCCCGGGGCACAGTCCTGGAGGGGGATGCCACAGATGGTCCCTGGTCACCAGGGAGTCCTCGGGCCTGTCTCCTGTTTCTACCGACCCGTGGGGATGGGCCAGCCGGGGTGTCCTTCTCCCCTCCCGTCAAGGTTCTTGTGCCTGGGTCCTTATCTGAGGATGCCCTCACGGCGTGGCAGGAAGAGATGGGGCCGGGTGGCTGCCCAGGCTCCTCCCTCTGCCTTTGCCTTGTGCCTTCACAGCCACCCATTCCAGAACCCTAACTGTTCACCTGACAAGACCTCAGGCAAAGCCCTGGCTCCCTCGGAGGATCGGGGCTTTCTTGTTTGTAAAACAGGACACGGACTTTAGGAGCTCAGACACGAATGCATGCAAAAGCCTTACAGAGGGTTCAGGAGAGGTGAGTTTTTGTCTCCTCCTCTGCTCCTTCTTTCTTCACTGCCTGTTTCCCTCCTTTCACCAGGCACGTAGGGGAAGGAGCTGAGGTCCCCAGGCTGTGCAGTCCTTCTAGGTCTGGGCTGTGGAGGGAGAGGAGAGGCTGGCCTGGGGGTCTCTGCTGGGGGAGATACAAGTCCGGCCTGTGGGGTTGGCCAGCCTGGGGCATGTCTGTGTTAACTCAGACACACCCACACAGACACTTCCAGAACCAGGCATGTTTACAAGTAGCAATGAGGTATTGCTAAACCTCTGGCCTGATGAGAACAGCTCTCACATAATGCTGTCTGAGTGCCAGGCCCAGGTCCAGGCACTGTACACTAATTCATTTAAGGTGGACACAAATATGCCCATTTTATGCTCAGCTGGGAAAACTGAGGCCCAGAGAGGTCAATGGACTCATCTGAGGTCAGGCAGCTGGGAGGTGGCCGAGCTGGGATGAGAACCCAGGTGGTCAGGGCTGGAGCCTCTTCCCTAGCCACAGTGCCCCTCTGCCTCTTCTCCTCCTGCCTGAGCAATCCCACTTCACTTGGACCATCCCCTGCCTATTCCAGGAGACAGGACTTGAGTGTCACTTCCCCTCCTGCTGTCTTGTGGCCCTGCCATGCACTGTGGCAAGTCTTCTGTTATCTTCTGCCTGAGAGGCCGTGACTAAGAAGGTTCCAGACTTCCCGTCTATCAAAGGTGAGGACTGAATTAGACTTTCTTCTTGACAGTGGTGATCACCTGTGACCTGTGACTGGTACATGCTCAGGAGGGAGTATACTGTTCCACTTTGCTGATTTCTAATGAAAGATTACTTTTACAGGATGGAGGGAGAAAGGGCTCCGAAGGAGAAGGAAGAAGAATAAGGGCATTGGCCTCAGTCCAGATGAAAAGACCCAGATGCAAAATTATTTGGGCCACATATGTGTTGTTTGCTTATCAAATTTTCAACCTTTGAAAAATCACAATATTGGATGGTGGGAATCAGTAGCATTGCTGGAGTTCCTGTGGGTGGCAGGAGTTGGACATTGTGGCAGGTGACCCTGCAAAGGATAAACACAGAACCTGCAGAGGGTAAAGGATTTCCCAAGTCTCACTCCTGGAGGGAGGGGCACAGGCATGAGCAGCCTATCGGGCCCCATGTCATGCAGCTATGTTCTCTGCTGCTGGTGAGCTTGGCATCGAAAGAAAACATAGCAGGAATGATTTTGTCTGGGTTGGGGATTTGGGGGAGTTTAGACTATAAATAGTGAGGAGGATATAAAAAGCCTTAAGAGGATTTTTGGAAGCCCTAAATCCACCACATAGACCAAAGCAAGTTAACAGGAACCACTTCGGTTTTAGTGAGGTCTAAATGTGACTCAGCATAGTGCCCTCCCCTCCACTGTTCCCTTCCAGCTGTCGTGGTTCACGTGTCCGCTGTCACCACAACCCTTGCCAGCATCTGCCAAACCAAGGGCACGTGTGTCAGGAGGTCTGCTGCCAGCATGCCAGCTGCCAGGTGCTGCCTAGCCTTGAATTACGGCCTGGCTCACTCCCTAAGGGAAGGCATCATTGGCAGCCTCTTCTGCAGCAGAGAAAACGGAAGCATAGGAGGGTAGGTGCCTGGTCCAGGGTCACACAGCCAGCAAGTAGTGGGCTGGATTCCACACTCAGCCGAGGCCCACTCTGCTGATTCTAGCATAATTTCTTCAGGATCACCTTTTGAGTGGACCTCAGCTGCGTGTGGGAAGGAACCTGCTTGCCTCTGTGCCTTGCTTCTTGGACACCTGCGGTCCCAGCCTTCTCTTTTCTGTGGGCCCTTATTTCATTTAATACATGGACTCATCATAAAACCCCTTTGCACTCCTGTAGCCCCAGCTCAGGAAGCCTGAAGCCCACCCCGGTCACCGAGGTGCTCAGAATCGATGGAGATCCAGAGTTGAAACCTCCCTACGTTTGGTCCTGTGTCCCCAGGGTCTGCTGCCGGCTCCTAGATACCTACAAACAGGTCTTTACTGTTGACTCTTTTAGGAACATCACTGTGGCCTAATAGTGAGGGAGTGACATTTAGGATGATGGCCGACCATCTCATTTATAGGAAAAACCCAGGGCTCTAACACATATTTTAAAAATCACTGCACTGCTGGCACAGCCCTGCCACCCAGCATTGTATTAGCCAACTCCTTCCCAAGGCTCTGGGAGAGGCTGCAGTGGGAACATTCCAGATCAGAGGTTCTGCCTTGTTTAAATAGGGGTGGAGCGAGATTGCCAGGTCTGAGGCTTCATCTTGCCAGTGAGAAATGGGGGTGCAGGGAGCTGTTTTAGATGGGGGTGCAGGGAACAGCTGCTGAGGCCTCACCGTGAGTCACACACAGGGCTGGCAGTGAGGCCACAAATCACAGTTGGGCCCCCAAACATAAGGTCCTACAGCCAGGGAGAGCCATTCTGCCTGGAGACCGAGAAGAATCCAGTCAGGAAGAAATAGTGGAAGCTAAGGTGCCCGGGCCTGAAGGGCCAGTCCGTCTGGGAGCAGCAACTGGCCCTATGGTGGGACAGGAAGAGCAAGAAAAACAGTGCCAGCTTGCTAAAGGCCGTGCCCCTGAGTTTGATCTCCACCCTGCTGGCTGAGAAGACTCACTGATGGTCTAAGTCGTCTCATGGGAGTGCCTGGGAACCAAGACTCTGGAGACGGCAGGGAGGGTGATGAGGGGCAGCGGCTGGAGCTAGAGAGACCACCTGGGAAGTGAACACCACAGACAGTGCGACAGGGCCCTCGGCTAGGGTGGGAAGCCTGGGGACGGGTGAGGGAACTGGTGAGAGGTGGGAGTCAGGCCGAGCCCACACTGGGTCAGGGCATGAAGGCCACAGCATGCCCTTGAGGCCAGGGTCTGGTCCGGGTGGGGGTGAGGAGGTTAGAACAGGCTGCTCTGGATTTCAGAGGCCACAGAGAGTGGAGATATTGAGTAAGGAGGTGAAGATGTGGGACCCAAGGTTCCCGGCCTCTTGAAGACAGCGTGGGGCTGCGGGTGCAGGTCAGAAGGCCTTGGAGGCCAGGTGGGTTGGAGCTGTGGGAGTGCCCCTCCTCCGCTTTCCACCCTTCTTGGGATGGAGTCCAAATTCTTGCCAAGGCTGATGAAGCTGTCACAGCCTGGCCTCTGGCCGTGCCTCTCATCCCCTCTCCCACTACCCTCCTGTCACTGCCAATGCCCCTGCTGCCCTGCCTGCCCTCTAGCTCCTCCACCACACCAGGCTTCCTCCTGCACCAGGGCCTTTGCACGTGCTGATCTCAAGTGGGCCCTCTGCCTGGAGCTGGGGGAGGGAGGCCTGCACCCAGGGGTGGGAGAAACTGTGCTCCTTCATCCCTGAGTCACCAACTCCCTGCATTGCAAATCCTCAGTGTGATCTCTGTTTTCTTGCTTAGTCCTGACTGATGGTCCACCCGTCTGGCTATCTCCTGTTTATATCTTCAAATTCAGGTTAAAAGTCACTTCTTCCAGGAAGCCCTAACCATCTCGTTCAATGCTCTTCTCGTATCTGACAGCCTCCACTGTGTGCTTGGGGGAGGGTAGAGAAAAATCTTGGATTTTTCTCTGCGTGAGGTTGGAAGCCATGGAGGAATTTAGAGCTGAGGAACGGCCTGATCTGACTTCTATTTTCACACATCCTCTGTGTTGAGGATTGATGGCAGGAGGCATGGCCAGAACAGGGAAGGCATTTAGAAGGCTGTTGAGTTTCACCAGGTGACAGGTGGGGGTGGCTCGGCCCAGGGACGTAGCAGGGGGCGTGGTGAGAAGTGGCCGGACTCTGAACGGATTTCAAAGTAGAAACAACCAGACTCAATGACAGTCTAGACACGGGTGTGCTGGGGTGAAGGGAGGGGTTAACCATGACCTCAGGCTTTAGCCTGAGCAGTGGAAATGTGGAGTTGGCATTTGCCGTAATGGAGAAAGCTGGGGACAGGGCAGGGCGGCGGGGGCGTTTTGTGGTGGGGACGGGGAGGACCAGGAGCTCAGCTTGTAAAGTGCTTTAGACATCCAAGGAGAGAAGCTGCCGGCCGCCTGGAGTTTAGGAGTCCAAGCCAGCGACGGGCTCCGAGAGTCACCCACACGTAACGTGCACCTAAAGTTAGAGAATGACTGAGAGCGTCGCGGGAGTGAGGGTGGGTACAAAAAAGAAGCCACCCAAGAGTCGGGGCTCGGGGCACCCCGATGCTAAGAATGAACCAGCGATGGAGACTGAGGAGAGGCGGCCACACAGGTGAGAGGAGAACTAGGATAGCAGGGGCCGCTTGGCAGCCACAAGCGGAATGTGCTTCCAGGACAAGGGGTGTCAGCCGTGTCAAAGGTGCAGGAAGGCCTCCAACAGGAGGTCAGAGAACGGCCCCCTGGAGTTAGCAGCGGACAGGCTGCGGGGGATGGTGATGACAGCGTGGGTGGGCTTGAGTGCAGGAGAGACTGAAATAGTGGGTGGGGAGACTTGCTTGAGGAGTTTTGTGTTGCTAAAACGGGAAGAATGGGAGAGTAGCTGGCGAGAGTCCTGTGGGTTTTTAAAGATAGATGGTATAACCACATGCTTGTACGTGCATGGAGGTAACTCAGCAGGAGAAAGGGTGATACTGTGAAGCGGCGGCTCTGGGGAGCTGGGGTAGCTTGGGATCCAGCAGGTGAGGGAGGGGAGGTCCTCAGTGGGCCCCACCACCTGCGGCAGTGCTGTGAGGCAGAGCCCGGCGCAGGTGTGGGTGGAGGAGGAAGATCTCTTCCGAGAAAGGAGGTAAGAAGGAAGCAAGGCTGTCAGCTGAGGGTGAGTATGGAGGACGCCAGTTGGACAGGAGGGGTGGGCGTTTCGAGAGACTGCCAGAGGTGTGTAATGATGGCTGCCAGGCGACAGCAGCCGGGGTGGCTGTGTTTCTTCTCCACCTGCATCCAGCCGAGTGGAGGGAGAGGGAGAGGACGGCATGGAGAGGCCCGAGAGTGAAGAGCGGCGTCATGTGACCTTTCCTGGAACCCCGGGGAAGTGAAGGCAGGAGGTCAGAGGTGATGTGAAGGGGCGGCAGGGGCAGGAAGGCGTAAGAAGCCTTCTCAGAGCCGGGTGGGGGAGCTCTGGCACACGTGCAACTAAGGGGAAGGATCTGGGGACAGGAAAAGATTAGAGGGTTAGGAGTTTGGGGAACTGCCAGAGCATGACCCTGCAGAGGGCAGGATTCCCTGGGGACCAGGGCACCAAGGGAGGGGCAGCTTTGGAGAGGGACAGGGCAGGGGGTGCAGAAGCAATGGTGTTTGTGCCTTCTGTGCTCTTGAGGAAAGAGAGCAGCTAAAGGGCGAGGACTTCAGCTGCAATTCCTCAGCCCCACCCAGCCCGGCCACTTCGTGTACACCACAGCCCAGCAGGTCCCCCGCAATGCCTATTTTCCCATGATGTATTTCTGCGCTCAGCTTCTCAAAACCAGACTTTTGTAGAGAGGGATAACCTGCCAGCTCTTCTCCTCTGCTTGTCGCCGCGAGGACCCCACTCCCATCCTGTCTTCTGCTCTGCTCTCTTTGCCGGGACTAGGGAGGGAGCCCCAGCTCCCAATTCACTCTCACTCGGGAAGAACACTTAGGCCACAAACCCGAAACCCACCCTGGAGCCAAGGGGTGTCTTCACACAGGAAAAAGGCACACCCCACTGCTGGGCTTGTGGACAGTGCAACGCCATCCTTGCGCTGCCGGGCGTGGGGACAGGGAAGGTGGGGAAAGTCAGAGTCACCGCTGCTTAGGCTGATTTGTGTTGTATTTAATTTGTGGAACACATTAATTCTAAATAATACTTGAGCCTTCCTTCCCCTTCCCTCTTGTTCTTCCCCTCCTCCCTTCCCTTCCCCCCCTTTCCCTCCTTCCCTACCTCCCTTCCTTTCCACTTTTCGATAAATATTTGCTTGGAGTCTGCTGTGTGCCTGAGAAAATCTATATGAAGGTGATCCAACAGAAACAGAGAGCAAGAGGTAGACCCCCAAGGAACTCGCCCAGCAGCCTCCACAGTGCCGCCCCTCGCTAACAGCATCCTGGTTTTGCTCAATCTGGGGCAGCAATGTGCTCAGGGAGCGTTCCCCAGGAGAAGAGCAAAGACTGATCGAAAGCAACCTGAGCCGCCCTGCTCACCTTGTCTACGATTACCTGGCAGCAGAGGGTGGGCCTGTGACCCAGATCTGGTAGGTGGGGCCTGAGAGGAAGTGGACTGGAGGGTTAGGTGCTTCCTCCCCAGGGAGATGAAGACATTCAAGAGATGGAAAGTCGCTCCTGCGCTTCTTCCCTGGAGGCTGTCTTGAGAGGATATGATCCTCCCATCTGTGGCAGTCATATAAGAATAGGAGAAAGGCAGGTAAAGTATAGAAAAGCTACCTTGAGTCCCAGCATCACTGAGCTGCTGAATTAACAACCCTGGGTCCACTAATACCAGTTTCTTGTTTGCAAAATAATGAATTGTCCTTATTGTCTGCACTCATTTCAGTTGGGCACTCTCATATTTTGTAACCAAAGGCATCTTACCTATTGCAACAAAGAAGAAATAAAGAACTACAATTTTTCTATCACATGTGGCTCTGAGCCTCCTGGATGCTGAGGTGAAAAGGGAAACGAGATGAATTGCCAAGCTCTCATTCTTAGTCAGGAAGAGCTTCTCAGGGAGTTTCAGCTTTTTTGCCCCTAAATTCCCTGTTTGACACTAAATTTCCACATGGGAGTTTAGGAAAGGAACACTGGGATACATAACTGCTAGACCCACGGTAATCGTTTCACAGGAGAAGCAGTTTTCAAGGGCTCTTTCTTAAGAAAACTAGGATCTAGATATAAAGAGAGTTTAAGCAGAGAGGAGAGTAGAGTGGGAGCTGCTCCATGCCCTCCCCACCCCCGATAGTCACATGTCCCCCCACCCCAGCAGGGAGTAGAGCTCAGTATGAATGAGCAGATACTGAAGAGACCGCTGAAAAACTGTGTACACCGAGCAGAAGGCAGAGCCCAGAAGGACGCAGAGCCTGAAGCTGCAGGGGAGCAAAGGCCCCTGACCCACCACTGCTATGGGCAGCAGCTGTGAGTGGGATTTGGAGTGAGTAAAAAGGAGAGAAAAGAAAAGCGTGAAAGGGAGAGAAGAGGACCTGGCTGGGGAAATCCCCGGTTTGTAGAAACCTGGGCTTGGGTAAAGGTTTGTTGGGGACGGTGGGAGGGGCTGGTGGGAGGCAGAGGTGTAGTCTGCCCCGGATTCTCCATGTCTCAGGCCCACTGGCTGTGTGCGACCTGCATCACACCTCCTGTTCCTGGGGACCTTGGGTGTTTATCTGGGCTCAAGAAGCACTGTCAGGTCTAAGGAATGACTGTACGTCCCAACAGTATCTCACCTCTGAGTGCTGTCTGGCCCAAAGTATCCGAGGATTCTCCCGATAGAAATGTATTTGAAAATTCAACTGAGCCAGGCAATTACTTTGAAAAAGCCTTTACCTTGCTGAGGATTCACAACAGATTTTCATGAAAAATGCTGTACTCTCTGTACCTTTTCTGTAGGATATCAATAGATGCCACACTCACACATACACAGACACAGCAAATATATTTGGAAGAATTCAACAAGTTTCTTTACTGCAATATGTCTTGAAGGCATTAATATCATATGTCATCAAATCTAAGATACACCCTCAATTGGAAGATGTGTCATTATTTAACATATTACTAAGAAAAAAAAAACATCCAAGATGGAAAGTCTCACAGGAGATGCCTCTCTAAAGATGGAACAATGAAAGGCTCACAGGAGATGCCTCTCTAAAGATGGAACAATGAAAGGCTCTACTGTTGGCTGGGCCTGGTGGCTCACGCCTGTAATCTCAGCACTTTGGGAGGCTGAGGCAGGTGGATCACCTGAGGTCAGGAGTTCGAGACCAGCCTGGCTATCATGGTGAAACCCCATCTCTACTAAAAATACAAAAATTAGCCAGGCATGGTGGCTTGCACCTGTAATCCCAGCTACTCGGGAGGTTGAGACAAGAGAATCACTTGAACCCGGACGCCAGAGGTTGCAGTGAGCCGAGATTGCACCATTGCACTCCAGCCTGGGTGACAAGAGTGAAACTCCATCTCAGGAAAGAAGAAGAAAAAGAAAAAGAAAGAGAAAAGAAGGGAAGGGAAGGGAAGGGAAAGGAGAAAGAGAAAGAAAGAAAGAGAAAGAAAGGAGGGAAGGAAGAGAGAGAAGGAGGAGGAGGAGAGGAGAGAGAGGGGAGGGGAGGGAAAATAAAGACTCTACTGTCAGTACAGGGGAAAATGAGAAATAAACCCACCATGGAGAGGAACAGCAAGGAATCATCAGGTTTCTATCTTGGCCCTGGCGAGGGGAGGGAGAAATAGGGAGATGCCCTGCACTGATCATTAGAACCATAAGCTGGTTCTCACACTGGGGTCACACCATTCAGCAGATCCCCAAGGAGTTTCAGGAGCTGTGTCCCCAGATCACTGGCAGAAGCAAAAACAAACCCTCTCTGGAAGAACTCAATTTCAGTCCAGGCCAGTGATGATTGCAAAACACCAACTGTGAGATGTTTCTTGATTTGGGGATGTTAAGATGTGAGAAAATGTGCACCCAGGCATAGATGAGGACAGTGAGCCCTTATCCAGAGAAGGTCAGAGTATTCAGCCCTAACTACTCTATCCCACTGGAGAGCGCCTGGTCAGCAGTGGTCACTGTTGCCACTATTTATGGAGTGCTGACTTCATGCCAGGCTCTGGGTGCCAGGCTCTGCTCACATCAGCTCCTGTCATCCTCATAGCCCCTCTGTATGGGGACAGCAGCGTTACTATTATTTTCAGTAGGGCAAACTGAAGCAACTTTACTGAGGCTGCACATGAGTAAATGACAAAGCTGGGCTTTGAGTCCACGCTCATCTCCGGTATCCTGAAGGTGGTGTCCATCAGCTATTTTTCAAGGGATGCTAGTCTGGCCTGCTGAACCTAGCATATTGCCAAAAATGTAATTGTTCAATAAAGTGTCTATTCCCTACACAGAGGCAATTTCTGCATCAAAGTATGTCTTATCACATCCTAGAAGGCTGTGCAAAGGCTCTTGCTGTCCTGTGGTCTTGGCTGCGTGGGTATTCCCGGACTCTGGCCGGATAATCCCATGCTTGCTGTAAAGGGATCAGTGGTGGGCATGAGAACACATCATTCAATGTCTTCTCCTCTTTTCTGATTTTAGAAGATGTCAGTATAAATATCACAAAACTTCCGAAATATGACCAGGCTCCAATCACCTTTCTGGTCCATGTCCTGTCCCTCCTGAGGCTCGAAGACCTCAATCTAGGAAAGCAGCACCCCCTCCCTCCCCACAGAGCTGTGTGGACCTCGGGGGCCATGTGGAGAGCCAGAGCCTGAGTAATAAATCCCCTCCCTGCAGGACGACTAGCCAAGTTTTATTACAGATCCTATCACAATGAAAAGGGCTGGTACTCCCGTGACTGAGCTAATCCCGTCACCGTGTGAATCAATAGGAAACCCACAGGAGGCGATTCGATTCAGGATGTTCATTTTGGGAAGCTGGTCTTCCTACAACATCGGAGTCAAGATATTGCCGGGCACTTCCATGACAAATGGAAAGTTCAGCCCAAAAGGACCAGACTTGTTAGTAAAATACATTCAGATCTCTCCAAATAAAAATTCAGATGCATTTTAGTCTCCCCTCAGTACAGCAGGCTGAATCCCTTAATCTACCACATTATTATGGAAACACCCTTATCTCTGCCTGTCAAAATCACTGCCGTTGCGGGGGCTCCGTCTTGGGAGGCACCAGCTGCTTTATAATCATTTAGCTGATGTGCAGTTACATTATCTTGAAGCAGGCCACATATTTGAAGAACGGCACCAGATCCAGGATGAATCTGAGGGACATCCGGCCAGCAGGGGAAGGGGAAGAGAGGTAACACATGCTGCCCAGACATACTGCTGCTAGGTGACAATGCAATGCCTCCAACCCCGTCCCCTTGACTCAGGCCAATGTCCCTCTTCTGCAAGCCAGTTGGCTAGGCAGCCAGGGCCATGTCAGGCAGAGGCAGACTGAGAGTTCTGGGTACTGTTTCTGTCCAACAAGTATGGCCGGTTCTCCTCTAGGGCTGCCAGTTTGCATGAGGGCCTCATGTCTCTCCACTGGCAGGGGCTGGTGAGCATCCAGTCCATCTGTAGGAGGGACACACGGTGGCTGTCTTCTGCAGTGTGGGCAGGCCTGGAGTGACGGCCCAAGCAGCTGACCCCACTTGCCAGGGGAACGCAGGGAGGTGAAGTTACATCTAGTGTAGCAAAGCGAAGGCCATGTGGGACGTTGATCTCCAGGTTCCAAGATGGGCCCTTGGCAGGAGCCCTTGTGAACATGGATGTGGCCTGTTGGGATGGGGCCTCCCACCACGCCTCCTGTTCTCCCACCTCCATTAGGGGTGACTCACACCTGAAGAAATGATGAATCACGTGGGTTACAAAACCAAAGGGCTCCTGAGAGCGAGGCTGGAAAGGACCTCGGAAACCATCTATGCAGATCCTGTCCTCAGCCCATCCCCTCTCGCCCCAGCCTCTCACCTCCAGCTGCCAAGCCACAGACTCCAAGTGAATCCTGCACGCTCAACAAGAGACCGCTCCTGGAACTGACCATCAGAGAAGCAGCTTCCTTCCCACCTCAAGGCCTTCTCGACCTTTTTGTTTTACTTCCTATATTAAGCAGGTTGATGGCTTGCTTTCTGGAAGTGGGCCAGTAGGACCAATGGGTCCTGGGAGGGATGACAGAAGAGATCCAGCAGCGATCCTTACCCTTCATAATTCCTTGATTATGGTGTGAACATTTCCATCCATCTCCAGGGTGCTTCAAATCATTATCCACTGGATACCAGGCTGCTCCAGGAAGCAGGGGTGAGGATGATTCAGCTGACTTTCTACTGCTGGTCCCAGCTCAGTGGGTGCTTTTAAGAGTGTACATCGTCTAGTGAACACCTACCACACGGCAGGCCCTGGGCTCATAAAAACGAACGTTTACGGACAGCTTATTGTACAGCAAAAGCTGACCTCATCCTCAAATCAGCCCGACGGGGTAGATGCCACTGTTCCCCGCATTTTGCAGGTGGGGCGCCTGCCCTCAGCCACCACAGTCATTTGCCCAAGATCGCAGCGAGGCTAAGCGGACGGCCTGGGGGTTCACCTGCACGGCCTGGGGGTTCACCTGCGCGGCCTGGGGGTTCACCTGCACGGCCTGGGGGTTCACCTGCGCGGCCTGGGGGTTCACCTGCGCGGCCTGGGGGTTCACCTGCACGGCCTGCCTCCCAGCATGGGCCGCGGCCTCCGCCATGGGCTCCGTGCGGTGGTTTCTCGGGTACACGCTCGTGAGCCCGGCTGATGCGCCACATGCCTTTGCCCCGCTCAATGTGTCCCTTCAGCCAGGCTTGGTCCCGGGCGACCCACTGTCTTCCCCGCAGCTTCTTCTCCCTGGGACCCCGCACACGGGCGAGCCCTCCGTCTAGGGAGGCGGGCGAGGCCGCCAGGCGTCTGAGGCCCCCGCCAGGTGAGTGCGGCCTTCGGGTGTCCGGCCGGTCTAGGGAACCGGGGACTCACCTGAGACGCCGGGGCCTCCCCGCTCCCAGCAGAACTCGCGGGCCGAGGACGCCTCTGGGGCGGCACCGCGTCCCGAGAGCCCCAGAAGTCGGCGGGGAAGTTCCCCCGGTGGGGGGCGTTTCGGGCCTCCCGGACGGCTCTCGGCCCCGGAGCCCGGTCGCAGGAGCGCGGGCCCGGGGGCGGGAACGCGCCGCGGCCGCCTCCTCCTCCCCGGCTCCCGCCCGCGGCGGTGTTGGCGGCGGCGGTGGCGGCGGCGGCGGCGCTTCCCCGGCGCGGAGCGGCTTTAAAAGGCGGCACTCCACCCCCCGGCGCACTCGCAGCTCGGGCGCCGCGCGAGCCTGTCGCCGCTATGCCTCCGCGCGCGCCGCCTGCGCCCGGGCCCCGGCCGCCGCCCCGGGCCGCCGCCGCCACCGACACCGCCGCGGGCGCGGGGGGCGCGGGGGGCGCGGGGGGCGCCGGCGGGCCCGGGTTCCGGCCGCTCGCGCCGCGTCCCTGGCGCTGGCTGCTGCTGCTGGCGCTGCCTGCCGCCTGCTCCGCGCCCCCGCCGCGCCCCGTCTACACCAACCACTGGGCGGTGCAAGTGCTGGGCGGCCCGGCCGAGGCGGACCGCGTGGCGGCGGCGCACGGGTACCTCAACTTGGGCCAGGTGAGTGCGGCCGGCCCCGCGCGCCCAAAACTTTCCCGGCGGCCTCCGGCGCGCGCGAGGGGGGCGCCTCCGCAGTCCTGTCCGCCCGGCCCCGGCCCCGCGCGCGCGTGGGAAGGCTCCGGGACCGCTTGGGGACGGCGGGCGGCCGGGGCGCCCTGCGGGGGGGGGTGTCGCCCGGGGGGGCGCGCGCGGGACACTCGGCGGGGTGGGGGGGACTGGGGTCCCGCGTGGGCGCCCACGCAGGTCCGGCGCGCCGACCGCAAGTCCCCCGGCAGTGCCGCCCAACCCCGCGCTCGGAAGTGTGGCCTCAGAAGCCGGGGCGGCGCGGACACCTGCCGGGCTCCGGGGGAGTCTGGGCTGCCTCAGGCGTCGCGCGCCGTCCGCCGCTGGGTCCTGGGCGCCCACCCGGCTCTCCCCCGCGGGGGAGCGGCCCCTCTGCCCTCGACGGGCGGCGCGAGCTCCGGACCCGGTGCGCGCGCCAAGGCGGCCGCGGCCGCTGCTTGGGTGACATGAGCGTGGCCCGGCGTCTCGGGGACTCGCGCTCCCTCGGTGTCCGCGGCTCCCGGGGGTAGATGGCCGGGAGCCTGCACCCTGGAGCCCGGCCGCCGTCGGAGAGGCCTTGGGACAGCGCAGGGCCGGGGGTCCTGGGTTTAAAACCTCTCCAGGAGCGGAGGGAGGGCGCTTTGTGTGGGGGCTTCTGCCGCGGTTCTGATGGCCGAGCGGTGTGACCTTTGGCAAGTCGCTCCCCTGACAAGCTCCTTTGCAGTCAGTGGCAATGTCTACACCGCTGGGTTGTCGGAAAGATCTAATGCTGCGTTGCCACAGAGCCTGGACCGGGGCCTGACCCTCACCGGCCCCCACGGGGCCCTCCCAGCCCCGCAGCCCTCGGCTGTCCCCTCTTCTGTCAGTGAGCAAGCAGGCCACGCCCTGGGCACAAAGGCGGCATTACCCTCAAAGGACCTCCCGGCGGGTCCCTTTTTCCTCTCTCAACCAGCTACCGGGCTGAGGGGCGGTGAGTTGGGGTTGATCCATGTTTATGGCTCCTGGAGAGGCCGTTATTTTGAGGTCACACCAGGGGACCTCTCAGTGCAGTTAACAAATCTACAAACTACACACTCAGAGGGTTAAGTGAAGTGACAGGGAAGCACCGACTCATAACTCTAAACCTTAGTGCCAGGCAGTGTTAAATGTAGTTTCATCGTTATCCGTGGCAGAAGCCAGCAAGGTGTGGTGGCGTCCCTGATTGATAGAAATGACATTAGTTCTGCATCCCAAGCCCCACGTTGATGTACTATTAGGTGTGTGGCTGGAGGGGTGGATTCCACCATTCGAATGAAGGAATCTTCACAAGGCAGGTTCGAGTTTACTGAAAGAATGCTAGCACATCTTTGGAGACCTTTTAAATATATGCATATATATATATAAAATGTTACATATATACACATATACACACATACATATACGCACATGTATATCCATATAGATATTTAGTTTTTTTAACCACTCAAGGCCCTCCAAACATCCTGTGATTTCAGATTTTGCCGTCGGGTAGCACTGACTTCGTTTGTCTCTGTAGTTCTTGACTCTCCCTGGCTGATTGTCCAGGCTGAAGAAGGTGTTCCTCATGTTTGCGTAGTGCCCCTGGCTCCTGCCACACTTCGCTGCTGTGCCCAGGTGGCCCAGCAATTTGTCTTCAGCTAAAAGTGACTCTTAAACTACGCGATAAATTACAAAGTGCCTGGGTTTTGGGATTCTAAAATTAAATGAGCAGAATGGAGCTGAAATTGAGCTGTGAGCTCACACTGCAAGAGAGAGGCAGAGAGGCACAGGTAACTCTCCCCGGAAATTTCTATCTGTGGGAATAAAAATGCCTAACCCTTGGCCATGCCGCCCCTTTGAGACAACCTCTGTCAGGCTCACTGAGTTCTTAGTGCAGTCTGCTCTCCTGGTTTTGCGGATGGGAGAGAAGATTCGCCCCGATGCACACTCCGTACCCAGGATATTCTGGGGAGTTAATCGGGGTCTCCCCAGCTCTGTCTAGTGCAGCCAGCATGAATGCCACGCAGCCCGGTCACTCAGGCATGGTGCTGGCAGTGGCACTGCGGTGACATTCACTAACAGAGATTAGCTGGTTGGGGATAGGAGCTGTCTCAGAGGCTTGTGTGTGATTACTCACGGAGGGCCTATTACTCTTTATTCCAAAACGAGCTTTTCTTTCCCCCCTCTAAGTGCACTGCTAATGTGGAAAAGGCCTGGAGCATTTGAGCCTCTACCCACTCAATAAGAACTCTTTGAAAACCTTATTTGCCTTTTTTTCAGCCAGGAGAATTTGTGACTCATAAATAAGATGTAGATATTATTAGCTTTGACTTACAGATGAGTAAATGGGGGTGAAGTAAGGGAAGGAAGCTGTTTGTGTTCACATGGTACGCATATGTCACCTCTGACAGTTCCATCCCTGCTCATTTGCTTCTGCCGTATTCTCTGTTCTGAGGTCTCCTTTGTGAAACTCTTTCTCCAAGCCCTTAATGGGCAATTAGTGTTATGTTCTGTACTTGCCTGAATCGCAGCCCTGGTTTTCTCCCAGATAGTCGCTGTGCTCAAGGTTCTTGCTTGTTTTACTTTCTTCCATACAACTAATAACTGGATTCAGTTTATTTCACATGGCCCAGAGGTAATTTAGACTGGTGGTTATTCACCTTTCTTGTGTCATGGCTCCCTTTCAGCACCTGATAAAGGCTGTGGATCCTCTCCATTGTAAAATATGCATCACCAGGGACAAGACAAGACAGCCTCTCTTTGTCCCTCTACTCATCAGTCCAGGTAACACCACAGGATTTCAAAGGGAATAAAAATGTGGAAGTGTCCAATGTCATTATCGGCAGATGACATAACTACATGGATAATCCAAAAGAGCCTGGAGATTAACCCCTGGAGCTAATAAGGGAGTTGATCAGCAACAGCCACCTGCATGGCAGCACATCTGAGAAGACGAAAGAAACCATTCTTCATTCTTGCATAAAAGCTGTTAGATACGTTGAAATAGGTCTTTTAAAAAGGTGAGACTTTTATAGAGAAACATAAAATATTTAGAAGAAGGACTGAGAAAAGAAAGTTTAGGCTGGGCATGGTGGCTCATCCCAGCACTTTGGGAGGCTGAGGCAGGCGGATCACCTGAGGTCAGGAGTTCGAGACCAGCCAGACCAACATGGAGAAACCCTGTCTCTACTAAAAATACAAAAATTAGCTGGGCTTGGTGACACATGCCGGTAATCCCAGCTACTTGGGAGGTTGAGGCAGGAAAATAGCTTGAACCTGGGAGGCGGAGGTTGCAGTGAACCGAGACCGCACCATTGCACTCCAGCCTGGGCGACAAGAGTGAAACTCCGTCTCAAAAAAAAAAAAAAAAAAAAAAATTTAAATAAATGGAGAGATGCGTTGTGTTCATGCATGGGAGGGCTGGCTCTCATAGTTGCCCCAATTTAATCTGCAAATTCAATGTAATCTAGTTTAAGCTGTGACAAGATTTAATGTGGAATATGAAATCACACAAATGAATTATAAAATTCATATGGAAGAGTAAGGTCCAGGAATACCTCAGACAACTCTGGGAAAGAAGAGGAGGAGGGGAGTTGTGGTAACGACAGTCCAGCAGTAGAGTCAACTCAAACCCAAGCATGTGTGGGAACTTGTATGTGTGAGCTGAAGAGTTACAAATAGATGGGGAAGGATGGGCTATTTACTAAATGGTGCTGGGAGAACAGGCTCTCCCCATGGAAAAACAATTAGATCCTCACATTACACAACAGTACATTCCAGATGGGATTAAAGACTGTATATAAAACTTTAGAAAGAGCTGCAGTGGAATACCTTTGTCACACCGGGAAAGGAGTCCCTACACAAGTTATGAAAATAAATTTCAAAATGAAGAGACTGATACATTAAGATAAAAATTCTATGTAAACAAAGGCATCCTAACAGAGTTAAAAAGCAAGAATAGACCAGGAAAGTATTTACAATATATAACAAATACATTAGTACACAGATTATTTTGAAAACTATAAATCACTAAGAAAAAAAGATACACGCCAGGTAGAAAAATGGGGAAGTTTATGAATGGAGAAGTCAATGAAGAGAAATCCAAATGACCAGTAAACATAAGAAATGATGCCCAGCTTCACTCAAGTTCGCTGGGGGTTATTGGAGCACTGCAATTTAGGCAACGATGAGATACCATTTCACACCTATTGGATTTCCCGACACGGAAGAGTGTTAGCATCACGTGCTGGCAAGGATATAGAGCAATGGGAACTTTCAGATGCTGCTGGTGGAGATTGGTATCGTTTGGAGAGCAATTTGGCGATACACGGTGAGGCTGGACTTGCTAGTCCACAGCCAGACATATCCTGGAAGAACTCTCCCACGTGTGCACAAAGAGACTTGTATAAGAATGTCCATGCAGGCGTTTTTTTAAATGAAGGAAAACCCACCTTCCCTGAAGTAGAATAGAGAACTAAATCAAAATAGTCACACCATGCAAGACTCTACAGTGGTTAGAAATGAATAAACCAGATCTATATCTACACAGATACATCTCTCAAATAGTGTTGAGAGAGAAAAAAGGCAAATTGTAGGTGTCCAATGTGATCATATTCATGTAAACGTTAAGAAACACACAAAGCAGGCCGGGCGTGGTGGCTCACGCCTGTAATCCCAGCACTTTGGGAGGCAGAGGCGGGTGGATCATCTGAGGTCAGGAGTTCGAGACCAGCCTGGCCAACATGGTGAAACCCTGTCTCTACTAAAAAAATATGAAAATTAGCTGGGCGTGGTGGTGCACGCCTGTAATGCCAGCTACTCAGGAGGCTGAGGCAGGAGAATGGCTTGAACCTGGGAGGTGGAGGTTGCAGTGAGCTGAGATGAACAGGACTGCACTCCAGTCTGGCCGACGAGTAGAGTGAAACTCTGTCTCAAAACAAAAACAAAAACAAGCAAAAACAAAGCACAAAGCAATACTGTATTAATTATGGATGCTTATAGATGTAGTAAAAGTATAAAAGTGTGGGCTGTAAGGATCTGCATCAAATTCTAGTTAGCAATGACCTCCAAGAAGGGAGGGAGGGGAGAGGAACTTCAAACTTTATCTGCAGTGTACTGCTTTACAACACACGCTTATGTGTGTGGGTGTGTGTATGTATAAACATACGTGGATTATATACAAAATTGTGCCTAGACATTTTGTACTTTTTTTCTTTGTATCAGGGTATATTACATGTGGTGATGTGTACAAGTGTGTATATATACACACGTATAATATATAAACACACGTATATTGACGCATATACCTATATACATAGACATATACACAGATACACATAAAACATTGAAGAGAGAAAAAAGAAAAGGGAGATGCACATGGTACACCTACCGCATGGTGCTTCTGGACCATCTGAAGCCCACCGCTGGAGGCAGGTGCCTGCAGGCCCATGTTAAGAAGTCCCTACTTTAGATGTCCAGACTGGGCCGATCCACTTGTCAAGGAAATGGTGACAGAGAAACAGAATGTCTGGCTGCAGGTCGCATGGGCGTTTGGACAGAGCTGGACACGGAGCCCAGGAACCCTTCCCTTCTCCCCTGCTTCTTTCTCCTTCCAGTCACCCTCGCTCTAACCTGTGTGCATTGTCACCTTTGACATTGTGACTCAGAAAAGACAAGTTGCTTGTGTGGAGAGGATGGCAGCAAGGTATTCTCCACATACCAAATCACAACAGCTCAGCGTCTGCTGCTCTTGGAAATGATGTTTATCTTAAGGGTGGTTCTTGGATGCCATGCTTTCCCTTGGGTTTTTGCTTTGCCTGGGGTATTGAGCTAATTTGTTGCTTCTGAGTCTGAACATAAAAAGGCAGGCTGGCTGCCAGGGCCCTAAAAGATCTAAGAGCCTTAAATGATCTTGAACTTGCCTTAAATAGTTTTACTTAAAATAGCTACTGAGCAGGACATACCTGGCCCAGAATTTCAGGTGAGCCTGCACGATTCATTTGTCAGCAGAGGAAAATTGTCATGCTGCAGACAACTTGTTCTTGCAATGAAAAACAAGCCGAAGCCTTAACCAGGTGTTAAAATGATGGGCCAGAACTTGTTCCAGCCACAGCGTCAGGGGTTTGGTAGGGACAAGGGGAGACCCGGAAGAGCAGTCACCTGTGACCTAGTTCTCTGGGATTGGTTTTCGGTCTAAGGCTGTCTTGGTTTTATGCTCTGAGCCAAGCTGGACTGGCTGTGCGCGGCTGGCCTGCGAGAGGTTCTGGGTGTGAACTGAGGGACAGAGGCAAGATGAGGGTTGTGAAGCTCATTGTCTTAACCCTCCTATCTGACGTCTTCACCCGGATGGTGATGCCTTTAAGTGGGCAGGAGTTTAATTGACCGGACTGCCCTCCTGAGTCATTGGAGCTGGTGCGGGGAGTGGTGATCAAAGCCGAGCCAGCTGCCATCTCTGGAGCCAGAAAAGCTCCAGAAGGCAGCATCCAGGGCAGACTCAGAATCAGGACTGAGCAGGTGCAGGGGCAGACTCAGAATCAGGAGCAGACTCAGAATCAGGACTGAGCAGGTGGCTCAGCTGACTGGACCATTAGAAAGGCTTGAGTTTCTCTGGGCGGAAACCAGGGAAGCAAATGAGAAACACGGAGCTGTCGATGGGCTGGGGGAGGCTGGGACACCGCCTGATACTCCTGCCGGCTTTGAGCTTTGGGTGGTGACAGGGACACTCAGGGCTGTCCAGACCCTGTTCTCCAGTGTCCGCCAACTGCATGCCGGCTGGGAACGTCCTGAGCTTTTTTGGATCTCTGAGCCTCTACACAGATTGTGGCATCTAGAAAGTAGTTCCTCTGATCTTCTGCAGCTCAGCCAGGCTGCCGACACCTCTCCTCCTCCTTTCACCCTGCCCTGGGAGGGCTTCCGGGTTGTACTTGCCCTGGGTGGCTGGCCTCCTCCTGGCTCCTGGGACTGGGTCTTGGCCTTGCCACCGACCAGAAGCCCTGGTCTTGCTCCCACCAGCTGATGTTTCTCCTGACTATTGCTCCGAAGGCCCTCACCAGCCCTGCAGGGAGGTGTCACCAGGCCTGGTTAATGGTGATGAGGCCTTAGACCCAGGTACCTTCTGACAAACCAGTGACTGACAGGCCAGGGCCGGACCCCACACCCTCTGACTCACCTTCTACTGCTGTCACCTCGTACCTGCTTCCCAGACAAAGGTAAATCATCAGACAGAAAAGCCTTTCGGCTTCTGCCAGAATGAACAGACAAGAGGCATAGCAACCTCCGGAGACCCCACCAGCCGCCGTTTCTCCCTCTGTCCACCGGGTGCGTGCACATGCGTGTGCGTGAACGCGCACAGACTCAAAGGGCTGCACACCAGCATGGCTCTGTCTCGGGGAATCTGTACTGGCTCCTGCTCATCAGCATTGGAACCACTCACACCTCTCTCTATTGGAGGGAAAAAGAAAAGCCCTCCAGTCCTTCTAGGAAGCCACTCAAACTACACATTTGAGTCACTCACATTTCAGTCACTCAAGCTGCACATTTATCAGCTGGACTAATCATCTTTTGCTGAAACCTCCTCCTCGTGTGGGTCCCTGTCTACAAGAAGAGACCCCTGTCTACCTTAGTGGCAGAGCTGGAGGCCTAGAGGTCACCATCGCCTCCTCCTGCTCCCGTGCTCCCCCAAGCCTGTCTCACTGTCTCCTGAATGGCTCTCAGGCTCCCTGCATTGCCCCTGCCACCGCCCAGCACAGGCTGTGGCCTCTGTGGCCTCTACCTGCCTCAGGGCCTCCTCCTGCCCCACCCCACCGCCTCGAGCCCTGGCTGTAGCTGCAGCTCTGCCCATCCCCCATCTTCATGCTTTTGCTTCCTTTCAGGCTTTGCTTCTGTTGTTCTTCCTGCCCAGAACGGCTTTACCTGTCACCAGGTTCGCCCCTCAGCCTTCCCACCCGTCACCAGGTTCGCCCCTCAGCCTTCCCACCCGTCACCAGGTTCGCCCCTCAGCCTTCCCACCCGTCACCAGATTCGCCCCTCAGCCTTCCAAGTTCTGCTGCACTGTCAGTTCCATCAGCCGACTCACCCCGATTTCCCCAGCCCGCCGGATGTACCCTTCGTCTGGGCCCCCAGGCCCCCTGCCACCTGGACGTTGCCTGCTGGCTTGCCTGTTTCTGACACTGGGCTCTGGGCTTCCTGGGTGAGTCAGCCCAAAGTTAGGCCTCTGGCTGCTCTCTAAGGTTAGTTCCGATTCTGCCACCTCTGTGGTGGCCGGCAGACGTGCGTTCATTTATTCAGCGAGTATTGCTGTGTGCTCTCACTGGCCTGGGCACTTAGAGATAAGAAAATGTGGCCCCTGCCTTGCAAGAGTCTTAAGAGACTCTTGGTTATGAGTCTTTGTGAGGGACCAAGGCCAGGCACCTGCGCTTTGTTTAAGTGTCATTTATTGAACCACCCCCACCATCGCTTTCTCATCCCAATCGTTTGCTTTTTGGAGTCACTCGATAGGCCCTGCCACGTACGTACTTGTACATGAGGACACCCTCTTTGTGATGCTGTAGTTTGCCTCTTGGCCAGGTCAGCTCCACACTGATCTGAGAGCCCTGTGTCCCCTGAAGGCCCCACTAGTGCCCTGGAGGCCCCACTGGTGCCCTGGAGCTCACTGTGGATGCTTCACACCCTGCGGGTCCCATCATCCCATCAAGCTGTGGTTTTTCCTGATGTCCTTGTGCCTCTGCCCTTTGAGCATCTGGAGGACCCAGCAGCAGGCGCAAGGCCCCCTGTCTAGTCCTGCAAGGAAGGGGGATGAATAGCCATCAGCTGTCAGGAGCCTCACGCTCCATGGGATGGGATCAGCAGCCTAGGGTTCCCATGGCAACCAGCCCATCAATGCCCTCAGTGTCAAGACAGGGGCACCGTGGAAAGGAAGAAAGTCTCATTGTCTTGCCTTGGCTGCTTGGGCATAAACAAGCTGCGCTCCACAGGGCCCCGCAGCCACGCCCGACCTGTGGCTCTGCCCAGCCGCACATGGACCCATTTACTGAATTGGGCTGGGAAGAGGCTGTCACTGTTAGTTCTCTAATCTTCCTCGGGGGCTCTTGTATTTCTGCCACCGGCCAGCATCCATCACTTCTAGAGTCCTTGTTGGGAAAATCCATCTTCTCAGTGAGAGTGGGCAGAAACAGCCCAAATGGAGCAGACTACCGAAGCTCTGAGTGATCAGCCAGACCGCCCTGGGGGGAATCCATCAGTGGGTAATGGCATCACTCACGTTCCTGCAAGGAACCTGGACTTCCAGACTTTCCCGCTTTGGTTTCAAACACCCTGATGACAACTCTCAGACATATCTCCTGTGATCATTTAAGCAGATCACCTTGAGATGACCACTGCTGGGCTTGCCACAGGCGGACAGTCTAAGAAGGTCCTGTCCCCCTTCCTGGACTGTCCCCCTGGGAGGACCCCAGCAGTGGTCACTTACAAGAGCTTCCTTCTTGCCTTCAAAAGGCCCAAGTTCACCTCCCTGATCATTGCCGGACTCTTCCCTGGGTGGAGATCTGGGAAGGTGGTGGAGGGGAAGGGAGGGGCTGCCTCGTGTTGGATAAGGGCCCTCCCACCAGAGGTCAGGCCTGCTGTTCCCTGTCTAGTAGAAGGCTGCATGGAGGTGCTCCTGTGCCCCACACCGTTCTGCTCACCTATCTTGTACCCCGTCCTCCAGATGGGAAACCAGATGTCTCTCTGGATTCCTCCCACCAGCCTCTGCATGCACCGACCACAGCCCTGTCCGACCAGCCTCTGGGTCTTTCTCCCCTGCCACCCAGCCCATGGCCACAGCCGAGGCCGGGCCTGCTCACTCATACTCTCACTGGTGGTGAGTGTCCTGGTGACTGCCTCACTGGCTTCCCTGCCTCCCTTCCAGGCCATTTCCCACACGGCCATCCGTAGGATTCTTCAGAGCCCCACTGCTCTGTGCTCACCCAGAACCCTTCACTTTTACCACACGCATCTTCATGAAGTCCGGGCCTTTGACATTCAGGACACTTTCCATATGCTTTTTCTTTCTTCTGCACCTATCTGTTGCTGTCGTTTTAACCTGGGGGCCCCTTCCTTGTGTGGTCTACCCGGGCCCTGCCCTTCTTTGGCATTAGCCAAAGTGCTGCTTCCTGACCTGCCTGCAGCCCTGTCCTCTCCGAGCTCCACGGAGGGGCTCGGCCATGGCGTGCGGGGTGTCTCTCTCCCCGCTAGACCCTCTGGACCACAGCGTCTCATAGTCTGCGTCTTTACGTGACTCATTTTGCTTCCTGAGGCCCTAGTGCAGTTCCTGGCACTGAGAAGGTTTAGTGAATGAGAAATTGTTAGAATTTTTTATATCAGGACCTGTGATGTCCTGATTCCATTCACCAAAGGCAAATCATCCTTAAGCGTGAGTATGGAGAAAATGCTGACCTTGTTATCTTCACTTCTGCTGAGCTCTAGCAGGTTTGTGAGCAGCAAATATTTGTGATGTTTCTGTATAGTCAAATATCGCTTATGCTTTCCACCCTTTGACATCTCTTGGTACCTTGCTTTTGGGTTCTGTGTTTCCTGGGACTGAGTCTTGCTGAGTGATTCCAGTGTCACCTGCAGGGACTCTGCTCTCAAGGCCAAGGCAGATGTTCAGTCATCTGTGCCACGTGGCTACTCCGAGGCAGAACCGGCAAGTCTGGACACACCTAGCATCCTAGCCTGGTGTTCTCTGAAGCTCAGAACGAGCATCTTGCTCCTTGGTGGGCAGAAGAACAAGAGGAAAGGAAGCCAGAAAAAGAGGACCGGGGAAGCCACAGAAGAGGGAGGGAGGGAAAGTGGGAAGGAGGACTGAGGACAGGAGGCATGGGTGTGTCCTGCGGCCTTGGTGGAGCCTGTCCTGTGGAAGGTTTATTTTCTGTAAAGAAGCAGTCTGGCTCGTGCCTGTACTCAGCCTCTCTGTCCCCACACGTGACTGTCCTTAGAATAGCAACTGGGTCCTCGGATTCCAGTACCCCACCATGACTGCCGCCAGCCACTCCTATGTCAGTCTTGGCTGTCTGCCAGGCACTGCTGATGATTGCCCCCAGAACCGTACTATTAATCCCATTACACAGATGAGCAAACTGAGACCCACAGAGGCTGAGTAACCTGCTATAGTAGTAAGGGTCAGAGCAAGGCTTTCAACCTGGGCAACTTGCATTCCAGGCCTTCCTCATAGACAGAGTCTGTGTCTATTAGGAAAGGCTACAAGGAGCAGGTGGCATGTGAGCCGCCACGGAGCTTGGCTTGGGGCTTTCTAAGTGGCTAGGGCAGAGGGGTGCAGTCCAGGCAGATGGAGGGTTGGGGCAGAAGGGACCTGTGAAGAAGTCCTCCTGTACTATGGGATCCTCCCCTCCTTATCAGGGCTCTGGCCTGGAGCTCAGTTCAAAGGCTTATCTATGCAGGAATGAAGGCAACATTCTTGATGTAGAGTCTAAGAGTCTGAAGGTCAGGGAACCTTTCTTGGATACCCTCCTTTCTGCCTACCAGAACCCTGTGTTTCCTGCCTGCTGGGAGGCAAGTGGAACACAGTAGAACCAGATCCCAAGAGGAGAGAAGAGGCTGGAGGGGGACCCACAGTTGCATAGAGGGTAGCATGGCCTGGTTATAAGACTGTTTACACTACTTGATTCCTCTCAGTATAATACAGAAAGGATATGTGGATACAGAATATTTTTGCAATACAGAAAAGAACAAGAAAACCATAAAAATCACCCATAGTCCCACCACCCCAAAATAATCACTGTTGACACTTTGGGCCATGACTTTTTGTTTTGTGATTCTGTGTCTGAGTGTGTGCGTGCACACTCATATGCAGGTTGAATATCCTGTATCTGAGATGCTTGGGAAAAGAAATGTTTTGGAGTTCCAATTATTTTAGATTTTGAAATATTTGTGTTATGTTCACTTGTTGAGCATCTCTAACCTGAAAATCTGAAATTGGAAATGCTTTGAGTGTCCTGTTGGATTTTGGAGTATTTTAGATTTTCAGGTTAGGGATATTCAACCTGTGTAGGTATGCATGCACACACACACAGACACACAGACACACACACACACGCACACACATATATTCACCAATGTCTTATACAAATAGGATTGTCTACTTTTGCAACTTGTACCTCCCACGTCAATAAGTCTTCTATGGCGTAACTTGTAATGGCTGCTCAGTGTACCTTGGCGTAGCTGGCCCATCATTTGTGTCATTCTTTCCTGACGTTTAGGTCAGTGAGTTCTTTATCACTGCGTGGGGAGGTGGATAGTGCTGCAGCTGCTGTGGAAGGTCAGGACCGTGCAGGGAGGTGGAAGAGGCTCTGCCACTGCGCTGCTTCCCCGCCCCACATGCCCTGGGTCCCTGGTTATGGCGTCTCATCCCACCTACCTGCATCTCCCGTCCGGCATCACCAGCCTTGCAGAGGGTCCACACTTGGTAACATCTGTTCAGTTCAACTCATTAGGATTTTATCGAGCATTTTTATTTAAAAAATTATACATTGCATATAAATTTATAAATTTAGAGTATTATATAAATGCTCCCCCATTGTAAAGAATTCACACAGTGCAGGTGTACAAAGCAAAATCCAAAATCTCCTTCCTCCCCTCATCCGATCCCTGATTTACTCCTTCCCTGAGATGTCACCACTGTTCACACATTAGTATATGTGTCCTGTTTCTGTGCCTTAACAGACAGATACGTGCGCATATACACACAAAAAGAATTTTTGTTGTTTTTTTTTTTTTTAATATAAATGGAATCACACTAAACATGTTTTTTTTTTTGGACCTACCTAGGTTTTCTTCACTAACAGTGGGACGTCTTGGGAATCTTCCCATGCTCGTACATAGAGACCTACCTCATTCTTTTTAAATAGTTTTATGGCATTTTAGAGATGCAACATGTTTTGTTATACCACACCTGTGAATGTTCCTTTGATTTGCCTCCAGTTTTTTTCTGTTATAAGCAGTGTTGCAGTGGTTATCCTTATTCATGACTCTGCACTTGTGAGAATTTCTGTAGGATCCATAAGAACAAAACAAATACTAGTTATAATAATAAATGGTGATTGCTGGCCCTTACTGTGTACCAAGTAACTTTTCATGTGCTTTCCTTGTATTGACTCATTTAATCTTAGAAACTCTATGGGGTAGGTGTTATTATTACCCTCATTTTACAGATGTGGAAACAAAAGCACAGAGAGGTTAAGTAACTTTTTCCCAGTTACACAACTTGTAGGTGCCAGAGCCAAGATTTGAACCCGAATAGTCTGACTCCAGAGAGGGGACCTGCTGAGTCAATGTATGTGTGCAAGTTACATTGTGTTAGATGTTGGCCATGGCTCTCCCAACAGATAGTGCCAGTTGACACTGCCCCCAGAAGTGTGTGTGGGCCCCACCGATTTTGTGTAGTGATGACCAATTGTCATATTTGCCAGTTCTTATAGGTGACAAATGAGATCTGGTGGTTGTTTTAATATGCTTCTTTTCCCTCATTGTTATTCAAGTTAAATGTTGCTTGGCCAGCACAGTGGCTCACACTTGTAGTCCCAGCACTTTGGGAGGCTGAGGCTGGAGGATCATTTCAGCCCAGGAGTTCGAGACCAGCCTGGGCAAGATGGCAAGTTCCTGACTCTACAAAAAAAAAAAAAAAAAAATTAGCCAAGTGTGGTGGTGTACGCCTGTGGTCCCAGCTACTGGGGAGGATGAGGTGGGAGAATTCCTTGAGCCCAGGAGGTTGAGGAGTCAGTGAGCCAAGACCACATCACCGCACTCCAGCCTGGACGACAGAGCGAGACCCTGTCTCAAAATAAATGAGTAAATAAAGTTAAGTGTCTCTTTATTTATTAGGCATTTTAATCCTTCTCTGAATTGCTTATTTATATTCTTTGCCCATTTTTTCAGTGGGGCTGTTTGTCTTTTAATGATTGCTTTCTCTGTGTTGTAGATATTCATCCCTTGTTTTTAAGTACGTTGCTTTTCATTGAACACTGTTCAGAGTGTTTGTTGGCTTTGCCTGTTGTTGTTTGAAGTAAAATCTGCAGCACCATTTGTTTGCCAGGCTTTGGGCTCGTCACTCAGTGTAATTCAGAGATGAGTAAGACAAAGTCCCCACCTAAAATAGACAGCACGTAACTCTTGCGAGAGGAGTAGTGAACGGAATATAGGGGCGGAGTCCAAATGTTTTAGGATAAGTGAGGAGAATGGGGCAGCCTCTCAACTGGGGATTCAGGGAAGCCTTTGTGACCAGTGGCGCTAGGGCCAGACCTGGAGGGGTCCATAGAATGTTCACAGAGGAATGGGAAGTGGGGGTGTGTTTGGGCAGATGGATCGTGAGTGCTTTAATCTGCATCCCATCCGAAAACAACTCACCTTCAATGACCCACTGGAAAAGAGTCTCATGAAGAGGCTACTTACAGGGTGTGCATGGGGACAAGGGAACCAACAGAGGGTGTTGAGGTACCCGGGGACTGGGTAGGCAGTGGTGGGGAGCTGCTGCAGGGATGGAGGCAAAACAGTGTTAGCAGATCCTGTGGGAGCTGGAGCTGAGTAGGGTGCAGCCTCCTTCTGGTGCCTCCATTGGCCTGGGCAGTATTGCCTGGAGGGCTTAGTCTTCTGCAGCACTGAGCAGGGCAGAGAATGGTGGAGAGTGGGTCAGAGGTGTCAGGGGAGGTGGAGGGAGAAAAATCAGCTCAGTAAGGATAAAAGCAGAGATAGAAGTTCCAGATGTGTGAAGGCCTCAGCAATCCTCGATGCCATTAGAGGGTAGGGGGGTTCATTTGCTGCTGGTTTTACTTAGCAAACATTTATTGGATGCTGGCTCAAAGCCTGGCCCCGGACGAGGTGCTAAGTTATAAAGATGGGTCAGGCAGGCTGCGCACCCCAGTGATCACCGCCGTGGCGCCAGTTTTAGCTTTCCACGTGTCCTCTCCGAGGGTCACAGCAGAGGCCTGTGGTTTTATGTCTGTTAGACCCCATGTACCTGGATCTGTGCCTCCTTGTCCCAGTTGGAGTTTATTTAGGTGTGTCTGTCTGAGGACAGATTTTAACATGGAAAAATAAGTCCATTTTTGGCCGCCATTGAATTCAGTCTAACATACATCTTGATCTTCTGCTGTTTTTTTCCAACTTAAACAAACAAACAGAAATCCCAATTTGTGTTCCTCTTGATAAAGCCCAATTTCTATAGAAAGAAAAGAAACCTTATTGCTGTCCTATCAAAGTAACCATTTATGACTGAGCTCATTAACAGTCTTATACACGGTTCTGTTTCTCATTTGCAGGAATATGATGCCGTTAGCCAAGAACAAGAAGTTAGATTTGTTTCAGAGGCTTAGACAACTTTATGTATCATGACTTTGATAATCTAAGACCCTCACAACCATTCATTCATTCATTCATTCATTATTTATTTATTTATTTACTTATTTATTTGAGACATGAGTCTCACTCTGTCACTCAGGGTGGAGTGCAATGGTGCGATCTCAGCTTACCGCAACCTCTGCCTCCCAGGTTCAAGGAATTCTGCCTCAGCCTCTCTATTAGCTAGGATTACAGGCGCACGCCACCACCTCCAGCTAATTTTTATATTTTTAATAGAGATGGGGTTTCACCATGTTGGCCAGGCTGGTCTTGAACTCCTGACCTCAGGTGATCCACCCACCTCGGCCTACAACCATTCATTTTAGCACAAGATGCAAAAGCCTGTCTGTGGGAATAGATGCTTTCTCTTCCCCATGGAGTTCTGTGAACTCATTAGTACTTTCTAGGATTTTTGTTTGCTTGCCTGCTTTTTCAAGGAATTTGCTATTCTACCTTGTTCTGATATTTGGTCAAATCAGAAAACGTTAGAAAACCAAATTGATTCTTTCTTACACTAAATAATCTTAAAATCCAAATGAAGGCTAGGCATGGTGGCTTATGCTTGTAATCCCAACACTTTGGGAGGCCGAGGTGGGAGGATCCTCTGAGCCCAGAAGTTCGAGGCTGTAGTGAGCTATGATCATGCCACTGTACTCCAGCCTGGATGACAGAGTGAGACACTGTCTCTACAAAAAATAAAAAAATTAGCCAGTCATGGTGGCATGTGCCTATAGTCCCAGCTACTCAGGAGGCTGAGGCCAGAGGATTGCTTGAGCCTGGGAGGTCAGGGCTATGCAGTGAGCTATGATCATGCCACTGCACTCCAGCCTGGGTGACAGAGCGAGACTCTGTCTCTAGAAAAGAAAAGAAAACAAAACAAAAACCAATCCAAATGAAACCTCAGAGGTAGGTATGGACACATTAGCTCTGGGAGACTGTCAATACAAGGCTCACATTGAGGGACCAGAACTAACAGACCCACACTATCACAAGCCAGGTCTTAACAGCCTTCCTTTTCCAACCAGGGAAGGGCAGCTCTCAAACCTAACCAGAGGATCTTTCCACTTTCTCTTTTGATTGTTACTCATAAAGAGCCCTGGATGTATTTTCTATTTTCTTCTGTCAAAAGTTCAATGGCTACAGAGAACTATAGAAAATCCTGTCTTAACCCAATTTATTTTCTTATTCCAAGTTGGTTCTACTTTCCAGCAATTGGTTCCTTTCCTGGAGGTAGTTGCTTTGTGCTTGGTGTGTGCTGATGGCTGTGCCAGCCTGGGCATCTCATCATGCCAGGGAGCTGCTCAGCCTCCTCCCTGGTCTCTCCTGAAAACTGACCTCCTCAGTGGAGTCTCAGTGACCAGGCGCCACCATTGAGAGATCCTTTTGTCTCTCCAAGGTTGAGGGAACCTGTTTGTGCACTTGCCACTGTCATTCTCCCCACAGCGTCAGTTTTGTTTGAATCGTGCTGTCAGGTTGCATGAATTAGATTGCAAGTCTCGAGCTTGGGCCATGTTTCTGCATGCACCGTGGGTGTGAAACTGATGCCTGGCAGATTGTCCCATCGTTAGAAACACTGGACAGAGCCGGAAGGGAGCAGCCATGCTGCCCAACCCGTTTTCAATGCCATGACTTTGTCCTGAGGCCTCTTCAGGGAGCTGTGTTAACGTTGAGCCCAGTTTGATTTCTGCGTCGGCCCCTTCATAGCAGAAGACGACCTGCTGACTGCTGTGGCCAGGCCACCTGGCCGTGGGGCTTTGAGGAGAGACTCAAGCCAACAAGTGCCGTCAGTCAGAGCATGTCTCTGGTCTGCCTGTGTCCCCTTGCTGGGTTCTCAGCAATCTGGGGCGATGCCTCCGTTCGATTTTTTTTTCCTCAGAGGATTATGGAGTTTTCTGGGTCATTTAGCTTTTTTTTATCACAATTTCGTGTTTCTTAGGTCCATCCATAGGAGAATGGAAAAACAAATGTGATACATTCATTCAGTGAGCACTCTTTTATTCAGCAATAGAAAGGAACAGACAACCAGCATGCATAACAACGTGCATGTGTCTCATAGACAGGCCAAGTGAAAGAAACCTTACATGAGGGTGCCTGACTCCATTCAGAGGAGGTTCTAGAACTGGCAAAACCAAATGTGGGGGCATGAAAGCTGGAGGTTGACCGGGAAGGCACATGCGAGACTTTCTGGAGTGATGGCTGTCTTCTGAATCTCAGTAGGGGTTTGAGTTATACAAGTGTGTACATTTATCCAAACTCAACAAATGTGTAATTTACTTTTGCTTGTTTCATCATATCTAAATTTTATCTCAAAAGAAATAAATCTATAAGCAAATAATGATGTGTATGTTGAAGTCTTTAGGGAGATGTATGTTGTGTACTGATACTGCAGTTTACTTTGGAATGCACCAAAAATAAGATGTGTTGACAAATGGATAGAAGGATGGATGGATGGAGAGAAGTTTGATCAAGTGATTTTAGTGAATATGTTAATGGTAGAATCAAGGTAATGGGCATATGGATGTCTGCCATACAATTCATTCAACATTGGTGCATGTTTGAAAAATTTCATAGCAAGATGTTGGGAGAAAGGTATTTTTGTGGACGTGGGAGAGACCCCATGTTGTCTTTGAAGACATAATCATAAATTTATGTTTAGAGATGAGGATTAGAAGCCTTTCTAGGGATTTAGTAGGGCAAATGATGTCATCAAAGAAATCTCCTGGAATCTGGGTTCAGGGGCATTTGCTTTTGTAGAGGATGTTCTGGGGCTACACTGGCATCTGAAAGGATTACTGTGGCTCTCTGAGCCACTAACTTGCTAGGCTTTCCCCAGGCAGAGTTTCAGCCCCAGGGAGAAGCTTCCCAGTAAATGTAAATGAGCAGAGTCCGTGGTTTAAGGACCTTCCTGCGGAGGAGAGAGAAGGAGGAGAGATAAGCCGCAGACACCCCTGGCACGGCAAGGTAGGCTGGGTTGCTTGCCTGCTAATTATCTTCTCGGTCTTGCTCCGCAGTGTTTCTCTAGTTTCAGAATTTGAATTGCTGACTTTGTGTAGAATTTTCAGCCTCTCGAGTTGTTGAATTGAAGGGCAGCACCACAGCCATTCCCTACAGAGTCCTAACGGACAGGCGTCCTATGTCGGAATCCTGATCCTGTGTAACCCCGGGGATGTACCAGGGCAAATGCAGCAAAGACACAGCGGTCAGACTCCTTGTGGGAGAACCCCGGCCTAGGAGAAGCTGCTGGTAAATTTAGGGCACGTTGGAGAAGTGGGGGTGGGGAGAGAAGAGAAGAATGAAAGCATTATTCTAAGGAGCTACTTTTATTTATAGATTCTCCTAATTCTATTAAAATGAATGCCGGAGGGATGTAAAACTTGGAACACATAACACATAATAGAAATGAAAGGACATTAAACTAAAATAGGGAAAAATGGTAAAATGAGAAGAGAATCTTAGTACCAAGAGGAAGATGTGACATTTTTCTGAAATAAAATAATCTTACAGCACAGTGTATGGGGAAAGTGAATTAAATAAAGTAAGGACTTGGTTAGCAGAAAACTTGGAAGGAAACAAAATATTTCATAATGAAAAGGAGAAAGTGTTAAGCTGACTCAAGGGGAAAACACATACAGATATTACACTAATTACATTATAAAGACAGATAAATAAGATGTCATTGTTGTAAAAGGAAATAAAACTAATTAAATGTTTAATGTGCTTTAAGAGACATTGGTGAAATAAAATATATTAACTATGGTAAAATATGTGAACAGGCATAATTCGCCTGCCTTGTTCTGGCAGCCAGCACAGTACCTCACCTCCTGTGTACAAAACAAGGGACGTTTGATCCCTGAGTTGGAATGGTTCAGCTCTTTCTTCAAAAAAAATGGCAGTTAGAAGCACCTCCAACAACTGAATGTTTGCAATAATGCCAGTCCCGAAGTGAGCACTCAGCGCGTGTTGTTGCCAGTCATATTGATATCATCACGGCGATTATCATTAGCACTGGATGAGAGAGAAACAGCACGTCCTTCCAGCGTCAGGCCTTGGAGTCAGACTAGGAAAGCACTATTTTTAAAGTAGGAATTTAAAGCTAGTAAAAAGTGTCACGGAGAAGATTTCAGATCCACTGTTTCTTTTACCTTTTGTGTTGGCCGATTTGAAAAGCTTAGGATGGAAAAGGCAGAAGTTAAGCCAAACTAGGAGACAAACTGCTGAGCCATGATTCAGCAGCTGGGACATTTCCAGCCTGCACACCGTCCTCACCGGCTCCCAGCGAGGCACCCGGCTCTAGCCGCTCCATTCAGCAGCGTGTGGACACCCCTGCTCAGTCCTTCGCCTGCCTGGCATGTTCTTCGGGGCTCGTGCCCACCACCACTGACGCAAAAGAGGACCCTCTTGCCTGAAATTAATTAACTAAGGATTCTCTCTTAAAGATGAAAGAAAATAAAACTTGGGGTTAAGATGACAGACGGAGGGTCTCTCGGCACTTCACCCATGTCGGCATCTTGGAGCCAGCGTAGAAGCTTATGAAGGAATGGTTTCTCGCCTGCACACAGTCACGCAGGGCATGTAGCAGCTCTCTACACACGTGCATTTGCCTGTAAACTACAAATGCTCACTGTCTTCATTCCCAAGAGACTGAAGTGCCTGGAGAGGCTGGATTATTATCCTCTCCCCCAGCTTTTCTTGCTCTGGGCATCACTTGGGATGGATTGTACAGAAAACTGACCATCTTAATTAAATGAGCAGGAGTTGTAAGGCTCTTCTAGAATGGGAGGGCAAAGGTGGGAGTGTTTTTTCTCCCTGTAATAGTCAAATTTCCCCAGAATGCCTAAAAAAACACGTGTTTCTCATAGCGCTATTTTGATCTAGTAGTTCTTGCAAAAAGAGCTAGTGACAAAATGAGAACTTTGAGATCAGAAGAGCTGGGTACGAATCCCAGCACTTTCGACGACACCTTGATCAACAGCTGGGGACCTCTGACATCCTTGAATGTCAAATCATTCACCTGTAAAATATGATTGCAACAATCATTGCCAAAATAGAATTCTATATCCAGCTGTTGTGAGGATTGCAGCATAAACTTAAACCTCCGTGAGACGAGCTGTCATCACTAGTGCAGATGTGAGGTCTGTCTCCTTGCCTGACGGGCACACTCCATGCTGATCCTAGAGAGAGCTGTGCCTTCCTGTGTGGATACCTAACAGCAGTCCATACTGTGACCACTGGCCCAGCATCAAGGACGTGGATGGCCACTCCCAGTTATTAGTACCAACTGCTGTCTCCTTCATGGACATTTTGCCTGGGATGGTTCTTTATTGGATTTTGGAGGAGCCATACAATTCTGGGTGTTTGTGGAGTCCTGGAGTCATGGCCCACCTTCTGACACGAGAGCTGAAATTTGGAAGCATCAGATTTCTGTGATTTTATTTAACCAGTAATCTAAAAGCTCCTGCTGGAAATGGAGAGTTTGCATCCTGCTAAGGAATAATATGCTGGATGTCACCCAATTCCAGAGCATCATCAAACAGTAGCTAGGAATGTATTCAGATGCAAAAAGTAGATGATAGTGGCTTAAACAAAGTGGGGCTCACTGTTTTCACACAGTGAATATGAAGATGGACCATCCAGGGCTGGTGCTGTGACGATGATGATGATGGTGACAATGACAAGGATGACAAACTCTTACTGGGCAAGAAACTGCTCTGAGGGCTTGATCTCATTTACTACTTACTGCTAACCCACAAACTAGGTACTTTCCCTGTCTCCACATCACAGATGAGGAAACTGAGGCACAGAGCATTCAGATGACTTAACCCAATTAGAAATGGCAGAGCCAGAGCTGACACCACACTTTTTTCTCCTTTGTTATTTTTGAAACATGTTTAACATTTAAAATCTATTATTTGACACATATAAAATATTTCCCACAATATATTTGTTGGTTATACAAAGTATAACAATAGAACCTGTGAAGCCACCACCCGTCCAGTGACTAGGCTATTACCAGTATTACCTACGCGTTCCTTGCACCCTACCACCTGCCAGACACCTCCGGCTCCCGCAGGAAGCCACTGTCCGCGTGGCTTGCGTATCTCCGGCGTAGATGTGCTTAGACAACGTGTTGCTTAGCTTTGGTTTTGAGCACTGTGGGAATGATGTACTGTGTGGGGTATTCTGAGACTTGCTTTTCTCCCCCCAGTTTAACATCGTGTTTCTAAGGTTTAGCCACAGTGTGGCTATGGCCCCAGCTTAGCTGTGGTTCTCTTACTTTCACTGCTGTGAACACTACCGTGTTTTTTGGCCAGCACATCTCAATGTATCTGTCCATTCTCCTGGCATGTTTGTAATTCTTTTTTAAGAATTGTTGTTGGCCAGTCGTGGTGGCTCATGCCTGTAATTCCAGCACTTTGGGAGGCTGAGGCAGGTGGATCACCTGAGGTCAGGAGATCGAGACCAGCCTGGCCAACATGGTGAAACCCTGTCTCTACTAAAAATACAAAAAATTAGCTGGGTGTGGTGGTGGGCACTCGTAGTCCCAGCTACTCGGGAGGCTGAGGCAGGAGAATTGCTTGAACTGGGAGGCAGAGGTGGCAGTGAGCCGTGATCGTGCCATTGCACTCCAGCCTGGGCGACAGAGCGAGACTCTGTCTTGAAAAAAAAAAAAAAAGAATTGTTGCTAAGAACAGCCTTATACAAGACCGCTAGTACACAAATGCCAGAGTTTCTTTGGGGTGTGTGCCTAGAATTGGGATTACTGGGTGTACATATACGGCATATGAATCCTTTGTCAGTTAACAGGAGTGGGAAACCGTGTTTCCCAGTTTATGAATTTTTTTTACCTGTATGGGGTGTCTTCTGATTAAACTGGAGAGTTAACTTTTACATAATTGTATATAAAAATTTATTCTCTTTTAATAACAATTCTGTTAAGTTATAATTCACATAGGATGCACCTATCTAGAGCATGCAGCTCAGTGGGTTTTGGTACATTCAGAGAGTTGTACAACTGTCCCCGCACCCCATCTGATAACATTTTCATCACCCCAGAAAGAAATGCTATCCCCGTCTTAGCAGTCAGTCCCCATCTACCCCACTCCCTTAACCCTAAGCAGCCACTCATCTACTCTCCGTCTCTCTAGATTTGCCTATTCTGGACATTTCATATAATGGAATCATACAGTAATAATAGGGTCTTTTTGTATCTGGCTTCTTTGACTTAGCATGTTTTCAAGGTTCATCCATTTTATAACATGTATTAATATGTCATGATTTTTATCACCAGATAACATTCCACTGTAATGAATTGCCCACATTGTGTTTGCTCATTTATCAACCGATGGACATTTAGGTTGTTCCCAGGTTTTTTGCTGTTGTGAATAACGCTGCTGTGGATATTCACGTGCAAGTTGTATGTGGACGTATGTTTTTACCTTTCTAGGGAGCTTATCTAGCTGTGGAGTGGCTGAGTCATATGGCAGCTCTATGTTTACATTTCTGAGAAACTGCCAGGCTGTGGACCCACCCTTCACGGTCTCACCAGCCATGTCTGAGGGTTCCAGTGTCACCACATCCTCATCAGCACTTGTGATGATGCGTCTTTTTTTCTGCACCCATCTCATAGATGGAGTGGTTTGCATTTCCCTTACGGCTAATGACGTTGAACGTATGTTCCTGTGCTTTTTGGTCATTTGTGTCTCTTTTTTAGAGAACCGTCTGCTCAGATTTTTGTTCATGTTTAGTGGGTTTATGTGGCTTTTATTGTTGTATATTCTAGATACGAGTCCTTTATCAGACACGTGACTTGCAGTCATTGTCATCCTTCTCTGGGTTGTCTTTTCACTTTCTTGATGGTGTCCTTTGGAGCACGGACATTGTTTTTTTAATCCACTCTGACATTCTCTGTCTTTTGATTGGTGTGTTGAGACCATTCACATTTAAAGTCCTTGCTGGCGTTGTTGGATCAGTATCTACCGTGTTTGTAACTTTTCTGTTTGTTACATTTGTTCTCCGCACCCCTGCCCCTCCCCAACCCCACTCCTTTCTGCCTTCTCTGGTTTTCATTGAGCCTTTTAGATAATTCCATTTTGTCTCCTTGCTTAATGTGTCGATTATACTTCTCTTAAAATTTTTTTAGTGGTTTCCTTAAAGATTACAATACAGTTCATACTTAACTGATTTAAGTCCACCTTGAAGTAATACCGTGCGGCATCACGTGTAGTTCAGGTGCCTTAGATCATTACCAATGTCCCCCTCACGGCCCCATCTCTTAGGACACCATTGTCTTCCTTCAGTTAGCGCTTCCTCTGTTCTTGTTTAAGAAATCCTTCCTACCCCACAGTCAGAAAGATCTCCTCTAGTGCTAGTCAGTGTCTCAGAAGGCAACAGGTGGCCCCTCTGTCCTCTTCTAATAGCCCTCATCCCGCCAGCTCAGAGCCAGAGTGGAGCCTCAGCCGTTCCTGGGTGTGTCCGCACACTCTGCTCTGGAGCTGGGGAATGACCTCAGGAGGGGCTGAGCTGCACTGGACGTACCATCAGATGGTCCTGTTTCCATGAGCAGAACAAGACGTGCTGTTTCCACCCAGCTCAGGACCTGTGCGTCTCAGTAGCACATCAGGGCTGTAGAATCAGTGCGGGTTTAGGGCCTGTGTTTAGTAGCCAGTGGGAGGTCAGCGTGTGTCCCTGTCCCCAGCACACAGCCGCCTGGCAACAAGTGGCCATGCGAGTCTGGGGAACGTGTGAGGACAGGCTGAGGACAGGCTCACCACACACGCTGATTGCCCCTCGCAGGGCCCTTTCTTAAAGGGTCCCAGCCTCCCCGTCATTGGTCTGGACACTGGATGATGTTGCAAATCCCCACTATGGTTCTGCTCAGCAGACCCAGTAGGTCCCAGCTTCTGTGTGTCAAGCGGCATCTGATCAGGCTTGCCCTCTTTTTCATCTTGGAGCCTCTCCCCAGGTCCTGCGAGTCAAGTACACTGAGTAGCCTCTGTCCCCTTGCTTAGGTGATCACTCTGGTATGCCCGCCGCTGGCCCCTACTACCCAGGATCCCGCAGTTCCCGTGGAGAGTGGGAACCTGGTGCTGTGGGAGCATCCCTTGTCACCGGCGGGATAGAGCGGACAGCCTCCATGGACTTCTTTAGGAGGACGCTGACCCTCCCCCAGGCATTTTCCTAACCCCTTGGTGAGGAGACCAGCTCCAGGCCTCCCCAGGGAGTATAGGCCAGGTGGCTTAACAGGGTGTCACGCAGTAGATCCCTCCAGCCTCCCATTTCCCTGCATTCCCAGCAGACCAGCAGCAGCTACATTTGGGACCTTGTTAGAAATGAAAATCCTTGGACCCCACCACAGCCTGCTCGATCACAGACTCCGGGAGAGGGCCCAACAATCTGGCTTTAATAAACCGTCTGGGGCTGGAGAACCACAGCTCTGCAGGATGTCCCGGAGGTCCAGCATACTGACCTCATCAGCGATTGGTTTTTATTAATTCTAGACTTGGATTAGCCAATCTTGTAGACTATACACACCCCTCGATGTTCAAGGTTCACATTAAATGACCAAATTGTGAGGGAACCACCTTGTCCACACGTGTGGGTACATATGACCTACTTGCATTTCGTCCCGCTTGGAGCCCACCTCCCAGGCTCCTGCCCCCACACAGTGGACATCTCCTTCTGACGCAGTTCCTGTGCCTTGGGGTCTGCCTTGTTTTATGGGCCCAGGTGGCGCAGGATGTGGGTGAGTCTGTGGAGAAAGGGCACCAGCTTGCAAGGCAGCAGCCCCAGGAGCAGCCTGGGAAGGCTTTGTGCAGAGGAGGCCTGTTTCCTCCTACGTGTTGGGAGAGTTGTCTCTGCAGATGGTGGGTGAGAGTTCGCTGCCAAAACCACTGTCTTCCCTGCCCTGCGGACACTTCTTCCTCACCTTCCTAAAACTGTAAGAGACCTGGAGCCGTTGAGCATCAATGACTCTTTGACTCAGGAATCTTAAAAAATCACACCCTGGGGCTACCATGGGGGCCTTCTGGTTCTCCTTGTGTATTACTAGTTGAATGTTTATAGCTTTCAATTTCTTTTTCCCCTTCTATATGCTCTCTAAGGACATAGGAAGAATCTACCTGACCTCACAGCTTTGGTAGGCACTGTTATTGCCACACCCTCTTCTCCCAGTGGGCACCCCACACCCCAACTCCCCGGCACGTTGTTCAGTGGGACTGCCAGTATCATGTATAATCATGAATGCTGTGGATTATCCTTATTCACACACACAGACTCACACCCTCACACCCAGAAAGGCAACTATCCCAGTGCTCCCAGAATAGATGAACAACCGAATCCCAGATTCCCTTCGTGAGGATTTATTTGAAGACCACTTTCAGTAACAATTACTTTATCAGTGGAGGTCTCAGCAGGAAAGATACGGCACATAGTAGAGCACTTTGAGGAAGGTCACTAGACCGGTTCCCAAGGCATGGGCGGAGTTCAGAGAAACCACCAGGAACTGGTAGCAGCAGAATTGTTGCAACGCTTGGCCCCAAAGGAAGAGGGGAGGGAATGTTGATGGCACCTGGAAGGAGAGGTTGTATTGACAAGTCTCCTTGGTAGAGCAGTGATATTCGGGGAGAAACACGGCCAGCCAGAAGTTACCCTGTAGAAGGGGGCAGAGGAGAAAACAAGCCAATTCGACCCTCCTCCCAACCTGCCTCTCTCGTCTCTCCCATTTTCTGTTTCCAAAACCGACCCACAGTCAGAGGGCAAAGGAGCCAACCAGAAGGCCCCTGTGTGTGATTTTTAAGATTCCTGAGTCAAAGAGTCATTGATGCTCAACGGCTCCAGGTCTCTTACAGTTTTAGGAAGGTGAGGAAGAAGTGTCCGCAGGGCAGGGAAGACAGTGGTTTTGGCAGCGAACTCTCACCCACCATCTGCAGAGACAACTCTCCCAACACGGAGGAGGAAACGGCCCTCCTCTGCACAAAGCCTTCCCAGGCTGCTCCTGGGGCTGCTGCCTTGCAAGCTGGTGACCTTTCTCCACAGACTTGGGCCCCCATAGCCATGTGCCTGGGGCTGAAAGCACGGTAGAGGAAACCGGAAAGTGGATTTAGAGGGACAAACAGAAGATATCCAACCCACTCTCAGACGTCCTCCTACAAGTTTTAGTTTTACTTCTCACACTTAAGTATTTAATCTAGCTCAAATTGGTTTTGTGTTTGATGTGAAGTAGGGATTTTATTTTATTTTTTTCTCATATGAATAACCACCTTTTCCCAGCATCATCAGTGGATTAGTTCCTCCTTTCAACACTGATATTCTATCAGTAAATCAAGTTCTGTATTTGCATACAGATTGTCTCCCTTTTCTGTTCCACGAGTTAAACTTGTCTGTCTCTGACCCAGTGCCTCACAGACTTCAGTACTGTATCTTCATAATAAGGCTTGATATGTGGTGGGGCAAGTCTTATTCTTTTTCAGGAGTTTTAGGCTATTCTTGGCCCTTTGTTGTTTCATATTAACTTTGAATCAACTTGACAAGTTCCACAAAACAAAAGCTGTTGGGATTTTGACTGAAATTTTATTTAATATATACATCTATCTATCTAATGTATCTTTATGATATGGGACCTTCCTATCCATGAGCATGGTATCTCTTTATTTAGGTCTCCTTTAAGTATTAGTAAAGTTTGTAAATTCTTATATACACAACTTACACATCTCTGATAAAGGCATAGGTACCTTAAGTGTCTAACAGTTGTTGCTAGTATATAGACGTGCAGTTGATTTTTTAGATTGGTCTCACATCTAGCCACCTTTCAATAAAGTCCCTTATTTCTTCCAATAATTTGTCTATTTTTTATGTAAACCATAGGAAACCATAGATTTGATATGGTTATCTATGTAGATAGTCATATCATCTGTGAATAATTGTAGTTTTGTCTCTCCCTAATCAATCTTTAAGCTAATTATTTATTTATCATGGCTGTTGTTGACTAGAACTTTCAGTATAATGATGAATAAAAGCATTGATTTTGGGCAGTCTTATCTTGTTCTTGATTTTAAAGGGAGTGCTTTCAGGGTTTCCACATTAAGATTGATATTTGCTGTTTGTTTTTTGTAAATGCCTTTTTAACAGGTTAAGAAAGCTTCCTTCTTGTTTTAATTTGCTAAGAGTTTTTAATCATATGGGTTTTGAATTTTATCTAATGCTTTTCCTGTATCTTCTTTATTCTGCTACTGTAAAAATTACAGTTATTGACTTTCTAATGCTAAAATACCCTTGCATTTTTGGAATAAACTCACCATGGTCATGGCAGACTATCTTTCTTCCTCGTTGCTGAATTTGGCTTTCTAATATTTTAGTTAGGAGTTTTGCTTCTATATTCTGGGTAAAGTGGACCTAGAGTTTCCCTTTCTTATACTGTTCTTGTCTGTTTTTAGGATTAAAGTATTCTGGCCTGATAAATTTTTACTTTTTCTGTTCTCTGGAAGAGCTTGTTTAAGACTGGGATGATCTATACCTTGAAATTTTGGTACAGCTTACCTGTGAAACTGTCTAGGCCTGTTCTGTGTGAGAGAGATGGGTGTTTAAGCACTGTTTCAGTTTCTTTAGTGGAAAGTTTGACAAGTCCTGTATTTGTTTTTTAGTTAGTGGTTTCATAAATTACAATTTTCTAGGAATTTTTTAATGTGGTCTGTGTTTTCAGAATTATGAGTGTAACGGCATTGGTAGTGTTTCCTTATTGTTTTTAAACCTCTGCTTGATCTGCGGTTACATCCTTTTTCCACTTATCATGTTATTTATTCGTTTGCGCCTTAATTTTTTTCTTTATCAGTGGTGCCATGGGTTTGGCTATATTGCCAGATTTTTAAAGAACTGCATTTGGCCTTTTAAATTCTATTGTAAATTTGTTTTCTACTTTTACAGAGTTCTGGTCCTAATTGTATTACCTTCTTCTCATTTTTTTTTCTTTTAACTTTTTAGTTTGATGCTTAATCCCATGAATTTTCAGCATTTCTCTTACCACGAACACCTCAGGTTACACACATCTTTCCCGGGGTCATGTCCACAGTTCCCATGAGTTGTCCTAAATAGTATTTTCATTATCATTCCATTCTAAGTATTTTTTTATCCCAATTATGATGTTTTCTTTTACCATGAGTTATATAAACATGTGTTTGTGAATTTCCAAATGTGTGACATGTTTAGTCTTTCTTTGCCCTGTTGACCTCCAGCTTAATTGCATTACAGCCAAAGACTATGCTTTCTTGGAAATCAGTTCTTAGACATTTGGGGGGTGTGCTTGAAGTCCTGGTACTGGGCTCAGTCTTTGAAAACGTTGTGTGTCTCTAGAGAGAAATGTTATTCTCTGTTGTTGGGCGTGGAGTTCTAAGTCTGCTGGATTACACCTCTTGACAGAGTGGCTCAGACCCTTTCCACTGCCATTGGCTTTTTGTCTAGGTGACCCTCTGCTACCCCTGTCCCTTATGGCCCCTGGAATCAGGGAGCTTATGTAGGAGGAGCAGGTGTTTGGGCTGGCCCTGGAGGGTGAGGAAGATTTGGCTTGATGGAGGTAGGCAGGGGGCCTGGGTAGAGGGGACAGCATAATACTGGTGAAGGAAGGCCAGGGAATGGTGTGGCATCTCGAAAGAGGGCCAGAGGGCAGGAAAAGGCTGGGGCAGGGACCAGAGGCCCTGGGAAAGACCCCTCTTTAGAAGAGGGGCAGGAGAGAGTCTTCTGAGGGGAGATGAGAGAGAGCCCACAGAGAGGAGGACACGGAGGGGTGGGGTTGGGTAGGCCCAGGCCATCGTGGGGGGTCTTCCTGGGCAGGAGAGGGACCTGTGTGACGGTTCATAGGGGCATAGTGGTGGCCATGTGGCTGTGTGGGGAGGAGGCCCTCAGTTCAGTGTGGGGCCTGGGATAGTGGGTGGCAAACATCAGATGGAATTTCACAGAACCTAACGCACATCTCTCTCCCTCGAGGTGAATTTTTCTTTACAGACCTGTGAATCTAAGAGATGATGTAACGCCTGAACTCATTTTATAACATCAGAAGTTTGCGACTTAAAAATGTTTCAGAAGGTGGGGGCGTGGGCTGTCTAGGGTTCTAAGGAGAACGTGGTTGAAACAGCTGCCTAAAGGGACTGAGGGTGTTGGAGGACCCGGTGGCAGGCGCATGGATGGAGGACCAGGAACCACCAAGGTCACCATGGGTGGGAGGCATCAGGGTGAGGGAGGGGTGTTGGTGAGGGGCCCAGCTGGAGCTGTGTTCATAGTTGCTGGGATGGAGGGGACAGGGCAGGATTCAGGGTGTCAGCAGAGTCAGTTACCTGGGAGGCGTGGCACAATGGTGATGGAGGAGGGGGAGCCCAATGATAGTGCAGTGAGGAATGGTGGGGGGGACGGGAATGGTGGCAGCTGGTGGTGTGGACTTAGGGTGGGGGGACGGGAACGGTGGCAGCGGGTGGTGTGGACTTAGGGTGGGGGGACGGGAATGGTGGCAGCAGGTGATGTGGACTTAGGGAGAGGAGACGCGGAGCAAGCCGGGAGAACTGGGTGGGCCTGGATTTGTCCTTTCCTGGTAGGATTACTGTGGCCACAGAATTTATTGTGCAACCAGGATGTTTCTAGGAAGTAAAAGGGAGAGCCTGGACACTTACAGCTGGGCAACAGGATGGAGGAAGCCAGCACACACATGATTCCCTGTGCAGGCACGTAGGGGCTTTCAGCTAAGCCAAGGGTGTGTGAGGAAGCACCAAAGGTGCAGAGGAGTTTCTCCCTTGTTTTGGCTTCAAAATAGATGTTTGTATATAATAGGGATTCCCAAGGGCTCAGTGGGCGGAGCTAGCAGTGAGGCTGGGAGAGGAGAGGTGGCCTGGAGAGGGTTTCTCTTCTGTCCGGAAGCCTTTCTCCCTTGGCTGAGAGAAGCTACACACACGCCACTTCTCTCTGAACACGTGGCTCGTGAACCACAGTCCTACAGCTGTCAGTAGTAAAATCCAGGCCCATCCAGCATGCTTGCGGGATGTCGGGGTGGTTAAATGAAATGGAAGGCAGTTTGTTTTTTCCAAGTGAGATGGATGTGAAGGAATTAGGTAGAAGCTGACAGAGGTATACCCAAAACTGCTAAATTTAGCCTGGATTCAAGAAAGAGGTTAGAGAGGTGGCATTGTGAGTAATTAGACGCGTCGCAGAGAGCGTGAATGATTGACAGAGTTTGTGTCTGTGGTTGCCGCTGGGGAGAAACAGAGCAGAGTGGGAGTCTTCGGAAGGAGCGAGGAGCCAATCTGCTGGGTATGTGGAGCCTTTGGGACCGTCAGTCGCGCTTCGGGTGCTGGGGTCTGTTTGCGCTGGAGAAGATACACATGGTGAAAGGGAGAGTGAGGCACAGTCCCTGGAGACAGACGATGGTCTGTAAATGGTGAGCAAACAACAGTCAGGAGCCTTGCTGGAGTCTGTACCAAGGGCCCTCCTAAGAAGCCGGGTCCTGTGGGGGTCCAGTGACTGTGTACAGCCCGGGGGTCCAGTGACTGTGTATAGCCCGGGCCACATTGCCCAGCTCGGGTCTCTACGGCATTTGGGTTTATGCCTCAGCTCAAAGCCTTGCGGAAACCCCTTTCAACATGTGCGCTGTCTGCTGCAGAGACTCAAACCCACTGGGGCAAAGCGAACACACAGCACTGGAGTTGGGTTTCACGTCCCTATCACCACGACCTGTGCCCACCAACCTAGAAATAGTTGGGTGAACTTGCTGGTTGTTTGCTGAGATAGTGCACATGGCAGTCACATAGGTCTTTACTGTGTCTTGCCTGATAGCCCAGCATGAGTAGAACAGCCATGGAGACCTCTGAGAGAGCAGGACGAATGTGTCTGACCATGTTGTTGCAAGCCACCTAAAACGTGGCTGGACCCAGCTCCACCTCTGGAGGGACGTACCACGGGCAACCATCTGTGAGGGTATTGCAGACACCAGATGTCAGCGCTGGTAGGGGGTAAGCAAACATCAGATGGAATGTGAGCATAAGAGATGACATAAGGCCAGAATGTGTTTTACAAAATCAGAAGTTTTGGACTTAAAAAATGTTTCAGTCTGGAATTGGACAGATAGCGCAGGCTCATTTTATGGATAAGAAATAAGTTAGTTTCAAGAAAATGGATTGCCAGACACGAATGGTATTGCACACCCAGAGGGGTGGCCAGGGCTGCCTGTGTGTGGGCTGTCCCCGGCACAGCTCCTCGGCTCCCCTCTGCCCTGCACCCTGTACTGTTCACCTTGGCCCTGTATGGCTCCGTCTAGGTGGGATTATCTTCCCCACAGGGGCCACTGATAAAGAAGCACTCTATATATTTTTAAGAATTGAAATCAAAGGGCAAATGGGATTTCTCTAACTTTGCAACTAGCTTTATTGCAATGCACTTCCCCCCACAAAGGGAGCTGCATCCTTGTTCTTTTCTTTAAGAAATACTATGAAAAAACCCAGCTGACCAGCCTGCGCCCTGGGAGGCTGGGGCTGCTCTCTGTGTGCCAGGCCGTGAGCCGAGCATTCCATATGCATCACGCCTCATTTATCCCCCTAGAAACCTTGGGCAAGGAAATGCTGCTAATCCCAATGCATGGAAAGGGAAGCTGAAGAGAAATTTAGGAACTTGCTCAGAGATCCTTTTCACTTAAACAGAGGAGTTGGGATTCAGATCTGGGTAGTCCTTGGCTCCAAGGCCCAAGACCTCAACTGCTGAGTTGAGATTTTTATTTATTTATTTATTTTTATTTATTTATTTATTTTTGAGATGGAATCTCACTCTGTTGCTCAGGCTGGAGTGCGGTGGCACGATCTTGGCTCACTGCAACCTCCGCCTCCTGGTTCAAGTGATTCTCCTGCCTCAGCCTCCCAAGTAGCTGGGATTACAGGTGTGCACCACCACACCCAGCTAATTTTTTATATTTTTGGTAGAGACGGGGTTTCACCATGTTGGCCAGGCTAGTCTCGAAATCCCGACCCCAGGTGATCTGCTTGGCCTCCCAAAGTGCTGGGATTACAGGCATGAGCCACTGTGCCCAGCCCAAGCTGAGATCTTGATACTCCCTCTGGAGTGTCCTTGGTCATGCAAGGCAAGGCCTGGGGTCCCTTCATTGCTACCTCCTTGCCTCCCTTTGACCCTCACCTTGTGTATTCCCCCTTTCTCTCCCCGGCTCCATCTTGCCTCGAAAGACGAGTAGAGAAGATGTTCCCTCCACTGCTAGGACTCCAGCTTCTAAGAATGTGGGTCCCTGTTTTTATCCAGGGGTGCATCTGGCAGATTGCCGTTCCTTGTTATGCCCTCTGAGAGCCCGGTAGGCAAAGCGGTTTCCTATGTGCCTCCTTCATCTTGCTGTGTCATGCTCGCTCCTGTCAGCCTCTCCCCTGGATCCAGGCCCTGGGCCCATGTGGGCCCTTCTGGGTCCCTCATGTCTAAAATACCTGGCTCGAGCAGCTGCCCAGATATTTGTTGAGGGAAGGAATGAGGGAATGGACAGACGCCTCTGGAGACCTGCAGTGGCTTGAGAAAACAAGGACAAGGGTTCCAGACAGAAGAGGAAGGAACGGTTGGAGCAGCCCAGGAGTCAGGGTGGGCGTCACTATTGATAAACGCACAGACGGTGACTGCACAGAGTCTCGTCACTGTGGGTGGGTCTTCACCAAGTCCCTGTTGATAAGCTGCTGTTACGTGAATCAGCACGTGGAGGGGACCATCCGTCCTTCCATCCCTGGAGTAGGATGATCTGTCTTCTCTTACCCTCCTTCCAAGCAATTACTTCTCATCTGTAAATTAGTGCTGCTGAAGTTTTACTTTGAGTATGCAAGTTCTGTTGAAATCATTTATTGGCAAATATTCCATAAGCCACAGATGTTAGTGCAAATGGGATGGAGAGAAAAGGCAATGTAGTGCCTCCCCGATAGAGTAGAAACTGTGGCCAGCAAGGGTGCAGAGATGGGCTGGGACCTGGTCCCCTGACTTCTTAGCATACAGCTTGCCGGAGAAATCCCAAATGCCATTTTTAAAGAGCCATATGAAAATTGCACAAAGTCTATTTTTAGTTTACAAGCCAAGATATGCTTTGCAACCGGGAAAGGATGTCCCTCAGTTGTATTTTGGTGAAGTCATGACAGCTGCCTCATCAGTAGCTTCTTCATTTTTAATTACCAGCGTGGGGTTGAGTCACAGAAGCAGAATGACAGTGCATGTTTCTCTGTGCCTGGTTTTAATTGGTGTGATTGAGTTGGGGCATTGATGCAGCTGGATGAAAGCTTTCTGTATCTTCATGCACTGGGAGCTGCCGACCTCAGCAGGGCAAGCTGTCACAAGGCCAGCAGCATAGGAGCTTGGTCACTGTGCCACCTGGTCAGCAGGCCTTTGAAGCCATCATTTGGGATAGGCTCCAGGATAAAAGGAAGCTGAGCTTGCATGGTGTTTGGCTGACACTCTCACCACCCATGACTGTCAGTCCCGGTCAGGTGACTCTGGCCGTCCCTGAGATGATTGCCACCTCCTTCCTGTGTCCTTGTTCCCTTTAAGGGAAACCACACAATAGAGAGGGGCCAAGGATGGGAAGCGCTTTCCGGAGCTAAGAGCTGTTAATAATAACAGCTGGGCAGCACTGCCGTGCTTGGCTGTGCCTTGGGGTCGGCTATGCCTTCTCCCTCTCAGGCCTCCAGATGCTGCTGGTACACTGGAGCCATAGTCCCAGCATCCTGAGTGACACAAGAGAGGTGGGAAAGGTGGGGACAGAATGCAGAGGAGAGTTTTTTGTTTGTTTGTTTGTTTGCTGTGGTCAAATACACATAATAGAAAATATATCATCTTACCTGTTTGTAAGTGTATAGTTTGGGGCATTTAGTATTTTCACGTTGTTATGCAACCATCACCACTGTCCATCTCCAGAACTTTTTTATTTTCTCAGACTGAAACTCTGTACCCTTTTATTTATTTATTTATTCATTCATTCATTCATTCATTCATTCATTCATTTTTTGAGATGGAGTCTCACTCTGTTGCCCAGGCTGGACTGCAGTGGTGTGATCTTGGCTCACTGCAACCTCCGCCTCCTGGGTTCAAGCGATTCTCCTGCCTCAGCCTCCCAAATAGCTGGGATTACAGGTGCACGCCACCATACCCGGCTAATTTTTGTATTTTTGGTAGAGGCGGGGTTTCACGCTGTTGGCCAGGCTGGTCTCTAACTCCTGACCTCATGTGATCTGTCCACCTGCCTCGGCCTCCCAAAGTGCTGGAATTACAGGCAGAAGCCACTGTGCCTGGCCTGAAACTCTGTACCCTTTACACACCAACTCCCCACTCCTCCCTCCCCCACAGCCCCTGGCAACCACATTCTGTCTCTATGAATTTGGCCATTCCAGGTACCGCATACAGGGAGAATCGTTCAGTATTCGTCCTTAGTGCCTGGCTCATTTCACTGAGCACAGCGTCCTCCAGGCTCATCTGTGTTGTAGCATGCATCAGAGTTTCCTCCCTTTTTCAGGCTGAGCCATATTCCATCGTGTGTCCCTGCCAGGTTTTGTCGATCCACTCAACCAGCCACAGACACCTGGGTTGCTCCCACCCCTTGGCTTTTGTGGAAAATGCTGCTGTGAACACGGGTATGCAGATATTTGTTCAGAACCCCGTTTTCACATCTTCGGGTACAGGAGGTATATATTTTTAAGTGAAAATTTGAAGATTAATTTTTCTAGAATTCCTTTTGATTTCCCTTGGGATAACTTGCTCTCAAGTGATGGTGTTTTAGGTATTAAAATGTGAATTTCCAACATGTCTTTCATAAAGACAAAATCTTATTTTTAAAAACCTTGTAGCCTCCTCCAACATGACCTCCCTTGGCCAAGTAGCCATGAGCTGCAGCCCAGCACTGACCCTTCTTTCTGGGGAGTCCAGGAGGGGGCCTGGCAGGAGCCAGACGGGCTCCCCCTGACTGCCTTGGGTGCTCAGTGTAGTTTGTTCTCTGATCCATGATGTAAGCAGCGTGCCCAGGTGTGCTGTGCACAGCCTTTGGTGCTCAAGGTCACAGACACAGTCCACTCTTCACGAGCAGAGCTGCCCTATGCTGAGAGTAGACCTGGACTCGTACCGGAGCCTCTCTCCCCTGGCAAATTCTCTAGATGAGACTTTCTTGAGGATAAGGCACCCCCTACTTCTCGCATACTCAGAAAGAAAAAAGTAAACAGTGGGCCTCCTCAAGTTGGGAAAGTCTCAACCAAATGTCTCGATCCCCACTTTCCAGGCGACAGGCTGCCTGTAGCCTGCAGGCATGTGTTAGGCAGGCTACACAGTGGTGGTAACATGTACAATGAGTTGCCATTATTAAAAACTCGGGAGAGCGCATGTCGGATCCAAATGCTGGCTTCTCTGGAAGAGTTCAGGAGATCTCGCAGTTCTGGGTTCCTGGAGCCTCCGCAGGCTCACCTCCTCCCTGACATGGGGTCCCAGGCTGGGCCCTGTGGGCATCGGGGGTACCTCACCCAACTAGAGAGGCCAAACATGGCACAGGGAAGTTAGCGAGCAGCAGGGAGATGTGGCTCAAATCCATTCCCACTAACACATCAGCTGCACAGGGGCAGCCTGCGGGGAGCAGGGGCGTGTGCTCTGCCTGGGGGTGAGGTATGGGCCCTGGGCACATGGGGCAGGGCCAGGCCTCAAGCAGCCTCCCTACCCCAGAGGTCACCTGCCCTTGAAATACACCTCATTTTCTGTCTCTTTTACAAAATAATTCCTGGATCCCACGGGCCCTCCTTTGATGGGAGGAAGGAATGGGGCAGCTCTGAGAAGCAGTCTGTCGCCGCTTCTCAGCATGGGGTTAGAGAAAGAGTTTTGTCTTCAGTTTAGACCATACATTCTTTAAGCTTTATTTGGGAAAGGGGCTAAAAGGTCTGGTTACCTTGTTTTATTACAATTAAAAATTTCTTTTACAATTTTTTGAAACAATCACAAACTTACAGAAAAATTGAATGCACAGGGCAAAGCTCAACTGACCCAGCGCAGAGAACCTGGTGACCCCGGCCCCGCCAGCCCCAGTGCTCCAGTGTGTCCTTTGCATAAACAAGGACTGTGTCTGCAGAGCCGTGCAGCACAGCCATGGACACCGGGGAATTCCACCGGTCTTTATCAGTTGTAAGGGCCCCTAATGTAGTAACATGTTCCATCTGTGCTCTGTGGGTAACCAATCTGCCATGTCCTGTGTCTTCACTTTCCCTGAGTGGGCAGCCTGGTTATCTGCCTGGACTGACATCTGGAGTAGCCTGTTCCCACCCGTAGCCCCACGGGCTCGATTCCACGTTCCCCCATGTGAGCGCCCTCCTCACCTTCTGAGTTGCAGCAGTGCCTTGTTCTGGGCCACCCCGGATCTTCCCACCCCACACACACCATGTTCTTCCCCATATGATGACTTTAGACTGGAATTTTTCAGGAAAAAGAAGAGTTTTACAGCTTATCTTAAAATTAAAACAAAACAAAACAAAAATGAATACTCAAGAGGCATTGGATTTAGGAATCCGGTAAAACAACTAATTCCAGACAGCCGTAAAGAAACCTGCAACCAGGAAATGATTTAAAATGGAGATCTTCAAAGTCAGGATTGTAGTTTTTTCAGGTAGCTTTTTGTAGACCTTGAAAATATAGGCCGAGACCACATGTAGAAATTAAACGTTCTCATCCGAAGCCGGACCATTTGGTTTGGCGACTTAAGGGAAGAGAAAAATGAAGTTTGCTAAGTAAGAATTAATGATTTCTCAGGAATTTTTAGGATGTTGAACAGCTTAATTGCATAGTTTGGGTGGATATGTGTTGAAGAAAGTAATTTTAGGAGACTGGGAAATTGTGCAATCATCTTAACTTGGGTCAGGATTGTAATTATTGCAATAACAGAATGTTGCTATGTGTATATGTGACTGAAATGGGAAGCAGTTTTTAAAAAATGCTTTAAGAAATAACAACAAAATGTCCATTCTCTCTCTCTCTTTCTGGACTTCCTTAATTATAAATACCAGGTAATCCAGTGCTGGCTAAATATAGGTCCAGTGGTCATCTATATTTATAACGTTTTTTTCAGGCGGAAGTCACTAGAGCAATACAGAATTAATTTGGTGTGTAGGTTTTTATAGAGTCTAATTAGTTGTGTTTTTCTTAAGCAAACCAACCGGGATCAATAACATTATATAACTGAACTCGGACGACCATGACTTTTAGACATAGACTCTTCCCAGAAAGCCAAGGCCCTCGGCAGATGCCGGCCCTGAAGACAGACAAGCGGCTCCGGAAGCAGGCACGCTGCAGCTGCGGAGCGGACGGGGTTTGGAACATCTGTTTCCAGCCAAGGGCAGGCTTTGGGAGTGATAAAGTACAGTTTTTTTTTGCAAAGTCAGAAGCCTCATCTGCAGTCCATTCATCACTGAGGCCTTGAATTGAGACATTCTGTGGCTGCTTATCAGCTGTTCCCGTGTGGAAGGGTTTGGCTGGGCTGGCCTGGGGAGGTGGGGTGGGGATTTTGCAGACTTACCAAAGTATGCGCTTAGCCGACCCACCCCCACCAACAACGCAGCCTGCTCGAGGGCTACGAACTGCACCTGTGTCTGCAGTCACGTCCATTGGAGAGCTGAGTGGGCGGGTGGACCTTTGGAACTATTTGATGTCATTTGGGGTAGATTCGGCGTGCTTCTCGGTGACTTTGCTGCAAATTAAACATGTAAAGTAGATTGGGCTTTCCTCCTCCATTCCTCAGGATCTTCAAAAAACATTTAGTCTTTTCTGGCAGAGTGAACCCGAGCTGGCAGCGCCCACTGAGATTTTGTTTGAAGCCAGCTACATTCACATTTAAAGAAACGACATGATGGGGGAGGCCCTTTCTGTAAACCCCAAGCCAGGCCTTTCCCCTCGTGAGGGTTCCTACCCCTCCCTTGTGTGGCCCTGCAAGCCGCTTCTGCTTGTCCACACCTGCGCCCGAGAGTTCTTCTCATGGCTGGTGCGTGCCATGAATGAAGGGCACTGGCCAGTGGAAGGGAGTGCCCGGCCAGGCCTTGCCTGCCTCAAGTCCTCAGACCAGAGAGGCCAGTGGGGGTCTTGCCCAGACCATACAGCCGGGAGGTGGTCTGCCTGGCTCCATAGCCTCCTCCCGACCTCACAGCTGTCCTGGGACGGGGACTGAGAGAGAGCTCAAAGACAGGACAGCAGAGCCCGGGCCAGAAGGCACTGGGGGCATGCTCACCCCACCTCTGGATGCGGGGCCTCACTGGACAGCTGGACACAGATGGGATGGGGGGAGACCTGTGTATCCTCCCAATGTCATTTGGAGACAGAAGTCTGTTCATTTCATCAGGCAGATTTCAAGCTCCTCTGTGTTCCAGACACAGCCAGGCCCTGAGAATTGACAGACAACATAGCTCCTGCCCTTGAAGGCTTATGGTGGAGGGAGGGAGGACAAAGGGTGTCATAGCCATGTCTGGGCATACAGGGCCTGGGAGGCCTGAGAGGGCTTCCTGGAGTCAGTGACAGCCGAGGGGATGGTTAAAAGCAGAGTAGGAGTTGAGGGGACTTGAGCGAGCACAGGGGTGTGAAACGGTGTGTGAGGGCAGGGCCCCTTACACTGGATGACAGAGGGCAGTGTGGGCAGGGCCAGGCCTGTGGCTGGAGAGGGGTCCTGGCTGGTCGTGTATTCTCCGAGACAAGGAGGAGTCAGGGTGGGAGTGTCAGTGCGGTGGTACGGGAGAGACTAAGAGGCCAGCGAGGGTCCAAGCAGAGGGGTGGGGCTGCCTGCACTAGGGCTGGTGCGATGAGGGGAGCGGGTTTGGGAGCCATTAAGAGCCCCCTTTGGGAAGGTTTGGTGGTGGCTTTTACCAAGACAAGGAACGCCTCAGGAGGAGAGGTTTGGGGTGCAGGATGGCGAGGGTGCAGTGTTGTTGATGCTGCTCTGGCGTGGTGGAAGTTATGTGCTGACCTAGGGGTCCTGCCAGGAGCCAGTGGATAAAGATGGTGCAGATCCGGCCCAGCCCCTGGAGGACTCAGCCATTATGGGGCCACGTGCTTGGGACCCCCTTAGGCGGGAGAGGCTCCCCAGAGGAGATGATGCTGAGCTGAGCCTGGAAGGACCCAGGATTGGTTGGCAGGAAATGAAGAAACAGCCTTCTGGGCCTGTCTTCTCGGTATCTCATGCAGTTCCTGGATACAGCTCAGCTTCTCCCGCAGAGGATTTCAGAACCCACCTCCCCAGTGGCTGTTCAGACCTCTGGAACCAGAACGTCCATCTGGGGCCAAGCCCCCACCCACATGGGGTTGCTCAAGCTACTCAGGTGAAGCTGACATGTACGAAGGTGGCGAGCCATAGATCTGGAGTTCTGAGTTAGGGCAACCCAGCAGTGGCCCCAGGAGGCTCACTCGGATGTGAGAACTGTGGGAAAACCAAGGACCTACCTGGTATGTTTCAGAGTCATTTGTTTATGAACCTTACATAAACACACACACCTGGATATGTATATACACGTGTATATGCACAGATACACACACACGCCTGAATACATATGCAGTTGGCTGTCTTTATCCACGGGTTCCACATCTACACATTCAACCAACCTCAGGTCAAAAACATGAAAAAAAAATGTATGGTGGATGTAGAAACTATTTTCTTGTCATTTTTCCTTAAACAATATGGTATAACAACTATTTCCACAGCATTTACATTGTATTAGGTATTATAAGTAGTCTAAAGATGATTTAAAGTATTGGAGGATGTGTGTAGGTTGTATGCAAATATGATGCCATTTTATATCAGGGACTTGAGCATCTGTGGATTTTGGCATCTGCAGGGTGGCCTGGAACCAGCCCCCCACGGATGCCAAGGCATGACTGTATACATATATATACATCTGTATACAAACACTTGCACATCCATATACATATGCACACACACACACCGGCATACGTATATACACGTGTATACAACACTCACACATTCTATACATCCACACATATGCACACACACTCGTATACAGACATAATGGAATAATATGTACCTGAAACATAATATAGGCCTCCCATGATTTCCTTATTGAAATGAAGGAAAGTGCACACATGCTGAGGGTACTGGTTCTCTGGGAAAGAACCTGCCGCAAAGGACAAGGACCAAGGTGCCTGAAATTCCCCATGGTAACTAACAATCTTAACCATGCCGAGAGGCAGAAGGTTCAACGGTGAAGAATCCTGACTGTTCATTGACTAAATGAATCTTGAACAGTTTCACTGCTCTGTGCCTCAGTTTCCCCATCAGTCAGATGAGGATGGTCATAACATCTACTCCCTACAGTTGTTATGAAAATGAAGCTTATTAATTCATCTGAACTCCAAGCTTGCTGCCTGGAATGGGGCATGTGCCCAGCAAGCGTCAGCTGTTGTAATGAGCCAGGGGCACTCGGTAATAGTGAGGATCCCTGGCTGGGGGACAGGTGAAGGAGGGGGAATTGCTGTTCCCCACTAACTCTGTACCCTTTTGTACCTTCCATGTTTTGTATCATGTGCACATATTACCTATATTTTTTTAAATGTCAGAGCATCTTGTTAAAGAGGATTACACTACATTAAACTCTCTTCACTGTGAGTTCTTTGATCTCATTCCTTCCAGTGTTCTGGTCAAGAACATTTAGCAAGGTTTGTAATGATGTTCTAATGATGTTATCAGTTTGATCAAGTAATGCATATAATCGCCTATCAACGTTGAGTAAAGAAACATGAGCACCCTGTATTCAGCAAATTGTTTATTTTCTTGAATGGTGCATGAGACGGGCTCTAATTAATTCATTGTGAAGATACCACGGGCACCAAAGAGAACAAGAACGTATTTAAATTTCATGTTATGACATTACAAAGACAATGCCTTGTGGACTAGCAGTCAGATTCATTGATGAAGAGCAGATGGAGGTCAGGGGAGGACACGGGGCTGAGCAGGACTGGGACGCAGCCTGGGATGGTGGAGGCAGCGCCTCCCTTCTATAATCGAGGGAAGGAGGAGGAGGCTGCCAGGGCCCTCCGATAGCGGCAGTCCGTGGAAGCCACCGCTCCTGATTCTAAAGGCGGGCTGCTCAGGCACCGGCTGGAGAAGCGGTGCGTAGTCGATGAGCTGTGAGCACGGGAGCAGAGCCAGCGCCTGGTGTGGACACCGTCCGAGGCCACAGCCAAGCAGCAGCCACCCAGGACGTCCAGGCTGCTGAGCAGGGAGGAACACCTGCCATCAGGGCAAATGCCACATAAAAAAAGAACCTCACTTTACCTGGAAGATTATTTGGAATTTTGTCTTTAGGCCGCCCCCTTCCTGAGTCCACCGCTGTCCATTTGACCCTGAAGAGGTCCTAAAAGTGTGGCAGTCATCTTAAACCCTACTCGTGTATCTGTATGTCATTTAGTATCAAATTTTGTCACCTGCTTGTCTGTGAGCAGAATGGGGAGGCTGCTGGTTTAGGAACTGGGAGCCCCACAGTGTGACATAGTCTTAACCTCCCTGGGCCTCAGTATACTCATCTGTGAAATGGGGACATCTCTGTGGGTCCTTGTCACACCCTAATCTGTGAGTCAGGGCCAGAGGGCAGCCAGGTGTCCTTCATGTTCAACCAGGCCAGTGGCCACATCCCCACAGGTGACCCTGCGTGAGCCTGGGGGCCTCACAGCCTGGCATCCTGTCCCCCTTCCCCATGAAGGCACCCAGAGATGTGAAGGAACAGCCTCCCTCACTGGGGAGGGGCAGAACCTCCTCGTACCTGGGGTGGACCCTGCTGTGGTAGGTCAGATGAGAAGCCTAGAAGGGCTTAGGTGGGTGGGGAGGACGAGAGACAGCAATGGCTGTATCATAAACGCAGCATCATCCGGGCCGACGAGACTTTCAATGGGCCTGTGTTCCTGGGCAGCTGCTCCTGCCTCCTGCTGTGTCACCTTTGATTCTCTCACTGGTTTTGCCCGTGATGAAAACCTCACACTCCTGACCTGGTGCCTGATGTTGCAAAGGGAGGGCAGAGGGCAGGACCACATGAGTCAGACAGAAGGACGGGGCCTCTTGGAGCATCTGACAAGGTTTATGGAAAAAGCACGTCTCAGAGACTCAATGAGATGCTGAAGGTCTAGGCTTGCAGCCGCACCTGTGTTTGAGTCACTCCGTGTATGGACCGCCACTTCCCAGCCCTAGAGAACCCTTGCTTGACATCAGAGACTTTGGTGAACTCCCCTGATACTCTCAGCAGCAAATGCTGTACATCACAGGCTGGCAGCCTTTTCTGTTTCAGAGTTCACATATGAACTCTTTGATCCTCGTGGGCTCTAGGGTCTCTGTTGCAACCACTCAGCTCTGCTATTGTAGTAGGAAGGCAGCCATGAACAGTAGGGAAAGGGTGGGTGTGGCTATGTTCCAAGAAAATTTATCAAAAAACGGTAGGTGGATATATACCCAAAAGAATTGAAAGCAGGGACACGAGCAGATATTTGTACACAGCAGCATTATTCCCAGCAGCCAAGCAGTGGGAGTAATCCACGTGTCCATAAATAGATGAATGAATAAACAAAATGTGAGATGTGCAGATAACGGAAGATTAGTCAGCCTTAAAAAGGAAGGAAATTCTGACACATGGTCCAACACTGATGAAACATGAGCACATTATGCTGAATGACATAAGCCAGTCACAGAGGACGAATGTGTGATTCCAGCTTCTTCTGCAGCTGGCTTTGCAAGGGCAGCCTTGGCTGGTGTCCCCTTCTCCCCTGCAGTGGGAGCGTCCCTCCCCGGCCCCCCAGCTCTCATGCTAGGCCGGACATAAGTGTCCAAACAGATGGAGTTCTGGCCGCTGCTGCCTCCAGAGGTGGTTGGCCTGGTCAGCATTCTGGGGACTGTCTGTGCCTTTCCTGGATCGTTCGTGGAGAACAGTTGACATCAGCCCAGACCCAGGGGCCTTTGCAAAGGACAGTCATGGCGGCCCCGGGGCAGGGGGCTGGATGGCTTTGGGACTGGCCTTTGAGGGGAAAGGTGGCTTCCCCAAGCCTGGCTTAGCTGGTCAAAGGCCAGGTGCTGCCCTGAATGGCTTCCAGGCCCCCCTGTCATGAGCCTGCTAAGGGTCAGCACTGCTGCAATTAGTCTCTTTGCCAGCAAGTTTTATTCAACTCTTCGTTCCTCCATGTCCCTGACTGGGAATTGACTCGAATGCCCAGAGTTAAAAGACCAAAAGTTACGTAACGTCTCCCAGGGATGATGGCAGCTTATGAGCAAACATGTTGATTAAACACTGCGGCAAGTTGAGACTCGGTGATTGCCTCCGTAGCTAAATAACAGCTCTAGTGCGGGTGAGGAGGAGCCTTTTGACACGTGTGGCAGTTAACTTTGTTGAAGAAGTGAGCAAGGTGACTTATCTGTAGGAAGAAAAATAAAAGTGCTTGTGAGCAAAATAGGGCAGAAATAATGAGGTTTATGATGGCAGAAAAATGTGAGAATCAGAATTGCGGAAAACCGTGTATCGAGCACTTACTACCTGCCTGCTGGGTCTCTGCTAGCTCTTTCACACGTAAATATCGCGTTCAAATTTCGGAGCAACCCTTCAGGGTGGTGGTTATTAGTCTCATAAGGAAACTGAGAGAGGGTAAGCCCAGGTCACCCAGAGGGAAGGGTCACATTAGATGCAGACCTGGATTTGGCCAAAAGCTAAAGCATCCCAGACCCAGAGAAGGGAGTGGAGGAGCCCGAGAGAGAATCCCAGCTCCCAGGACCACCAGCATTTGCTGAATGCCCACTAGGTTCTAGACACTCAGCTAGGCTCTATATAGGTGATTCCCATTGATTCCTCATGACTGTCTTCGTATTTGATGTTCTGTGGTTGTAAGCAACAGAAACACACTGGAGCAAGCTGAAGTAGAAAAGGGAACTCTTTATTTCGAGGACAAAGTGGTGTCTCCTAAACCCACGAACAGGAGACAGCAAGGCTGCCAGGGTTGCCGGAAAGGAGAACTGAAGGGAAGCAAAGGGGCTGGGAGGCTCTCTCTTGCACTCCTGCCTTATCTTCTTGTGTAAAGATATGAAAATGGCCACAGCATCCAAGTCCCTCCAGGTCTCCACCTGGGCCAGTCAACTCTATTGAGGTCAGACTATAGCAGACTAAATGGCTATGAATGAGGTGGAGGCAGCCAAGGAGTTGTGAGTCGGGTAGGCTTTAGTCCTACTTAACTTTTAAAGGTAAGTACCTTTATCCCCATTTTACACATAAGGAATTGAGATTCCCATGAGTCAAATGTCCTTGTCCAAGGTCACATGGCTAATCTTGGTGGAGGGGTAGGAAGGGTTTGGACCAAATCGATCTGACTCAAAACCCATGTTTGTAATCATCATATAGAACTGCTGTAGAGGACCATTAGTCTTAAATTTACCCTTTAATCAAGCTAGAAAAGAAACCAGGATGGTTTAGCCTGAGAAGATCAACCTGAGGGTCTGTATGATATCCAGTCCATCTTGATTTTAAAATCCTTTTTGGAGGATGGTGATCAACTAGCCCTTCTCTACAGCCAAGAAGCAGGCCTCCGATAACAATGTCCCCATGCTCGAGCCCGGACAGACGTGAGGACAAGCTGGTGCTACAGCGAGGGCCAGCCCTTCTTGAAGGCCAGGGGCTGGGGCACAGGGCTGCTGTTGGTTCCATCCGGTCCTCAAGCTGAAATCTGTCCTGACAAACTGCCCCTGGCAGAAAATTGGGACACCTCGGAGGTTTAGATGTTCTCATCTGACCCTTTCACAATCCCCAAGCAGATGGATCCATGTGTTTTCTTTGGCTGTCCTGTTGCACTGGAGAGTGAGTGTTCATTCTTCGATATTTCAGTTTACCCATGGGGTGGAGAGGATGGGGTTTGTTTATAAATGAATGTTTTGGTGTAGACCTGACTTGACACCAACTTAGCTACTTCAGGGATTCTTGGCCCTAAACGAACATTCATTTCTGTCTAAAAAACTTGGCCATGATAGTCCAAACTTTAAATGATGTTAATTTACCGTGAGATGTGATGGAGTATGTGGTCCATGGGAAATATGACTTAGTGTTATTTATCTAAAAATGAGTGTCTGAATCCACCTTCACGTTTATAAACACTGCACACATGCCAGAGATATGAGGAGCAGGGTGATGGAGGGTGTGTTTCCTCTGGGAGAATGAGCCCCTCAGATAAGGGGGAGATTCTTGTGGGGTGGAAGATTTTGGAAGCTGTTCGTGAGACTATTAATTGATGGCATTCTGCTTCTTGTCTTGCAGATTGGAAACCTGGAAGATTACTACCATTTTTATCACAGCAAAACCTTTAAAAGATCAACCTTGAGTAGCAGAGGCCCTCACACCTTCCTCAGAATGGACCCCCAGGTACAGAGTGTCCGGATGCTTTCCTAAGGGCTGGAGGGTTTGGGTCTGTGGTCTTAAAAATGGCGGAGTCTGGATTTTAATGTGATTCTGGATAGACATGAGTTTTCCATATTCACTTTAAATACAGCAAGACAGGTGTAGCTACGAATCAGACCATCTGAACTAAATCATGTGAGTGAGGATCTCTCAGCATTTTAAAATCAACAAAACACAATACTCACAGGAGATACATATATGAATCTTACCCATGAAACAAAAACTCTAAGCAATTCAAGCAAGTATTTTAATAATGAAATTAGAGATCAGGCAGGTGGATGTTTTTGTGGTTGTCATAACATGTATGTTAATGGTTACTATGAATTTGAAAACTGAGGCAGTAACTATGACTTTTTTTCCTCAAAGATTCACATGATCTTCAGGATTAAAACAAATGCGATTTGAAAGGAGGCTAACATTTTAAATTTTAACATAACCCGTATTTATTGGGTGGTTAATTATACTTCCTTTCTGCATAGATTTGAAATTAATATTTGAGAAAGATCAATCAACAGTTATGTGTCAAGATTAAAAATTTAAGATGGCCAAGTGAGCCTCCAGTGAGTTCATTCATTTGGCAGGTATTTTTGGAATACCTTCCATGTGGCTGGCTCTGTCCATAGCAGGGCCCGTGGAGCTGGCGGCAGGGCTGACAGAAAACGAAGCAGGAAATAGAAAAATATGTGATATGTCACAGGGCGATGAGTGCTGAGAAGGAAAATGAAGTTCACGTGAGAAGCAGTAGCAGCCCCAGCAAGGAACGGAGGTCATTGGTAAATCATAGTTTTAGGTCACAGAAATCATCTTCTCTTAAAAGTTAACGTATATACTAGATGTTTGTTTGGGCCCCCTGGCTGGTGCACAATATTATTTCAGCTATTTCCAGAAAATACTTAGAGTAAAGTTTTTATGGAAAAATGGGTTCTTGGTGTTGCCCCAACCCACCTGCTTCAATGACAATCAGGGCTCTTTTTGTATTGACTGAGCAGGGATCTGTTGGAGAGACGCGTTATCTCTGGGCTCTGTACCTGAATTATCCTTCTCTGGGGCATCGCATGGTGAGGGTTTTGATTTGAAGCATATGAGGAAGTGGTCCCCATGGAGCTCACCCATGGACCTGGGCTGTGAAAAGACAGACTTGTCTTGAATATATTTCTGGATTGGTTTTATAGGTGGGTGGATGGATGGATGAATGGATGGATAGATAGATACGGATAAGTCGAACGAGATAGATATGAAACATTGTGCTAATTCCATTATTCCTTCATAGCAAGGGAAGGAGTTAAGTGTTTACTAAGGGATGGCTGTGCTTGGGCACTTTACATGCACCGTCTCACCCCATCACATGGGGGTGAGATTACGTCTACTTGTGCTTACACCATGGAACATGAAGGAATGTTTTTCAAAGGGGCCAGTATATTTAATCCTCTAGGAAAAAAGCCAGATTGTAGTTGCTCCTTCCCAAAGAGTGGGGCACTTGGGGAAGGGTGGATCAGTAGAAAACTGAGCAGCAGGGAGCCTCTGTACAGGGTGCATAGGCTGATCCCGGAGGAGGCGTGAGTTCTGTGCGGTTGAGAGACCGTCATCTGTCATCTTGGAGGAAATTCTAAGCTAGGAAAGAGGTCGACGCAGCATCCCTCCACACTTTCACTTTAAGCAAGCACTTGATCTGCCGTGTGAAGAAACATCCTCATTCTTCAACTGAAGTCTTTTGAGTTGTTGAATTGCCACCACGCGGATAGTTACAATGAAAGCAAGCTGTTTGCATGCAGGAAGCCCATCTCATAAGCATGCTCTGAGAAGAGACGGGGACCGTGGATTTCTTGGTCTTCTTTCCATGAGGCCTTCCAAGAATTAATAAAGCAGATTCTTAATGGTTAGAACTAAGGCAGAGTCGAAATAGGAGACTTAATCTGTGTTTTGACTACATCCTCTGTTGTTGGTGACTATATTTTAAAACTTTTAAAGGTACTCAGGTCGACTGCTCATCCCTTCCTTCCAAAAATATTAATGGTGCACCTGCTGAGTGCAGGACCCTGTGCCTGAGTAATGCAGAGCTGCCCAGCAGGTCTCTGTGTTGCTGAGTTCTCGGTGAAGATGGGGATGGGAGACCTGTGCATGAGCAAGGCAGGCTGAGGCAGCAGAGACAGACTCTGTGGGGGGCTTGAGGGCCACCATACCCTGGACCTGCCTCCTCTCTGCAGCACCTGAGCTGCTTGATTGACCCATTTTAGGTGTGTTAAAAGTCCTATATTCAGTTTGGGTCTGAGGGCAAAGCATTCCCAGGCATTAGTTGTCTCCTCGAAGTCAGCAGAAGGAAGGATAGAGACTTCCTAGGCAAAGGCTAACGTAGCAGTTAAATTTTTTCAAATAAAAATCTCCTTCTCACAGAGCTTCTTAATAAGCTCCTGGCAAGGCTTCTATCAATGCATCCTGCCAGTAAAGAAGAAAGGAAGAAAGGTAAACAGCCTGGGCATCCCAGGCCTTCCTGGAACGTTCCTAGGATTGGCTGATTGTTTCTCATAGTTCTAATTAAATTGTTAGCCCCAGGGAAAGCACACAGACATCTGAACCGATTATGAATTCAGAATCGCAACTGAAATACCTCTGTTTAAATTTGTCTAGCTTTAATGCAAACCAAATCAATTAGCTGTCAGTCTGACTAATATTTACTCCACCCAGTCATTACAATTAAACACTTGGTGAAATTAGCTGTTTTATGGAAGTATTTAGTGTTATCTTTTATTGCAGTGCATCAGAACGTTTCCCTACGTTGGCAAAGCATTTTTATGATACCTTCACATCTGGAGAGTTGTGTAATTAATATTATTAACAAAAGGAAAAGATGATTTAATATTATTCAGAGACTTCGGAATGCGAGGCTGCCATTGTGTTCAAATGACCAAACTGGAAATGAATGTTATGGGGCTTAGGATAAAGTTCCATCAAATGCAGACGGTATCTTATTTTAATTAGTTCCAGTCCCTATTGTATAGGAGTGCTTTGATAAGTGATGGAATGTACAGTCCACCCCATGTCACATAAAAGCAGATAGAATGTACATTTGGGAAAGCAAAACAAAACTCAAGGGGGTGTCAGCAGCAGGACTCTGTTAAGCACGTGTGTGCACGCACACTTATTAGGCATCTTCTTCGCACTGATCCTGTACCGGAATGGTACAGTCATTTTCCTTGCATTCTTAATTACCTTTACTTGATGTTTTTCTTACCGTCTTTGAAAAGGGCCATTTTGCTCAGATTGCTTTGTTACTCAGCCCTGTCCTTGGAGGAACAGCCCAAGTGTTCGCAGTGTGCAGTTATCGGTCGCTGGGTTTTTCCAAGGCTTGTCATTTAAGCAAACTGAAAGCATTTGTTTTTAACTTGTTCTTTTGCCAAAAGTCTGGAGAAGGGTGGATATTACAGAAGCGTCGACCAATCACTGAAAGGGCTCACAAATTTTTTTAAAATTACTTGTTCTGATTATGTTCCAAGCTGGCTTATAGTTAGTCGTTGCTGCCTGTGTCTTCCAGACCTTACATTTTAGCATGATGACTTGGGTTCAGCTCTTTTCCTTCCCTACAGATCTCAGCCAGATTGGTGATGGAAATGGAAGGATAAAGATGTTCAGAGGGAGCCTTGGTGGCTCCTTCTAGGGCCGTAGGAGGCTTGGGTTCAATGCTTCATTTCAGTGCTTTAAAGCTTAGAAGTTGCAAAATGATTGCAAGGACCAGAGGAGGCATTCTGTTTTGTAGGATGGGACTTTGCCCCCGGAGTTTAATCAAAGCTCGGGTTTCCTTCCAGCAGTGATGCAATGTTGAAGCAGATCTTTCCATTAACCACAGATGGAATTTTATCTAACAGTTTTGTGTGCTAGAGCAATTCAAAGTGCAAACAAACAGAAAGTTCCTGACAAGAGCACATAGACAGTAAGTGACCACATTGGTCTCAGGGGTTGATGAACTGTGTCATGGGCTGAGGGCAGGGCCAGGCAGCTGCCCAGGGCCCAGAGGATTTGCCCACGTGGGGACGGTGGACTGCTCCCCCATGAGGGTGATCGAATGACAGTGACAAGTTGGCTGTTCACATTTTCAGCACCACCCAGCTGGTTCTAGTGGCATGGCTGCTAGGAATTGGTAAAAAGTTTGAATGTGTAAATTTACCTTAAAAGACAGCATTTTATTCTTTCACGACATGCTCTGCCCTTCCGCTTAGATATCTCAAAGACAATCCAAAGTCAGTATGTCCCAAACCCAGCTCACTGTCTCTGACCCTAGTCTGTCTCAGAGGGAAGCGCTCATCCGCATTCCACTGCAGTGCCAGCGGCCTCTCCTTCCCCCCTACACTTGTTCCACCTCCCGTACAACCTGGCCCTGCCATGTCCTGTGTCTCCTGCCCTAGGCCCAGCTCCTGTCATCTCTTGCCTGCACCACTGCACTGCCCTCCTTGCTGGCCTCATGTGGGCATCCTTGCCCCGGCCAGTCACCTCCCATGCTCCTGAGGGATCCTCTGAAATACGGCCACCACTGGCCTTTAAGATCCTCCTCGGGTGACTTTCGCTCTTTTTCCCTCTGCAGAGCTTTTGCACAGACGGCTCCCCACCTTCCCCTGCTGTTGCTCTCTTCCCCACCTTCCCCTCTGGGCTCCAATATCCCTGCCACCAGGAAGCCTGCTCAGAGGCTGCGGACTTGGCCTGCTCTTCTAGCAGTCGTATGTTTGTATTCTAGATCTGGCCCTAGAGTAGGAGCACACAGCAGTGTTTGTTGGGAACGATGACTAGTTCAGTTTGTTTGGGATCTGTCAGGGACAGACAGAGTCGGCAGGGGAGCTGCAGGTGGTTCCTGGGGGACCTGGATCGTCAGGCTTGGGAGGGCGTTCAGTGTTCCAGAACCAGAGGAGAGGCGATGGGAAGGCGGACTGACGCTGCTGTGCGGATGCCTCGGGAGAGAGGAACTTGGAGTTCAAAGCATGCAAGCCCATCTCTTGCCAATGCAACAGGAGGTTATCGAGGGTCAAGGCCACATATCATTTGCTTTTACTCCCTTACAAGTCCAGCAGCAACCCAGAGAACAGTAGACAATGCTTCCTGAAGCATATCTCAAGTTCCAGAGATGTGACTCCTATAAGCAAGTTGTGTGTAACATAAGCAACTTCTTTCTATGTAAATACTTTAGAAGTAAATTCTGACCCACCTTGGCTAAATTATGGAAAAATCCTAAATATAGTTTTCAGTTGACAAAGCTGTATCCTGTATTGCTGAAGCTAAAATAACAGAGGTACAGACAGTGACTGCATGTCAGACACGTTGAGCAGTGTTGGACCTCATAGTTTGTTAGTCTGCGGGGGCAGTTGTAACAAAGTCCCACAGGATGCGGGGACTTCAACCGCAGAACCGTATTGTCTCACACTTAGGAAGGTTGGAAGACTGAGATTACGGCGTTGGCAGGGTTGGTTTCTTCTGAGGTCTCTTGATCCTCACGTGGTTGTCCCTCTCTGCGAGTGGCTCTGTCCTAATCTCCTCTTCTCATGGGACACTGGCCAGATTGGATTAGGGTCCCCCGCATCATGACCTCATATTAACGTAACTACCTCTTTAAGGCCCTTATCTCCCATTACAGTCACGTTCTGAGCTACCCCGGGTTAAGATTTCAACATAAGAATTTAGGGGTTCACAGGTCAGCCCCTAACAATAGGTGAAGCTGGGCTCCAGCTGCCTCTTCTGTTGTCAGTGAGTGGAGGTGGGTGGCGGGCGGTGGGGAGAGGGGCACCTTCTGTCCCCTTTCAGCAAAATAAGAACTAACTTACAAATGAGTAGCTTTACTTTCCCAAAGAGCTTTCACACGCACTGTCCCATTTCCGTCATCGGCAGAGCGAGGACTTCCCTCTCTCATGACTGTTAAGCAGGGGTCTTCTGGCACCTGTAGTTTAACTTCAATGGAAAGAATTCAAGAAATGGTCTCTACGCTGTTGCAGTTATGGCTGCAGGGGAGGCAGTGGGGAGGGAGCTGGGCTCGCAGCTGCCTGGATGACACGGGAGGTGGTGGTGGGGGTGGCTTTCTAGGCTGAGTTAGAATGTCCTTTATTTTCTGGTTCCTCCTCCCCCTCCTCTACTGCCCGGGCTTACTCACTGGGTTCCCGCTGTGTGTTTGCCATGGCAGCCTGGGGTTTCCCGGCCCCACCCCTAGGTGAGCCAGTGCTGCGCCGGAGGTGGGCCTGGGCATCTCGCCATGATGGGCTCTCACGAAACCATGTAATCGTCTCTCACTTGTCACGATGGCCCTCTTGCCCTGCTGGAAGATGACAGCCACAGGACCAATCCCTCACTCGGAGAACTTGGATCTGCTTTCTGCCTCTGTCTAGCTTGGTTCAGTGGTTCTTAGCCATTTGGGGGAATCACAGGCCCCTTTGAAAAGCTGTTGGAAGTTGTGGGGCCTCTCGCTCTCCAGAGGAAAAAAGACATCATGCTCATGCCGGCACCATTTTGCATACAGTTCTGGGGTTTCTGGGACTCGAGCCTGTCCTTCCACTCCTTGAGGGACTGTGGGATCCAGGGCAAGATGGCTCCAGTGTGCTGCATGAATCGTCGCCTGTCAGTGAGAGAAGGGCCACGTTGCACATTATGCAGTGACGGGCACTTGTCGGGGAGTGGGATTTTTCTTTCTTTAAATTCACCAGTCAGCTTTCTCACTGAGCTCTTTAGCTGGTTGGATGTTGGCCCAGCGAGGTGCTCAGAGCAGTCAAGGTTGATGGGAATCAAGATCTAAGCGCCACAGACTGTTGAGTGCACAAGCTCTGAGAGAGGGACCGGTCCCAGCCCCTGCTTTACAGTGTGGAGGGAGAGGCCCAGGCAGGGTGCCCACCTCCCACACAGAGAGAATAACAGGCTTATTTTCTACGGTGCCCTGATTGTTCTCTCCTGGAGGAGGCTTTGGAGCTTGGTGGCTCCTGGGTGCCGAGGTATGGCCTCCGACTCCCTCCCTTGATATGCCCTGGTGGACAGTCAGGTCTGGCTTGCAGTCCCCTTGTTCTTTCACAGTTACAGAATAAAGTAACCTTCGCTTTGATGAAACCAGGGAGAAAAGAGAAAAGAAAGAGCTGGCCGAGCTGTCTCCCTTGCGTTGGCTACAACTGTGCAGAACCTGTGTGAACCTGGTGTCCGCAGCCCTGCCGGTGCGTACTTCAAAGAACCTCAGCAGCTTGACTCCCTTGATGCTGTGTGGGACCCCTGGACCGCTGGGGGAGGGTGCCTGTGTATGCCCTTCGTGGCCTTCCCTCCATCTCAGAGCAAAGACTGAAGCCCCTCTCCTTTTAGGACTCTCCAGCTCCCAAGAACTTCTAGGGGCCTTCCTGAGCCACAGCAGGGCCCCTCTGAATAGGCACAGGCTTGAAGTTAGGGCAGAAGGACATGGTGGCTTTGGGTGGACGTGCAAGTGGGAGGGATTTCATGCTCTCTTTGGTGACACTGGCTCATGAGTGAAAGTTTCAAAACACCCTCCCCTGTCGCTTGTCACACCTGGGAATGATATGTCAGCAAGCTTCTGGCCCACCTGTGGCCCACAGGGAAGAAGACAGGGCCAAGGCTGCCCATGGCTGCTCGCTGAAAGGATGCTTGGACAAGGATCACAACTCGGTGGCATGGACAGCCTGCAGCATGGCAAGCCATTTACTGGAACGCGGGCAGGGCCCCCTCCTGGGTCTCTGCTTGTTTATGTTACCCTTTAGGAACATCCTTAGATTTTACCTCGTCTTATCAACAGAGGGACAGTCAACGGATGCCTCATTTTAACTTGGCTTCTCGAGAAGGAAGCTGGAGGAAGCACACACTACAAAAGAAAGTGTTGCTGCGCACCTGTCTTGAGAAGACGATGAAGCCTTCTTCATGATTAGAACTCCCTGCCCCAGAGCGTAGCTTATCTATAACTGTGCTGCATGTTTAGCAGGAAACATACATTTGGAAAATAGAGAAAAGGATAAAAAGGTCAGAGTGAAGTTCTATCTTCAAAGTATGACGTTAAAGAAATCCTGGCACTTTCTACAGATTTGCAGAGAAAGACGGTTTCTGTTTGGGCTAGAAGTGGCATTTGGCAAACCTTGCCTTTGCCCCAAATCACTTATAGTTGATTTTCCACAAGAAAAGTCAACAGATGTCATCTAGCAGTCATTTAGACCTAATCACATTTTCTTTCTTTCTTTCTTTCTTTCTTTTTTTTTTTGAGACAGAGTCTCACTCTGTCACCCAGGCTGGAGTGCAATGGTGCAATCTCTGCTCACTGCAACCTGTGAGGGTTGCTTCCATTCGATGGGAGGGCTGGAGTTTTAGTCGCTTGGTTTGGGGCTGGTGACACACCTCTGACCTCCACAGAGTGTCCAGGTGGCTCCTGGTTTCACCCCGAGGGGGCATTGAAGGCAGAGCTTTGCATCCCAGCTGGGGATGGGAGGGGGAGGCACTTTGGTCCTGGCCGGGAACCAGGTATGTTCATGCTGATCTTCCCAGAACCTAGCGCCAGACACACAGGAAGACTCAGTGCATTTTTGTTGAGTGAGCCACAGAATAAGTGACCCCAGGATGCCTGCTCTCTGGAGACACTGGGGAAGGTGAACCTGGAAAATGGCTTTCTCTTTGTGGTGGGTAGGAGGTGGGATCCGGGATCCCCTTGTGCTGTCCTGGAGCTGGGTGAGAAGCAAGGGAGTGACTGGAACCCAGAGGAAGGGACACAGTGCCGGGAGAATCAGCCTCTGCCACCGCGCTGTCTGCCTGCATCCCGTCTCCACGGAGAAGCCCCCACGCCTGGTCAGTCATCTGTTGTACAGTGTTCGGTTCCATTGGCCTGAGAGCACCTCACTTGCCGTCAGAGACTTACAATGAGCAGGTGTGTTAGCAGAGAGAGGGCTGCCCCTGCGACCACGACAGAGAGAGAGCCCCAAACTGTGCTGCGGGCCGCAGGCTATCACAGTCCCCCTCAGAACTGTGTGCCAGTGTTGTGGGGTTTTGCCCAGAGCCCAGCAAGGACCAAGGGCCGGGATGCCCAGGCTCTTCCATCCTGCTGAGGAACCCTCTTATGACTTCTGGCTCTACGCTTTCCCACATCTCCCAGCTGATTAGTGGGGTGTCACCCACTTGGGCTTGGAAGGGCAGAGTGTGCCTCCTCCTCTGACTGGAAGTGTGGTCTGGTGGGCACAGCAATTGGAAGGGGCTGGATGTTGTTAGAACAGAGAGTTCAGGGCCCCTTAGCACAAACAGGGCTCAGCCTGGCAGGAGGGCGGGACATCCCTGGGAGCTTTGGGCTGTGCGGGATCTACATACCACTGTATTTTGTAATAGCGTGCTGAACAGATTATGAAATATTGTTTGCGGCATCTTAGACCAGGTAAAAAGCCTTCTAGTTCAGGCAGTAATATATGGGGACATTGCAAAATGCCATCAGCCGGTGTTAGGAACAAAATATCTCATTTTATAGTTTTATTTTCTGTGGAAGTATCTGTCAGCGGCCATTATAAATTATCTAGGACTTGGTGCTGAGGATTTTTTAAGTGTGTGACGTGAAACTGGTTTTGAGCCCTTTGCAGTGTTTCTAAGGCGTCTGGTCTGCTGGTGTTTTATAGACGAATTACATCGGGGTGGGACAGGCTGGGATGCCTCTCTTCCGGCATTTTGCCCTGTACACCAAGGATGTCTTGGAGGCCATCCCCAGCCCTAAATTTGAGCTGTGTATGCAGGTGCTCCGCTCTCCTTGCTCAGGGTGATGTGGGGAGGCCAAGGCTCAGGGAGGAGGAAGAGAAATCTTGTCCCTTTGCTCTTGGGGACTGTTACTCCCTGCCCACTCAGCCTCAGGTAGCTCTGTTCTAGCTTCCAGCACGACCCTGGGTCGCCAGCCTTGGGTCACCTTGGGGCCCCGCCCCCTTCTCTTGTTCCTCCCCTGCCTCTAGCTGCCTCCTCCAGGCAGCCTGCCCTGTTTGGAACTCACATCATCCTCTGATTGGTGGGATCCCCTGAATGTAGTGCAGACTCCTCGAGAGCACGGCCCTGGCGCCCATCCTTATCCCACCCATGTCAGGCCCCAGAGCCAGGCTGAACCCCAGCTTTGAGCATTATTCAATCAGGTGGAGCTGCCGTGGTAAGACCAAAGAAAACATTCCCACTCAGGGTCCAAGAAGTCTTTACCCCAAGATCCTTTTAAAATGAAAAAGTTTTTCCAGCTTGAAAAGAATGTGTACACGGGATGATAAGAGCAGGAGTGCTCCAGGCACTGGTCTGAGGGCTTTATATGTGTTGTTTCTTATATTAACCCTGTGGCAACCCATGACTGTCCCCACTGTGTGGGTGGACACCACCCTGAGGCCATGGATGTCCACTGTCAGCTCCAAGTCACACAGCTGGTGAGCACGGGGCTGGGTTTTATTGCAGGTGGCCTGGTGCCTTGATCCTTGGTCTTAAATATCAGTGATACAGCCTTGTGAACTTTTTTCCTTGATCGTGAAAACAAATCATGCTGATTGAAAGACATTTATGACATCCTGAAAGTAATTGTAAAATTTTAAATTAGCAATAATGTCACCACCCAGGAACTGATGCTACTACTATTTTGCTGTATTCCTTTCTAGATTTTTCTCTGTGCATGTTTTGGTACCATATTGCTGGTGGCTGCCAAATATTCCAATATATGGCTTACCATATTTACTTATGTCCTTACTGTAAAGCAAATTCCAATACCAGTTAACCAAACACTTTCTTCATTCACTGCTTTCCCATGTGTGTATTTCCTTTTTCTTCAGGACAAGGATCACCAGATAATTTATCGGCAATTTCACAAGGCTGGCTTCCTTCCTTCTCTCCCTCTCTCCCTCCCTTCCTTCTTGTCTTTCTGTCTCTCTCTCTCTCTGTCTTTTTTTTTTTTTGACAGGGTCTTGCTGTGTTGCCCAGACTGGAGTGCAGTGGCACCAATCATGGCTCACTGCAGCCTTGACTTCCCAGGCTCAAGCAATCCTTTCACCTCAGTCTCCTGAGGAGCTGGGACTACAGGCATGCGCCATCATGCCCAGCTAGATTTTTTTTTTTTTTTTTTTGGAGAGGTGGGGTTTCACCATGTTGCCCAGGCTGGTCTCAAACTCCTGGGCTCAGGCGATCTTCCTGCCTCGGCCTCCCAACGTGCTGGGATGACAGGCGTGAGCACTTTCTTTCTTTTAGTACAACGACTTCAAAATCTATCAGAGTGGTGTTATTTCTTCCTCTGTATACACAAACAACTTCTCATCTTTCAAATGTAGTCACTTTGAAGTGAAAATGTCCCCAGGAACTTACCATCTAAAATATCTGCTATGACACAGATATTCACGCACAAGGAAGGCTGTAGCACCTGCAAAGAGGCTACATAAAATCAAGAAATCATTTCTAATATAAACAGTAATTGCATTTCTTCTGGTAGGTGAAATGGCTCCAGCAACAGGAAGTGAAACGAAGGGTGAAGAGACAGGTGCGAAGTGACCCGCAGGCCCTTTACTTCAACGACCCCATTTGGTCCAACATGTGGTACCTGGTGAGTAGGACAGGACCTCTGTCTGCCCCAGGACACTTGCACTGCCAGGTCTCTGAAATGGGTTAATTTCCCTCAACAAAGCTAAATTCAAACAACATCTCCAGACAGACACACTTCACCTTGAGGGTGTAAAACCACTACCGCAAGGCTGTGCAGTACCGGCTTTCCTGTGGATTTTTTCTGAAACTTTGTGCAGCACACTCTGGGATGGGGGCTCTTTGAGAAGGGAAGTGATTTGATGCAGGCTGTATGACTAAATGGCAAAGCCCAGCCCATGGACAGAGCTCCTGCTGGGAGGCGATGCCCTGGGAAAATATAGATTGCAGGTGCAGAAAAAGCAAGGGAGCCGTCTGCATGATTCTCGATCCGAGTGGGAAAGAGGAGCTCTGCTATGTAAGGCAGGGATAGGTGTTCCCTCCTTTTTTACTTGCAAGCCTAAGCGCCTCCCTGTGGGGTGTGCACCGAGTGTCAGTTCTGCATCTGGAATGTCCATGTCGGGGGGACTTTGTGTCTTTCGTGCTTACAGCATTGTGGCGACAAGAACAGTCGCTGCCGGTCGGAAATGAATGTCCAGGCAGCGTGGAAGAGGGGCTACACAGGAAAAAACGTGGTGGTCACCATCCTTGATGATGGCATAGAGAGAAATCACCCTGACCTGGCCCCAAATTATGTAAGTCAATCCTCGGAACTGACATGCAAATATATTCAACTGTGCTGGTCATTAAGTAAATGCAAGTTTAAAAACAGTAAGGTCCCGATCTCCCCCAGCCCCCATTAAGTTAGGCAGTAAAGAAAACTATGCTGGAAAGAATTAGGAAGATGAATATTCTGCTACTTGCTACTGTCAGGGGCAAGGGTTTTGCAGAGGGATTCATCCACATGCTTGCACAGTCACATACACTTTTAGGAATGGAGCCTAAAGAACTAAGAAATGCATGGAGGGGGATCATCAGCGTACAGATAGTAGCAACACGAACAGTGACAGGGTGACAGTGTGAAAACACGGGCTCTAGGCCCAGAGTGCCTGGGTTCCTATCCTGGGTCTGCAAATGATTAGCTCTGAGATCTTGAGTAAGTTACTTAACTTCTCTGTGCCTCATCTGTAAACATTTTACCGTCTGTAAAATGGTTCATAAGAGAACGACTCTCTCACGGAGTTATTGTAAGGACTAAATTAGTTAAATGTAAGGACACAAGCTTGGCATATCGTAAATATCATAGATGCAAGAAATACTCTAAGGGACTTGGGCACCTACCGGTGATTAAGTAAACCATATTGTATCCATCTGACAGATCGTTATGCAGCCCTTAGAAATGAATTTTGCAGACTACGTGTCAACAACACTGGAAACCTTTTATCATATATTTTAAAAGGAGAATGTAAAATTATGTGAATACTGCTGTTACAGTCATATAAACAAAAGCATACCTATTGAAAATATAAAATGAAGGAAATCCTGACCCACGTGGAAACGTGGATAAACCTTGGACGTTATGCGAAGTGAAATAAGCCAGTCACAAAAGGACAAATACTGCCTGATTCCACTTACACGAGTGACTCGGAGTAGCCAAACTCTTAGACAAAAAGGTGGAGTGGGGGTTGCCAGGGCCTGGGAGAGGGGAGTGGGGAGTTAGTGTTGAGTGGGTGTGGGGTTTTGCAGGTTGAAAGGGTTCTGGAGATGGGTAGCAGCGATGGCCTCAAGCACTGTGAATTAATGCCACTGAGCCGCACACTCGAGAATGGTTAAGGTCGTGTATTTCCCGTCACATATATTTTACCACGATAAAAACGTATATGAGATTATAGCTATAGTAAGAGAGGAGCCCCGCGTGTGGTTTCTCTATTTGCCAACGGAACATAAAATCCATTTCAAACAGAGCTGTCACATGCCATTTCTCCTCACTCACCACGATTCCATTTCTTAGGATTCCTACGCCAGCTACGACGTGAACGGCAATGATTATGACCCATCTCCACGATATGATGCCAGCAATGAAAATAAGTACGTCACCTCGCCTCATCTCCCCGGCTTCTCTTCCCCTCCCTGCAGCGTCACTATTGAATGTGTGTGCGAGGGAGCTGGAGAGGCGGTGGCTGCCGGCGTATCTTCCCTGCCTGGGCGCGAGGCAGGCTTCTCCAGGAGTCACAGGCCATGCCAGGCACAGCCCTTCAGGCACGGCCAGCTTCTGTGGAGTCAGCCTGTTCCTCTGGGGTGTCACCGCTGCCGGGCAGCTAGAAATGGGTGTTTGACAGACATCGTTCCTGTTTCCAACTTTCTTGAAATATTTTAAAAGAGAAACCCTTAAGTCTAACCGTCTCCATGACCTGCTGTGTGAAGACAGCAGTTTGGTCTGTTTGAGCACACAGGTCACGTGCCTGAGCTTTTGTGACTCTGTGACCTTAGGAATGAGGTGGAAGGGGCATGAGTAATGCTGGATAGACCCAGGTTCAGATCGCAGCTCTCCCACTTACTGGCTGCGTGCATGCCGGGTGAGCTGGTTGAAACTTCATGTCTTAGTGTCTTAGAGGCTCGTCCAGGCCAGTGATGTCCCCTACCTCACAGGGTCACAGGAGGGGTCAGTGAGATGATGCATGAGGAATGCACCCAGCAGATTCTTCCGAAATGGTGGGCGTTTTTGTGTCACTGTCATTTTGCAAGTGGAGGCAGTGGGGTCCGGAGAGCCCAGGTGACTTTGCAGTGTAAACGGCAGCCCTGGGGTCAGTCCTGGGAATTCATTTGCTGTCTCTTTCCTTCTCCATCAGCATGCCCCATACCCTGAGCTCTTATCATTCCTCTAAAAATATTTAGAGGGAAATAATAAAAGCTTTTTCTTCCTCCCCACTGTTGACAAGACTCTTGCTGAGGGGCGTCTCCCGATTATAGTCTTTTAGTTTGTGGTCGCTTTGATTCTGAGATTCACAAACGGGTGCGCAGGCAATGCTGTGCAGGAAGCCTCGGCCACTGGAGTTCCACACAGCAGGCTGCAGAGCTCCCGCGAGCCTGCAGCAGCCCAGCCTCATGCACGTCCCAAGGTGCCCTTCCTGCTGCCAGTGAGGATGCCTGGGGCAAAGGAGGAATGACCCACATACCACGCAGTGACCCTTGAAGGGCAGGATTCAATCCCATCCCGAGCCATCCATTGAGCTCTGTGACCCCGGGAACAGCCCTGGCCTTGAAGCTGTGTGGCTTCCAGGGAAGGACAGATGACTCTCTTCCAGAGGGCTGCTGCCTGGGGCGATTTTTAAAGGCAGCTTTAAATTTGAATCAATGATTCCCATCCTCTGTGGACTCTTCTCAAAGATGTGCTATTTCAAGTTGCTCCTATTTTGGCCCCCGCTGGAGGAACTGACCCGACGTGGCACATCAGAGAATGGGGTCATTACTGAGGAAAACGCATTTGTTTTTCTGGTCATTTCTTCATAGTCTCCCAGCTGCTGAGTGTTTAATTTAGAGCGTTCTTCCTCAGCTCCAGCTTAAATGGCCTTAGAAGCACAGGAAGGGCTGCCTCAGGGTAAGCATGGTGTTGTAGGTGCATAGGGGATGAGGCAGGTGACATCAGCACCAGACTGTTCCTTCTTTCATCCTGCCAGGCAGCAGGTGTCCCTGCTGCCAGCCACAGGAGACACGAGGCCGAGGTGGCGCAGCACCCACCCTACACAGCAGTGGCCATGTGCCAATTACACGTGCTGGGAGGAGGAAGGTATAGGACCACGGGCACTGGGGCAGGCACCTTCCTCCCACATGGGGGTCAGGGGAGGCATGCTGGAAGAGGTGACCATGCGTGAGCACTTGCCACATTCAGGATGCCAGGAAGGGCTGTACCCAGGCTGACTTGGTGCCTTCTCCCAGAGTGGGGTTGGTGATGAGAGGGGATGCAGGAAATGGGCTTTAATGACATCTCTGGGCTTCGGACAACTGACTCTCTTGTTGCATTGAACTGAGCCAGGCACTGAATTCACTGAAACTTGCTGGGCTGCGTCCTCACTTGGTTTTTTCCTTTGTTTCAGACACGGCACTCGTTGTGCGGGAGAAGTTGCTGCTTCAGCAAACAATTCCTACTGCATCGTGGGCATAGCGTACAATGCCAAAATAGGAGGTAAGGCCGGGCGTGGCAGCCTGCGAGCCGAGGGGCCTGGGGCAGGGGCAGCTGGGAGCTCCCTGTCCGCTGGTCTCAGCAGCCTCCTGTTTTTTGGCTTTGGCCATGTCAGCAGACCCCTGGGCCAGACGCAGCAGTGCCGTCTGTATCATGGCCCAGGCAGCTGACCCACAGGGATTGGGGCCTCAAGACAGAGGAACTGCTTACTGTTTTGCCTGAAAAGCCATTGCAGTTCCCATCAGAAAGGTACCCTCTCTCCTCTGGTCCTGCTGGCCTGGCTGCTGACTCCTAGAAGTCTGCGTTGATTCCCCGCTGCCCATAGCCCTCAGTGGCTCCGTCACTTCCCAGACAGAGTGACAGCTTTTACCCGGGACCAGAGCTTTCCCTGGGTTCTGACTCCCACTCAAGCCTGCTGGCCCACTTCTCCTGCCCCTGCTCTGACCTTAGAGGACATTTTTCATAGTGCCCCTTAGACACATCTGGTCTTCCCGATTGATGCCTGGGCTTGAACCATTCCCATCCCCGCCTCCCCCGTCTTTCCACTTGGCTCTGTCCACCTGTGCCTTATGGCAGCCTCATGCCTGCTCTGTTCTGTGAAGTGCTCCCTGGATCCAGCTGTCCCCCGTCTCATTCACCAGGGAATCAGCTCTTCTTGGTCCCTTTACGGAGCAGCAGCCGCCCCTGCCCCGCGTGCGTCTGGTCTTGCCATTTAGCTTCTCACACTGCTCAGTCAAGCTGCCCTTGCTAGGATGAGGCTTTGGAGTAAAGTATTGAATGTCTTCCTATTCCCCACGGGAGCCCGGCAGTGTGACAGCTCAGTCACCCAAGTGCTCTGAAGGCCCCTCTAGGTGCATGTCACTGACCCGGGAACTGAGCAAGTGGGGGCAGCAGAGAGGAGTGCCAGAGGGCCTCCAGGGACTGCGGCCTCACCCAGGAGGCCTGTCTGCTTCTCAGTCCGAAGGTGCTCCTGCTCACTCAGGTGGCTGCAGTGGGAAACCACCTTCCCGGGGGGGCACTGCCATCCTGCCACTGAGCCTTGGTGAGGGTGCCTGCAGCCGCTTTCTGCCGTTCTGCCACCGAGCCTTGGTGAGGGTGGCTGCAGCCACTTTCTGCCGTTCTGCCACCGAGCCTTGGTGAGGGTGGCTGCAGCCGCTTTGGCTCCACTTATGAGCAGTACCAGGCAGGGAGGTTGGGCCACGGTTCCCTGGATCACCAGTCCTTGGGGGAATTTCTTGTGTTTCGAAAAGAGGGTCCTTAGCTTTTACTTAATTAGGACTCTGCCTGCCTTTTCCCGTGGAAATCTTGAAGGTGGCTTGGATTTTCATTTTATAGCAGAATTAACCCCCAAGGGCGCGTTCTGCAGAACAAATCAGGAGACTCTGTCAACTGGCCTGGCTCCTTTGTGGATAGTTCTTGCAAACTGAGATATATAAGTTCTCCCTGGAGCCTTTGATGATGGGTGCAGAGCCCTGAGACGTCTCTCCAGGATCTGTAGAATCGGGCCAACCTGGGTGCCAGTTCCATTCCCACCACTCACTGTCTGTGTGTCCTTGAACAACTTACATAACCTCTCTGAGCCAAGGTTTCTTTACCTGTGGGGTGAAATGACCACCAGGCAGCTGCCTCCCCAGTTTTGTTATGAGGATGAAGTCAGATACCATGTGTGAAACCATCGGCTTGGGCTAAGTCTGCAGGGGATAGCTGAGCTCCTCCTTCCCTCTTGCTGAGACTCTCAGTGGGAGAATAAAAACCATTTGTGTTGCTTTGAGTGAGGGGTGGACCCCACCTTTGGAGTTGCTTGAGCCTTGCTCCCCCAAGTCCCTAGACTTTGAGCATGGCATCCTCTGGGAGCCGTTAGAAATGCAGAATCCCCACCCCAGGCCTACGGAGTCAGGGTTTGCATTATAACAAGATCGCAGGGGATTTGTCTCCACGTCACAATGTGAGAAGCGCTGGTTTAGAGGACTCCCTGGGGTCTCACAGGTAGGTAACACCTGCATCATGGATTGCGGGGAGGAGTCAGTGGAAGTAACATGCATAAAGATCCTCCCAGATGAGGTGCACAGTAAATACAGCATTACCGTTAGATAGCTCTACACTCATCGCCAAACTCTTTCCCTACGTTTCCCGAGTCCTGCAAGTGAAGGTGCTCCCTCCAGATCTGGAAAATGTAGGGATAGAATTTGGCATGTGTTTAAAACAAGAATAATAGCAATGCACTGTGGGTTTATAACGTATGAAGCAATATATATATATATGTATATAAACAACAGCAGGAATGGTAACAGTCATGGTGAATGGAAACGCTCTATCTTAGATTTATACATTATACAGAAAATAGTATACTATTAATTCCAGATAGACTGGGATAAGTTAGGATATGCATTATAGTCTCTTGAGTGACAACTAACAATAAAGACATGAAAAGGAAGAGCTCTATGGTCAGCTCCAGGGACATCCCAGGGAAATTCCCTGTTGTGTGCCAGCACACACAGAGAGGGAGCTGTGTTAGAGCACCTCACCCAGAGGTGGGCTTGGAGGGAGAACCAGGAGGAAGCGGGTTGGCTGCCTGTGTGGAGAGGCTAAAGCTGTTTGCAGCAGCTTTGGAGCCAGTGGCTATCACTGGATCCTTGGGTCAAGGCCAGCCTCAACCCCACACCTACCTTCCAGAGAGGTGTGAGCTCCACCTCATGTCCTCGATCTTTATGTGGCCTGCTCACCCCAGCCCCACGCCGCAGACGTAATTGTCTCCTCAGCACTCTCACGGGTAGTCAAGTCCTGCCGTGTCAAGCTCAGCCACACCCTCATGCCCTGCTCTCATGGGGTGCCTGCTCTGCCACCCCTGGGGCTCCTACCTGCCCCTTTAACTTCAATAGGTGGTTCTGTGCCATCTTCCTTGTTGGTTCCCTCCAAAGACATGCTGAGCTCCTAGAGGCCCAGAACTGTGACCCTCATCTCTTTCGTCTCTCTGTCAGCGGCATATCCAGTATTATACATGCAGCATGTGCTCAACCATATTCAATGCGTTAATTAAAAAATATCCCTGTTATCATGCATATCCCAACTTATCCCAGTCTATCTGGAATTAATAGTGTACTTTCTATATAATGTGTAAATCTAAGATTGTTTCCATTCACCATCACTGTCATTGTTTGTGCTGTTGTTTTTATAGATTCTACTTCACATGTTATAAACCCACAGTGCATTTCTTGTTTTAAACATGTAGTTGACCGCAAACTACTTATGACAAGAAATACATTTACCTGCCTGTGTACCATTCCACTGACTGGTCTTCCTTACTTTTTCTAGCTTCAGATTTCCATCTTTCCATTTATCTTCAGCCTGTCGCCAGGCTCTTTGGTATTTATTGAGGTTATCTCTCACCTCTTTTGGTATTTGTTGAGGTTCAGGTATGCTAGTGAAAAATTCTCTCCAATTTTATCTGAAAGTGGCTTCTCTTCATTTTTCTTAAAAGAAATTATGCTGAACACGACCTTCTAACTTTTTTTTTGTCTTTCAACACTTTAAAGGTGTTATTCTGTTGTCTTCTGGTATCCATTGTTTCCGACGATGAGTCGATTGTTAATTGCCATCCTTATTGTTGTTCCCTTTTAAGAAACGTGATTTGTTCCTATGGCTCCTTTTTTTTTTTTTGAAGAGATGGGGTCTTGCTCTGTCACCCAGGTTGGAGTGCAGTGGCATAATCATAGCTCACTGCAGCCTTAAACTCCTGGCCTCAAGTGATCCTCCCACCCGAGCCTCCCAAGTATCTGGGACTGCAGGTGAACACAACCTTTCCCAGCTAATTAAAAAAAACACACACCTTTTTCCTTGTAGGATGAGATACTGCTGTGTTGCCCAGGCTGGACTCAAACTCCTGGCCTCAAGCGATCCTCCCACCTCAGCCTCCCAAAGTGCTGGGATTACAGGCATGAGCCACCATGGCCCTTCCCTGTAGCTGCTTTCATAATGTTATTTTTAAAAATATCTGTGCTTTGCCTGTGGCTCTAACATTCTTTTATGTAGTTTTCTTCGTATTAATTCCATCTTGGGTTTTCTGTGCTTCTTAGTGGGTTATTCTTTTTAAAGAAAATTTGGAAAAAAAATTGTCAATATTTCTTCAAATTTTTTTAAGTTCCATTTTCTTTCTACTCTCTGTGGGCACAGTTATAGTTGTTAGATTGCTTAATACGCCTCACAGGTTACTGAGGCACTGTTCATTTTTTTAACCCTTTTTTCTCTGCTTCGAATGGAATGATTTTTATTGAACTTCAAGTTAACTAATCCTTCCTTTTGTTGTGTTCAGTCTGGTCTTTAAAAAAAATTTCAGGGCTGGGCATGGTGGCTCACACCTGTAATCTCAGCAGTTTGGGTGGCTGAGGTGAGTGGATCACCTGAGATCAGGAGTTCAAGACCAGACTGGCCAACATGCTAAAACCCCGTCTCTACTAAAAATACAAAAAATCAGCCAGGTGTGGTGGCACATGCCTGTAATCCCAGCTACTCAGGAGGCTGAGGCAAGAGAATTGGCTTAGACCTGGGAGGCGGAGGTTGCAGTGAGCTGAGATCATACCACTGCATTCCAGCCTGGGTGACAGAGCAAGACTCCATCTCAAAAAAAAAAAAAAAAAATTCAGATATTTACTTTTCTGTCTTATGATTTCCATTTGACTCTTTTTTTACTGTTTCCGAATCCCTCATGTGTCTCCATCTCTTCAGTCATGATATCTATCTTTTATTCTAGACTCTTTAACATGTTTGTAAGAAATACTTTAAAGTCTTTTGCACTTAATTCCAACATCTAGGCCATTTTAGGAGTATGTTTATAATGACTGATTTTTCTCTTTACAGTGGGTCATGTATTTCTCTTTCTTTGCATATGTCTAGTAATTTTTTATTGTATGGTAGATATTGTTACATTGTAGAGACTCTGGATTCTGTTGTCTTTGAATATCATTAAGTTTCTTTCTTGGCCAGGCGCGGTGGCTCACGCCTGTAATCCCAGCACTGTGGGAGGCTGAGGCGGGTGGATCCCGAGATCAGGAGATTGAGACCATCCTGGCTAACACAGTGAAACCCCATCTCTACTAAAAATGCAAAAAATTAGCCGGGCGCGGTGGCGGGCGCCTGCAGTCCCAGCTACTTGGGAGGCTGAGGCAGGAGAATGGCGTGAACCCGGGAGGCAGAGCTTGCAGTGAGCTGAGATCGCGCCAACTGCACTCCAGCCTGGGCGACAGAGCGAGACTCCGTCTCAAAAAAAAAAAAAAAGTTTCGTTCTAGCAGTTGGTTAAATGTGAGCTTGTGGAGACCTGATTATTCTTTTTTTTAATGTTTGCTATCTTTCTGATTTTCGCATAGCCTTAGGGAAAATCCATTAGCCCTAGCATATGGTCTTTACTCCTAGACCATGACCCTTTTGGTATTTCAGTGGAAAGCCTGAAATGTTTAAACCCAGACCTCTAACTTAGCAAGTCTGAAACTCCAGATGGACTGCCCTGTAGTGGGCAGCAGCTGAAATACCTGCTCAGCTCCTCCAGCCTCTCAGCTGCTGTTTTCCTACTGGACTTCTTAGTGGGTTGCCCATGTATACTTCAGGGTTCAGCCAAGTGGTTGTGAGGAGTTTATATGTTCTCTTCTGTAGATCTCTCCTTTCTGAAATTTCTCCTCTCAATTTCCAGCAGCTCTGACAGTCCCAACTCTATCCCCTGACTCCTCTGGAGAATAAGATGACATTTTACTGTACTTCAGTATTTGAGTTCTAGCCTCTCTGCACCAAAAGAAATGGAAAGTTCCCTCAAGAGGAAAAGTCATGTCAACTTGGAGCATACCCAGTATGGTTTGTCAAGAATTGAACCCCCTGCCTACCTCTGCCCTTTTCTGGTTGTTCTTCAGTGGTCTTAAAAAGTTAATTTTTTCTAAGTAAATATTTTTTCAGAGTTTATAATTATTATCTTTAATAAGAAGAGTTAGTCTGATATAAGCAACTCTGTCATTGTTGAACTTAAAACTTGTGGTTTATAGTTATCAATTAGATTGTGTATTAGTTATCTATTGCTGAGTGGCAGTCATTCTAAAAATGCAGCTGCTTAAAACAACAAACACTTGTTTTCCAGCACAGATAGTGGCTTTGCTGAATGTTTCTGATTCAGGGTCACTGGTGAAGTTCCAGTCAAGCTGTTGGCTGTGATTGTAGTCTGAAGACTTGACTGAGTCTGGAGGATTCACTTCCAAGATGGGTTACTTATGGGGCTGTTGGCTGGAGTCCCTGATTCCTCACTGTGTGTACCTTTCCAGAGGGTTGCTTGAGTGTCCCCATAACATGGTAGCTGGCTTTCTTTATAACAAGTGATTCAAGAGAAAAAGCAAAACCAAACCAGCAATGTCTTTTATGACCTCATCTCAGAAGTCATGTACCATCTCTTCAGCCATACTCTGTGCATTAGAAATGGATCACTAAGTTTAACAATACACTCAAGGGGAAAGAAATTTGGTCGCACCTTTTGAGTAGAAAGGTGTCAAAAAACCTGTGGACATAGTTTAACCAATTTTCTTTGTAAAACTGCACATTCCTTATAAATGTTGTCACATAAAAATAATTAAATCAACTGAAAGAAACAGGAACTGTCCAAATTATATCTTAAGAAATAGCCAGGCGTGGTGGCTCATGCCTGTAATCCCAGCACTTTGAGAGGCGGAGGTGAGCAGATCACCTGAGGTCAGGAGTTCCCGAACAGCCTGCCAACATGGTGAAACCCTGTCTCTACTAAAAATATAAAAATCAGCTGGATGTGGTGGTAGGGGCCTGTAGTCCCAGCTACTTGGGAGGCTGAGGCAGGAGAATTGCTTGAACCTGTAAGGTGGAGGTTTCAGTGAGCCAAGATCGTGCCACTGCACTCCAGCCTGGGCAACAGAGCGAGACTCCATCTCAAAAATAATAAAAAAGAAACAAAACTCCTTCAACCCCCAGTTTCCCTAGGTGTGTTGCCTTCAGGTGCATTAGCACCTACCCTGGGGAGAAATTTTACACTGTCAGGAATCCACAGAGGCATGTGCCATCTTCATTGTTTCCAGAGAGGAGAGTGGGGTACCCCTGTGCGGTCACTGGTCCCTGATGTCTTTCATTTTAGAGAGACTTTAATTTTATATTAAGTTGTCAAGCTGTACATTGATGATTTGTGCCCCCTTTTCATATATAATTTTTTAATAAAAATCTGTTTAAAGTTTTTATGGGCTGGGCATAGTGGTTCACACTTGTAATCCCAGCACTTTGGGGGTTGAGGCAGGAAGACCTTTTGAGCCCAGAAATTTGAGACCAACCTGGTCAACATAGTGATACCCTGTCTCTACAAAAAATTTTGAAAAATTTAGCCGGGCATGGTGGCATGTGCTTGTAGTCCCAGCTACTTGGGAGGCTGAGGTGAGAGGACCACATAAGCCTAGGAGGTCGAGGCCGCAGTGAGCCATGATTGCGTCATTATACTCCAGCTGGGTGACAGAGTGAGACCCTGTCTCAAAAAAACAAAGTAAAGTTCTTATGATGTCACATTTGTTCATCTTCCTTCATGACTCTTGAGTTTGGGATCTTGCCCAAGATAGTAAACCTGTTTTGTATTTCCTCTAAAAACTTAGTTTTAGGACAATAATTGGTCTTAAAATTTTTATGGTTTTCTCTTTCCTGTTTAGCTTTTTTTTTTTTTTTTTGAGACAGAATCTCACTCTGTCACCCAGGCTGGAGTGCAGTAGCATGATCTCAGCTCACTGCAACCTCCACCTCCTGGGTTCAAGCAATTCTCCTGCCTCAGCCTCCCGAGTACCTGGGATTACAGGTGCCCACCACCATGCCTGGCTAATTTTTTTGTATTTTTTATGTAAAGACGGTGTTTCACTATGTTGGCCAGGCTGATCTCGGACTCCTGACCTCAGGTGATCCACCTGCCTCAGCTGCCCAAAGTACTGGGATTACAGGTGTGAGCCACTACAACCAGCCTTTCTGTTCAGCTTTTTGATCCATATGGAATTTATTTCTGTGAGTAGTGTGAAAGAGAGATCCCCCCAAATCAATATTTGGTGATTGCCACACGTGGCCCTCATCACATCCTAGATCCCCATATGGACACTGGGTCTGCCCTTACGTTTCCTTAGTCAGTTCCTTCATAAGCCCTAACAATACCACGCTTTGAATTATTACAGTCAGTTTAGGAGAGTTTTGGGGTTTTGTTTTTGTTTTTTTGGTAACTGATAGGGCAAATTTTCTCTTATGGTTCCTTTTCAAAAATTACTTGGCTATTCTTGCACATTTTCTCTTTCAGATGAACTTGAGAATCTGCTTGTCAAGTTCCATTAAAAAAAAAAAAGCCCTGTTGGGATTTTGATTGGGATTGCTTGGAAATTATAGATTAATTGGGGGAGAATGACATCTTTACAATATTGAGTCTTCCCACCCAGGAGCATGGTATGTTTTTATTTATTCAGGTCTTCTTTTACATTGTTTTTTAAAGTTTTATCACTTTCTCCATATCGATTTTATACATTTCTTATTAGATATATATCTAGATTTTTTAAAAATTTGTATTTCTAATTGGTCATTATTGAAACGGATATAGGAAAGCTATTGATTTTTGTATGTTGGGTTTTGTTTCTGGTCACCTTATTGATCTCTGTGGGTGCTGTTGTTTTTCCGTTGGATTCTCTTGGCTTTTCTGGAGAGATGTTAAATAATAGCTATCTGTAAATATAATGGTGGTTTTATCTCTTTAATATTAATAACTCTCTTTTTCTTGCCTTATTTGAATATGTAGCAGTTCCTGATGAATATTGAATAGTGGTGGTTTATAGGTTCTGTTTGATTTCTGACTTATACAGGAATACTTCTAATTTTATGCCATTTGTAAATGTCTTCCCTGTAGTTACCCTTTATCAAGTTGAGAAAATTTTATTATATTCCTAGATTTCTAAGAGATTTAATCAGGAATGGATGTTGAATATTTAAAAGTATCTATTGAGATTATTATATTGTTTTTCAACTTTATTGTTTAATCTGTGTAGTGTAATAAGTTACATTAATAGATTTCCTAAACTGGGCTAGGCACAGTGGCTCACGCCTGTAATCCCAGCACTTTGGGAGGTCAAAGTGGGTGGATCACCTGATGTCGGGAGCTCGAGACCGGCCTGGCCAAAATGTTGAAACCCTGTTTGTACTAAAAATACAAAAATTAGCTGGGCATGGTGGCAGGCACCTGTAATCCCAGCTACTCGGGAGGCTGAGGCAGGAGAATCGCTTGAACCTGGGAGACAAAGGCTGCAGTGAGTCGAGATGACACCACTGCACTGCAGCCCTGTAAGACTTTGCCTCAAAAAAAAAAAAAAAAAAATCCTAAATTGGAAACTTTTTCTTTCATTTTTGAAATAAGTTCCATTTGCTCATGAGTATTGTTGTTTTGATACATCTGCATTCAACTGCTGATGTCTTCTTATGGTTTTACAACTTCATTTATAAAATGGATAGAATCACAGTTTCTGTGTTTTGTGATGTTTCTCTCTAACTTGTTTATCAGAGTCAGGCCAGTCTCGTAGAAAGAGTTAGGAAACTTTCTTTTCCTGTGCTCTGAAATAGTTAATATATTGTGGATAGTGCCTGATTTCTGAAGTGTTGGTAGAGCTGATTAACTAGTCTGATTGGATATGGTGACTTTCAAAAGGACTAGACCTATTCAGGTTTTCTGTTTCTTCTTGAGGAGATTTTTGTAATTAAATCTTCCTAGAAAATCATCAATTTTTCAAGATTTTCAAATATATGACATAAATTCAATATCATATGCTCGTAATTTAAAAGTACATCCTCCATGTTTATAGTTATAATTGTTTCTAATCTTATTTGTGACATCTCCTCTTTTTTCCTTGATTGATGAAAAATTTCTATTTTTAATAAAATAGGTTTTTTCACCTCAGTGTCATACAATATACCCATGTAATAAATTTGCACATATAACCCCTGAATCTAAAGTAAAAGTTAAAATTATAAAAAATAGTGTACGTAAAAATAAAAAAAAACAGGCTTTTGCAGAGAACTAGGTTTTTTTTAATTGAGTTCCTTTATTTTCTGCATCATAAATTTCTGCTTTTACTTATTTATTAATTCCTTCAGCTTTTAAATTTGTTGTTGCTGTGTTCTAATTCCTTGAATGGAATGTGTATTTAGTTCTTTATTTTCAGGATTTTATGTGTTCTAATAAATAAATAAATAATCATACATTCTCCTTTCATCACCTCTTACTAGTTTAATTATATGGTGCTTTTCTTGCTATATATTTCTGAATAATTGTACGTTTCAGCTTAGATTTTTCTCTTTAACCCAGGAGTTATTTAGAAGAGATTTATAAAATTTTTCAACTGCGTAGATTTTCTGATGCTCCTTTTGTTGTTAATTTTTAAGTTTCTTATATTGGGTTCACAGAATGTTCTGTATATTTTCTGCCTTTTGGAATTTCTGGAGAATATCTTTGTGTCCTAATACACGTTCAGTTTTTGTGAATATGCCAATGGGTGTTTGCATTAGTCCGTTTTCACACTGCTGATAAAGACATACCCAAGACTGGGAACAAAAAGAAATTTAATTGAACTTATAGTTCCACATGGCTGGGGAGGCGTCAGAATCATGGTGGGAGGTGAAAGGCACTTCTTAACATGGCGGTGGCAAGAGAAAAATGAGGAGGAAGCAAAAGCAGAAACCCCTGATAAACCCATCAGATCTCATAAGACTTATTCACTATCACGAGAATAGCACAGGATATAATATAATATAGTAGCTTTTCCAGGCACATGGTACAAGCTGCCAGTGGATCTACTATTCTGGGGTCTGGAGGATGGTGGCCCTCTTCTCACAGGTCCACTAGGCAGTACCCCAGTAGGGACTCTTTGTGGGGGTTCTGACCCCACAATTCCCTTCTGCACTGCCCTAGCAGAGGTTCTTCATGAGGGCCCCACCCCTGCAGCAAAGTTCTGCCTGGGCATCCAGGTGTTTCCCTACAGCTTCTGAAATCTAGGTGGAGGTTCCCAAACCTCAGTTCTTGACTTCTGTGCACCTGCAGGCTCAACACACAAGTGGAAGTTGCCAAAGCTTGGGGCTCCCACCCTCTGAAGCCACAGCCCAAGCTGTACGTTGGCTCCTTTCAGCCACGACTGACGTGGCTAGGACACAGTGCACCAAGTCCTTAGGCTGCATACAGTACGAGGACCCTGGGCGTGGCCCATGAAACCACTTTTTCCTCCTGGGCCTCTGGGCCTCTGATGGGAGGGGCTGCTGTGAAGGTCTCTGACATGGCCTGGAGACATTTTCCCATGGTCTTGGGGATTAATGTTAGATTCCTTGTTACTTATGCAGATTTCTGCAGCCGGCTTGAATTTCTCCTCAGAAAATGGGATTTTCTTTTCTACTGCATCATCAGGCTGCAGATTTTCTGAACTTTTATGCTCTGCTTCCCTTTTAAAACAGAATGGCTTTAACAGCACCCAAGTCACCTTTTAAATGCTTTGCTACTTAGAAATTTCTTCTGCCAGATACTCTAAATCATCTTTCTCAAGTTCAAAGTTCCACAGATCTCTGGGGCAGGGGCAAAATTCTGCCAGTCTCTTTGCTAAAACATAACAAGAGTCACCTTTGCTCCAGTTCCCAATGAGTTCCTCATCTCCATCTGAGACCACCTGACCATGGACCTTACTGTTCATATCACTATCAGCATTTTTGTCAAAGCCATTCAACAAATCTCTAGGAGGTTCCAAACTTTCCCACATTTTCCTGTCTTCTTCTGAGCCCTCCAAACTGTTCCAGCCTCTGCCTGTTACCCAGTTCCAAAGTTGCTTCCACATTTTGGGGTATCTTTTCAGCAATGCCCACTCTATGGGCACCAATTTACTGTATTAGTCCATTTTCATGCTGCTGATGAAGACATTCCCGAGACTGGGAAGAAAAAGAGATTTAATTGGACTTACAGTTCCACGTGGCTGGGAAGGCCTCAGAATCATGGTGGGAGGCGAAAGCCACTTCTTATATGGTGGTGGCAAGAGAAAAATGAGGAGGAAGCAAAAGCAGAAACCCGTGATAAACCTGTCAGATCTCATGAGACTTACTCTCTATCACAAAAATAGCACAGGAAAGACTGGCACCCATGATTCAATTACCTCCCCCTGAGTCCCTCCCACAACATGTGGGAATTCTGGGAGATTCAATTCTAGTTGAGATTTGGGTGGGGACACAGCCAAACCATATCAGTGTTTGAAGAGTATTTTTATTCTATGCTCATTGAGTAAAAAAAATCTGTATCAGATTAGGGATTGCAACTGGTAGCCCATAAGCTGCCTTTGGCCTGCAGACATGTTTTGTTTGACTCACACAAGTGTATTTTTGAAAACTTGAGTAAACATTTACAAATCACAGTATTTTATGTAAAAATATGGATTTGGGGCTTTCTATGAAAGCTTAGAAGCTCTGGCTGTGCTGGGCCCTCATTCCTTAATGGCAACAGTCGGCTACGATTGCTCCTAACTCAAAGGGCAGTCTACCCGTCCCCGGGTGGCCTTCACAGACCTGGCTGCTTCAGCCATTTACCCTGCCTGCCTGATACCTTTAGGCATCAGCCTCTATCACCTGTGTGTTCTATCAAGTTCATTCAGAAGTTCTGGAGTCTTTCTTACTTTTTGTCTACCTGATCTGTTTCTGAGAAGGAATGCTGGTTTCCATGATGATTATGGATGTGTCAGTTTCTTTCCGTTTTCGCTGTACACATTTTATAGCTATTTACAAGGTACATTACAAGGTATAATGAATCTTCATCAATATAAAATCCTCTCTATCTCATTTTTGCCCTTTAATTGTACTTTGGCTGATATAACACCTGTACTTTGATTGATAAAAGTAGCACACTTGCGAATTTATTTTATCATCCTTCTTCTCATATATTCTTTATTTCTAATGTTGGTTTTATAAGCAGCATGTATCTGGATTTATATTTTAACACAATTGAAGAGTCTCTTTAAAGAAGGACTTTGTTATATTCATACATGTGCTGATTTCAGATATCTTTGGATTTATTTCTATTGTATTTGTTTTTATCTATTCATCCATCCATCCATCCATCCATCTGTCCGTCCATCTGTCTACCAATCTGTCTTTACCTGCCTTTTGCTGGTTAGATGTAGTTTCTTCTCTTTTCTTTCATTCTAATGGGTTGAAATTTTTACATTCTAAATCTGTTTTTCTGTTACTCTTTAAACACAGTTATTGGGACTTATGTTTCTCTACAGTGTTTAGCGCTAATCAGTACTTAACTCTTTCACCTGAGCAACATAAGAAACTTACCATAGCTCCACTCCTCTGCCATCTTCTGTCTGTCGTCACCTCCTTGAATTGGGATAATTCAAAAATTTAACTCCATATTATTTTTAACAAGTTTACATCATGCATCAACAATTGTGTGAGCTTAAGTATAAAGTCTAATTAATTTCTTTGGTCACCATTGTTTCTTTTTTCTTACATCTTTGTATGTGATTTTTTTATTTTACTAGATTTTCTCATCTATTAAATTATTCATTCTCTTAAAAGATATTTTGAGTGCTTGCTATAGGTATGAATGGTTATATAGATAGTAAATTTTCTGAGTCCTTGAAGTCTAAAAATGTCATTATTTTCTCCCTACAAATTTGGCTAGGTTTTGACTTTAAGTTCAAGATAATTTTCACTCATAATTTAAAAGGTATTACCCCATGGTCTTTGGTATTCAGTGTTGCTGACAAGGGGCGTCTCTTTGTCTCAGGTGAATTTTTTTGCTCTGAAGTCTACTTTATCTGATATTAATATAGCTACTTCTACTTTCCTTTGATTAATGGTTGTACAGTATACGTTTTTCCATCCTTTTACTTTCAACTTGCCTATATTGTTATATTTGAATTGAGTCTCCTGTAGATAACATATATTTGGGCCATTTTTTAAAATTTATTTTTCTTTTATAAAAATTTTTATTAATTTGAAGAGTACAATACAGTAGAAATTGCCTCTTTTTTCTTTTATTGATAAATGACATTTCACATATTTAAGAGGTACCTGTGAATGTTTTCTACATGCATGGAATGCAGAATGATCAAGTCAAGGCATTTGGGGTATCCGTCATCTTGGGTGTTTATCATGTCTATGTGTTGGTAACATTTCAAGTCCTCTCTTCTACACTGAAATATTTAACATATTGTTGCTAACTGTAGCCCCCCGGTCTGCTGTCAAACGTGGGCCATGTTTTTAGATTCACTTGCCAATCTCTTTTAGTTACTATATTTAGATGGTTAATATTTAATGTAATTATTGATACATTAGGGGTTAAGTCTGCCATTTTAACTTCTCTATTATTTTCCTCTGTATTTAGTTTCTCTGTTTTTTTTTTCCTGCCTTCCTGTGGGTTACTTGAACACTTTTTAAAATCTCACTTGGTTTATAATGTTTTTGAGTATGTCTTCTTGTATAGCTTTTTTAGTGGCTACCCTTGGTATTACATTATGCACATGTAACTTCTCACAATCAATTTTATGGGTGTTGTCACTTTACCAGCGTGAGGTACAGAAACCTTACCTTCCTTTATATCCCATTATTCTCTCCCATTTATATTTGTAATATACATACATATTAAACATACATTCATTTAGAACCACATCAGACAGTGTTGTAATTTTTGCTTCAACCATCAAATGTAATTTAGAAAACTTGAAAGTAAACTTGGTGAATCTGTAGGTTTATATCTCTTGCCAAATTTGGAGAGCGTTTAGCCATTATTTCTTCGAGAACTTTTCCAGCCCCCACTACTTTTTTTCCTCCTCCTCCTCCTCCTCCTCCTCCTCCTCCTCCTCACTCCTCCTCCATTATTAGAGACAGGGTCTCGCTGTGTTGCTCAGGCTGGAGTGCAGTGGGGCAGTCATAGCTCACTGTAACCTCGAACTCCTGGGCACAAGCAATCCTCCGGCCTTGGCCTCCCAAAGGGCTGGGATTACAGGTGTGAGCCACCACTCCTGGCCCTTTTTCCTCTCCTCCTGTCCACTCTAGTGACATGAAGTTTAGGTCTTTGTTATAGTCTCACAAGTCCCTAATGCTCTGTTCATATTTTTAAATTTTTTTCTTTATGTTGTTCAGATTGGGTAATTTTATATATATATATATATATATAATTTTCCAGTTCACTCTTTCTTCTGTCCTGTGGGTTCTATTACTGAGCCCATCACTGAGCTTTTTGATTATTGTATTTCCAGTTCTAATAATTCTACTTGGTTCCTCTTTATATCGTGTATTTCTTTGCTGAGACTTTCAGTTTCTTTATTGAGACTTTCTATTTTTTCATTTGTTTTAGGCATATTTGTAATTGCTCACCTAGGTGTTTTTTTCATGGCCTCTTTAAAATCTTTATTAATATACAACTAGTATATCCTTAAAAATTAAAAATAATTTTAAAAGGTAAACCTAAAAAGAGGAAGAAAATGAATAAAATGTCTGTCAGATGGTTCCAGCATCCGTTTCCTCCATGTTGGCATCGGTGATTGTCTGTCTTTATGCATTTGAGATCTTCCTATTCGTTCTTGGAATGACATGTGATATTCCTTTGAAACCTGTACATTTTTGCATTATGTTATGAGGCTATACCTGACTTCAGCCTTCTGTTTCAGCTGGCTTCTCTGGCCCTGTTGCTGCAGAGGACAAGGGGTACCATTTCATTATTGTCAGGGGTAGGTTGTCCAGGGCCCCCATTCAGCCTCCGCTGATACCCAAGCGTGGGAAGTCTCCTTATCAGTGCTGAGAAGGGGCAGTGGTTCCCACTCCCTGTGTGCCTCCCATGACCCCACAGTGCAGGTCCCCTCATTACTGTGAGCAGCAGTGAGCCTCCTGACTCTCCACCAGGCATCCTGACACAACTCCAGGGGATGGAGGGGACACGTTGTTACTGCTGGGTGTGGTTGGAAGACCAGGCTCATGGCATGGTATCTGCTGGCACCATGCAAGTGGGCCCCTTTTGAGGTTGCTGGAGGTAAAAGCGCTGCTTCCTACCTGCTGTTTCCTGACATGCCCCAGCAGTGAGGTCGGGCACCTCATTTCGTCCTCGCATGGGTGGAGGTCTAGGCTCGCCACTCAGGCTGTGCTGCCATAGGTCGGGGTGGTACCACGGTTCCTTGCTGTGGTATTTGGCCTACTTATTGTGTATGGTTTTTTCCATTTGTTCTATTGGCCCTGTCTCGTCGGGTCCCTCTGTTCTTGTTCATGTTGCTTTTTAATTGGGTGCCCCTCTTTCTTGGGATGGGTTTTCCTCAAACATGGGCTGCTTCTTGGTCGTCCACCCCTGCATGTGCTCACAGATCCCCATGTGGCTGTGGGTGGTTGTCTGGTCTGACGGCAGGGGTCTTTCTGTGATGTGGAGTGGAGGGAGCTGTTGCTTGATAGCATTTCTTCTGAGAAGGGTGCGAGGCGGACTCCCCGCTCCCAGGGCATCGTCCTGGTGCTCTGGCCTTAGGACCCTGTCTCACTGCACCAGCCTCAAGATGACTCTGCTGCTGTCCCCACTCAGCCTGGAGGCTGAGACCTGCCACCCTAGCTCCTTACTCCGAGGCCTGTTTGGGGCTCCTCCTGTCCTTGCACGCCCAGCCTGGCACCTTCCTCAGCTCTGGAATTGTTCCCCACTCAGAAGTCCTCGCGCCAGGACCCCGCCTCCTGCTGCTACCTGATGCCCTCTGCTTCCCGTCTTTCCTCAGTGCCTCAAGACAGCTCGTCTGTGCTGATCTTGTTTCCCAAGGCTGGTTCAGATTTGTTCGTTCTAAGTTTTATTCCTAGGGATCCAGGCCCTGGGGAGAGGTAGGCTGCGTGCTCAGTCTTCCTCCTGGGTTGGGTCTCTTGAGTCTTTTCACTGTGGTGCAGATGGTGACACCTCTTGCCGATTGCTGTTGGTTGCCAAGCACTTGTAGTCATCTTTGCATCCAGTTCTTAGTGTGCCTCTGTGCGCTGGACATGATCATGGCCGTTTCCCACCAGGGGAGACTAACAGAGAGATGAATTGCCACATCTGGGTTCACACAGCTGCCAAGAGGCAGCGCAGAGGCTTGAGCTCAGGCCTGTTGCCCTGAAGCCTGGATTCCACCTTTGCAATCATAGCCTTCTGATGCTAGGACATCGCGGTGACCAGATGAGAACAGCTGCCACCAAGCCCAGTGGCCAGAAACAGAAGCAGAAGGGGAAGCCTTCGCAGTGTATAACTGTATACTTCTTGACTGAATTCTGATTCCTTCCAAGCATATTTTGGCCTCGCCTCTTCCTCCTGGCCTAAAAAGGTATGATAATGGGAACAGCACAGGAGGGAGCGAGAGAGGGCAGCAGGCATTTCCTAGCCCCTCTTCTTATTCATCCTTTCTTTGCTCTCTTGCTCTGTTCACCTTTTTGTCTTTTTAATTTTGACCTGGCACATAGTTCTCCTTCTCTCTCTCTCTAATGCTCCTTCCCTCCCAGCCCTTCTGCTTCAGGGTGGCATTGGTGGTGGGGGGCTCCAGACTTGGCTGCCTCCACTGCCATCAGCTCACCTCCAAGGTGAGTGCAGGCTGAGCTTCATGGCAAGCCCTTCCTGCTGGGGCCTGCAGAATTCTAAAGGCCCTGGCCAAGCACAGTGGCTCACACAAAATCCCTGCAGTTTGGGAGGCCAAGGCAGGAGGATCACTTGAGGCCAGGAGTTTGAAACCAGCCTCAACAACATAGTGAGACCCTGTGTCTACAAACAATTTAAAAATTAGCCAGGCATGGTGGCTTATGCCTGTAATCCCAGCCACTCAGGAGGCTGAGGCAGGAAGATCTCTTAAGCCTAGATGTTTGAAGCTGCAGTGAGCAATGATTGTGGCACTGCACTCCAGCCTGGGCAACAGAGCAAGACTCAAACTCAAAAAAACAAACAAACAAAAAAGTGTGAAGGCCCCTCCCAGAATGCAGGCTGAGGATGTGATCCCATCCACTGCACCAGGTCCTCCTGGCTTCGTGCCCCATGCGGCATCCTTTGAGAAAAGCTTGCTGGGGAGCCAGGTGTGCTGGCTTGGCCGGAGTGGAACCTGCTCTCTCAGGGAGGCTTGCAATATGCAGGGGAGGTGAGTGGAGCCCTCACCCCTTTAACTTTACCAGGCTTCTACCCTTTAGCAAGTTCCTCACGTGTGCTGATACTTAACCAGATTCAGACACTTTCCTAAGGCAGGAGGGGTGTCATGAGGGACACTGCATTATGGTACACTTTCCCTGCATTTTTTTTTTTTTTTTGAGACGGAGTCTTACTCTGTCGCCCAGGCTGGAGTGCAGTGGCACGATCTCGGCTCACTGCAAGCTCCGCCTCCCGGGTTCACGCCATTCTCCTGCCTCAGCCTCCCGAGTAGCTGGGACTACAGGCGCCCGCCACCGCGCCCGGCTAATTTTCTGCCTTTTTAGTAGAGACGGGGTTTCACTGTGTTAGCCAGGATGGTCTCGATCTCCTGACCTCGTGATCCGCCCGCCTCGGCCGCCCAAAGTGCTGGGATTACAGGCGTGAGCCACTGCGCCTGGCCTTGTATTTTTAATAGAGACAGGGTTTCACCATGTTGGCCAGGATGGTCTCGATCTCCTGACCTCGTGATCCGCCCGCCTCGGCCGCCCAAAGTGCTGGGATTACAGGCATGAGCCCCCGCGCTCAGCCTCCCTGCTTTTCAGAAGCATCGCCAGTCCACAGGGCAGGATCCCTGAGGCTGGTCTGGAGTAGGCTGCATTTGGGGCCTGCAGCAAGGGCAGCTGGAGACCGCAGGGAGCCCTCCCACCTGACAAACAGAAAAGCTCCCCTGCTCCGGCCCCCGGATATAGGTGCATCTTTTCAGACCATGTTTGCCCTGTTTCTGGGAAGGAAAAGTAAACGGCAGCGACCAGATTCCTGTTGGTGTTTTTGCTCCATATTTTGATTGGGGAACTGAATCATGTTTTTCCTTTCATAAACACGAAAATGTTAAGTACATAACAGCTAAATTAATCCATGCCCATAAATTGGTTAATTATGTTAATTCTGAGTCACAGAATTCAGTCTCGTTAGTGTTTCCATTAAGCAGTTTAGGCCTGTGAGCATTTTAAGAGAACAGTTTAAGCTGTAGATTAATCTTCAAAGGTTCCCAGCGCATTTTCAACTGCAAGAGGATTTTAAATGCACTGGGGGGCTTGGGGGGATTTGGTGAATGTTAGGAGCTGCTGCTGTCAGGGAGCGGGTGTTCCCCACTTCCTCGTCCCTCACCTCCCCCAACACATCCAAGGCCCCTGCCTGCTAGATCTGAGCATCGCCAGGCTAAGCAGGAGCCATAGGAAGGAGGAGATGGGCAAGAACTGGCATAGCCCCTTCTGCCCTGTGTCTCCCTGGTGGCCATGCCCTCCTCAGGCCGCCCTGCTGCAGACACCCGCAGAGAATGGGTGAGGCTAGCTCTCGAATGCTGTGGGCTGCATAGCCCTGGGTTCCTGAGAGGGCTGCTGAGGGGCTTTCTTCCTGGGTGTACATAAGAAAGAAGCAGAGAGACAGGAAGAGAGCACGCTGAGTCTTAGAAACAAGCTCCTGGGTGGCCTTTGTTCATGGCGGCATGAACGTCTCCTTTTCGCCGTCCGTGTCCCCTTCAGAGGTCCGTTCAGGATATGGGTTTGCTTTCTTGGCACGTGCGCCTCCTCTAGGGTTCCTTGCCGTACTTGCGTGTGGTGCAGATGTACGGGTGCTCCATCTGGCTCAGAAGCCTGCTGTCCTGTCCTGCATCCCAAGCTGCCGGCTCTCACTGGCTTCCTGTGTGTGCCTGGGCCATGCACTTCTGTTCTCCAGCCCTCATTCCCTAGCGGGGAGACCGTGAAAGGGTCAGCCTCGATGTCAAACCTCTAGACCATGGCTAAGGCTTTTCCAGGTTTTGTATTGTTCTTTGAAGAATCAACAGGACCCGATTATCAAAGAGAGACCTGTTTAAATATGTACAATCATTTTCGGTATTATTTAGGTTTGGCAAGGCCAGCAGATGAGGAGACCACTGCCATGCATTGAAAAGGTGGTTTGTTCCAGTTCCCAAGAGGATGCGTCCCAGTACCGTATGTGGGGCCACACAGAGAAGCAGCGGGTTCTGTCAGGAGGCAGGAGAGAGGGGAAGACACGGGCCAGAGGCCTTGTGGTGGTTTCTGTGGGAAGGAGTGGGTGAGGCAGAGAAGGCAAGTTCAGAATCAGCTAGGCTGAATAATTTCAGCAGACTCAGGGGAATAGGGGCTGTCCCTAGCTGCCTGACACCTGGCCTTGGGTGGTTAGGTTAAGGGAGTAGTGACCTGGTGTGTGAGAGCCCATGATGGAGGTGGCTGGGGTGTAGACTCTGGATTGGTTGGCTTGCATGTGAAAAGCACACTCCTGATGGGTAGTTTACTATCCCGAGACCCTGGGTAGCGCCTGAAGGAACAGTCTCCCCAGGGTCAGCAAGCCCCAGATGTCAAAGCATCAGATACTGAAAATACAAGAGGAAGGGGAGAAGATGGATGATACCAAAGTTATCCCAGACGCAGTACCAGGGCCAGGGCCTCAACTTAGCTTTTCATTAATCTTCTCAACTGCCTTGGCAGATAAATATTGTAGAAAACATGATTTAGAGAGGCTGAGACTATGGCCCAAGGTCATGCAGAGCCGACATTCCGCTCCAGGACTCTCTGACCCCAGCTGTCTTCCCCCTACCATGAGCTGCTCTGTATCTTGCCAGGGGCCATACCCTTGCCACACCACACTGCCAGCCTCCCACGCTGGTCACGGCCCTTCTCTTGGAGGTCGCTGGCTGAGAGAGCTGCGCACCTGTGTCCGTGACACAGCTGTGGAGATGGGACGCCAGACACATGGACCACAGACTGGGGAACCAGTCTCAGTTATCACGGGACCTGACCTGGGACAGACCTCATCTCCTGGATCCAGGGCTGCATGCAGGACATGCCCATAAGGAGCGTCGCTGGCTACAGCTGTGTTTCCACTGTAGAAGGAGGTGGAGTGGCTCCATCAGGGCATCAGGAACAGAACAGGAAGCAGGAAGAGATTTGGCTTGGTGATCCCCCGCGCGTCCCCACACACTTCATGTCACGATGGCGAACGTAGGTCTGCCTTGACAACTCGGCAGACCACAGCTCCCTGGAGCTCCTAGAACAAGGCTGTCCTGTGGGGGCATAGTTAGCAATTTGAAAGCCGTGTCTATTGTCTTAGGTGATAATGAGGGTTGACAGAAACCTTTTAGGATTGTAGCATTTCTAAGTAACTGTTGAAACCTTACTTGGCCCGGAATGGCTGCTCATAGAACAGAATGTGCTATAGTTTTACTGAAAAAAACAAAACAAAAACAAAACATAATTCTCTGTGGACTTACTAAAATAAACCCAGGGCTAATGAGCAAAATGTGTTGGGGAGGCCTATTTGTCACACTCAGGAAGCGACAGTCTAATTTTATTTGCTCCTGTTCATTGCTTCTGCATTGCCATTCATTCGCTGAAGGCAAAATACATTACTTCTCAATAAACAAAAGTGGGCCCAGCGTGTCCCGCTCCCTGCCTTCCTCCAGCCGTTATCCCCCCGGGCAGGAGGGCTGACTTGTATTGATGTGCATGTGTGCGTGTGTGTGTGTGGGTGTGTGGGCTTGTGGGTGTGTTCTTCCCATTGCTCTTAATGTTGAGCTTCCTAGAAAGTTTTCAGGGGAAATGCTGTGTCTCGTGCTGACTGGGGCCGGCTGCATGTTGATAGGTTCACCTTGCCTTATACAAACCTGCTATTTGGAAAGTCGAGATATAAATTAGAAGCAGGCGGCCGGGTACGGTGGTTCATACCTGTAATCCCAGCACTTTGGGAGGCCGAGGTGGGCAGATCACTTGAGGTCAGGGGTTTGAGACCAGCCTGGCCAGCATGGCGAAGCCCCATCTCTACTAAAAATATAAAAATTAGCCAGGCGTGGTGGTGTGTGCCTGTAATCCCAGCTACTCCAGTGGCTGAGGCAGGAGAATCGCTCGAACCTGGGAGGCGAGGTTGCAGTGAGCTGAGATCACGCCACTGCACTCCAGCCTGGGCGACAGAGGGAGACTCTGTCTGAAAAAAAAAATTAGAAGCAGGGGAAATGGAGGAAAGACAGGTCACTACGGAAAAAAAGTGGCTTTGTTTTTTTTTTTAGCTTCACTAAGTGAGTTGTAAAATCATTCATTTCATCAAGTTCTCCCAGGGCATTTAAAATATTATTGGGTTTAGGAGATTTTATAGGAATGCACGTATTATTTAAAGCAAGGCAAACTGGTGTGATTCCTTCCTGGATGGAGCTTCTGTGGGCAGCTGCAATTGTCAGTGGGGGGATTGGTTCCCATAGCACCCCGAGTTCTTCCCTCAAACACAAAGGCACCAGGTTCTCCAAAGCAACCATCTTCCTTCCACTCAACACTCCTCCCGCCTCACACCCACAGACTCGTCCTTAGAGTGGACTGGGCAGGCGGGTTCATTGTGCCACGCTGTGCTCTGAACCCAGCATGCCCAAAAGCAGTCCGTTAGCAAGCTGACCATGGGGAGTTCATTGCCATCAATGCCATCAAAACAATTTGCCCAAATCAAATTTATACCTGACATTTTATAGTAAATGGGCCTTTCTTTTCTCATTAGAGAAATCATTACTGTTTTTCTTCTCCTTGGCATTTCCAGAGAGCCATTCACATTTAAAGCTCATGTTGGAACAGCAGGCTTCTACTGAAAATATTTACCTTTTCTTTGTTGGCAACTTGTCAGTGTTGGGGAAAATAGATGCTTCATTAAGATCTAAGCGCGTGATGCTTGCTTTCCCACACATCAGTCAGTCTTTTTCCAAGATGAAAAGCATGGTGAGAGGTGTTGGGAAATCATTCTGGTCATATGTTTTTATGTATTTTTGGATGTCTTCTGGCATCCCGTTCTTCTTGTTCAAAAATAGGCATTTCAACACCTATAACTTGTAGAGAGAATCCTAGAACAGGATCAGCTTCACCACTTAGAGCATCAGAATTGGTCTTGACCCCCGGGTGGCCAGTGAGGTCTCCTGCCCTGGAGATCCATGGCTGAAAGTAAGGGCAAAGAGAACCCTGCTGCCATTTATCCAGCAGTTCCGGGGCCAGGGCCTCAACTTAGCTTTTCGTTAATCTTCTTAACTGCCCCGGTAGATAAAAATTGTAAGAAACATGATTTAGAGAGGTTGAGACCATGGCCCAAGGTCATGTGGAAGCGAGATTACACCCCAGGACTCTCTGACCCCACTCTCTTCCCCTACCGTGAGCTGCTCTGTATCTTGCCGGCGGCCACGATCTTGCCAGCCTCTTGCACTGGGCCTGGCCCTGACCCTTCTCTTGGAGGTTCCTGGCTGAGAGAGCTGGACACTTGGGCCCAGTGTCCCTGACACAGCCATGGAGATGGGATGGCAGGCACATGGACCACAGATTTGGGAAAGACCCCACTTCATGTCCACCCGACCCCTCCTCTCCACCCAGAAAGGACAAAATACAGTGAGCTGATGCCACAGCCCATGTGAGCTGGGCCTAGAGGTGGCTCTGCCCTGCCTATAAAAGGGGGAAAGGAACTTACAATAGATGCCAGCAAACCCAGAAACCCAGAGAAGGTTGGCCCCTGTTACGACTCCTTTGATCTTCACAGGGAGGTGAGCTCTTGCTCTATTAAAATTAAGAACCTCTGTTTGTCTAGAGCTACCATAAACACAGTGAGAAGACCAGGCATACACTGGGAGAAGATTTTTATAACCTGCATTACCAACAAAGGATTAATTCTCAGTACAAGCAAAATTAAACAATGTATCACTTAAGCATATATACAATTGTATTAAACTAGTAGTATTTAAAAAGCAATGGCCTGCGAGGTGGGCGGATCACCTGAAGTCAGGAGTTCAAGACCAGCCTGGCCAACGTGGTGAAACCCCGTTTCTACTAAAAAGCACAAAAATTAGCCGTGTGTGGTGGCGGGCGCCTGTAATCCCAGCTACTTGGTTGGCTGAGGCAGGAGAATCACTTGAACCCGGGAGGCGGAGGTTGCAGTGAGCCGAAATGGCGCCACTGTCCTCCAACCTGGGCAACAGAGCGAGACGCCATCTCAAAATAAATAAATAAATAAATAAATAAAGGCAATGGCATGAATAATCCAAAAATTCTGATCATTTTCCTCTGAGAAGCTGGGGGTGACAGGGAGGACACAGAAGTAGAGGCCCCCAGTGGGTCACGTTCTTGTTCTTGCATTGGGCTGCAGGGTTCATGGGTATCCGTTTTTTTATTAGGCTTTATAACTAACGTGTATGTGACATACAATCTTTTGTGCTTATCAAGTCATGTGTTTTTAGAAAACAAAAAGAAAAACCAATCAGTTATTGTTACTACCTCCATTTTTTTTTCTCTCTCTTTTTTTTTAATTATTATTATACTTTAAGTTTTAGGGTACATGTGCACAATGTGCAGGTTAGTTACATATGTGTACATGTGCCATGCTGGTGTGCTGCACCCATTAACTGGTCATTTAGCATTAGGTATATCTCCTAATGCTATCCCTCCCCCCTCCCCCCACCCCACAACAGTCCCCAGAGTGTGATGTTCCCCTTCCTGTGTCCATGTGTTCTCATTGTTCAATTCCCACCTATGAGTGAGAACATGCGGTGTTTGGTTTTTTGTCCTTGCGATAGTTTACTGAGAATGATGATTTCCAGTTTCATCCATGTCCCTACAAAGGACATGAACTCATCATTTTTTATGGCTGCATAGTATTCCATGGCGTATATGTGCCACACTTTCTTAATCCAGTCTATCATTGTTGGACATTTGGGTTGGTTCCAAGTCTTTGCTATTGTGAATAGTGCCACAATAAACATATGTGTGCGTGTGTCTTTATAGCAGCATGATTTATAGTCCTTTGGGTATATACCCAGTAATGGGATGGCTGGGTCAAATGGTATTTCTAGTTCTAGATCCCTGAGGAATCGCCACACTGTCTTCCACAATGGTTGAACTAGTTTACAGTCCCACCAACAGTGTAAAAGTGTTCCTATTTCTCCACATCCTCTCCAGCACCTGTTGTTTCCTGACTTTTTAATGATTGCCATTCTAACTGGTGTGAGATGATATCTCATTGTGGTTTTGTTTTGGATTTCTCTGATGACCAGTGATGATGAGCATTTTTTCATGTGTCTTTTGGCTGCATAAATGTCTTCTTTTGAGAAGTGTCTGTTCATATCCTTTGCCCACTTTTTGATGGGGTTGTTTGTTTCTTTCTTGTAAATTTGTTTGAGTTCATTGTAGATTCTGGATACTAGCCCTTTGTCAGATGAGTAGGTTGCGAAAATTTTCTCCCGTTTTGTAGGTTGCCTGTTCACTCTGATGGTAGTTTCTTTTGCTGTGCAGAAGCTCTTTAGTTTAATTAGATCCCATTTGTCAATTTTGTCTTTTGGTGCCATTGCTTTTGGTGTTTTAGACATGAAGTCCTTGCCCATGCCTATGTCCTGAATGGTAATGCCTAGGTTTTCTTCTAGGGTTTTTCTGGTTTTAGGTCTAACGTTTAAGTCTTTAATCCATCTTGAATTAACTTTTGTATAAGGTCTAAGGAAGGGATCCAGTTTCAGCTTTCTACATATGGCTAGCCAGTTTTCCCAGCACCATTTATTAAATAGGGAATCCTTTCCCCATTGCTTGTTTTTCTCAGGTTTGTCAAAGATCAGATAGTTGTAGATATGTGGCATTATTTCTGAGGGCTCTGTTCTGTTCCATTGATCTATATCTCTGTTTTGGTACCAGTACCATGCTGTTTTGGTTACTGTAGCCTTGTCGTATAGTTTGAAGTCAGGTAGCGTGATGCCTCCAGCTTTGTTCTTTTGGCTTAGGATTGACTTGGCAATGTGGGCTCTTTTTTGGTTCCATATGAACTTTAAAGTAGTTTTTTCCAATTCTGTGAAGAAAGTCATTGGTAGCTTGATGGGGATGGCATTGAATCTATAAATTACCTTGGGCAGTATGGCCATTTTCACAATATTGATACTACCTCCATTTTTACAGATGGGAAAACTGAGGCTCAGTGGGGTCAAACTAGCAGCAAACACACACGTTGAATGCTTACTGTGTGCCAGACCCTTTACACGGATCATCCGATTTCATTTGTTTGACATCCCTCTACATATGATAAGTGTCATCATTGCAGTGTGCAGAAGACTGAGGCTCAGCGAGACGGGAGAACTTCAGAGTCACTACCTGGTCACAGTTGATGGTGAAGGCAAGGTCTTCACCTGTGGCATGCCCCACGTCCCTCCTGCTGGCTCCGAGGCTCACTGTGAGTGACAGCTCCACTCTGTGGACCTCCCCTTGGGAGCAGGCGTCGAGGCATCTAAGTCCACTTGCCTTGTGCCATCTCAGTGCCTGGACACTGGTGGCTACCCTGGGCCGTCCTGCAGCCAGCTCGCTGAGGTAGGAAAGAGAGGAAGGGAAACAGGTGGAGTGAGAAGAGAAGATAGATAACACTGAAGTTACATTTATTCCTACTGCTCATAGTAGGCTTTCAAGCTATGAAGAGATGGCTCTTCCCGTGACTTCAGCCCCATCCTCCATCGCTGCCCACGCCCACGTGGCTGACACTGCCGAATGTCTCTAGCACTGTTGTTGAACTTCTGATGTCTCCTATGCCTCAACCTTGCTATTGCCTTGGTGTAAATTTCTCTGACATTGATTTTGAATACAATTCCAGGCTTTTGGAGCAGAAGTTTCCAGTTAAGCTTGGTGTCCCACCTAAGTGTTAAGGTCAACATGCCGAGCCCTAGAGTGGTCCTCCCTCTCCCACCACCAACTATCCTACCTGGCCTCCCAAGAACTGCCTTTGGTGACTCTTGTATTCTCTGTCTTGCTTCATGCCTGGGAAATTTCAGGGCATATATTAAGGGGAAAACCTTAGGGAAACCTGAACCTTCAAAACTGGGTAGAATGAATGGATGGAATGGAAGAATTTACTGCAGCGAAATCATCTTCAAATTCCTTTTAGGTTGGAAGCTTCTTACCCTGGCAAGTGAAGAAGTACATTTGGTTATATGTTTATAATCCATGTGCTACTGGGTGAAAGATGATAGGACAAGAACATTTGAAATGTATGTGTTAGGGATCTCTGCCCAGCAGTTTCCATCAAAAGAGCACACCCATGATTATCGTACAAATGGATGGGACAGCAGGATTCTACTCACGTAAAATGTTTGTCCCTGAGCACCTAGGGAGGGTGTCACCTCCAGGGTCTCCTTCCTGTTGCTCTTCTGCATGAGTCCTGCACCACCTCTTTTAACCTCAGGGAAAACTTCACTATTTTGTTTTTTAAAGTCAGTCATATTTAAAGTTGCTGCTTTTGAGTATGCACTACGTGTTGATGTAGATTCTGGAATGTAGAACAAACAGGCGCAGACTAGTATGGGTAAGGTGGGGAACCCCTACTTCAGAAGGTGAACCCCAGAAGGAAGCTGCCTGGGCCAGGGGTGTGTGCATGATGGCAGGGAGCTGCAGCCACTAAGCCTTGGAAGAGTCTTTAATGGCACAGGGAAATGCCCTGTATAAAGCTCAGTGGGGGAAAAAAAGGATTTAGAAAGAAAGTATATGCCAGAGGCAAAGAAAAAGACTAGAAGAAAATAACCAGCCAGGTGCAGTGGTGTGCACCTGTGATCCTAGCTACTCGGGAGGCTGAGGTGGGATGATTGCTTGAGCCCAGGTGTTTGAGGCTGCAGTGAGCTATGATCTGTGTCACTGCATTCCAGCCTGGGTGACAGAGTGAGACCCCATCTGTAAAGCAAAAAAAGAAAAGAAAATAGCCAAAATATTATTGGTTATTTCTCTTTTTCCCAAAGTTTGGGCAAGAGCATATACTATTCTTACAATCAGAAGAAGTCCTCTTTTCCATTACGTCTTAAATAGCTCTAAGATTTAGAATTCGTCTTGATGAAGGCATGGTCATCGCACACACAGAGCTGGGCCCCGTGGGTGAGGGGCTCCCGGGGGCCTCTGAGTGGGGAGCTGTGGGTGTCAAGTGGCCATGAAGAGAGTTGACCCAGGGTCGGGTGGCAAGATTCTCTGAGCCCCAGAGAAGTCGACTTTCTGTATCTACTAGAATCCAGGAAGAGTGTGTCCATGGCCGTCATTACCCCCTGCTTCCCCGTTTCATGCCAGGTTTTTCTCAGATGCCTTCTCTGGGGGAGGCACTGTTGCTGGGGCAACTTTCTGGCTGCAGAGGGCACCCAGTAATAAAGGCAAATGCCAAGTATGAGGCAAGAAGGGACGCCCCTGGCTGGGATGGCAGGCATTGGGAGAGGCTTATGGGAGCCCCTCACCCCTCTCTTTTTGGGGTGCTCTCGAGGAAGCTGGACTCTCCACCTCTAAAGACCCCTCCAGGGAACATAGAACCCAAACCCAAATGGAGATGAGCTGGCCAGCGAAGTCCAAGACCCCAGTCCCCTCCATTGCAACCTGGGGTGCGGGCTTCTGTCTTCCAGGTTGAAAGCTCATCATTTGGTTCATCATAAGTTATACGTCGGAGTGGAATTATAAAGGAGAGAGAAACAGATGTGAACTCTCAACAGCTGGGAGAGGTGGAAAGCCTCTGGAGTTCCATTATAGAAATGTGCCTTTTGGCCAGGAGTGGTGGCTCACGCCTGTAAGCCCAGCACTTTGGGAGGCTGAGGCAGGTGGATCACTTGAGGTCAGGAGTTCGAGACCAGCCTGGCCAACATGGCCAAACCCTGTCTCTATTAAAAATAAAAGTTAGCCAGGCATGGTGGTATGTGCCTGTAGTCCCAGCTACTCGGGAGGCTGAGGCAGGAGAATCACTTGAACCCGGGAGGTGGAGCTTGCAGTGAGCCGAGATTGCACCACTGCCCTCCAGCCTGGGTGACAGAGTGAGACTCTGTCTCAAAATAATAATAATAAATAATAATAATAATAATAATAGGTCTTGTTTTTTAAAATAAAAAACAGAAATATGCATTTTTAGATACCAGCAGGACATCATAGCACTGAGGGAAGCTGAACCCTCTCTTTGGGACGTAGCTTGCTTTCTTTTGTTGCCCTGGCCTGAGTTCTTTCACATCAGCCAGCATGGAGAAGAGGAGCCAGTTTTGCAGAATGACTGGGAACAGCCCCTGCTGGGGAGGGACTCTGTGATGCGGTGTCCTCATCCGAGCCTCCTGGGCCCGGGTTCCCGTCGCTGTGTGCCCGGAGCCTGGGCGCCGACACCGAGCCTCCTCTGTGCTTTCAGGCATCCGCATGCTGGACGGCGATGTCACAGATGTGGTCGAGGCAAAGTCGCTGGGCATCAGACCCAACTACATCGACATTTACAGTGCCAGCTGGGGGCCGGACGACGACGGCAAGACGGTGGACGGGCCCGGCCGACTGGCTAAGCAGGCTTTCGAGTATGGCATTAAAAAGGTGTGAGTAACCAGGGCTACAGGGGAGCGCTCTGGGACAAGGGTGACAGTAAACATTTTAACAAGTATCAGAGTGACACTGGCCACAGCCCTGAAACAAGACAGGGAAGACTCTGCTGTGACAGGTGCCAGGGCCAGTGTGGAGGAGTCACTCGGGGAGTCTGAGAAGTGGCTCTTGACCGGCGAGAGCAGAAGTGTTTTTGCCTCGTTCCAGAACAGCTGTTCCAGTGACAGCCAGGTGGCCACTGCTAGCACGACCCTCTCTGCCTTGGAGTTTGCCCATCCCTGGCTGAAGGGGGTACACAGGTGGGTGACGGGGGTCTAAGGCAGCTCACCTGGCCTGTTACTTGGACTCTGCAGGGGCCTCGGCCCACCTGCCCTTAGAAACACCCAGCTGTGGAACTCTGTGCATTCATCGCGGGGTATGTGCTCACCCAGGCCCCGCTGCAGCAGGAAGCAGTGGTCGGGGTGTCCCCCACCAGCGCACAGCCCAGCCCACTTTGAACTTCTCCAGGGGAACCTCACAAGGGGCTAAGCAGGGCAAAGATGCTTCTCTGCCGATGGGCCAAGGGGAGGCTGGCAGGCTCCTGCGAGGCCACCCGCCAGCCACTCTGTGGTCTTTGGTTCCGGATCCTTGTGTGTCAGGAAGGCTGAGGAAGGGGGAGGAGGTGGCTGCAGATGAGCCAGTTCTTACAAACAGGGTGGCAAGGCAGATTTCTGGGTGAGGACAGCTTCTTGGAGCAGGCAGACAGAGCTGTGGTCAGCGTCCAGGAGGCCCTGGGTGGCCGAACAGGTCCCAGCCCAACGTACAATGTGTGGTCAGTGACTGCTGTAGGGAGTGGGGACCAGGGGAGTTCCAGCAGGAAGTCCAGGCTTCTCTGACTCCTCCTGTGGGGGATGGGAGAATGGGAGGGGGTGGCAGGAGTCAAGCCCATTAAATTTATATCGTTTAAAATATTTTTACAGTTCTCATCGTATTATAACCCATGCATAGTGATTGCAGTGTGGCTCATAAACAGCTAGTAAGTCAGTCGGATAGTAGGAAGAGATTATACTGCAAACAGCCTCTCTCTGTCTCTGTCTGCCCACCCCCGAGTCCTGCCCCACGGAGGAGGAATCTGTTTTCAAACCATGTTCATGATTTCCTTTCTCTAAGTAATATCATTTGATGGCTTTCCTGGGTGCGTTGAGTTTGGTCACCATCTGTTAATTTCCTCTTATCAGAATGAGCGTTTTTCTCTCAGGAGACCCCTAGCCCTGCTGCCCTGCCGAAACCCTGGAGTTTCCTCCACTTCTTACCTTTCCCGGGCGTCAGGCCTACACTGCATCCTCTGCCTCCTGCCAGCTGCACCTGCCTGCACCTCCTCCGAAGGACTTGGTGTCACTCTGCAAGTGTGAGGCGGAAGCTTCCTCCTCTACTGCCCCCACCCCCCAACCACTCAGGTCTTGAATGCCTGAGAAACCAATGACCAAATACAGGGTATCTACCCACCTGTCCCTCCGAGTTTAGTACTCACCCAGACACTAAATGTGAGAAGGAAAATTAAGGAAGAGGGGCGGTGTAGACACACACACGCACGCACACAGCATGGGGTCTTGCGGGCATCCTTGGGACACTGGACAGCTTCCTTTATCTCCATTCCCCCAAGAAAACACCGAGGCAGCTTCAATGAGGCTGCTGAGCACCTAAGCCAGGCCCAAGGCTGGGCTGAGTGAGTGCTGGCACACTCGGGTATGACCAAGTCAGCTGCTGCCCACCAAGAACTGCCGAATACATAAATCACCCTTCCATTACTTAGCTCCCAGCTCCAACCCACTAGATCGCTTGGATCTCAGTCTTGATGACAAGCGAGACATCCTAAAAATTAAGCTGAATTTAAGCTTCGGAGAGGGTGGGTAAGCTGGAGGGCGGGTTTCCTGCATAGAACATATTGCTTTGGATGGTGTTCCTGCTGAGCGTCTGTCATTTCTACGGGATGATTTCCAAAGATGGAGCTCCTAGGATGAGGCACCCTCCGTCCAGGAGGGGTCCTGGTTGTTTGGCAGTGATCGTTCGGGCTCTCTGGTTCACTGAGCCTATGGGAGGCTTGGGGAGGTTGGAGCTGCAGAGAGGGATCTTTGCATTCGGAATTCTGAGCAGTGTTGGTTTCATCCAGCTGTCAGGGGAGTGGGGAAGTTGCAGAGGGGACCACGTGGTTTCCCCTCATTCTTGTCACAGTTTTGTGAAATACTGAGGTCATTTGATTTTTTTTCGTCATTTGGAAGTAAAATATGTCATACAGAGAACCTTAAATCGCAACTGTCTCGATCTGTCACTGAAAATCCTCCTAGAAATTTGATGATCTCAAACCAAACCACATTCCCCCATCTGCTTTTCCTCCTTGTGGCCCTATTTGTCGCCTACAGTCTTCTGTAAAATCTGACTTTATCTTTGGTAGATGATGTGGCCCGGCGGTGAGAGACTGTAGAAGCTGTAACTTGGCACAAAGATCTGTTTAACGTTGGTCCTTAGGAAGCCTGGCTCCTCTCACACCTAGTTATTCAGAAGGGACCATTAGACATTGCTGTGGCTAAAGACACTGGCCGCGTCCAGGTGGCCGGTGTTTGCTGGCCCTCAGTCGCGGTGCTTCTGAGCTCATGAAATGAACTCTCCCTCCCCAGGGAAGACATCGAAATACGATTTGATTGGGTTGAAGTTGTGAGTTTACTGAAAAGAAGTGCAAGTTCATGGCTAGGGTTGAAATGTCCCCTACAGCTTCTGTCCCATGGCTTCCATGAAGCCACTGGAAGATCTGGGAAGTGAAAATAAAGTCGTCAGAGACAGTTAAAACATCTCTACACTCCTCAGACCTGGCTGTTTCCTCGCCTCATTTCCATGTCTCCTTCCCAGAAACCGTTTTAAGGAGGGGAAAGGTTGTTGGTACCTTGATGCCTATGAGGATGGGTTGGTCTCATAGTAAATGCATGCTACATGCTGTAAATGCAAACCTTGAGCATTTCAGGCTCTTGGTATTCAAAGTGGGGTCCAGAGCCAGCAGCACTGGCGTCCCCTGGGAGCTCATTAGGGATGCACACTCTCAGGCCCACCCTGGACTTTGGGGCACAAGTCTGCATTGTAACAGGTTCCCAGGTGACTCCAGGGTGTGCACATTCAAGTTTGGGGAGCACTGTTTTTGGCCATTCTCTGCTCCTGGAGCAGTAAGGTTGCATGCTCCACCTTGCAAAAGGACAACATTTTATAAGTCATTTCAAGTGGGGTGGGGAGTTAGGAGTGGCAGTGTCTAGGACTAATTCTCACCTGGAATAAGGACAGGCTCTGATGGGTTAAATACCTTTTGATTTGCATTGTAGTTGCTTTAAACCGGCTTCAGCTGAATCTCTTCCTGCAGGTAATCACGTGCACACACACACCACCTTCCTGAGCTCTTTGTGCCTTTCTCTCAGAAGGTTAGCTTTTCTGGGAGGGACCTTTCTGTTGAGCTCTTGGCCACCCCGACAGGTTCACCTTGCAGATGCAGAAAGCAGAGTGGACGCGGCAGCCTTAAGCAGCGGGGCTGCGTGAGCTCCAAGAACTTTCCTGTGGGCTTTCTTGGGAGCCTCAAGTTGGAGCTGGAGTCTCCTTGGTTTACAAACCCCCGTGGTGTGAGCGTACAGAGCAGGCGGGTCCACTCATTGTGCTCCAAAAGTGAGTGTGACATGTTTGGTCAGCAGCAGGCTTCAATTTGGCTCTACGGGGATTGCAGAATTGGTGTGTAAGTTATCTTTAAATTGGCCGATTGTTGAGCATAAGTATAAATTTCCTCTGTTTGTTTGGGAAGGACGGTCCTTAGTAAGGATGTGATGGCCAGCCAGTGGCTCCAGTTTCCCGTGGAGGTGGATGCTGGCCCTTCTCTCGGGCCAGCTGTGCACCACCAGCCCATCCAGCCATCTGGACTATATCCGTCAGTTCAGTCTTCCACTCGCTAATCTTTAGCTGGTACTTGTGGCTGGAATGATTCTCAGTGTGGTCAGAAATCATCCATCCTGTGGGTATGGGATAGAGCGGAGCTGCAGGAATCTGCCCTGACTGGCTGCTGTCTTTCAAAGACTTGCTTTCATGTGTACGTTCTTAACAATGAACACCGGTGCACAGCTGGGCATGGCGGCACACTTCTATAGGCACAGCTACTCTGAAGGCTAAGGCAGGAGGATCACCTGAGCCCGGGAGTTCCAGACCAGCCTGGGTAACGTAGCAAGACCCCTGTCTCAAAAAAAAAAAAACAAAAAACAAAAAAACGGAAAGAAAACCTACACACAAATGAGGCCCTGGCCTTGGCTAGTGATATAAATCAGACCACCCTGATACTTACCCACTGCAGAGACCACAGGGAGCTCTGACAGGACACCCACAAGCTGCTACCAGCTTCCTGGACGTAACCCTTTCCACCTATTCTGTCTTCACGCAGAGTTCATGGTCCTATCCCTCTTTGCAAATTTAGCTCTCTCTGCAAGAAGGGTACCTCTTCAAGTATGTTTTCCAGAAAAATCATTCTTTTCCCCACCAGACCAGCTCTTTCAACCCAGAAAAATTAAAGTTGTAAATTCTTCCATCATCTGTAATCTCAGTGTCATTTGCAGCACTGCTAGCTCTCTTTGATCCTAGGCCATTGCGATGGAAATGACAGGCATGGCTCTGGAATAGAGCAGCTTGTGTTGGGACCCTTGATTTTCCTGTGAAGAACAGAGGAGTCTTTCTGGCCCCTTCCCCTCGTATGATCCTGTGATTCTGCAATTTTAAGGCTGCTGCTACAGGCAAAGGCACACCATTAAAATCCAAACAGAGCCCCCAAAACCATGCTCTCAGCAGCATCCAGATGGTCTGAATGCAACCTTCTTATCCCTTTGAAGGAACATTTGGGAGATGGGACTCTAGGTTCGGGGGGAGACCCACCCTACGAGGTTCTGCTGCGGGGCTAAGCCTTGTTCCTCTTGTCCCTCCAGGGCCGGCAGGGCCTGGGCTCCATTTTCGTCTGGGCATCTGGGAATGGCGGGAGAGAGGGGGACTACTGCTCGTGCGATGGCTACACCAACAGCATCTACACCATCTCCGTCAGCAGCGCCACCGAGAATGGCTACAAGCCCTGGTACCTGGAAGAGTGTGCCTCCACCCTGGCCACCACCTACAGCAGTGGGGCCTTTTATGAGCGAAAAATCGTAAGTTCTCTTGGCAAGTTGGAGTGCTTACAGTGAGTGCCTCAGCCCTCTGGGAATGAGTTTCTTCTCCCTTTCTCAGAAAGATGGCTTAGATTGAGGCCAGATTGTTCCGGATCCCAGGGTCCCAGCCTCACCCATCGGCGAACAATTTGAGCCTGGAGGTAAACCCCAGTCCCTTGGCAGCCTTCCTCGGACACTGGCTTTCTAATCTTTGCACAGAAATAGCAGTTAAACCCCTCTCTGGCTTTAGAGATCTAAAAATATTATTTAAGAACGAGGTTCCTTCTCATGATGTCTTGTTTTAACTCTGAAATTCTGTGGTCACATGTCTTGGAATCCAATGAACCCATCCAGTTCCAGCGTGTACAACAGAGTAAGAGAAAGACTTGGTTTTATACTGAGACATTCTAGAAATCCAGGAGTTCTTCTAGGCATTCTGTTGCTACAGAAGCACTTTTTCTGGACACTTTAAGTCGAGCAGTGGTTTCTGTCTGTTCCGCTTACTTAAGTGAACATAAGCATGATTTGTCTTTTAAAAGGTAACTGTTTTAGTACTCAGGTAGAATTTGTGCTTTTTCCTTCCCTACATACTTTCCTACTTAAAAAAAAAAAAAAAAAGAGGAAGGGAGGGTTTCCAGTTCAAATTAATGCAGAATTGAAGTGCAAAGTCATTACGTTGACTTGTAGACATTTTAAAAATGAGACTGTGGAGCTGGCCAGACATGGTTAAATTTTAAAGCTCACTAGCATCTTTTCATTTCTGCGGCTGCTCAGCCACATCTTTCGAAGTTATTTGCAAATTTATTTTTACACTTTTCTGTGGGAGCATACAGGCTTCCTGTTCTCGGCTTTGCTCCGCACCAGTGAAAGGTCAGCTGCCATCGTTCTGTCGCCAGCCTGGTAGCAGCTCGGCCTGGTTAACTAAGGTATTAATTTGTTATTTTCCTTTTCTGCTGGAGTACGCACCCCTGGGACGGGCAGCTGAGATGCTGAATGGTGTCCTGTTTATGTAGAAATCCAGCTCATTTGAGCACGGACCTGCTAGGGTCTTATTAGACAGACAGTTGGCCAAAACCCAACATAGTCTTGCTGGCCGAATGGATGCAGGTTCGAATTTGCTAAGTTATGGGACAGTTTATAACATGGACTGCGTGCAGGCAGGATGGTGTCTCTCAACCCTGGAAGTAGGACTTGCAGCTTTATTTGCATTACGAATCACGTCAGCGTGTGATCTGTATGCCATGCATGTGTGCGTGCCTTGGCTATAAAATGCTTTTTCTTTCTTATTTTAAAATTCTCTTCCCTGAGCAATAATATGTGGGTAAGAAGGGTATAGTTTGGAGAACGGTAAAAGAGAAAATATACTTTGTCTTGGTCACTGCCCGGGAAGTCTGCTCTGACAGGAGGGGTGTTATTTTCAGCTCTACTAGAGTCCAGCTTTTGTTCTGAGTCCTCTTAGACGTCCTCCAGGGAGACGAGTGCTGCTCAGGATAGTCGACATATCACAGTCCCAGCATTCAGGCAGGCCTGTGATGGCGATCACAACCCTGTCCGCCTGCATTCTCTGTCCCTCTGAGTCTGAGGAATGTGAGCAGGTGTGTCCACCTGGAGCGAGGGATGTCCTGTGGTGACACATGACTCTTTATAGAGGAGTAAAACCTAAAGAAAGCATCTCTCACCAGAACAAGAGGGTATGTTCGTTCACTGAACACGAGCTGTGTCCCAGGCGTGGCACTAGGACTCAGGAGGGGCTGTCCACCTTGATTCAGCCATCCCTCCCAGGGTAGGCCCCTCTGCTCGCTCCCCAGGACCCCCTTCTCTGAAGCTGGAGAACCAGCTGTGAGCCTCACATGCTCTTGGGAGCGTGGCCTCCTGCCCAGCCACCCCTAGTTTCTCCTCCTGGCCACCATTTACCAAGCCCAAGTACATTCAGGTGCCTGGCTGTGATCTGCCGAGAACCCCTGAAATCTATATCATGGTGTCCATTTGCATATGAAGATGCTGGAGTCAGAGAGGGAGCATTTTTGTCCCTTTTCCCATGCCCTCAGCTGCCCTCCCCATGTTGAGGTACCCCAGCCCCACTGAAACGAACAAGGAGGAAACTGGTCTCTGTTGGCCTTCCCGTCACATCTTCCTGTGTGTGACACAGACCAGACCCCCACCTTCCCTAGACAGTTGGCCCAGCTCAAACGTGTGCAAGGAAGGTGCTGAGTTCGGAAGAGGATCTGGATTGCTCTCACTGTGAAATTGATTCTCAAAGGTTAGGCAAATCGGCTACTGGAGTCCTGTGGTGGGTGGGTGGGTGTGACTTTCCTATTCCTGCCATAACAAATTATCACAAACTTAGCAGCTTAAAACAGCACAAATTGATATCTCATGGTCCTGTAGGCCAGAAGTCCAGGAGCCTCAGCCGAGTCTCTGCTTTGAGTCTCACGAGGCCAAGACCAAGGTGCTGGCAGGGCCGTGGTTCCTTCCGGAGGCTCCCGGGAGAATCTGTTTCCTTGCCCACTCGGGCTGTTGGCAAAACTCAGGTCCCTGTGGTTCTGGGACTGAGTTTCCCATTTCCTTGTGGGCTGTCAGCTGGGGCCCGTTCTCAGCCTTTGGAGGCCACCCACATTCATTGGCTTACTCCTCAGCTCCCTCTTCAATGCCAGCAGCGGTGGGTCCAGTCCTTCTAATGCTTCCTCTCTCAAACAGCCTTGCTGCCTTCCTCTTCCAAGGTGGAGGGCCCTGTGGTGGCAGCAGGTCTACTCAGATAATCCAGGATAATCTTCCTGGTTTAAGGTCGGCTGGCTACCAACCTTAACTCTATCTGCAAAGCTCATTGGAATAACACCAGGGGACAAAGATGATGGGGCGACAATCCCACCTAGCACACCTGAACCCACACAGGCTGAACCCCCAGCACCCACTTCCCGTTTGAGTCCAACGGGAGATACACGTCAGCCTGAGTGGTAGTGAGGTCCAGAATCCATCCCACACCCAGCCTGGGCCAGTGCCTCCGAGGAGGGCAGGCAGAGCCCCCAGCTAGCGGTACCTGCCTTGTTGCCCTGTGCAGTAGGCCTTGGGCGGTCAAGAACATGCCAGGTTGATCTGCTTCTTCAGGAGGACGTCCTGGTGGAGAACCCAGCTTATGACCTACTGGCTAAAGGCAGAAACTCTCTCTGAGCCACCTGGGTATCTCTAGCTGCTCTGAAGTCAGGGGGTGACTTAGGGGTAGCTAGTGTGGACTCTGATGGTTTTGCCGTGGGTACTCTCGGCTGTTGGTGACAGGCCACAAAGTCCGGCAGACCCAGGGATGAGGGCTTGTGGGGTGCGTCTTGGTTTCATGTTGTTTTACCATTTTTTCCACATGCGCTTCTGCAGTAGAGAGGGAACCAGCTGATCTATTATTATCAAAGCGTACGGTCTGTGCTCCCAGCTGGCCTTCTTGCCCCTGCCTGTCTTCCTACAAAGTGATTTAGCAGGGAGCACCAGATGTTGTGGAAACCTGTGGTTGCCGAGATGCATTTGCCTAACACCTTATTTGTTCCCGAGACCCAGGGTCACGCTTGCCAGTTAGTGGCACCTGAAGTAGCCCAGCCTTCTCCACAGAGTGAGTTAGCCTGTCTGCCATCACTGCCTCACTGTGCTTCTCTCTCCCCCAGGTCACCACGGATCTGCGTCAGCGCTGTACCGATGGCCACACTGGGACCTCAGTCTCTGCCCCCATGGTGGCGGGCATCATCGCCTTGGCTCTAGAAGCAAAGTAAGTTCCCACTTACCTTTTTCTAAAAAAAAAAAATGTTTAGATTGTGGTAAAATACACATGACATTGGCCATTTTCACCCTATTGAAGTGGACAGCTCAGCGGCATTAAGCACATTCAGTGAGTCGTGCACCTGCACCACCATCCCTCTCCCAGAGCTTCGTCTTCTTCCCAGGCTGGAACCCTCTGCCCGTTAAACAGCAGCTGCCCAGGTTAGTCAGCTCAGGCTGCCGTAACAGAGTCCCACGGACTGGGCAGCTCAAACAACAGAAATTTAGTTTCTCAAAGTTCTGGAGCCTGGAATTCCTGGATCAAGGTGTCAGCAGGGTTGGTGTCTTCTTGGCTTGCAGAAAGCTGACTTCTCCCCTTCTGCTGTGTCCTCTTTTTATAAGGACACTGGTCATATTGGATTAGGGCCCACCCTAATAATCTCATTTTATGTTAATTACCTTTTTAAAGGCCTTATCTCCAAATATAATCATATTCTGAGGTACTGGGGCCTAAGACTTCGATGAATACATTTTGGAGGGGACATAGTTCAGCCTATAACACTCCCCATTGACCCCCCGCCCTAGCCTCTGGCAACCACCATTCTACTTTCTGTCTCTATGAATTTCATTGCTTTAGGTGCCTCATGTAAGTGGAATCACACAGGATTTGTCCTTTTGTGCCTGGCTTATTTCACTTCACATAACGTCTTTAAGGTTCACCCGTTTGTAGAACGTATCAAAATTTCCTTCCTTTTTTTAGGCCATCCTGATGGGCGTGAAGTGGTTTCTTCCTTTCTTAAAGCCCAAGTCTCCTGCCCTTTGTAGGACACAGGGGCTGGCTGGGCCAGAGTCCAAGGCCTGCCTCTGATTCTGCACCTCACAGCAAATCCACACTTTAGGTTGCGCTGGCTTCCTTTTAGGAACTTTCATTTATAAATTAACAGTCAAGAAATCTCTTGAGTTGCGTATGTGTTGTTGGTTCAGAAAGAAAAGCAAGTTAACCGCACATGGAGTCATAGAGTCAAAACCAAATTGTACTTTAGTCACCAAAACTGGCAGAGAACAAACCAGCCCTCTGCAGTAGTCATCTGTTGTAGATGAGTTTTCAAATAACTCAAAAAGAATGGTTGGGATGCCTCAATGCTTGTAATTACGTGTGTTTGCATGTGGATTTGCACAAGACAAACTGAGCGTAACACTCAAATGCTACCAATGTAACAAAGGAACAGTTTGATATTTTTGATTTCCAGGCCAAAATGTTAGCTTCTGTGTCCTGAGGCTCTTTTTAAAAATTCTTCATAATGAGTTGCTTGTGTGGAAACTCACATTCGCATACTTTACCCTTCCTTGCGCTGTATTTTCCTCCATTCCTTATTGGAAACATGCAAAGAGCTAAATGGAAAACAAACCCTGCTCCGGGGCGCATTGTCCCCTTAAACTTGGTCAGTGGGCATGTGAAAGCTCAGACGGTCATCTTCCTCATCATGTTAGCTCCTCCTCAGACACATACAGGGGACGGATCAGGCAAACATCATTTGGAACAATGTCAGTCTAGAGCGCTCGACACTTACAGGATTGGTCAAGGAAGGAACGGTTGATGTCTGGGAATTTGAAAACCTGTGTTGAGCAGACCTGTAGCCTGGGATAGCTCTCGCCTGTGCAGGTTGGCCCCAGGCCGCCTTCTCTCTCTGTTCACTACTGCTGTGGAAGGAACTGGGGCAAAGCCAGATGGTTCTGGGTGGAGATGCTCCCTGAGAGTCTGGGGAGGGCCCCCAGACAGCGTGGGGCCAGAATGAAGGAAAACCCATACGTGTTGGAATTCTCTAAAGGGAGTCCCATGGTTTTGGGACAGTCTTGGTACTTTTCAAACATCCGTTCTTCATCAAAAAACATTTTCAACATCCTCTCTTAGACATATTTTCCATGCGGTTATATTTGTGATTTTATTGCTAGAGTCAAAAATAAAATAGATTTTTTCATAAGAAAATGGTTCCTAACTTTCTCACTCCCTGGACCCATTCTGTCCTCCACTCCAAAGGTCATCCCGGCACCTAAATTCAAGATTTCCAGGAGGACTGGCTGTAGCCGTCTTCGAGTACGCCCTGCTGACACACAGCAGTAACTTGCCAGGTTGCACGGGCAGCATGGGGTGTGGCCATGTCAGCACTTGTCTAAACTCCAAAGCCTGCACCTGTGACCTCTCTACCAGGGTGCACGGCCATGGGCTACTCGAGGCCTCAGAATCTCCCCTAACAGTGAGGTTGGCGTGTGGGCCGCAGGAAGGCCAGTGGATGCAGGAGGAGAACAGGTGTGCCTGGCAGGGAAAGTCCTGGAGACTGAGCCACTGGACACGGACGGGGAGAGACGGTGAGGAAGCCAGTGACCAGCCAGGAGCAGCAAGAACACATTGGAGAAGTCAGGGGAGGCCAGGGCTGGAGCCTGGAGAGTGTGAGCCCAGGGAAGGAGTATACCCAAGACTTAACGCCATGGGTGAGCTTCTCGTAGGAAAACAGGCAAAGAGGGGGCCGAGGGTGGGAGTGTGCAGAGCAGCCGCCATACAAAACAGTGTAGCGCGTCCTTGAAAAAATTAAACAGACTCCCCAGACGATCAGCAATCCCACTTGTGGGTGATATCCAGGATTGAAAGCAGGGACTCGGGTAGATACCGGCCCAGCCATGTTCATGGCAGCATGGTTCACAACAGCTGAACGGCGGGAGCAACCCGAGTGTCCATGATGGACGAAGAGATCAGCGAAGTGTGCTCTGTACACACGTGGAACATTCAGCCTTGAAAGGAAGGAGATTCGGATACAGATTATGATGAGGTCCCTCAAGGACGTTGTGCTAAGGGAAATAAGACAAATCCTGTGTGGTTCCACTTACACGAAGACCTGGAGCCATCAAACTCATAGAGACAGAAAGTAGCGTGGTGCCTGCCAGGGGCTGCAGAAGGAGCGATGGGGACTGAGTGTCCCGTGGGACAGAGTTTCAGTCTGGAGGTGGTGAAAAGTTCTGGAGGTGGGTGTGGCGGTACCAGAGCAATGTGAACGTCCTTAATGCTACTGAGCTGTACCTTTACAAATGGTTGAAATGGGAAAGTTTGTGTTCTGTACGTCTTCGCACACCCACACACAGAGTGGGCCACTGGAGAGACGCCTGTGACATCCCAGCAGGTGCCACTGGGGAGGCCGGGGCAGCTGGGTACTTCAGCTCTCTCTCTTCTGCGTCTCCAGGCCCCCTCAGCTGCAGCAGCTCCCCCGATTTTACTTAGTCCGTGTTCCTAGGGTCACATTCCCTGAGGCAGCACCTGTGGCGCGGCGTGCGTTCCTAGTAAACACGCACCGAGAGCACGGTGTGCGTTCCTAGTAAACGTGCACCGAGACAAGGCTGGGGCTTGTGCTTCTGGTCACCTGCATCCCAACGAGCCCTGGGAAGATGGTCTGGAAGGAAAGAGTATGTGTTTGTGATATTAGGGAGTGAGAGTCTTGGACTCGAGAGATGTTCGTTTATTCTTGGTTAATTTTCTGATTGAATAGAAAGTCCTAGGTAGGCATCAATTTAACCGACTAAAAAAGGAATAAAAGATCTATAAATATTTATCTGTCAAATGGCGGCCGGAACCATGAGCCCATACATCTTTCTTTTCACTCAGCTGTTTGATAGGGCAAAAATATATTCCTTTCATTACTGATTCACATGTAGGTGTTATCTTTACCATGTTTTAAAGCAGCCTTGCAGAAAGCTTGTATGTTCAAATATCCAGGTTGCATAGCATTTAATACTGATTAGAAGAAAGGAACAATGCTCTTATTTTATACTATTCTCTGTGTACAGATAGTATGAAAAATACTATATTTCATCGAATCCAAGATGCCATAAAGTTGTAAGATGCACCTTTTTATGTACCACAGAAACCAGAAGTGCTGCCATTATACAATGCATCCATATCTCTTAGAATTTTTGTAACTATTGAAGAGTTCTTTTAGGCTGAGAGTTATTTAGACCTGGAAATGACACTGTGAATAGACAGGACCAAGTTCAGCACCTCCAGGCAATGTAACCCGTTCCTGGTTGCTGTGGGCAGAGGGGCTTATAAGAGGTATCAGATCATAAGATGGATCTGGATTTCAGAGGTGTTAAAAAAAAGAAAAAGGTGGGCCAGGTGTGGTGGCTCACACCTGTAATCCTAACACTTTGGGAAGCCAATGCAGGAGGATTGCTTGAACCCAGGAATTCAAGACCAGCCTGGGCAATATAGCAAGACCTCGTCTCTACAAAAAATGTAAAAAATTAGCCGGGTGTGGTGGTGCACACCTGTAGTCTTAGCCACTTGGGAGGCTGAGGTAGGAAGACTGCTTGAGCCCAGGAGGTCGGGGTTGCAGTGAGCCAAGATCACACCACCGCACTCCAGCCTGGGCAACAGGGCGAGACCCTGTCTTACACACAAAAAGCAGGGGTGAGCAAATGTGTCTTAGAAATTTTAAAAAATCATCTGTGTATTTAGTTACATTAGTGGCATGTTGTATTCTTTTGATGAAATGTTTCTACTTCCCCAAAAAGAATATTTTGCAAATTTAGAATCATATATAAAATCTTGAATTATAATCTACAGCCAGTGGGTCCACACAGGATGGAATCTCGGCCAATCGTGGTTTGAATGTACTCTTATGCACTGTTGTATTTGCTTAGGATGAAGAATAACCCCAAGTATTTAATAAACATTTACTATTATGTTAAGTGTCTTGTATTTTCAGAATTTCCCATATGGCTCTGGGCAAACTCAGGCAGAGCTTGGCAGCAAGGCTAGGCTTTAATGCTTATGAATTTTGGGTCACCCATTGAACCTTTTTTTCCCTCAGGATTTAGTTGCCGGAAACTTGTTTACAAAGAGGTGGTGAAATAAACCCTTGCCAAGGAATGCAGTCCTTAGCCTGAGGGGCTTGCTGAAGTTCAGACGTGGGTTGGCTGCCGACCCCCTGCCTCTGAGTGGCCTGTGTGGCTGCCGTTGTTGAGCTGTGTGGACTCTAGGGTGTGTTGTGTCATTGCAGCAGCCAGTTAACCTGGAGGGACGTCCAGCACCTGCTAGTGAAGACATCCCGGCCGGCCCACCTGAAAGCGAGCGACTGGAAAGTGAACGGCGCGGGTCATAAAGGTGCGGCAGTGGCGTTCTGGTGGACCATTGGGTGGCCCTGGAATGTGTAGGAAGGGGTGTCATGAATTCCTTAAAAGGACTCTCCAAATAGCATTAGTTGTTATTATTAATTGTGTGTCACAAGAATTTAAAACGCATGTGCAGCTATTTAAGAAAAGTATCCCGGAAGCTCACAGTGACATTACGGAAGAACCCTCAGGTCACAAGAGTCTGGGGTCTCCTATACTCTATAACTTTGGCCACACCGAGACACCACCTATACCAATATTTACTCATAGTTCTCTTTAAGCCAGGAGCAATGACGTGTGCCTATAGTCGCAGCTACTAGGGAAGTTGAGGCAGGAGGATTGCTTGAGCCCAGGAATTTGAGTCTAGCCTGGACAACACAGCAGGACTCCATCTCTTAAAAAAAAAATTACTTCCCCCACTACTTTTTTTTGACATAAAAAAATGTATTTTAAAAGGAAACTGTACTACATCTAGTTAATCATAGGTTTGATATGTAGTTACGTATTTTTTCTAATGTGCATTAAAACAAATCCATAATTATTAAAATAAATGTTGTTTGTGTGCCACCTGAGGGCAGCTTGCATCCTTAGCCCTGAGTAGCTCTGTGATTTTGAAACTTGCCTTCAGTTTCCTCATCTGTACAATGAGGACATTGAGATAGTTTTGTAAGTTACTTTCTAACTGTAAAACTTCTTTTGGCCAGTCCCTGTGTTATAAAAGTAAATCATAGGACAGTGGGGCCTCTACCCTCAGCCCAGCCTGGTACAGACCTAGGTACCATGAAATCAACCCAGGGTCAGGGCTTCGTTAGGCTGGCTGTTGGCGGCCTTTGAAGCAGGTAATTTTAGGACAGTGCTACTGGCTTTGTTTGCCTGACTTCTTTTTTTTTTTTTTTTTTTTTTTGAGACAGAGTCTCGTCTTGTTGCCCAAGCTGGAGTGCAATGGCACGATCTCGGCTCACTGCAACCTTTGCCTCCTGCGTTCAAACGATTTTCCTTCAAATAATCCCTCCCGAGTAGCTGGGATTACAGGTGCCTGCTACCACGCCCAGCTAATTTTTGTATTTTTAGTGGAGACGGGGTTTCACCGTGTTGCCCAGGCTGGTCTCGAACTCCTGACCTTGTGATCCACCTGCCTTGGCCTCCCAAAGTGCTGGGATTACAGGTGTGAGCCACTGTGCCCGACCTGTTTGCCTGACTTCTTATCAGGTATACTGAAAAATATTTCATTTGGCCGTAGTATTTATGTTAGGGAGGAATTTTTTTTTAACCTTTTCTGAAGCTCAGGTCTAACTAATTTGACACTAAGTCTGATACTACTATCTGTAAAATATAGGTCAAGCATAGTTACCCTAAGTGCCGAGGGACATTCCTTTTAATAAGGAGGCCATCGATTGGGCTAGTTCATCTTTGTTTTGCAGGAATGTCGGTGGTAGTGGTGTACTGTAACAAGAGCTGACCCACATTTTAATTCTGGCCTAATTAAATAGGAGAATAGATTGTATGCAGTTCTTGACCTTGCCTCTTAAATTAAACTTTGAAAGTCTCCTGCCCTGGCCAAATTAAATACTGGACCGGGCCAGTTCGCAAGCCTGTCTCTGTGCTGTGCTGTTTTCCCGGAATGCTCTGGGAACTCAGCAGGGAAAGAAAATGGCAAAAAAGATGAGTACAGCCTTGTGTTATTGCATTTCGGGCACGTGGTAATTGTGTGAACTGAGAGGTCTCAGATTTTGTTTCTCTTGTCTGGTCTTAGATTCAGGGAGCATAGATGCTGACAAGCCCTTTTAATGTAAAGGAACCTGTCTTTGTCTCAAAAAAAGAAACTCCTAGACCTTCTCAGCACTTCTACTCTGTACCAAAGCGGGACGTGTTTCCTGACCCACACTCCTAAATTTAGCAGAAGGAGTTGGGTTCAGAGAGAGTGAGGCAGCTGGGACCTTTGAGCAGCCCTCAGGGGGACCCGTCCTGCAGCCTGGGGCCCCCAGGAGACCTCGAGTCTTACGGTCCCTCTGTCCTCCATGGGGCCCGGCAGATGCAAGAGCCAGCCTTGCTCCCTTCCTGGGAGAGGCAGGAGAGCCTGGCTCTGAAGGGCCTGTCTTTTCAGTTAGCCATTTCTATGGATTTGGTTTGGTGGACGCAGAAGCTCTCGTTGTGGAGGCAAAGAAGTGGACAGCAGTGCCATCGCAGCACATGTGTGTGGCCGCCTCGGACAAGAGACCCAGGTAAGGCTCTGCTGTGGCATCGGTGACTTCTCAGGCACGTGGGTTTGGAGCTGACTCTGTTGTAAGGTGTGGCTGGGGGAGGTGTTCACACATGCATTCTGTGCACATGTGCGTGTGCACGATGCATGCCTGCACACGTCTGCGTTTTCTCTTGTGGATTGTACAGCTGGGAAAGGAATCACTTCTTAAGCCACCACTGTTTTGAGGCCTCTTCCCCTTTTGTAGCAGATTGCTCCACGATAGGGGATCAGTTCCTCAGCCTGAACCACTCAGCCTAGTATTGGAAATTCTTACCCGTGTTTAGCATGTCAGCCCAAGTCAGGAATCTGCTCCTCCCAGAAAGTGAAATGGGGAGTAGCTGCAGGTGTCCTTTCTGTCACCACCGGCTAGAGATTGGAGCTGTAGCCCCAGCCCAGCCTAACTGGCCCTGGGAGTCTGCAGTGTGAATCCACCAGGCCTGAGCAGGAGCAGCTGGGTCAGCCTCTTCTCTGTTGCAGGTTGTGGGGTACTGCTTATTATTCACAGAGCATAGCAGCTTTGTGTGGCTTTTATCTGGCTCCGTACAACCTTCTTAAGGCTTAAGCGCTGGGATTTTTTTAACAAGGCTCGAGCAGAAGGGCCCTGGCTTCATCTCTCTCCCGTGAGCAGGGCACACCCGGAACTGCTCTTTGGAGTAAGTGTTTCTAAATCTGTTATATTTGTTCATTGATTGATTGATTGATTGATTGAGACCGAGTTTTGCTCTTGTTGCCCAGGCTGGAGTGCAGTGGCATGATCCCGGCTCACTGCAACCTCTGCCTCCTGAGTTCAAGCCATCTTCCTGCCTCAGCCTCCCGAGTAGCTGGGATTATAGGCACCCACCACCATGCCCAGCTAGTTTTTTTGTATTTTTAGTAGAGATGGGGTTTCACCATCTTGGCCAGGCTGGTCTCAAACTCTTGACCTCAGGTGATCCACCCGCCTTGGCCTCCCAAAGTGCTTGGATTACAGATGTGAGCTACCGTGCCTGGCCAAAATTTTTATTTAAAAAAAAAAAAGCAGCCATAAAGTAAATCAGAAAGCAAGAACCCTAGCCCACTAGGAGAGGAAATCAGATTATTCCAATTCTGCCATCGCAGCTGTTTTTAAGGAGAACGGTGTTTCTCTGGGCCTTGTATCTGATACAGAACGGAGTGTGTTTTTCCCATAACTACTTGTTCCCTTTGGAAAACGTGTTTGAAAAAGAAACAGTGTGATGACTGAAAGTGATATATTTCTTTATCAACAAATACAGGTCACTCTCTTTAGATGCTCTTCCTTGAATATGCCTCTACTCTTGTAATACACTCTTGCCACAAATAGTTGAGAAAAATGTGTCTGGTGGAGGGCTCGCATATGGTAGGAGTGCAGAGAGTGTGTGTTGGCTGAGCAGCTGGATGAATAGCCACAGAAGGATCTTTTGAAAAATCACCTTTTTCTCCCGTGGCTAATTGCACACTGACCGCTGAGTGGTCACTGCAGGCCCCGACAGGTCGGCCAGACACCTGACAAGCCTCAGTCTTGACTTCTTAAGGCGTCGGTTTCTCTGAGGAGCCTTAGACTGTCAAATTTGAAACAACGTGGGAGAGTCTCTGAGATAAAGGAGGTTTTGCCTTCTCTGTCTTTGCTGGAAAACGCCTGCAGCCTGGACCCTCAGAGGCTAGGTGAGGGAGGTGGGCTCCTGGGTCTGGTTCCTGACCTGGGGGCTGCCCTCTGCCCCGGCGCCTCCGCTCGTGTCCCCGTCAGGGCGGCTCCTGAATGAAGCATTCTTCTCCTGCCAGAAATCGTTTTAAGATGGCAGAGTGGTGCCTAGGTGGCGAGTGGTTGTTTTTATTTTTATTTTATTTTGTTTTTTAAGTGAAAGCACACGGAGTCTAGACAGCACAGGTTGAGGGAGCCCGCCGTCACATACAGTGTAACATTGTTCCTGTCCTTTGAGGAAAGTAAGGACCCTCCAAACTCCAAGAGGAGAAGAATCAGACTTCTGTTTCTGAAGAAAAGTCATCTTTACCTTTAGCAGTTTCAGACTCTTTCTGGGATATTCAGCCAGCCTACCGTCTCACACCACTTGCTTATCAGATCACTTGCTTAACTCTGTAACGTGGTTGTTGCAGAGGACATACGGGCCTCCAGAGAGAGGGGTGTTACCAAGCAGAGTTCCATGCCTCACGTCCACCTGTGGGTCTCCCCTCCTGGCAGGGAGCTCCAGCCAGCTCTGCCACTGAGCCTGCCTGCAGGTCGGGGTCATCTGCACCTGAGCCGCGAGTATCCCCACAGCTATGCGAGTTTTCCCCATCGGGGTTCCCAGCTGCTAGGATCACGTGGCCGAAAATGAAAAGGAAGCGTTCCCACACAGCCATTTTCCCGTCTTCTTCTAACTGCCCCCTCTCCGTGCACGTTTGTGGGTCCAGCTGTCTACTCTCTTGGCCTCATTCTGATTTCTTCCTCTCATGGTGGAATCCTAGGACTTCCTGAATGTCCTGAACCTGCCCTAAGCTGCTTCCCATGGTGAAGAGCAGAGCAAGAGGGAAGACAGAGTGTGTGTATGCCTCTTTATACACCCCTCTCGTGTGCATCCGTGTGCACTGCGTGGGATATGGTGACTGTCTTTTCTCTTGAACAGGAGAGGATGCTACCCTGGTGTGACCAAAGGTCAGACAGCTGTGTTCACTGGATGTTAAGCACGGGAGTCCTCTAGCTGGGGCATGTGTCCACACCTGTCAGGTCTATGGTGACGTCACACATGGTCCTGAGGGAGAGGGGCTGGGGTGTTCATACGTCCACCCCTCTGGTCACGGGCAGGGGCAGGAAACCTCTGTCTACCCCCAGCCGTGGGCTGGAATATGGCCATGGTTCAGGGAGACTGTCCTCATGGCGGTGACTGACAGGAAGAGTCAAATGGGCTACCCCTTCTGCATGTCCCTCCTGTGCACCCAGCCTGTGCTCCCAAACTAGCATTGCATCCAGGGCCCCGAATGACTGCACAGAGCTGGTGCCCCGTCACCCATGGTGTCCCCCTGCGGAGCTGCTGTCTCCAACGCTGCCCCAGTGGCTGGCATCACAGCCCCGCCTGCCCGAGTCATGCTCAGGCCCAAAGGCGCGGAAAGGCCACCAGCACAGCACAATGCGGGCTGCAGAGGAAGGAGCTGGGGCGGTGATGCCAGACCCACCAGACACAGTCCCCTTCAGGAGGCAGCTCCGTCATTTGAAAAAAGGCCATCCATGGTGTGAAAAGGACTAGCCAAGAGGGGACCCCAAGTGATACGTTGGCATTTCTCACCTGGACACTGCACATCTGGGGACTGGGGGGTTTGAGCCTGTCTGTGTATGGATCCACCCGAAAGATAAGAAGAAGTCCCTGGAAGGGTAGAGAACATCAGGGAAGAGGGGACCTCAGGTAGGGCTGGGCCTGGGTGAGAATCAAGGAGCCAGGCCCCCTGCTCCAAGGTACCACGGGATCGTGCTGGGCAGTCTCTTTACTGCCTGGTGTTTACCCTGCCCTAGAGCAGTCTGAGCCCCAGAACTGAGGTATTGATGTCTGAGCCACCTCTCCAGGAGCCCACACGGGGTAGGGCCCATCATAGGCTTTCAGGAAATGCTAAAGCTAAATGCAGAGGCGAGAGGAAATCACTTAAACTGAATGGCAGCTGCTGTTAGCAAAAGAGAGTGACTTGCTAGAGTCCTCCAGGATAGCACTGGATGAAAGTGCCAGCTGTGCCTGGGCCTCTGTTGTGATCGTCAGACCGTAGACCAGAGGCACGTCGACCTACTCCTGGGCACAAATGGTTTCCATCTGTTTAGAACCTTTGTCAATTAAACGAAGGTACATAGGATCATGACCAGGGGCATCTGCCTGTGCAAAATGATTTTAAAATCTGTGTGTATTAAATAGAAAGATAAAGTTGATATTTTTATATCTTTTCTTCAAATGAAAAAGAAAATTAAGCTTAGTATTATTCCAACGAATGAAATAGAGGCCCAGCTATTAAATATTCTATTTGACTCTTGATTTTTCTAGCCAGTGCTTCTGTCGCTGCTTTGAAAATCCAGGCTTCTGGGAAACAGTGTATGATATGCATGACTCCCACCTCAGTGCTGGGGACACTCACAACAACAGGGTCTTTTAAACCAACACAAAGCGATAACTTACCTGCACGTCTTTAGTTTCTGCTGGTTTGGAAGGTTACTGTCCAGACAGAGCTTACAGTTTAGCTTGGCCTGTCTTTTAATGAACTCTTCACACACCCACAACCCACACAAGACACTTCAGACCCAAAAGCCAATGTGTTGCTTTGACTATCAAGGCTTATCTGTAGAGCAGATAATCTTTTTATAGATGTTCAGGAATTAACTCTGGATTAGCCGCATATCACCTGCTTTTCTGGAATTTCGTGAAACTAGACTGCGTATGGCGGTCATTTTAAAACAACTCTATTTATGAAGACATATGGCTGTGGATGAGAGATAATGGATTGTGATTATAAAGGCACTTACTGTGTGCCAGGCATTGCTCTAAGCACTTTATATAAAAATCCCCAATAAACATGTGAGGTTGGAGTTCTATCTTTATCCTCATTTTATGGAGGAAGAAATGGAGGCAGAAAGGAGTTAGGAACTTAGGCCCAGAGGTGGGGTGCTGTGGGGCTGAGCTGCTCCCGCAGGCTGCTTGTCTCCAGAGTCCACCTTGCCCCCCTAGGTAGGAGCTCAGGCGGTACTGAGCCAATGAGAGCGACCTGCCCACCCGTTAGAAGACCTCACCTCTGTGACCTCTGTGCCAGGAGCTAGCTGGGCGCACCACCTCCAGGGATGATAAAGTACCTGACCCTGGCTGCCCAGAGCTTCCTCCGGCCTTGGCCAGGTGCCAGTGCCTAAGAGCACAGCTGCTGGCGTCTCATCTGCGGCAGGTCAGCTGGGCAAGCTGGTGAGGCCAGGAGCCCAGCGGCCTGGTGGAGTGCCGTGCGGATCAGACACAGGTCAACCCAGCTCTACTGTGCTCAAGCACACAGCCTGATGTGACGTCTTTTTAGGAAGCCAAGAGCCCTCGTTTTCTTTGGGCTGTCTCAGAACTATGCAGGTGTCTGCCACCCTCCCATCCCCTCCTCACCTTACCCAGCCTCTCCCTCCAGGGCATCTGACCTCTGTGTATACCTGGGTACCACAGGAGGCCCTTACTTCTGGTTTCTCCTCTTGGGCTGTTGTTATACAGAGCATGCCTGGGTGTCCTCAGAAGATCTGTGGGGTGCTGTGCAGTCCCGCCCTGGGGGTAACCACAGTGGACCCACAACACTTTTCCTGCCTGCTGCTACCCCTTGTAGCTGCGAGCAAACTTAACCAGCTGGTTATGTTCTTGCAACCCTTTCCCTTCCTGGCTTAGTTTTGAAGCAAACTTCTTTTCCCCAAATTGTAAAGGCTACTTATTTCTAAAATTAGGATTTGGAATTTGAATACAGTTGATTCTCCCTATTTGTGGTACTGTTCCACAAAGTCACCACGAACACTGAAGCGTTATTCCTAGGAGAGATACAGGGTTAAGTTCCTGTGAGCCTCCGGTCACATTTTTGCCAGCCTGTCCATATAGACCGAGCTTTATGTGTATGGGTTTAAAGACAGCTTATTTAACATAGATCATTGGTTCATTCACTTTAGACTCACAGCGGACAGCACTAGTGCTCGTTGCTGGAACCAAGCTTGTCTTACCCGTGTGTTTTCTCCTTAAGGCAGGTCTCTGCTTTCTCATGCTGTTTGACACTAGACAGTGTTTCAGCACTGCACTTGGGGCCATTTCAAACAGTGAATTCACCAACAGAAAAGCACAGAGCCAGGCATGGTGGTTTGCACCTACAGTCCTAGCTACTCGGGAGGCTGAGGTGGGAGGATCGCTTGAGCCCAGGAGGTCAAGGCTCCAGTGAGCTAGGATTGCACCACTGCACCCCAGCCTGGGTGACAGAGTGAGACCCTGTCTCTAAAAAACAAAAAACAGCACAAAAATGTGAAAAATGTGGCACTAAATACACTGTGAAACAGACACTTGTTTTTATTTGAGATGGAGTCTCACTCTGTTACCCAGGCTGGAGTGCAGTGGCGCGATCTCGGCTCACTGCAACCTCCACCTCCCAGGTTCAAGCAGTGGTCTTGCCTCAGCCTCCTGAGTAGTTGGGATGATAGGCACATGCCATCACACCTGGCTAATTTTGTATTTTTAGTAGAGACGGGCTTTCACCATGTTGGCCAGGCTGGTCTCGAACTCCTGACCTCAAGTGATTCACCCACCTCAGCCTCTCAAAGTGCTGGGATTGCAGCCGTGAGCCACCACACCTGGCCAGAAATGGACACTTATTTATGGCATGAGAGCTGCACCAACAGGCGGTGTTGCCTTGTTTGACCTCAGCTGGGAGTGTGCTCGTTGGGGGACTCATTATGTTACCACTCTGCACACATCTACACATGACACCAAAGTGCCGCAGGTGTTAGTTTGGGGGATACAAATAAATGTCAGCCACCAGGTGAATATGCAGATACAGCATATGTGAATAATGAGGATTGACTGTATATTTTATTTTCTCTTTTACTCCCCTTCAGGTTGAATTGTAGACTGTTAGAATTGGAAGGCATCTTTAAAGCCAGCTAATTCAGTCCCCTCATTTAACGTACAGGAAAAAGTGTGCTATAAATTTAAGCATGACATATTAAAGCACCTTCTGACCCAATTAACTGTGGACGGCATTGTGTAAGTTAATGTACTGGATTAGCTTTTTTTTTGAGGTTAAATTTTATTTCTCACCTAAGTGATGTGCTATGGTTTGATCATCAAAAGTAATTTTGGCCGGGCGCCGTGGCTCACGCCTGTAATCTCAACAGTTTGGGAGGCCGAGGCGGGCGGATCGCCTGAGGTCAGGAGTTTGAGACCAGCGTGGCCAACATGGGGAAACCCCATCTCTACTAAAAATACAAACATTGGCCGGGCATGGTGGCGCATGCCTGTAGTCCCAGCTACTCAGGAGTCTGAGGCGGGAGAATTGCTTGAACCCGGGAGGCAGAGGTTACCGTAAGCTGAGATAGCACCACTGCACTCCAGCCTGCGGACAGAGTGAGACTCCATCTCAAAAAAAAAAAAAAAGTAATTTCATGTGAGGAAAATTCTCAGTCTGAACTCATATGAATAAGGAAGCCCACAGATGAATGAAGCAGCTTACCTCAGAGCCTAACGACAGTCTTGTTGAGAGCGTGCATCCTGGAACACAGGTCTGAGAAGTGACCTAGAAGCCTCTTGCCACCTTCACACGGGCACTGTGTGCCCTCCGACCTGCTGTTTTCCTATTGCTTAATTTAGCAAGTCTGTCCCAATTAACTCTTGCCATTCCATTCACTCCCGTTAGCGGGTCTGTGAAAGGGTTTCCTGGATGACCTTCTGCTGTAATGGGCCTCAGTTCTTTAGCCTCTCCTCCCCAAGCCAGGTGCCAGCACAGCAGCTGGCAGGATGCTGCTGGCTCCTGATTCTGGAGGGTCTCTCAACATGGCCCTAGAACATTCATGGGCCCAGTGAGGAACAAAGCAAGTGCGTTGTGCAAGGATCCAGGTTGGTCCAGGAAGCCAACCTGGGGAGAGGGCTTCAAGGAGGGAGTGAGAAATACTGACATGGAGTAGCTTCCCAGGTAGAACAGGAAAAGTGGAGAGCTTGAGGCGGAGGGTTTCAGCCTGTGGCCCGTCTTCCTGCTTCCCCTGGCACTCGGTTACTTGAAAATATTTATTTTTGCTATTAGATAGTATTATGCATTGGAAAAAAAAATAGGAGGAGGCCAACATATCTGTGGTCTGGAGTTCCTAGGGAGTCAGCAGGGTGGCTACTGTTGGTGGGCCTTCGCCTCCTCAGGAGAAGGGAGCGGGTGGAGAGCATTTGGGATGAATGGAGAACATCTGAAGTACCAGAGTAATTAACGTTGAAATGTGGCTGCGTGGCACGTGGCATTTGCTGTCATTAGAGATCTTTTCCAAGTCTGGCCGTCTCCCTGGCTTCAACAACGCACGGTCTCCAGGCAGGTTTTGCGGGATCATTTAACTCCGTGGACTCCCTTAGCGTCCTCGGAAGATGGCTTTATGTACATAGACCACAGTTTCAGAAGTTAATAGCAGAAGACACTTTTCAGTTACTTTGGGGACTTTAAGATCTTTCTAAATCAGTTTTCATCATTAAAGTACAATGTAGGTGTATTCACGTGACAGTGATAATCTCTGCACATTGTTTAACTTGAAAGATAAATTACTTGGCAGTCGACTTGCATTTTCAGCGTTACCTTAGAAATAACTGTAGGGTGGAGAACCACTTCTGTTTTTTTCATTGACTGTTCTACTTTCTGTCTTGGAGTTAATTTTTTAAAGTGATGACTTTTGATAGATGGCTTCCTTATTTTCTTCCTGGAGTTTCTATCTGAAATACAGAAAAATTTGAGCACAATGATCATGAAACATTTTGAAGCCTCCTCTTTTATTTCTCTTCTTAATAAAAGCACTCTAATTGGGGATGTTAGGTTAATGGTTTCAATAGCAACCACAGAAGTAAAATGTGTGGGGAGCTAACTGCATGTCAGGAAGGTGGCAGCGTGCCCTCCTATAGTAGCTGTCCTGGGCTCCCGCGCTGCCCCAGAACTTACAGGAATGAGGAGTCCTGGTGGCCTGTAACTGAGTGATTTAGCAGTTAAGAGCTTTCACATAAAAACTAATTGTTACAGTTAGCCTTGTTCCAGGAGGCTGCTGGGCTCCTAGCCCCCAGGTGAAGGTAAGGGCATGGCTTTGAAAACCAAACGAAGTGAGGCCATTAACTCCTGCAGGAGCTGGGTGCTCCCGCCCCCAGCCAGCCTCCCTGCAGGCAGCAGCAGCGGGGCTGGCGGAGGATCACACCCAACCCAGCCTTCTTTATGCAGCGGCTGGAGTCCCTTAGCAGGAATAAAAAAGTCAGATGCAAGAGACTTTCATACTCTGAAATGATTTTTTTTTTCTAGGTGTTCGCTCTGTGGGTGGGGCTCAGAGTGGCGGGGCAGGTGAGAGGTGGGGCTTGGTTGTCTTTCACTTGTAATTACCCTGCTCCCGTTCTCTCATCCCTGTGCCTTATCAATGGGATTAAAGCTTCTTCACAAGGATTCCAGGTCTATTTCTAGAGCAGATTGATCACTTCCCCTACCGATGAGCAATTGGTTGGAGTGTGGGGACCGTGTCTTCAACTTGGTTAAGGCTTTTGTGTCTGTTTCCCCTTGATCTTGCTATTCAGCACTGGAAAGGTGTTGAAGTGTGAGAGTGTAGGGTTATTCCTGGTTTTTGGGGTTGACTGGGAGCTACATTTTGAAGCCCCAGGGGAGCACTGAGTAAGTCTGCCGGCATAGACGTTTCTCCGTCTCCACACCTTGCTTCTCCCTAACGTACCCACCTTACATTCTTAGTGTGGGGTGAAGGTGGGGGATGGGGGACACTCACCTGGAGAGACACATGGGCCCTGCAGGTCCTGGAACTCCCCAGAGCCTTCTCTTGTGTTCGCCATCTACCGCAGCGGGGGCTGCTGGCCAGTAAACACTAGCAGTAAAGCTTGGGAGAAGGCAATGAAGGAAGTCAGCATCTCTAGATCAATTTATGGTGCATGCAAAGCGTGTTTTCAAATACTTACAGAGTCTCCGAGGGAATTACATCACTGTTTATAACTGTTTTGATTGTTTTTTATGACTCAGGGCCCAGTAGAGCCAAGCAGTGTAACTCCTGAGAGGCTCTGAGCAGAACGCCTCATGCCTCCCGGGAGGAGAGTCCAGGCATAATGGGAAAAGCGCTCCCCGTAATAAGCCAAGCACCGGTCGTGTGGTGGGGAGTTATTAATGTGCTGCTGGGCGGCGGTGGGTCTGCACTGAAGAATGCCATGTTTCTTCAGCTGCAGATCACTGGGGTGGGTCGGGGGCTGAGTTCAAAGAGGCATGAACCCTAATGGCCTGGAATTGGCAGGATGGTCCAGCCTGGACACAGAAACAGCCTTGGGGTACAGATTTTGGATCTGCTTGGTCTGGGGAGTCTGCTTGGTCTGGGGAGTGTGTCAGAAAATTCTAGCAGGAAGGAGTCTTGAATGATTGAGGCTTTGTTTTTACCCTCAGACTCCATCCCATATGGTAAAGCTGCCCTGAGTTTGTAAAGGGAACCATCGTCCATTTCCATGACAGGGCAGGAAAGTGAGGGGACCCTGCTTTCTGCAGGAGATTTGGGAGCACACAAGCTTGGCACCCTCGATCAGCATGAGAGGGCAGCCTCCGAACTCCGAGCTGTGTCCTTGACTGTGGGTCCACGCGAGCTTCCATTCGAGGCAGCGAGGCCTGGAGGCGGAGGCAGTGAGGCCTGGAGGCAGAGGCGTGGGCTCTGGGGCCCCAAATCCCAGCTCCTCCCCGCATTAGCTACACCTTGGGTACAGTCCTTAATTTCCCTCTGGATTAAATGGGTTAATCCTTGGAAATTCTCAGGCCAGTGCCTTATGCTCAGTGCACAGTCAGCTTGGGAAATGTTTGCTGATTGCTGTTATTTAGCATTGTGACTTCTATTTTCAATGCTAGTCTTCGGAACAAAGTAGTGGGATTTTTTATTTGTTTGTTTGTTAAAACATTTAATTATTTTTATATATTTAGGGGGTCCAAGGACAGGTTTCTTACATGCACATATTGCAGTGTGGTGAGGTCTGGCCTTTTAGTGTACCTGTCACCATGGAGGTCATACTAGGGCAACTGAGAAACGAGCTGGCCAAATGCCACCGAGGAGAAGCCGCCTTCTGGTCACCAAAGGGAGCCCATCCCTGGGGACATTCACCCAAGTCTGCCCAAGAACCCATCTTTTATTTTATTTTATTTTTGAGTTGGAGCCTTGCTCTGTCTCCCAGGCTGGAGTGCAGTGGTGCGACCTCGGCTCGCTGCAACCTCCACCTCCTGGGTTCAAGAGATTCTCCTGCCTCAGGCTCCCGAGTAGCTGGGATTACAGACACCCGCCACCATGCCCAGCTAATTTTTGTATTTTTAGTAGACAGGGTTTCACCGTATTGGCCAGGCTGGTCTCAAACTCCTGACCTTGTGATCTGCCCTCCCCCTCCCCCCACTTTGTATAAGACAAAATAATTGACTCAGCAGCAATGCAAGGCAGACAGGGCCATCGTCCAGAGGAATGGGGCCTGTGCTGTGCACCCCACAGCACTGCCCAGCAGCCTGGTCTCTCCACTGTAGGCAAGTTGGAGCGGTGGCAGCAGGCGGTGCCTCGGCCTCCCAAAGAGCTGGGATCAGAGGCGTGAGCCACAGTGCCCAGCCGAACCATCTTTCAAATCTCTGTAAGCAAATTCCAGAGGCATAAACGTCTTCAGGACAGGTGATAAAGTTCACAGTGGAGCATCCACGTGAGGCAGTCAGAGGCTGCTGCGGCTCCCCGGGGCCCGCAGGGCCCTGAGGCTGCAGTGGGGATAGAGTGGACGGGCGCTGGAGCTCCTGGCTGTGTGGGTGAGACTTCATGCTTCCGGTGCCAAGTGCTGAGCCCTCCCTTCTCCCCCAGGAGCATCCCCTTAGTGCAGGTGCTGCGGACTACGGCCCTGACCAGCGCCTGCGCGGAGCACTCGGACCAGCGGGTGGTCTACTTGGAGCACGTGGTGGTTCGCACCTCCATCTCACACCCACGCCGAGGAGACCTCCAGATCTACCTGGTTTCTCCCTCGGGAACCAAGTCTCAACTTCTGGCAAAGAGGTAAGGCGAGGCAGGCGTGGGGATGGGGTCTGGGCTCACTGAGATTGACCCTGCACAAGAGCTTCTGTCCAGTCTTGGGCCCACAGTGTCTCTGCAAGGCCCTCTGGCGTTGGGGACTCCCACTGGTTCTGCTGGCAGCTTCCTTTCTCTTGGAGACCCTTGCATGTAGGCCCCAAAAACCTTAAAAGTTGCTCCCTGAAACCTTGCCTTCCAAAAGGTCCTGGAAAACTTTCCTTTTCAGAGAGAAGTGACAAAAGAGTTGTTGTTTCGTTTTTTGTTGTTTAGCGGAGGGATTTGTGGAATTCTGGCTATGCCTTCTTTGCTTAGAAGTGCATTAAAGGTCATTTAATCCTATTCAGTTGGCTTTTGAATCGAGCATGTGTACCACAGGGAGCACTGTTTGTCCCCCCACCAGCTCTCCCACCCAGTCGTGGGCTGCCCTGCAGAACCTGCACCAGCAGGGGCCTGTCCCGGGAATACAGACAGGCTCGGGTGGTATGTGGGGAAGGTGCTCCCAGGCTGCTCTCTGCCAACTTCTCTTGCGCTCAGGGGCTGGGAATTCCAAAGCTTCGCACATGGTTTTTTGGGAGGCTATGGAGTCATTTCTTTAACAAACTTAGAAACAAGGGGAAATACATTGATGCAAATATATGACTTACAGGTAATTAGAATGAAGGTGTTTATGGGAACTTAAGAGGGGCCAGGGTATTCTGGTACCTTCTGTCTCTTTCTAGCTAAGAGGTAGAGAGAGTAAAGAAATTTCATGGACAAATCAGCATTTCCAGCTTCTCTCAAAAACCAGGACTGGCACTGTGCCCACATCATCTGCAGGAAGCCCCCCAGGACCAGGCCTGCTCTGTCTTCTGGGGTGTGGTCCCCTTGCCCACTCTGGGCCCACTTGACTCCTTTGGTGACCTGCCTGAGGCTGTGGCCCTTGTGTAGGCTATAGGGAGCTGCAGAGATTCAGAAACAGGGGCTAGCGAAGGCTCTCAGATGGAACCAGGCAGAAGTTGGGGGTTGCCCTTTGCTTAACCCTTCCCCTCCCCACCACTTTGTATGAGACAGGGTAATTGACTCAGCAGCAATGCAAGGTAGACAGGGCCATTGTCCAGAGGATTGGGGCCTGTGCTGTGCCCCCCACAGCACTGCCCAGCAGCCTGGTCTCTCTGCAGCAGGCAAGCTGGAGCGGTGGCAGCAGGTGGCGGGCCCGGCACCAGCTTTGTCCTCGGTGCACTGGAATCAACCCTGAGGCAGACCCTGGCACCAAGCTCAGCCCATCCCACATTCTCCTTTCATAGCACGAGTGTCACAGGGGCACCTCTCCCTCCTGCCGGGAGGCCCGGCCGTGCTGTGCCTCTGCCTGTGGGAGGTCTCACACGGGCACGAGCAGTTCGGTGTCAGCGGACGAGCTGCAGCTTTTGATGCTATGTTGCTCCCCGTGGTGTTTTTTATTTTATTTTTTTAACCTTAAAGATTTTAAAAGTCCTCATTTCTGGCATTTCTTGGAAAGTTGGAAGCTGTCTGACACCAGCCCCGTGTTCCTGCGTGCACTGGGCCGGAGCTGAGCAGGTGGGCGAGTGTGTGTCCATGTGCTCCATGTTTTCCGTGCTGGCAGCCCTGAGGCCAGCAACGGGCTCTCCGTTCACTCCAGCCGCACACCTAGTGGCACCCAGGTTTGTGACCCCTGACTCAGAGCCAGAGCTGGGTGCAGGCCCAGGTGATGGCCCAGGTTGACGGAGAGCCTGTGGTGAGGCTGAGAGGCTGGGGCAGCAGGTAGCAGGCAGGCGGGTGGCAGTGACCCTGGAGAGTTGGCCCACACCCTGCTCTTCCACTCCTGGCTGGGCTCCCAGGAGCCAGTCCCTTTGCCTCTCTTTATTCCTCATCTCTGAAAATGCCACTTCACTTATCTGTAAACATTAGGACTGTTATAAGACTTGAGTGTGATAATATATGTATCCCTGGCACAGGGGCCTGGTTGCCCTACGTGTCCTGCTTACGTCCGGCTACCTGACCCACAAGAACCTTCCGCTGCCCCAGCCTCCCCTCTCCCGCTCCCCTGGGGCCCTGTTTCCCTTCCCTGGAAACTTTCCTCCTCCTGCTGCTGCCCAGTGTTGTGCCCTTGGGATAATAGAGGGCAGGTCCTGCCAGGCCTATTGGGAGCCACCCCTTGGCTGGGTAGTGCTGTCCTTGCGCCATCAGGCATTTTAAAAACTACCCTAGCCCAGGAAGGGTGGCTCACACCTGTAGTCCCAGCACTTTGAGGGGCCAAGGTGGGTGGATCACCTGAGGTCAGGAGTTCGAGACCAACCTGGCCAACTCTTGTCTCTACTAAAAATACAAAAATTAGCTGGGCGTGGTGGCACGCACCTGTGATCCCAGCTACTTGGGAGGCTGAGGCAAGAGAATCACTTGAACCCAGGAGGCGGAGGTTGCAGTGAGCTGAGGTCACGCCTCTGCACTCCAGCCTGGGTGACAGAAAGAGAGTCTGTCTCAAAAACAAAAAACAAACAAACAAAAACTACCCTGAGGCTACTCCAGCTGTCATCTGAGTCTTGGGACTTTGGTTTTTTTCCAAGGCAGATTTTGTGATTGTATCAAGAATTTGTGTTTTAGGATCAATGACCTCCTATCCTACTGCACATCTTACTTAATTTAGCAGCTTTATCAGTTTGCCAGGTTCTTCACTAAGAAGCCATTGATGTGCCTCAGCACCTCAGCCCTTAAAAGACAGTTTGTCCTTGTTCTGTCCCCAGTGTGTTGGGTTCAGCTTGGCATCGAGTGTGAAAATCAGCCTTGACCTTTGCCATTTCTTAGAAGAAAGCACAGGATGCTTCCCCCTCACTCTTCTCCATTGCAAAGAATGTTCCCTAGATAAACATTTTCCTACATTGAGTGTTCAGAGAACCCCCAGATTGGAAATTGAATCTTACATCATTCAAAACTTATGTATTTCAATTTCTGATGAACAATAAAGATGCCTATGTTAAAAAAAATGTTTATTCCAAAATCGAGATAGAAAATTAGACTGTGAAGAAAGAATAAGAGGAAAAAACCTGGAATTGATTCCAGTACAGAAAGAGTCACTTCTGAGGATGGCACTGGGTGCAGGAAGAGATTGGATGTTGATTAGTTGCTTCCTGTTTCTGCCTGAACCAAGTGTGAGGCAGAAGGCCCAGGGGCTCAAGGGTACAGTTGGGAAAGACCTTCGAGTTGGGAAGGGTAAAGGGAGGCTCATCAGGACTTGCAAGGAGGGTACTGCTGGGGGTGGGGGAGCTGTCTCCTCCCCCCGCTCTCCACGGGCCCCTCCCATTCCCACTGAAAAGCAACCAACCCTGCCATTGTCATCTCCCTCAAATGCCCCTGTTGAGACTGGATCAGCCCTGCAGGTGAAGGGACAGAACTTTCCCCACAAGCTTGAGTAGCTGCTCCTCTTTCCTTATTTGTGTCTCCCAGAGAACAGTGCACACAGCTGGCTTGAAATCAAACATGGAAGTTTCATTCTTGCACAAACAAGCACTTTCAAAAGGCGTCCTTAGTGAGCACTCTCTGGGCTTCGGTGAAGGTACCCCAGGGGGACCCCCGCCCCTGTCTGCTTTCGTGCATCCGGGCACTGGAGTTATGGTCTCTGTAAGATTGTTGCTGGGTGGGAAGGAGCCAGCCACCTTCTGCAGGAAATTGTCGGGACTGGGGGCTTCTGTTGGTGAGAGCTTGTAAACATCTTTCACTGGGTTATATGAAACCTGCCTGCCTGCCTGCCTTCCTCTCAGAATGTTAAGGAGGTTCAAGGAGGTGATGGAGGAGAGAGTCTGTGTAAGAGCTTAAAGACGATCACATTTCACTGTGCCCTTTGCCCTCGGGTTGGCTGGGGCCAGACCCCCGCTACCCTGGGGGTACGGTCCAGCCAGGTCATACAGTCCCCCGAGAGCCCTGCTTGTGCCAGCCCCTCCGCCCAGCCACTCAGTACCAGCACCTTCATTTCTGACACCACACCTCCAATTGCAGGTTGCTGGATCTTTCCAATGAAGGGTTTACAAACTGGGAATTCATGACTGTCCACTGCTGGGGAGAAAAGGCTGAAGGGCAGTGGACCTTGGAAATCCAAGATCTGCCATCCCAGGTCCGCAACCCGGAGAAGCAAGGTCAGTGGCTCTTGGGAATCTCATGACAGCTTTTGTATCTCAAGCCTCTTTTTACCTCTGGGCCTTATTTAACTACGGAGTCTCTGATAATTCTTTGTTTTGTGTTTTAGAGGTAGAATTCCCATAACAGAAAATTCACCATTTTAATTATTTTTAAGTGGACAGTTCAGTGGCTTTTAGTACATCCACGATGTCATGTAAACGTCAGCACTATCTAATTCCAGAATGTTTTCATCCCCACAAAAAGAAACCCCATACCCATGAAGCAGCCACTCCCCATTCCCTCCTCCCCTCCCAGCTCCTGGCAACCTCTAATCCACTTACCATTTCTTTGGATTTGCCTCTCCTGGACATTTCATATAGATGAAATAATACAACACCTGGCCTTTTGTGTCTGGCTTCTTTCACTTAGCATGATGTTTTCAAAGTTTTTCAATATTGTCGTATGCATCAAAACGTCATTACTCGTATGGCTAAACGATATTCCATTGTACGGATTGATCACATTTTGTTTATTCATTCACCTGTGATGGACATTTGGGTTGTTTCTACCTTTTAGCTGTTACAAATAGTACAGCTATGAGGATTCATGTACAAGTTTTTATGTGGACCTATGTTTTTGTTTCTCGTGGGCGTATACCTAAGATTGGAATTGTCAGGTCATATGGTAACTCTATGTTGAACGTTTTGAGGAACAGCCAAACTGTCTTCCACATTGGCTGCACCCTTTTACATTCCGGCCAGCAATATATGAGAGGTCCAGCTCCTTCACATTCTCGTTAACACTTAATATTCTCTGCTTTTTAAAAAATTATAAGCGTTCTAGTAGGTGTGAAGTGGTATCTGTGGTTCTTCAATTGCCTGATGATGCACCTTGATGCACAAAAGTTTTAAATTATGATGAAATTCAATTTATTTTTTCTTCTGTTGCTTGTGCTCTTGGTGTCATACCTGAGAAACCATTGCCTAACCCAAAGTCACAGAGATTTACTCCTGTGTTTCCTTTTAAGAGTGTTATAGCTCTTACATGTAGGACTTTGATCCATTTTGAATTATTTTTGTATATGGTGTGAGGTAGGGGTCCAAACTCATTCTTTTGTACCCATTTGTTCCAGCACCACTTGCTGAAAAATGCATTCTTTACCCATTAGGTGATCTTGAGACTCCTGTTGCAAATCAACTGACCACAGAAGAGAGGTTCGTTTCCACACTCTCGATTCTGTTCCATTGGTCTGTATATCTATCTTGGAGTCAGTACCATATTGTTTTGATCACTGTAGCTTTGTAGTAAGTTTTGAAATAAGAAAGTGCGAGTCCTCCAACTTGGTGGTTCTTTCTCAAGATTGTTTTGGCTATTTTGGGTCCCGTGTAATTCCATGTGAATTTGAAGATAAGCTTGTACATTTCTTTTTTAAAAGGTAGTTGGAATTCTGGTAGAGATTGGATATGTAGATCATTTTGGGGAATATTTCCACATTAACAATATTAAGTCTTCCAGTCCATAAACTTGGGATAGTTTTCTGTTTATTTAGCTCTTCTTTAATTTTGTTTAGCAGTGTTTTTTGTAGTGTTGAGTATATAAGTCTTTCGCCTCCTTGGTGAAAGTTGTTCCTAAGTATTTTATTATTTTTATGCTATTGCAAATGGAATGGTTTTCTTAATTTTTCTTTTGGATTGTTTATTTCTCTGGTAATTCTTGTACCTTTTTAATCCCTTTTACTTAATGATCAATCATTTATTTAACTAGTCTTTATTAAGTACCAAACTCTGATCTAGGTAATGGGGTTACAACCAGGAAAGAAAACTGGAATAATCAGCACATCTTATTTTGTAGTTACCCACAAAGGTCTATAAACGCCTGTCTTTGTTCTCTGGGTCGAATGCATAGTAACGTTTACAGAATGTGCTGGGATCTTGCTTTTCTATGGGCGAGTTTCCTCAAGGTTTGCTTTCACTGTTCCGTCGTTCCCTGTGCCCTTTTCTGTGAAGATGCAGTCTGCTTCTTGGTCACCCTGGGAGTGCGTGAGAACCTTCCCCTGCCCTGGTTCTTTTCCAGTTCTCCATAAACAATCCAAAAGCAAAATTAAAAAAACCATTCCATTTGGAATAGCACAGTTTTAGGAGAAAAGAAGAGTGTTGACTTGCCTTACGTGGAAAATTGACTTTAAGTCATCAAGTCATCTACAGGGATCTGGGACCTCCCCCAGTTGTATTCTTTCTGGTTTTAAAATAGTAAATAACTATTTTAAGAAAGCGTTGGCTGGGCGCGGTGGCTCATGCCTGTAATCCCAGCACTTTGGGAGGCCGAGGCGGGTGGATCACGAAGTCAGGAGATCGAGACCATCCTGGCTAACACGGTGAAACCCCATCTCTACTAAAAATCCAAAAAAAAAAAAAAATTAGCCAGGCAAGGTGGCAGGCACCTGTAGTCCCAGCTCTTAGGGAGGCTGAGGCAGGAGAATGGCTTGAACCCGGGAGGCGGAGCTTACAGTGAGCCGAGATCGCACCACTGCACTCCAGCCTGGGTGACAGAGCGAGACTCCGTCTCAAAAAAAAAAAAAGTGTTATAACAAATCCTAAAAGTACAAAAATGTAAAATTTTAAATGACCTGAAATTTACACATTTTAATAGTGGAAGCTCCTAAATTCTTTCTTTTAAAAGCCCCAAAGTGTATTGGCCGAGTATTAAAAGTCAAGGTTTACTCCTCATGCCAGCTGCATCCTCAAGCATTCACTGCTTCGTGGGCACAAGGCAGAGTTCTCATGCCAGCCTGCATGGCCTGCTTGCCTGGGAGGCTGGTGCTGTATGCAGGAGAGCACATGGAGGCTGGGGCTACTGCTCTTGTGTCCTCATGGCATAGCCCTGGAAACCGGGCACACCATTCAACACTCTAGACCTGTGATCTTTACTCTGTATCATGAGCCGAATACAACGAGCCCTACCCATGTCCCAGGGCAGCTTTGAGGGGACAGTCAATCCCCCATGGAACTGTGCCTCTGCAGGCAGCCTTTCTCATGCATCTCACGCATTCTTCTCTTTCCCCTTCCTATTAGGCCAACATGCGTGCACTGATGCCTCTCCCCTGAGTCCACATCCCCTCCAGCCACCACCCACTTCTCTGCTCCCCTTTATGGCAAAGCCGGCAGAACAAGCTGCCTGCCATGGCCATCACTGGCTCACTCCCAGCCCACTCCCATCCACTGCACAAAATACCGGGGCTCGTCAGGGTCCCCCACCGTTTCCACATTGCCCAAGCCTATGGTCCCATCTCTGTCCTCCCCAGGTTGTTAAAGCCAGGGTCTATGGTTCTAACAAACTAAGCACCCTCTCTGGGGACCACAGGGTGCAGTGGTTAAGACTGGGGGCTCAGGAGCCCTTCTACCTGGGGGTAGATGCTGGCTCTAACTCTTACAAATACCTGTGACCTTGGCAAGTCACTTAGCTTTTCTAGGCCTTGGTCTTCTTATCTAGAAAATGGGGATAGTACGCAAGTTACTGGGTTGCGGTGGGATGAAATCAGGTAAGACAGGCTGGATACCGAGAGCAGGGCCCGGCACACAGCGACGTTGGCAGCTCACCCCCTCTAGAAGTGCCCTCTTGCACAGCTGCAGTGATGCCACACCTGGGGGCCCTCTCCACCTCACAGGCTGCCCCTTGTGCATCTCGTTGGCTGATCCTCTCGCACATACCCCTGCACGCACTCCTGGGTCCTCTGCTCTTTGTTCCCATCCAGGGATCTCATCCAGCCCCGTGACACTGAGCACCTTGTACCTGCTGGTGGTGCCCAAAGCTGCCTCTCCCTGCCCTCTTGCACCCAGACCTGCTCTGCAGCAGCCTCCTGCTTCTGGGCATGGGTCTAACTGGCTCTGAGCTTGTGCACCTTAGACAAACTCCCAAACTGCCTCTTTCTTGCTTTCCACATTAATGTAAATAGCTTTGGGCTGGGCATGGTGGCTCATGCCTGTAATTCCAGCACTTTGGGAGGCCGAGGCGGGTGAATCACAAGGTCAGGAGATCGAGACCATCCTGGCCAACATGGTGAAACCCCATCTCTACTAACAATACAAAAAGTTAACCAGGCATGGTGGCGGGCACCTGTAGTCCCAGCTACTTGGGAGGCTGAGGGAAGAGAATGGTGTGAACCTGGGAGGTGGAGCTTGCAGTGAGCTGAGATTGCGCCACTGCACTCCAGCCTGGATGATAGAGCAAGACTCCAACTCAAAAAAAAAAAAAAAAAAGCTTCACCTTGCACTCCATTGCTTGGCCAAATCCCAGGAGTGAACCTTTAATTCTTCTTTGTCTCCTTCACCATCTGCTTCCAGAATATATCTCAGTCTGCCCACTGCCTCAGTTCAGTCCCCTATAGTGTCTTACCTCCTCATTCCACTGGCCCCCCTGCCTCAACCCCTACTGGCTAGAGCCACTCTCCACCCAGCATCCAATGATCCTTTTAAAATATAATTCAGAAAATGATGCACCCCTGCTAACTTTAATGACCTCCCACAGCTCTTAGAGCAAAACCCAAATCTCTTAGCCTGACCTGCACATCCTGCTAGCACCTCTCCACCGTGAATCATTTCCTGCGCCTCATCATTGACCTCCGTTCTGTTCCCCTAACATGCCTGGTCTTACCTCCATGGGGCCTTGGCACGTGCTGCTCCCTCCTTGGGGACAGCTGTCCCTAGGGCTTCCCATGGCTGCAGCTCAGACCTGGCCTCATGGAGGGGTCTTATCTGAATGCCTGTGGTGGATGTCCTACCCACTCTCCCACCTTACACTCCTACAGAAACATAAAGGCAGGGGATGAGAATGGGGAGGAATAAAAATTTGCTGAGATTCTGATTCCACATTTAGTGGGAGGGGTGATGGATTATGTCTTACTCTTAGCACTGATAGAGACATATAAACTCAAATATCTTCCTATAATAGAGAGATAATCAAGATTTAAAACAGGATGCCAACCTTCCAGATCACTAGAGGGAAATAAGAGTGAAGAGAAATTGATCAATATGCCAAAAAAAAAAAAAAAAGAGAGAGAAAGAACTATAGGCAAATTTGAATAGGGATACGGAAGTCTTAAATAAAACATTAGGAAGTGGAATTCATCAGTTTATTCAAAGAATACTCCCCTCCAAGAACACAGCCTTCACTCAACAGATACTTATTGAGCATTTACCAAGTTCTAAGCACTGGGGATGCACTGGTGAACAAAACAGATGCTAAGCTTACATTCTGGAAGGCAGAGGAGGCCGTGAAACAAGATTACCAGGCAGGAAGCTGTTGTCCATTAGATGATGAGAAGCTCTAAGGAGAAAAATGAAGCAGGGCAGGGTGACAAGGGCATTTCAGGGTGTACCGGGAAGGCCTCAGGGAAGGGACATTTGAGTAAAGCTCAAAGAAGATGAGGGGGTGAGCTCTGCAGACATCTGGGAAAAGGGCATTCCAAGCAAAGCGTTCAGGGGATGCTGAGGCCCCCGGGCAGGAGTGTGCCTGGTGTGTTCCAGGGGATGCTAAGGCCCCCGGGCAGGAGTGTGCCTGGTGTGTTCCAGGGGATGCTAAGGCCCCTGGGCAGGAGTGTGCCTGGTGTGTTCCAGGGGATGCTAAGGCCCCCGGGCAGGAGTGTGCCTGGTGTGTTCCAGGGGATGCTAAGGCCCCCGGGCAGGAGTGTGTCTGGTGTGTTCCAGGGGATGCTAAGGCCCCCGGGCAGGAGTGTGTCTGGTGTGTTCCAGGCACAGCAGAGAGGCCCCCGAGGCTGCAGGGGGCAGTGGGAAGAGGAGCAGAATAGGACAGGACCAGGCATTGAGAGCATAGGGACCAGATCGCACTGGGCTTTGTCAGCCCTCACAGGGACTTGGTTGGAAGTCACTGAGAGATTTTAGGCAGAGGACAGAGGTGATCTGAACTTCTGTGTTAATAGGCTGACAGCTGGTCAGAATAGACGGAAGTGAGGGTGGGAGAGGAACAAAGGCGGGGAAGCCAGTTAGAAGGTCATTGCAATATCAGGTGAAGGTGACTCCGACGGGGCAGCATCAGTGGAGTGTATGAAGCAGTCAGATTCTGAAAGCAGGGTCGAGAGATGTGTAGATGGATCAGATGTGGGCTGTGAGAGGAGAGAGGGGGCATGGATGACTTCAGAGTTTTTGTCCTGCACAGTAGAAGAATGGAGTCCTAGTTTCCTAGATCTGGAACATTGCAGGGGGGGAAGATGCTGGAGAGAAGATCAGGAGCTTGGATTTGGGTGGGTTAAATCAAAGATACTTACACAAGTCCAGGCAGAGATATGTACCTGGAGGTGAGAGGGAAGACTGAGCTAGAAATCCAAATTCGGATTAGGTATATTAAGTATCGTCAGCCTTTCAAGCTGTATGAGCAATGGAAGGAGATCTGTTTATATAACAGTGATTCACACGTTTGGAGCCTGTTGCGTGTGGGTGCTGAGCGAGCTTTAGGCTTGCAGTGGTGCACAGCACGGAACCGCATGCCCTGCACACCTGTGCACCTGCCACACTGCTTCCTGCCCAGCCAGATGCTGCCATATCAGCTCCCTGCTTGCTGCCTGCATGGCACTCAGCAGCTCTGGCCTTGGCCTTAGCACTGATGGGCTTGCCATCTGCAGCCTTCCTTCCTTCCGGTCCTGCTGTGCCCTGAGAGCCTCCTGCTGCATGGTGTATGATAGGTGCCCAATAGGTGTTGGCGGATTAATTAGTCCAGTTGGAACCCTCTGTAACCACCACATGACCAGATGCTCTGTGTGCTACAGAGGACACAGGATTAGTGGATACAAGAAATACTTCCTGAGGGTAGCCCCAAATGAAGTCTTGACACAGGTCGATCTCCACCCCTCAGCGTGGGTAGAAACTGGATCTTTGCTTTCAGAAGGTTGAGACGGGTGCAGAATAAACACCTTGTGGTACCTTCCAGCTCTGACCTTCTAGGGCCTACTGGAATTTGGGGGGCGGGGACACATTCTCCAGTGTCATCACAGAGAGTATGCACATTCCTGCAAGGGCGTCTGGAGTCAGTTCATTCCATGCAAGCTTTACCCTGTAGACAACTGCCACTCCTGAATGTGGTCCAGAAACAGCAAGTACAGGCATGCGTCCTGCCACAGCTGACGCACGGCAAGCCCTCCCTGCTGTGTGTGGGGAGGACGGGCGCCTTCCTGTCACCCACAGGCTCTGTGCATCCTCCCCAAGCACAGTGAGAGCTAGCCTGGGAGCCTGGGTCCCACCAGCATCTCTCCACAGTGGAAATCCATGTGGCCCTCACATGGGACACTGCAGTTGCAACTGAGTCTCCCCAACCTGCCCTGCTCACTTCATTCCAGGGCCAGCCTCTGAGCTTGTTGTTCAGCATGGCGGCTGGATCCTCCCAGGGTGAGGGAAGGGAGTGATGGAGTGAAGCCAAAAGGGGTCAGAGGGGCTCAAACAAAGGCCAAGCGGCCCTTTCCAGGTTGGCGTATGGGCCCAGTGCTTTTGAGGTTGATCCAGGATAAGCCCTCTTCAGCCTCCAGATGAATGGTACCTCTTCCGGCTGTTCCTGAAATGTCAAAATGGGAGGTCTGCGTATCCTAACAGACATGTCTCCGATGCATTTTGCAGAGGTCCTGCCATGTGCCAGATGCTATGCCAGTGCTCGGGCACAGAGAGGCTCCAAGACACAGTTCCTGCCCCTGAGGAGCCCACAGGCTAGTTGGGAACATTTCGGATTTCAGGAACCAATAGTACCATGCACAAGGGCCCAAGGGCCACCAGTGACCCAGAGGAGTGCCCCAAGTTCAGTGGAGCAAACAGGGATTTCCGGCTGAAAGAAACAAGGAAGGGCTTGTGAGGAAGGGTCTGCCTAAGGCCAGATTCTCAGGAGTTCCCCAGTGTCACTTTGTTTTTTTTTATCTTAGTAGCATAGAAAATACAGGCCATTAGGAGATGGCGACTGCCCCAAGGGTACGGCTGTCCTTTTGTAGAATGAAGTGCCAGGCATTGCCCACATATGACCTGCCTTACTCCGCCTACCCCCAGGGGTGAGACTTCTCAGGGCTGGCCTTGCTCCCCAGGCCCTGGGAGGGACCACAGAGGGGCTCAGCAGTGACGAGCCAGGCTTCCCCACCCGATCCACTGGGCAAGCGACGGGGATGTCAGGCCGAGACAGTCCTCAGCGATGACCTGCCCTAACTCCCCTCCTTCCAGGGGCAGGTCTGGGCCCTTCCATGAGTGCAGAGCAGAGGTGGGAGCTTCCTGGCCAGGCCGACATAAGGAAAGGGCCTGCTGCCTCTGGGAGGATGCTCTGGTGCCCACAGAAGGCGTCAGTGTGGATGGGGGCCTGCAGTGGACGGGCATTGAGGTGTGGAGGAGAGTCTGAGAAGATCTCTATCAACCACCAGAGAGCCAGGAAGCACCCCCTAGGAGGAAGGGTGAAAATCCGTGTCTACCCAGAGCTCACCAAGGCACTGGTTATGCTGTGCCCAAAGACCCGGGACCCAACGTAGGCATTGTTCGCAATAAGACCTACCCCCAGAGCATGCCTGTGAGGCCACGCCAGGTGGGCAGGACGGCCGCTGGCCGAGGCTTCTCATCAGTGCATGGGTGGAGAGGGAAGCCCAGCCTGCCTGCACGCTATGACGCTATTGTGTACACAGGGAGGCAGGACCAGCCCCAGCACTGAATGTTCAGGTCAAGCTGATAGTGCCTGTTGGGGACCTCAGCCTGGGAAGGTGACAGAGAAGACCTAGGTTGCCCTCTAGCTCCAGGATTCAGAGCTCTAGAGGCCGGGAAAATGCAGGGCTGGTCAGCCAGGAAAATGCAGGTCTGGTCAGCATCGTCAGCATCGAGTCAGCTGCCTGTCAGCCTCGTCGATGCCGAGGTATGAACTGATCTCAAATGGGCAGGATCTTCCACTCCCTGGTTGTCTGGTGAGGGTGGCCTGTGAGTGCACAGTCACCACCAGCCTCAGTGCCAGGCACAGTGCAGCACACACACACGCGTAGACCAGAAAAGCAGGCAGTCCTCACTTCTCTACAGGCATTCCAAGAACCTGTGCTTGGGGCAGGGTGCTTCGTTTCTGTGGTGTTCATTTCAATCTCCTGCAAATCTCTGCAAGTTAATTGCTTTAAAAGAAAATGAAAAGAAAAAAACTGCTCCAATGGTGTTCTGTGTAAAAGTGCTTTAAAATCTATGCTAAGACCCAGGATTTATGAAGTAATTAAGTGATCTGACTGATGCGCTAGCTCCAATAATACCTCCTGTCAGATTGAACGTGGCTTAGGTAATTAGTTTTAAAGCCATTTTTAAAGGTTGAGTAGCACATCAGTCATCCATTTTCCTCTTCAGTTCCCAGGCCAAGGATCTGGGTCCTCCCAGGATCACTCTCTTCCAGGAGGCAATTTAGGAATGGAATCGAGTGTGAATCCTGCTTTGCAGTCTTGCAGCATTTGCAGATACTAACAGCTCTTCATTTATTCCTGCACACCTATATTATTTATTTATTTATTTATTTATTTATTTATTTATTTATTTATTTTGAGACAGTCTCGCTCTGTTGCCCAGGCTGGAGTGCAACGGCGCAATCTCGGCTCACTGCAACCTCTGCCTCCCAGGTTTAAGCGATTCTTCTGCCTCAGCCTCCCAAGTAGCTGGGATTACAGGCATCTGCCACCACATCTGGCTAATTTTTTTTTTTTTTTTTTTTTTTTTGTAGTTTTAGTAGAGACAGGGTTTTGCCATGTTGGCCGGGCTGGTCTTGAACTCCTGACCTCAGGTGATCTGCCCACCTCGGCCTCCGAAAGTGCTGCAATTACAGGGTGAGCCACTGCACCCAGCCCAGCACACCTTTATTGAACTCTACTTAGCTCCAGATTTGGGAACACTAGGACCTTGCCCCTGCAGTGCACAGTGTGGGTGTGGAAGAGGGGGCAGCTTCCACCGTGGGTGAGCTTGCTACTCCAGCCGTTACGCACAGAGCCTGCAAGGCTACGAACGGAGCTGGCAACGGTGCAGGCAGAGCTGGGGCGATGGCTCGTCCTGCAGAACATCTGTCGGAGAAGTTTGGCTGCATTTAAGAGAGTTGCCATCCAAAATGCCCGAGATTTTAAGTTTGGACCCAGAATGCAGAAAGTGTCTATTCTCTGAGAAACATGTATGCTTCATTCTCCCACGTCAGACATCAGACAGGCCTGGGGTTGGATCCTCCTGCCTCCGCTTTTCCTGTCTCTCTGGCCTCTGCGCTGGGTCTCCTCTCCTGTAAGATAGGGCTGTGCAGAAGTGAGACCCAGACCAAGTCACTGAAGAGAGGAGCCTTCCCAGCCCGCCCTTCTTGCCTCGGAGCCTACGTTGGTGGTTGCACCTGAACGACAAGGCAGAGCCTGTGCACCTGCCAAGGTCAGGCCAGCCTCCCCACCCAGGGCCACATCCCGCTCGGCACCCTCAGGTGCAGGAAGGTCCCTGCACCTCCTCATGACCTGGGGCCCCCATGGGCATGCCGGATGCATGCAAAGTGCTCTGCAGGAATCGAGCTTGGCTTTGTCAGCACTAAGGGGCATCTGCATGGTGTTCTCCTGTTCATGCAGCACACACTTACCTTGTCTGCACACCTGCCCCATGCCGGGTCTGCTGGGTAGGCATGGGTGTGAGGGGTGTTTCCTTGTTCTTCACTTCTTCCACCCCAAGAGCCCAGCTGAGTGTGCCCTGCAGGCAGTTTGACCAGGGCTATGTACAGGGCCCAAACTTTACTGAGTTGGCCTAGCCCTCCCTTTGTAACCAGGAGCCTACCTAAGGTGCTGGGGCACCTCCCACAGTCTTCCCCTGCCAGGGAGAATTGTGAGACATCAATGTCTAAATAGAAAAAATAATCAGGCATGCTTTCCAATCTTCTCTCTATAATTGACACCATGTATCTTATTTCATGGTTCCAAAGGGTTTTACGTACTTGGTATTCACATAGTAATAAATAGACTGTCTGAGACAATTGATGGCACTTTAAAAAATCCTGTGTCACTCTTGAACTCTGAGAATTCACTTTCTCCCTGATTAAAATTTCTTTTTTCTCTGATCTTTCATCTGTTTCCAAAAGAGCAGCAACCCACATGTGCTGTGTTTTTCCAGATTATTTCAACAGCATTATTTCCAGATTCCCACCAATCTAGGAAAGAAGTCCAATTTATCAAAAGAACGAGAGAGGAATAGGATGATGATTAGCACCTACGTGTTCTCCAGCAGGCACTGGGTGCTATTTTATCTCGCTGTTACAAATCAGTATAGAATCAGGGTAGATGATAATAAGGAATTAAAGTTTCAGGAAAAGTTATTCTTGCTAGTGATGCATATCATGGTATTTACAAATGAAGACATGACCACGATGCCTATGATTTGTGCTTTAAACTATTCCAGAGGGTGGGGGTGAGGAGTGGGAGAGTAGGAAGAGGGTGGGCGAAACCAGATTGAGAAAAGGTTGGGGATTCTTGGGACTGTGTGATGGGGCACGGGGACTCATTGTACTGTTTTCTCCATTTTATGTTTATTTGAGAATTTCCATTACGTGAAGAGTTTTTAAAAGCACATGTATGGGAAACATTTCTTCCGAAGAGGTCAGAATGCAAGACTGTCTGAGAGATTTACATGGCACAAGTAAATTTAACGATGTAAAGATTTCATTGCTTTACAGCAAATACACTTCAGTTCTTCACTTGTGAGGAGTAAATGCTCAATGTGCCGTGGGACACGTAGAGACAGGGATTTTACACTTTGTTTAAAGTGTAAAAAGACACGTAGTTTCTTTTACGTTTGACTGAAGGTGCTCTAGACAGTTACTGGACGTGTGTATGGGAGTGTGTGCTTGGGTGTATATATGTGTGCATGTGTGAGGGAGAGTATTGTGTATAAGTATGTATGTGTGTATGTGGGCTTGTATGTATCTGTGTGTCCATGTGCATGTCTATGTGGATATGTATGTGTGTATATGTGGGCATTAGGTATATGTGTATACTTGTACATGTATCTGTGTGTGTGTGCATGTGGATATGTGGGTGTGTGTATGTGTGTGGTGCATATTGGCTTATGCTTCCTTTTCAAGACCCAGTGTAACACAAGGCTGAGCTCTAGAGCGGCCTGCTTCTCAGATCCATCTTCCACCACTGGTCATTGCGGACCTCGGCAGGCCATTTCCATGCTCCGAGCCTCCAACCTGTCCTCTGCCCAGGGATGGTGGGAGGATTAAACGAAACAGTGCCCGAGAAGTGCTGAGCCTTACCAGCATGAACATGATTCTCTTATTGTGAGTGTTTAGATTCTCCTTTTGTGGAAGAGGGAGCTGAGTCCAAGCTCCTCCACCCAGAGCCTGACTGAGCTCACCTGCCTGGAAGGGGCAGAGCCTGGTGTCAGGGCCGTCTTCCAAGCTCAGGGCCACCCTCACCTCAACCCAACCTGGTGAGGTCTCCACGCCTCTCCAAGGCAGTACAGGCAGCCCATAGTTGATCTGATCTCTTTAGCCCTGTGGCCAGTGGTTTTCATGTGTCTGGCTTCAGGATATTTCTGGTTGGATTTTTTTGTTTAAAGTGTTGTAATTAGAAGATAAAAATTAAATGAAATATTAAAAGCTGGGAGCCTCTGCTGGGTGCCAGCCAGGGTCGGGGTGTTGAGGAATGTTGCTGCTGAGAGGCTGCCTCACTTGGCTGAAATCCAAGAGAGCAGCAGGCCTTCTGAGAACTTGCTTTGACCAGTCCACAAGAGCAGGGGTCCCCATCCCACCTACCGGTCCATGGTCCATGGACTGTTAGGGACTAGACTACACAGCAGGAGGTGAGCGGCCAGCAAACACTTCATGTGTGTTTACAGCTGCTCCCTGTCACTCCCACTTCTGCCTGAACTCTACCTCCTGTCACATCGGCAAAGGCACTAGATTCTCATAGGAGTGCGAACCCCATTGTGAACTGCACGTGCCAGGGATCTAGGTTGCACGCTCCTTATGAGAATCTAATGCCTGATGATCTGTCACTGTCTCCCATCACCCCCAGACGGGACCGTCTAGTCGCAGGGAAAGAAGCTCAGGGCTCCCACTGATTCTACATTATGATGAGTTGTATAGTTATTTCCTTATGTTTTACAATGTAATAATGATAGAAATAAAGTACACAATGATTGTCATGTGCTTGAATCACCCCGAAACCATCCCCACTGCTCCCCACCGGATCCCCAGCTGTGGAAGAATTGTCTTCCAATAAACTGATTCCTTGTGCCAAAAAGGTTGGGAACCACTGCAGTAGAACATTTGAAATGCAATAGGTACTTGGAATAGATGCTTGGTTTTAAGGGTTTTTCCTATAGACTATGTTCCTGAATGGGAGGATTCAGTATCACTGAGATATCTCTTCTTCACAAAGAAGGGTTAGCCGTCACTTTAACACAGTCCTCATCAACATCGCAACAAAATTAAAGGAATGCAAGGAAAACCTATTCTGAAAGAATGGGCACAGATAATAGCTAGAGAAATTCTGAAAAAATGAATGCAGGTGTTTAACTGTGTTTTTTAACTATAATAAAATGATCTGGCACTGGTGCTGGAATAGACCGATCAAGGGAACAGTACGGATAGTCCGTTAATAAAGCCACAGAGATATGCTAAGGATAGCGTTTTAAACTGGTGGGAAAAGACTGAAGTGTTGAATAAGAGTTATTGATAATTGGCCAACCATTTGGAAAGAAAATAATTATCTTGATGCATACACATAAAATTAGAAATTTCTGTCTGGCAGAAAACATCATAAAATTAGAAAAATATTCCTGTAATCTCAGCACTTTGGGAGGCCAAGGCAGGTGGATCACGAGGTCAGGAGATCCAAGACCATCCTGGCTAACACGGTGAAACCCCGTCTCTACTAAAAATACAAAAAATTAGCCGGGCGCAGTGGCGGCCACCTGTAGTCCCAGCTACTCAGGAGGCTGAGGCAGGAGAATGGCATGAACCCGGGAGGCAGAGCTTGCAGTGAGCTGAGATTGCACCACTGCACTCCAGCCTGGGCGACAGAGTGAGACCCCGTCTGTAAAAAAAAAAAAAAAAAAAAAAAAAAATTAGAAAAATATTTATAAAATATTTTGGACAAACTCAAGTGATTCACAGATGGCCTTTTCACTTCTGTCTAGCCCATGGGTTGGAAAACTTTTTCTGTAAAGGGTCAGATAGTAAATGTTTGAGGTTTTCTGGTCTCTGAGACAACTACTCAACTCTCCCATTATAGTGTAAAACAGCCATGGAAATTATGTAAATGAGAGGCCGTGCTGTGTTCTGACCTCACTTTATAAAATAGGCGGTAGGTCCTGGCCTTAGTTTGCTGTCCCCACTCTGCCCTGTTTACATGTTCAGTTGAATTGAGTCTTCTGTTTCATGGTAGTTAAGAGGGCTGTTTATTTGGCTGTTATATGAGGCATCCCATCCTGTCCCCATTTTCCCACCACCCATGAAGTTATATTGTCCTGCTTGCTGGTAAATATTTAACAACTAGTGCTCTGGGGGAAATTATTTATAGATATTGACATATCACATAAGTTCATTATAAATTTTACTGATATAAAGGATGTTAGCCAACAATTTACAAATAATAAAATATACATTGCTTGTATTATAAATTCCATTTAGCCAGTTGATTCTCAGAGACTGCTTTCATTGATTTTTGCCGAATTCTGGTTCCATAACCAGCCGATGGCTGCCATGCATGAACAGTTGTCTTTCCAGCGTAAATATTGGGTAATATTTTTGCCACAGAAACAACAAAGACATATGTCAGAACTTCATTCACTCACCAGGGATGGGAACAACTTCCTTGCTAAATTGGAAAATAATTTTCAAATACTGAAAGAATATCTCTTCAGTTTTGTAAGCTGTTCACAGTGTAATACCTACAGACATGAAACATTTTTAAGTTATACCTGCAGTATTAATGCTTTCTCCATCACTTTCTTAAGCCCAGAAAATCAACAGTAAACCCAGCCCTTGTTTGTAGCATTTGTCGATTTCCATATGGGAATATCCCGCCATGGCCAATTTCAAGCTTTTCACGTGACGTCACTGAAGACGGGTTGGTAAAAGAGGGGTCCAGTAGCCACCATGAGATAGTGCTTCCCCTGTGTAGATAGAACAGATGTGAGTAACCCTGAAGCACAGATAATGACAAAATATAGTGAGATCATGAGGAAGGGGCAATTTGTGAATATTCATTACCTTTGTTTTTAGTATAATTTATTCAATTGTAAGCTTCTATAATTTAATGTTTAATAAAGACTGTGTTTAACAACCAGCTCACAAAGGTTCTGAAAATGTTCACAATCAGTTCCGTTAAGCCAGTGCTGGTCGGCTGCAGCGCACCACTGCATATTGGGAATTGAACGGGTAGAGGGTTGTCTTTCTCTTGGGACAAGCACACTTTAAGGGGAGCGTATTCATTGCAGGACCAAGGCTCAACGTGCACTGCTCCCCACCCGTCCCAGCTCCTCTTTATGCTTGCGGGGGCCAGCCACTCTCCAGTCCTCCCCAGGAATATACGTCGCAACCAGGCATTCTTTTTTCATTGGCCTCATTCTTCCCAGGGCCGGCTCAGAGGCCCCCCGGTCTAATTGCCATTGGTTTAACTGCTGTTTAATAAATCAAACTATTTTTCTGACTAAATCTTGCTAATCAGTAAATAGTGATCATCTGAATTCTCCATATGCTAAAAAGTCATTTTTCCAAGGGGTAAAATTAAAGTAATATTTGGCATAAAAAAATTCTAATACACAGGCAGACACCTTTATGTCTAATATCTCAACTGTAGAGGTTAGATAATCACAGAGTGCTATACTGTGTTATAGCCTTAAAATGTAGAGTGCTTACAGATCACTAAGAAATATTTAAATAATATCACTAAATAGGCCAAAATCCTGAAAAGCAATTCGTAAAGAAAACATACAAATAACCAGTAAACACAAGATAGTCAACATTTGTAGTATCCAAATAAAATATAAACTAAAGGCCAGGTGCGTTGTCTCACGCCTATAATCCCAGCACTTTGAGAGGCCAAGGCAGGTGGATCACGAGGTCAGGAGTTGGAGACCAGTCTGGCCAACGTGGTGAAACCCTATCTCTATAAAAATACAAAAATTAGCCGGGCATGGTGGCGTGCACCTGTAGTCTCAGCTACTCGGGAGGCTGAGGCAGGAGAATTGCTTGAACCAGGGAGGTGGAGGTTGCAGTGAGCCGAGATTGTGCCACTGCACTCCAGCCTGGGCAACAGAGACTCCGTCTCAGAAAAAATAAAAATAAAAAAAATAAACGAAAACACAAGAAGGCAAAATCATGATAGAAAGCCAACAAGCAGCAGTTGCAGAGATGGTAGAACAAATGTGTGAAACGAATCTGTATGGCACTCTGCACTCGGGGCCACAGAGTGATGTGATTTAAAGAACGGGAATGCAGGGGCAGAGGAGCCTGGGTCCCACGCTGGCTGCACCGGTGACGGGCTGGGAGACCTGGGACTGATGACTCCCTCATCAGCGTCTTACCAGCACCTGGTGGACATGAAATTTCTCACGCAGCCTGTGTAGGTTGTCACAGAAGCCCAGGCTCCTCTCCCCTCTCCCTACCTGCCACTGCAAGTGTGTGTTTTACCACAGCCTTTAGGAATTGGTCCATTTGCTCTCTGGGAAAATTCCAGCCTGGAGAAGCTGGTAGAGACCTGCCTCCATGCCTCTGAGGAAAATCAAATTGGCTGCGACCTCTACAGAACCCAGGAATTTGGAATTCACTGAATCCAGGGTTGCTGCGCTGGAGGCAAAGCTGGGCTGCTATTGGGTTGGCTGGCCCTAAGGGAAAACTCTTCTGACTTTTGAACTCAGCAGGTACATTTCTATTCTTCCTTTCTTCTTCTTAAGCAACACTTTTCCCGAGAAAAACAAACAAAACTTTGCTAACCAAAAGCTTTGTGTTGAAACTGCCAGGAGGAGATGATAAGCCAAGCATTGCCTTGGCTCCTCAGGACTTTTGCAGGCCCCCGGGGCAGAGCCATTCAGGAAGTTCCCACAGGGCTTGGCTTTCTTTGGAGCTCAGCCCAGTGCACCTGACTCTACCCTGTGCTTCTGTGGAATCCCAGCTTTGGTTCTGTCCTTCCCAGAAACCTGAAAGTTGAAGCCAAGACAGGATCAAGGAAGGTCTAGTCAGAACTGTGGTGCTTTTGCCAAAACTTGCAGAATAAGCTATCGGGGCACAGATCAGTTACGAAAACCAAATCTGACCCGTTATCCAGGCGACTTGAGTGAGAGGAGCAGGAGGGTGGCGGGAGGAGACCAGGCTGCCGCAGACACTGGAGCTCCTGAACGGGATTTGGACCTCAGGGTGGTGTTTAGGGAGAGCCCAGAGCAGAGCAGCTGGCAGGCGTGGTCTGAGTTCAGCTGGCCGCTTCCTGGCCTGGTCACGGAATCTCTCAGTCTCTGTTTCTGCACGTGTGTGATGGGAATAATAGTGTCTACTTCAACGGGCCTGGGGAGATTCAAATGGAGGAAGGTTTCATATGAACAAATCCTTTATGAGGAGTTTCAAAGGTTTCAGGATTACAATCTTTGTCCATAGTGCCTATAACATCAGAAACACCAAGAAGTGTTTCTTGATATTGAGCTTCCTTGAAGCCAATTACACATGTCAGTTACATATCGAATTCTGTGTTCTGCCTTGTGCTGTGACGGTGTCTCACGAAGGTGCTGCTATACCTTTGGAAGACTCCAGAAAGCCCAGGGAAGCAGGTTCTTTTCAAACATGATAGTTCACACTTCATACCTCGAAGCATGTATTTTGATGACGTTTTACTCCGCAAATGTCACACTGGCCCCACTGCGTGTCTCCCCAGACTGGCCCAGCCCTGCTGTCGTCAGGCCTTGCCTGTTGCCCAGTAAAGAGATCTAGCCCTCACTTCCTTGCCTCGGCTCCCCCAGCCTCCCCCACGGTGAAGCCTGGGCGTTGGAATGGCTGCTGACGTTCCCACCGGGGAGGAGCAGCGGAGGCGCAGGGGCCGGTCCGACCCAGCGGGACCCCGGGGGGGCGGGGGTTGTGGCTTTTCCCTCCACTTCCAGGTGAGGCTTGGTATCAGGCCTCCCCAGCATCTGGCTGCCTGGAGGGGGCAGGTAACACAACCCAGAAGGAAGGTTTACCCAAGGAAAGACAGGACATAAAGTGTATGCCCTTCCTGTCTGAGGGCACATTGGTCTCACAAGGCCTGTTTGGAAGACTTCCCCCAGCTAAGCAACCACCCCGTTTCTTTGTGGAGCTGCAGCCAGCTTGAAACACAGCTCCTTCCATTTGTCAACCCCGGGCGCTTCCTCCTGCTGCCCTCCACTCCTGTTGCCCTGGGATTGCACCTCCCAATAAAGCTTCAGCCCATGGGCTTCACTTCAGTCCCTTGTTTTCCAGGGAACCTGGACTAAAACACGTGTTCCGGTGGCAGATTGAACAAGAGCTTTGGTAATCTCTGTGAAATACTGCAGAGGGACAGATGACCAAAGCCACCACATTTAGAACTTTGGCTGCCTTTGGAAGTCCAGAGCTGGATCTCTCAGCTCCCGCCCCCAGAGGCTCAGCACTTTGGACATGGCTCACAAACAGTTGTTGATTGACTGCATGAATGCGTGTGCGTGCAAGCATGAACCTTGTTTAAATCAAGAGCTTACATAATTTTAACCAGTTCTGTCTTCAGCTGTACATACTCAGTAAAATGTTTAATGAAGGGGAAGAGATTAGTCTCTTCTGTGTGACCATGTTTTCCCTTTATTCATCCTAAAAAGTTCCATGAATTCTTGATTTCCTTTCAGTGGCCCTTTCAACAATGTCTTTTTTCCCAAGAGCATAACTGTTCTCATTTTATTGCTAGCCATCTTGATCTGTGTTTTATTGACATCTCTTTTGAGCTAATCTTCATTTCTAAGATAAGAGTTGAGATTTTGCAATCTGTGTTCGATGGCTCAATCTATCCTGTGCTTGATGCTAGAAAGGAAGACAGATTTAAAGCACATGCCTTCTGTGCCGGCTTTCAAGTTTGTCACTAAACTCTCATTTCTGGAAAGTGCAATTATAGAGTATCACTCCCACTTCCTTGGAAACAGAGCTGAAGAACTTGGCACACTCTCCAAACAGTCACCATACACACTGTTGTCAAAAAGTTCCATTTTTAACCCCATTTGCATTAATATTGCAGTCAATCTCTTTACCTCCTTTTCTCTTTCACGGGGCCGTGACAGTGACGCCTTTCCCCAAAACTCTCCTCGTTTGAGAAAAAAAGAAGTATGTATCCCCACTTATCTCGGGGAGAAATGCAACCAACTGCTGCTGTGCACATTTATGAATCACAGTATTGTTTAGTCGGTTCTGTATCTCCAGTAGAAAGCATAACAAAAAGATGACCTTTGTCTCACCTCATAGCTAATTTTTGCAAATAAAATACTAAACATTGATGAAAATGAAAATGACAGATCTGAGGAAGAGGGAGAGCTCTCTTGAAACCCCTTTCCCAGATTTGCCCTCAGTTTTAGGAATGAGGTACGCTTGGGCATTCCTGTTGCCTGCATGGTTCGGCATTCTGGCAGCCAGGTTCGCCCCAGAATAGATAAGTGTGTTTGATTTTCGAACATTTGACTTTATTACCTATTTCCAGAAACACTTCGTGTTCAAACTACGTCTCTACAGGCATTTCTACTTGGTCTTTTTCTCCCCTGACATTTCACAGAGTCCTAACTGTGCTGCATGTATAACTTGTTCTTTCTTTTTGTTACTTGCATAGCAAGCATGTTTCTATGTCATTAAATATCCTTTGTAAGCAGCATTTTATAGATTTTTATAATACTTCACCAACAGAAGCACCATAATTTATTTAAGCATCTCTCTATTGTTGGACATGTAGATTGCTTTCCATTTTTTCCTATTATGAGCGGACAGCTTAGTACAAAAAGCCTTCTCCTGAATTTAAAATTATTTCTTTGGGATTATTCACCAGAAGTAAAATTACTGGGATAAATAAGAGGTGGAAACCACAAATATGCCTGCCTTTGATACATATTGCCAATTTGCTTTTCGAAATAGTTGAACTGATTTGTAGTCTTACCAGGAGTGGGCAGTTCTGGAGGAGGTAGATGATACCCTTCCTTAACTTACATTGTGATCATTACTAACAAAGGTGAACCTTTTTTCAAATGTTTGTGCACTGTGTTTTTTCTTTTGAAAATTGCCCTTTCTGGCGTGGTGGCTCACGCTTGTAATCCCAGCACTTTGGGAGGCCGAGGCAGGCGGATCACCTGAGGTCAGGAGTTTGAGACCAGCCTGGCCAACAGGGTGAAACCCCGCCTCTACCAAAAATACAAAAATTAGCCGGTCATGGTGGTGGGTGCCTATAATCCCAGCTACTCAGGAGGCTGAGGCAGGAGAATCACTTGAACCCGGGAGGCGGAGGTTGCAGTGAGCCGAGATTTTGCCACCTCACTCCAGCCTGGATGACAGAACGAGACTCCGTCTCAAAAAAAAGAAAAAAGAAAATTCCCTTTTGTCTTTCGCGAGAGCGCTCAGTGTTGCTATCAAGCTGATAAGTATGTAGTCTGTGTAAAATATTGGTAAAATATTGGTGTAATAACCCTGTGTGTGTCGTAATTCATATAAATTTTTTTTCTGGCCTGCTGTTTCACTTTTGACTTTTTAAAAATAATTTTAAATTTCCCCTCCAGAGTTTTGATAATTATTTCCTTTTTTAAAAAAGTCCCAATTTGTTTGATTTTATTTTCTTCATAATCTGTTTGCCTTTTTTTCAGTCTAAATATTAGTGTCTCTAAAAAATAAATAAAAGATATATAAAACTTTTTCTAAGTTGCTAACAAATTACTCCAAAACAAAGTCAAGATCAAAATGTTAAAAGATGTCGTGGACTTTTATTTCCAACAACAGAGAAGACAAGTGTCTTGAAATCTCCCTCCCACAGAAAAGAATTTTAAATGTTGGTTGAAATGTTCACAGCCAAAGAGGTGAACAGAATCATGGTCCGGCTTTTGCTTGAAGGCATCTGCTTCATCTGTGGAGCCCACCTAGCAGACCACATAACACTGGGACCTCAGGGGCACCCAAGGAAAGGAGACACAGACAAAGCTGTGTAACTAGAACCCACAAAACAAGTGCTTACAAACAAGTCCAATAACTTCAGTAGTTTCACTAAAGGCATACAGACTCGTTGCTCCCCTTGAGAGACAAAAATTGTCATATTGGATTTTTTTAAAAAATGTATTTAAAAATGTATTTGGGAGGCTGAGGTGGGCGGATCACTTGAAGTCAGGCATTCAAGAGCAGCCTGGCCTACATGGTGAAACCTCGTCTCTACTAAAAATACAAAAATTAGCCGCATGTGGTGGTGTGTGCCTAATAGTAGTCCCAGCTACTCAAGAGGCTGAGGCAGGAGGATCACTGGAACCTAGAAGGCAGAGGTTGGAATGAGCCAAGTTCATGCCAGTGCCCTCCAGCCTGGGCGACAGTGAGACTCCATCTCAAAAAATACAAATTAAAAAAAAGTATTTTCTGTAGTGCCAGGTATATTTCATTTACCCACCAGATCCATTCTCCACTCCTCCACCCCACAGACTCCCTTGCCTGTGGCTTATAGTTGAGTTCAGCCAAGGGGAAACTCCAGCAGGAGAGGAGGGAGGGAGGAGATATTTATTTATGAGTTAGTGATTCTCCAGTCCTTCATCAGCCAAACAGAAATGTTATGGCAAAAAGCGTTATTGGAGCTTCATATGTAGCTCTGTGTATGTATCAATATGTAGAGGGTCTATACATATTGGTAAAAGGTTTAGTTCAGTTCTAAAAGTTCCACCTCTAATCTTTTATGCAATTTATAACACAGCCTTAAAATACATATAGAGCAAAAACTTGTTAAAACTACAAAGAGAAAATGACAAACTCACACAGGAGGGAGAGATTTAGCATACCTCGGATATATTTGATAGATAAAACAGCAAAAATTCATAATAATAGAAGATGCAAATATCTCAATTGACAATTTAGGTCAAATGGACATATTGGAACACTGTGCCAAACAACAGAATAATACACCAAATTTTTTATTTATTTATTTTTTTTTTTGAGACAGAATCTTGTTCTGTCGCACAGGCTGGAGTGCAGTGACGCAATCTCGGCTCACTGCAACCTCCGCCTCCCACATACAAGTGATTCTCCTGCCTCAGCCTCCTGAGTAGCTGGGACTACAGGTGTGTGCCTATATTTTGTATTTTTAGTAGAGACAGGGTTTCACCGTGTTGGCCAGGCTGGTCTCGAACTCCTGATCCGTGATCTGCCCGCCTTGGCCTCCCAAAGTGCTGGGATTACAGGCATGAGCCACCGCGCCCGGCCAATACACCCACTTTTCAAACACGAATGGAAGATTTATGAAAATTGGCCACATGTCGAGCCATTTGGCAAGCTTCGATGGATTTCCAAGGATTGGTAGCATATAAACCCTATTCTCTGACATTACACTTAAGTTAGAAATCAAAATCAAAAAGATAATTAGAAAGTTTCCATACATTTGAAAATTGAAAAATACTTCTAAATAATTTATGTGTTAAAAGAAAAAAACATAATTTATATTAGAAAATACTTAAAACTGGATGATAATAAAAATACTACATATTCAAATAAGGAAGATACAGCTAAAGCTGTAGTTAGACAACTTTATGGCTGTAATTGCATATATCAGAAAAGAGAAAATCCTGAAAATTAATGTGCTAAGCATCCAACTTAAGATGATAGAAAAAAACCAACAACATAAAGAATGAAGAAAGAAGGAATTTTTAAAATAGCAGAAATTAACAAAATAGAAAACAAACATATGTAGAGAAAATTAAAATGCCATAAGCTGGTTCTTGAAAGAAACTAATAAAATTGATAAACTTGTAAGTAGACCAAGGAAAAAGCTGAAACTATATGATTTCAGGAAAGAAAAACGCATGATTATAGATCCTATATACATTAAAATTATGTGACAAAGGAATTCTAAGTGAAATGAACAAATTCCAAGAAAAAATACAACTTAACAAAATTGACACGTTTACATAAAATTAAAATTGTCCTATTAAAGAAATTGATTCTATAATTTAAAAGAAAACTCAAGGCCAGAGCAATTTACCAGCAAATTCTGCCAAACATTTAAATGGAAGAAATAATGTCAGTGTTCTGTAAATTCTTCTAGATAGTAGAAAAATAGGGAAACAGTCCCCACTTTGTTGAATGAAGCCAGAGTTTGGTTTTTTTTTTTTTTGAGACGGAGTCTCACTCTGTTGCCCAGGCTGGAGTGCAGTGGTGCAATCTCAGCCCACTGTAACTTCTGCCTCCCAGATTCAAACGATTCTCCTGCCTTAGTCTCCCAAGTAGCTGGGATTACAGGCATGCGCCACCAC